>NC_000015.10:62651874-63276874 GCF_000001405.40 Homo sapiens | reverse complement strand
GAAGCTGCCCTTCTCAGGGCTGTTTCAGCCAAATGGTTTTTATTTTTTTCCCAATTCTTCAAAAGGGTTGTTTTTGCAGGCATTCTGTGACCACCCTACAAGCAATAGTAACATCTCCCTGCTCCGTCTTCTCACAGTCGTCCATTTCACTTGCTTATTTTTCTTCCCCGTTAAAACGCGAACTCCTGGGGGACAGGGACTTTGCTTTGCTCTTTGTTGTTTCCTCAGCACCTAGAAGTTCACTAATATCTGTTCAATAAGTGAAATAATTTAAAAGGTGGAAGTTATAAACATCTATATTAACAATTTCTGAAAGGTTTAAAAATTAAAACTTAAGTTCTCTGATCATTCACATCCAAGTTAGATTTTTCTTTATGTTGAATAATACTTCGTCGGTTATTTTGATCAGTGTGCCTGACACAGGTAAGTGCTATGTAAGTATTAACCACTCCTACATAATGTCCATCATGAATAAAGATTTTGGCAATCCACATTTAAAAAAACACCAGTAGACAAATGTTGGGACCTGACAGATGTTTTGCAGCTCGCCCCTGAAAATGCACCTTCAAATAATACAACTGCAGGTATTTAATTCTTACAGAAAAACATTACCTTTGCCCATTTAAAAGTCATATATATTTCCATTCACTCCCACAGAATACTTCTTCAGATTCCAGTGATTGTATTTTGAATGGTCAGATCCCAGCACAATACCTATCAAAACTCGGGTCGAGACAACAGTTCAGAGTGATAGATCTGCTTTGTAAAGATATGGAAAATGAGCTTCCAGACTGGAGGTCCTCAGTGCAACGCAGGCATGAGATGGCAGTGGCCTGATTCAGGGAATTAGCAGGACTCTGGAGGGAAGCAGACAAATTTAATAGAAGTTTAGGAATTGTACAAACAGAATTTAGTGACTAATGAGCTACATAGAGTGAGATGGGGGAAGAGTCAAGGATGAGGGCTTCTAGAGGGTTCGGGCTTAAGTGGATGCTGTGGAGACAGGAGGAGGAGAGAATATGGCAAAGTAGACACGATAATGAGTACCATTTTGTTATTTTGTTGTTACTGTTTTGGAGACATAGTCTCACTCTGTCGCCCAGGCTGGAGTGCAGTGGTGTGATCTCAGCTCACTGCAACCTCTGCCTCCCGAGTTCAAGCAATTATCCTGCCTCAGCCTCCAGAGTAGCTGGGACTATAGGCACGCGCCACCATGCCTGGGTTATTTTCGTATTTTAGTAGAGACAGTGTGAACAATGTTGGCCAGGCCAGTCTCGAACTCCTGGCCTCAAGTGACTTGCCCACCTCGGCCTCCCAAAGTGCTGGGATTACAGGCATGAGCCACCGTGCCTGGCCTTCATTTTGGATGCCTTGAGACTGAGATACTTGTAGCACTCCAAATGGAGGTGTTCAGTAGGCAACTACATATACAGGATCAGGAGAGAAATGGACTGAACATCAGAGCTGAGACCAGAATACCTGAAGCCGTGAGAGTATATAGAATAGAATTACCTAGATAGCTAGTAAAGCCAGAACAAGGCCTATGTCAGAACACCAACATTAAAGGTATGAGGAGAAGAGGAACCTCATAAGAAACTGAAAAGGAGTGGCCAAGAGGGTAACAAGAAAACTGGGGGAATGTGGTGCTGTGGAAGCCAAGGGGAAAACATTTCAGAAAGAAGGGCTGTCGAGAGGTTAAGTAGCCATGCACAGTGGCTCACGCCTGTAATCCCAGCACTTTGGGAGGCTGAGGCAGGCGGATCACTTGAGGTCAGGAGTTTGAGACCAGCCTGGCCAACATGGTGAAACCCTGCCTCTACTAAAAATACAAAAATTAGCTGGGCGTGGTGGCAGACACCTGTAATCCCAGCTACTCAGGAGGCTGAGACAGAAGAATCACTTGAACCTGGGAGGCAGAGGTTGCAGTGAGCCAAGACTGCGCCACTGTACTCCAGCCTGGGCCACAGAGTGAGACTCCTCCATCTCAAAACAAACAAAAAACAAAACAACAACAACAACAACAAAAGCTACCAGTGAATTATGTCCACTGGATTTAGCCATACAGAGGTCATCAGTGACCCAGACATAGGGGTAAAAGGCAGTCTGTAAAATCTTCTCACATTAATGTGTGGTAAGAAAAAAAAGGAAAGAGGAAAAAATGGAGAAATTTAGCTTTAGAGGAGAGGAGACAGGACACCAGCTGAAGGAAGACAGGAAATGGAGGGATCCTCAGAGTACCCACCCAGTTTCCTTGGTAACGAGTGATGCAATTTCGATCCTGCTGTGATGCTGAAGGTCGGAGTGAAGTTACCAGCCCTATAAGAGTCAACCCTAGGACCCAGCTTTCAAGCAGCACTGGTTTTGTTGATGGTACAAGATGAGAGTCTTAACTACATTCTCTTAGAGTTTTTTCAACTTCAGCTTGCACACAATATTCACAAGTAAATTTTTTTAAAGGCAATGCAAGAGGAAGTGGCTGGGTACAGTGGCTCACGCCTGTAATCCCAGCACTTTGGGAGGCTGAGGTGGGCAGATCACTTGAGGTCAGGAGTTTGAGACCAGTCTAGCCAATATGGTGAAACCCCATCTCTACTAAAAATGCAAAAATTAACTGGGCGTGGTGGCATACACCTGTAGTCCCAGCTACTCAGGAGGCGAAGGCACTAGAATTGCTTGAACCCGGGAGGCAGAGGTTGCAGTGAGCCAAGATCATGCCACTGCACTCCAGCCTGGGTGACAGAGCGAGACTCCAACTCAAAAGTAAATAAGTAAATAAATAAGGGCAATGCAAGAGGAAGAAACCTTAAGAAACAAAAACGAGGGCAAATATTGGTCATAAGAAATCAGATAAAGAATTACTACCTAGTTTATACTAAGTGTCCATGTTTATAATGCCAAGTTGATTTAATTTATATTCCAAATTTATAAACCATAAAACTAAATACCTTCATTGAGATATCAGAGAGAAAATTGCAATGATGGTAGAGTATCAAATGATCTATGTTAGAGAAATTACCAGTGTTTTCTTAGAATTTTAGAGCTAGGAAAGGACATAGAGATTATCCAATATAATTTTTTTTAAAAGCAAACAGAGGATACAACAAGCCTAGAAAATACTCCATTACTGAGCAGCAGAACCCACTTGGAACCTGGAAGTCTTGATTTCTAGTTCAGGCCTCTTTTTGCTAGATCCAGCTGCCTCAGTTGAAGCCTGAGACATTTTGATAATTTATTGACTAATGTGACTACCTATTTGAAATATTTCCCTAAAATTTCATTGCAATATTTACTCATAAGGAACAAAAACTCATTTCATGTATTTAGCAGTTGCTATTCTTAACCACAGCAATTTCTGTTTTTCTTTCATGTCATCACCCAACTACTTTCACCTTAGGCGAATGTATATTTATTTATTTTAATTTATTATTTATTTATTTTATTTGCTATGGTGCATTCTCATATATCCCTGGAACTAATAACGGAACACCAATCTTGAGGGTTGGAATCATGAAGTGGGAGAGAAGGTTTACTGAATTTATCAATACCTAAACAACATTCTGGGTGATCTTATTAAAAGCAAATCCTTCTATACTTAATAAAGATTAATATAGTGTAAGATACAACACAGATTAAGATAGTATAAGGCAGTGGTCCCCAACCTTTTTGGTAGCAGGGACTGGTTTCGTGGAAGACAATTTTTCCATGGACTGTGGGTTGGGGTGATGGGGATGGTTTCAGGATGAAACTGTTCCACCTCAGATCATCAGGCATTAGATTCTCATAAGGAGCACAAAACCTAGATCCCTCACATGCACAATTCATGATAGGTTTCACACTCCTATGAGAATCTAATGCCGCCATTGATCTGGCAGGAGGCAGAGTTCAGGCAGTAATGCTTACTGGCCTGCCGCTCACCTCCTGCTGTGTGGCCCAGTACCTATCCATGTCCCCAGAACTGGGGACCCCTGTAAGGTATTTAACAAAGATTAAAAGATAAGAACCAGAATAAAGAGCATATAAGGCCAAGGTGGGAGGATTGCTTGAGCCCAGGACTTCAAGACCAGCCTAGGCAACATGGTGAAACCCCATTTCTACAAAAAATACAAAAATCAGGCCAGGCGCAGTGACTCATACCTGTAATCCCAGCACTTTGGGAGGCTAAGGCAGGCAGATCACCTGAGGTCAGGAGTTTGAGACCAGCCTGGCCAACATGGGGAAAACCCATCTACTAAAAATACAAAAATTGGCTGGACATGGTGGTTCACGCCTGTAATCCCAGCACTTGGGGAGGCTGAGGTGAGCGGACTGCCTGAGCTCATGAGTTCGCAACCAGCCTGCGCAACATGGTGAAACCGCGTCTCTACTAAAATACAAAAAATTAGCTGGGCGTGGTGGCAGGCACCTGTAGTCCCAGCTACTCCGGAGGCTGGGGAGGAGAATCTCTTGAACCCAGGAGGTGGAGGTGGCAGTGAGCCGAGATCACGCCACTGCACTCTGGCCTGGGCAACAGAGCGAGACTCCGTCTCAAAAACAAAAACAAAAAACAAAACCAAGAAACAAAAAAGTTAGCCGGCCCTGGTGGCACACGCTTGTAATCCCAGCTACTCAGGAGGCTGAGGCAGGAGAACAGTTTGAACCTGGAAGGTGGAGGTTGCAGTGAGCCAAGATCGTGCCACTGCACTCCAGCCTGGGCGACAAAGCAAATCTCTGTCTCAAAAAAAAAAAAAAAAAAAATTAGCCAGGCGTGATGGCCCACGCCTATAGTCCCAACTACTCATGAGGCTGCGGTGGGAGGATTGCTTGAGCCCAGGAGGTCGAGGCTGCAGTGAGCTAAGATTGCACCACTGCACTTCAGCCTGGATGACAGAGTGAAACTGTCTGAAAGTAAATGGAGAACAAAACTTCTAAATTACACTTAGCTCCCAAATTACACTTCACTTACTTCATGGGCAAGTTAATTTTGATGATGACTGAAGTACTGATTCTCTCATTTATGTATTATTATTTTGACACAGAATCTCACTTCAGTCGCCCAGGCTGGAGTGCAGTGGCACTATCACAGCTCACTGCAGCCTAACCTCCTGGGCACAAGCGATCCTCCCACTTCAGCCTCCTGAGTAGCTGGGACTACGGGTGCGTGCCACCGCACCTGGATAATTTTTGTATTTTTTTGTAGAGACAGGGTTTTTCCATGTTGCCCAGGCTGGTCTCCAACACCTGAGCTCAAGTGATCCACCTGCCTCAGCCTCCCGGAGTTTTGGGATTACAGGCATGAGCCACTGTGCCAGGCGATTCTTTCATTTATTAAACACCTACCATGTGCCAAGCCCCTTACTGGGTATGGTAGATACAAAAACTAAAGACACAACTCCCACCCTTCAGGAGCCTAGAGTCTATCTAGTAGAGAAGGAAAGTAAATAGTCAACTCAAATCCATGTGGTGAGTGACACTTGGGGCATACACAGAGGCTTCTAAGCAGAGGGGGGGTTGTAGCTAAAATCTTGCCAGAGAAACCCTCAGTGAGTCTTTTTTTTTTTTTTTTTTGAGACAGAGTGTCGCTCTGTTGCCCAGGCTGGGTGCAGTGGCATGATCTTGGCTCACTGCAAACTCCACCTCCTGGGTTCAAGTGATTCTCCTGCCTCAGCCTCTTCAGTAGCTAGGATTACAGGCGCCCACCACCATGCCTGGCTATTTTTGTATTTTTGGTAGAGATGGGGTTTCACCATGTTGGCCAGGCTGGTCTCGAACTCCTGACCTCAAATGATCTGCCCGCCTCGGCCTCCCAAAGTGCTGGGATTATAGGCATGAGCCACCATGCCCTGCCCCTCAGTGAGTCTTGAAAGTAAGCGGAGGCCAGCCAAGTAAAGAAGCAGAAGTCGGCAGAAGGAGCAATGTAAGCAAAGGAATAAAATGATATGATGTGCTGGGGAACTGCAATTACTCATGAGGTTCAAAGGAAGAGTATGAGTTAAGGCATGACGAGATTTAAGGCTGGAGAGAAAGATGTGGGGATGGCAAAGGACTTTGTTTGCCATGCAAAGGAGTTTTTATCCCAAGGTTAGGCAGTACCACTAAAGCATTATATGTAGCGGGGACAGGATAAGATGCCACCTGTAAAACTCAGCACTGTGAAAACTGGATTGGAGGAAAATAAAATTAGAGGTGGGGAGACTGATTTGGAGAGATTACAGTGATCTAGGCAGAAGTTGAGGGGGCCTCAACAAAGAGTGGCAGTAATAATGGACAAGTAGATAGGGGTAGGACCCATGAAATCTGGAGGTTGACTAAGGATCTACACAGATGATGGTGCTACTTATTATGATGGAAAAAGGACAGGCTGCCCCCCCCCCCCCGCCCCACCGCCCACTTCGGAAGTGGGGTTTGCTTGGGGAGAGGGAAAAGACAGAGTTGAGTCTGAGTTTCAGACATGTTGTGTGTGATGTCCCTGTAGTAGATCCAAGGGGGATGTCCCGTAGGCAGGTAACTTTGAGGTCTGGCCCTCCGGAAAGTGGTTATGGCTAGAGATACACGTTTGAAAACTGTTTTAGCTTTCTATTGCTGCTGTGCTAAATTACCACAAACTCAGTGACATAAAGCAGTCTGTAAAGACAAATTTAGTCTTACAGTTCTGGAGGTGGTTAAGTACAAAATGGGTCTGACCTGGGCTAAAATCAAGGTGTCAGAGCAGGCTGGTTCCTTCTGGAGGCTGTAGGGGAGAATCCTTTTCCAGATCCTGGAGGCTGCCCACATTCCTTGGCTCATGGCTCTGCACAGCATCACAGCACCTTTTCTCCCTCTGCGTCCATCATCACGTGGCTTTCTTCTGACTCTTCCTGTCCTCTCATGAGAAGGACCCCTAGGATTACATTGGGTCCACTTGGATCAAGATAATCTCCCATCTCATGATCCTTAACTCGATCCCCTCTGCAAAGTCCTTTTTGCCATATAAAGTAACATTCAGAGGTTCCGGGGATTAAGACATGACCAACCTTGAGGGGGTAGGGGAAGGTGGGGAGGGGCATTATTCAGCCTTACCGCAGAAGTTATGAGCATTTAAAGAGCCATGAAAAAGGGTGAAATTATTGTGCATAAGTCGGAATCATGAGAATACTGTCACAGAAGCCAAGGAAAGAACATTTCTCGGGCGGGGGAGAAATATACTGGTGAAATGCTGCCGAGAAGTTAGCTAGGAACAGAACTGAAAACTGTCTACTACTTTAGCAGCTAGGCTGTCGTAAGCACAATGTCAGCGAAGTGGTGGGGAGGGGCAGGGCGGGGGGTAGAAGACAAACCAGAGTAGGTTAAGGAATAAATGGAAAATGAAAAAGTGAGCATAGTAACTATAGATACCTCTTTGAAAACAGATGCCTTTAAGCATAACAGAAAGAAGAGGAAAAAGAGCAGGTGAGAGAGGACCACAAGCCACAGGGTAGGAGGGTTGAGGATGCTCAGAGGCTGAAGGAAAGGGCTAAGAAAGGATAGGGGTTTGAAGGTACAAGAGAAAGAGCTGTGAGTTCCCTGAAAAGCAGGATAGCAGTGGGAGGATGAATTCAGATATGGGGCAGAGAGAAGAGCCTAGGTTAAGAATGCCTGTGAGACCAAGAGGAAGGAGGTAAGGATGAAGGTGGCCTGTAGGTTAGGGAGGGAGAGGAGGCTAATGTGGTTTGTGACTGATGCTTTTCTCTGGAAGGAGGGAGGTGAAAGATCAGTCCATGAAGAGGGACAGGGAAGAGGTAGGAAGCTTGAGAAGAATAGTGAAGGTTTGAAATGGCCGTGGGATGAATGGGAAAGGCTGAGACTGGGAATATGTGCAAACAAAGCAGGAGAGTATCGACAGTGCTGGTGCCATCAAGTTGGTTCTTTCCGTCTGGGTGCAGTGGCTCATGCCTGTAATCCCAGTACTTTGGGAGGCCGAAGTGAGAGGATCACTTGAGCCCAGGATTTGGAGATCAGCCTGGGCAACATAGTGAAACCCTGTCTCTACCAAAAAAAAAAAAAAAAATTAGCTGGGTTGGGTAGTGCCTGTAGTCCCACCTACTCGGGAGGCTGAGGTGGGAGGATCGCTTGAACCTGGGAAGTAGAGGCCACAGTGAGCCATGATCACACCACTGCACTCCAGCCTGGGTGACAGAGTAGACCTTGTCTCAGAAAACACCACAAGGCCGGGCATGGTGGCTCACACCTGTAATCCCAGCACTTTGGGAGGCCGAGGCAGGCAGATCGCCTGAGGTCAGGAGTTCAAGACCAGCCTAGGCAACATGGCAAAACCCTGTCTCTACTAAAAATACAAAATTAGCCAGGCATGGTGGTGTGTGCCTGTAATCCCAGTTACTCGGGAGGCTGAGGTAAGAGAATCGCTTGAACCTAGGAGGCAGAGGTTGCAGTGAGTCGAGATCACGCCACAACACTCCAGCCTGGGTGACAGAGTGGGGCTCCGTCTAAAAAAAAAAAAAAAAACCACAAAAGAAATTATTTTCAAGTGGAAACAAAACAACAGAAATTAAACTTGCAAGGACTAAGAAAGGAAGGGTGATCAATTTAAAGCTACAGGTTCTACAACAGAATAACCTCAATGTATGCTGAGCTAAGTATGATGAACAGGGGAGCTGGCTATTTTTCTAGATCTTTAAACAACTCTGCGTCAGATATAAAGTTTGCTAAAATATCTTAAGTCTGCCATGGTTTGAAACATATACCTGTCAAATTTGCAGAAACATTTTTAATTTATTTTATTTATTTATTTATTTTTGTGAAACAGGGTCTCACTCCATTGTGCAGGCTGGAGTGCAGTGGCCCGATCCCAGCTCACGGCAACCTCCACCTCCCAAGTCCAAGCGATTCTCCCACCTCAGCCTCCTGAGCAGCCAGGACCACAGGCATGCCCTGCCATTCTGGGCTAATTTTTGTATTTTGTAATTTTGTAGTACAGATGGGTGTCTCACCATGCCGGCCAGGCTGGTTTTGAATTCCCGACCTCAAGCGATCCACCCACCCCAGCCTCCCAAAGTGCTGGGACCACAGGCGTGAGCCACTGCATCTGGCCCAAATTTGCAGAAATATTTTTAAAATGTGCAGTCCATTTCAGAGAGCCATTAGCATTTTCATTTTCATTATGTAGTTTTTATTTTAGACGAACATTATTATAAAAAAAAAGTTCACCTGGAATAAAATCCATTTAAAAAAAACATAGCATCAGTATCAGTACACAGTTAATGAATTGGCTTAAACAAGATTAACCACATGACAGGTCCACTTATCTGCAGGAGCTTTTCACATTAAGCCATTGGAGCAAAAATAAAATATGTTTAAACATGTACAGTAGGATAGTTATATGGAAAAACTAGAGAGTTTCCATTAGGGGCATGATTTTCATCAAACAGTTTATGGTATTTTGCATGAAAGGAACTGCAGTGTCAGCTGCAAACAAAATAAAAGCCATCTGTAAGGCCATAAAATTGAACTATAATAACTAAATTCACATTTTAAAAAAAGGTAAAGTGAAATAAGTTCTATTAGTTTCTTGGCACAAGAAATGCAATTGCATATGGCACACGCATTTCAAGAAATGAAGTAAAATCTGAAAATATCCCTAGAATAATTGTTTGCTAATTTTTATTTCTGTACATTTCAGTCATTTAGATTTTTTTCAGAGTGAACATGACAGCCATTAATTTTATTAGTCTAAAAAAATGACTTATTCTACTCTAAAATTGTGCTAGAATTTGAAATTATTTTAGCATATCCTGTCCGTCTAGGTCCCTCTATATCAAGGGATTTCATTTTTAGACATTCCTTTCCACCCACCCCTGTGCCCCCCTTGGATGTAACAAGGAAAAAGGAATGTCTCTTCTGTTTAAAAAAAAAAAATTCTGAGAAACCTGATTGCAGAAATGAGTGCTTAAAATTTATAATAATTAACCAACATAATGAAATGTGGTTTTTAAAGATTGAGAACTAAATTTGTAAAGGAATCTAAGTCATGAACTTGAAAAGAATGTCTGCTTAAATGTGTCACTTACTGATCACAGGAAAAACTTTATAAGCCTTAATATAGACTCTGAGCATTCAGAACCTGTAAAATGGAGTTATAATCTCTTACTAGAAACTTCTGCAAAAACGCACCTATATTGCACAGCTAAATTTATTAATGGAGACAGGGAGATAATACTTTTTTTATGCTACTGGATATGACATGTATGCTCTATCCTAAACTAATATTTCCTACCTTTCCCAATGATGTCTTCAGTTCAAAACAAAACAAAGAGTCTAAATTTTGTTAGATGCTTAAAGGCTGGCTCACTGTTTTTCTACCAGGTATTAGAATACTAGTTAGCTAAATGAGGTATAATTAAAAAATAGACCTTCAAAGTAAAGAGTATAGTCTTCTGAAAATTTATAACAAAGACTGCACAAAATGTTTCTGTAAATAGTAAGAAACCCTGCAGCACCTACTAACTGATGCACAGGTAGATTATTGTATCATAATCTGTCTGAAGTAAAATATAGCTAAAATAAGTTCCCAGCGAAACGTTTTACAATCAACTGATTTACATGCTACTTAGTTACAGCACATTTTCACTGTCTGATACCCTCAGACTCTATTTGAAAAGGTCTAGTCCAATCACTGTCAAAAATTAACACACTGATTAATAAAGTGCAGCCACTGAACCACTAATACTGCTGCAAAAATCTTCATGTACCTTATCCATAAGACCACAAAAATGTTCACAAAAAAACTAGATTTCTTCAGTTTCAGCGGGGAACAGACAATTATCTGTCATTAAATTCATCTACAAATAGAAAAAATAATGCACTGTATGTACATTATTAAGCAAAGTGGAATATTTATTGGGTCATTTTATCATGCAGAAAGTGAATTTCCTAAGGTCTTAGCTCAATGTATATACAATCTAGCAAAGCTAAATGTAAGAAAATAGCAAGGACAATTTATTTCTATATAACAGAGCATATACTCCCAATTTGCTGCTACTTCAAAGAGCACTTTTAGACTCATCTAACTTTTACAGGCTCTTTCAAGTGAAGTTCATGGAGACTAGTTATTAATCCATATAAGACAAAAGAAGAAAGAAGAAATATAACCAAAGCAAAGCATTCTGTTAAAAAAAAAAGTAATAAAAGCTAACCACAGAATATGTCAGTTTTGGTTTGCAGACAACCCCTGAGATTATATAAACCAAAGCGTTAAGACACCAAATAGTCAGAGGTAAATTACTAAGAGAATTACATTCATACATGGTGTCATAGCACTTATCTTTTAGAAGGTACTTTGTTACCATCCAGAAAGCGTTAACTGCTTGGATTTTTTCAGGAAATAGTGAATATTAAGATGTTTCTAAAAAATTATCTTTTCCTTTTGAAAATGTATCTAATTTGAAGATAGTAGAATTACAATAAACTTTCAATCACGGAACTACTAATTATACTAGAACAGCAACGAATGACTTTTAAGCCTATAGGTAATTACCAAAAAAAAAAAAATTAAGGAGGCTGAAATTTGTCAACAATAAGTTTAGTATATCTATTAAAAATAGCTTGGGCATATTTGCAGCTGCTAAATTGTTCCTATATTTTCAAATAAGTACAAAAGATTGACTGGTCCAAGCATTCTAATGACATATCTTAATTTGAAGAGAATTCTCTGTGGTAACAAGCAATCCCTTTCCACTGCCATCTCCTGTTCTTATCTATCCAGCATGATAGTAGCCTTTGTGAAGCAAAACAGGCATACCAGGAAGAATAATTATTAACAGAATTCATTTCCCTCATCCCCTCTGTTTTATCCCCCCTGTGTTATGACACTGAAGGCTAGAGCAACAACGACATAGTGATCTGAATTTGGCACACAAGTTAACACTAAATACCTTGTGATGGTTTCATCTACAAAAGTATACCAGTACCAGTGTTTGTTGAGAAAGGCAACTAAGCTTTTGGTTGGCTTTAGCCCAAATGACTGGACTAAGTTCTGTAACAATGAACCAAAACAGATGGAACTGGGTTCTACACAATCAACAACAGCTGTTTGAAAACTGAAACCTTGGTCCTGTTTTCTCTAATGAAAAGGCAAGACTTTTCCTAGAGGCTGCACTAGGTCTAAGTACTTTTATTTCTAAAAACATCTGCCAAATAAAACCAACCAAAACTCATTATTTTCACCATTACCAAGAGCTAGCTCTATTAAATTTATATCAACAAGTTAATCTGTCTCTATATAGGGAAGGTTTCCGCAAACTAAAATCTAAACCTAACTTTTGTAGACAGGGATTATGGTAGGAATTTGGTATTACAACTAAACCAGCCAGCTAAGGAGTGAACCTAAGAAAAAATATATTACATATCCTTATTGACAGAATCACAGTTAGATGCTGCACTAAAACCCTAAATGGTATATCTCTCAGCCCACGTAAAATTTCAGCTCAAGAAGTTCACAAATAGAAACAGATAATAATGTTCAAATATTACTTAAGAGTGATTACACTTAAGTCAAACATGGGAAAGAATAGCAAATACAAACCCCAGGGAAAAATGAGATTATGGTGATTTCCAAATGCAGTTTCTATAGATTAGGCAGAGGTAATCATTTTAAAGTGATTCATTCAGCTACCCAGACTCTGGAAAACAGGTCGGGGATGAGGCAAAGCTCTTAATCTGAAGAAATAAAGAAATTGTGGCCTTTGATGACAAGATGGGCATTTCAGTAAATTTTTTTAATGACTTTAATGATTCTTATTTAAGAAAAAGCCCTTAAATAAATGCTACCAAGGCAGTAATATTTGACCATATGAACCAGACCAAATACCCTTTAATTTTAGTATATTAACCTCTGCTGTAAATGCTCTTTTAACATTGCCACATGTACAAATTTGTCTAGAACTTCACGACACAAAAGTGTGCAAATATGAGTCTAAGATTGTGCTGAAATAGGGAAAGGCTAACACTGATGTGCAAAGTAAAAAAGAAAGATAACCGCTTCTGCAACAGGTAATAAAACAAGGAAAAAACGAGTTAGGTCCTGCATGTGTCTCCACTTCATTGCTTCCATGTTTGAAAAAGGGAGTCTGTTCTTTTGCTAGGCCATGAGGCTGGAATCCACTTGGCATACTGTGTTGAGAGGTCTAAGTTCAGTGGTGCTCTCAGCAGCAGCCGGGAGGTGTGATTCTGAGGCTGGGTGACCTGTGCTTTCAGAGAAGCAGGAAAGGGCCCTCTAGGTGTGCTGCAGTCTCTCAGAAAGAGTTCATCAAAGTAGCGAGCAACGAAAGAAACTGGTCTTCTTTGATCGGTTTTCTGTTATTTTCACTGGTCCACCTGCTCCTGCTGAATTGCTGTCATTCTAAAAAATAGAAGATGAAGTTACCAAGGAAATAAAAGTTTCATGGTTTGACCTCAGTTACCTAAAAAATAAAAATAACTAACCATACCATGTGAAATGTGTATTCTAGTGAAATGTGTATTCACTAGAGTATTTTATTAGAACGGGAACTAGTTAAGCACCAATGTTGTCTTTTTCTTTGGAAATGGTGAATTGAAAAGAGGAAAATGCCCTTACGATAGCAGCTTTTATATCAATAATGTATTCAATAGGAAGCTTCTATTTCTAGTTCCAATGGAGTGTAAAGTTTCAAAGGTAATGATGGAAACAATGTTAAGATACTGGCATAGACAGTTCTGTTAGAGGTAAGAAGAGTTAGTAGCATAAGGTACGCAATTATAGTCAGGACTCAGGATAAAACAAACTTTCAAGGTTGTCTTAATGATTTCAAATTTAAGCAAACTTTAGCAACTTCAAAATCGTAGTTATGCAGATATAAATACCTGTCACATGAAAACTGAATAATTTTATGGCAAAAATCGAATTTGTGCCATTATTATTTTCATTATTCTCATCAAAATTCAATTAAAGATCACTTAAAGAGCCAGAAGAAAGGACTGAAACAGTGGCAGCTCAGAAATAAGAATCCTAAACAAACAGAACTAAGAATCAGAGTTCAACCAAATGAGTATCTGAGTCAGGAAAAAAATGAGTTTAATTTGAGTATCTTATAATTAGACCTATCCTTTTCATCAAATGCCAAACAGACAGCATAATGGAAATAAAAATTATAAGTGATACAAACCATTTTTCTGTTGAGTTTTGTCATTATATCTCGTGCAAGTGTAAAAAATGCCTATAGGTAAAACAAAACATTTTCATTATTATATATTCACTATATATATGTATATATATATATATACACATATATATATTCCCCCCGCCTCAGAGATGGGGTCTTGCTATGTTGCCCTGGCTGAATTGGAACTCCTGGGCTCAGGCAATCCTCCCACCTCAGTCTCCTAAGTAGCTGGGACTACAGGTGTGAGCCACCATGCCTGACTTATTTTAAAACAGAAATACAGAATTTTTCATTATTTCAATATAAATATACCACTTTAAAGCTTTACATTAAGAAAGTAATAATTGTAATCATAGTATGCATGTGTTTACTCTTTTGAGATTGTATCATAAACATTTTCCAATGTTATCAAACTATCATTCATTCATCAAATATTTTCTTCATGTGATATAATATCACAATAACACCCTTGTTGAGTCACGAGTAACTTCTTCAGTACACCAAGAACAGGACAGAAGCTCTGTCTAAGCTACCCCACTTCCCTAGAGCAGGGCACAGTGCTGATCTAGGAAATGCTGACTATCTGGTTTAATGAGTGAATAAATAATTATGTATTACCCTATAGCTCTAAAATGTCTTCACAAAAATCTCTACTTTTTATTTCTGGCTTTTTCTTTCAAATTGCTCTCACTCTTATAGCTGAATATGTATAATCTTCCATGTCTTACTCCAAAATCCCAACAGTTCCTGGAGCTCTCGGCTAAATTCCCCACCATGGAAGTCAGTTCGAATAGAAGCAGGGCAAATCTGATTAATCTTCGTGATAATTTATCCATAATGTCTCTTGATACAAACCAAATATTTTTTAAATCCATCATCACTTTTTCTATGAAGCCAGGAACTGTTAAAGATTCTTCATTTGTCACCATGCTAAACCTATTGTTAAATCAACCTCTTTGTTCCCAACACTCCTGATCCCCAAAAACTGTTCAGGAAAAGGATTATTTCCAATCCAATCAAATAAAAACAATACGACAACTACTATTATTACTCATTGTCAGTGTCTCACTGTCAAACTTGTCACCTATGAGCCTAACCACACTGATTTAAAGCTCTGGCAAAGTTGTTACCATCTGTATGCCTTGCTAGAATAAGCAGCTCAGGCAACTCCCAGTTCAGGGAGTTCTATCCATACTGTTGCAAATTATGGGATTTCACTCTTTTTTTATGGCTGAATAGTATTCCATTGTGTATACATACCACATTTTCTTTATCCATTCATCCACTGATGGACACTTAGGTGGATACACTGATTCCCTTTCTTTTGGGTAAATACTCAGTAGTGAGACTGCTGGATCATATGGTAGTTCTATTTTTAGTTTTTTTATTGTTCTCCATAGTGGCTGTACTAATTTACATTCCTACCCACAGTATATGAGGGTTCCCCTTTCTCTACATCCTTTCCAGCATTTGTTATTGCCTATCTCTTTGATAAAAGCCATTTTAATTGGGGTGAGATGATAGCTCACTGTACTTTTGATATGCATTGCCCTGATCACTACTGATGTCGGGAATTTTTTCATATACCTGTTGGCCATTTATTTGTCTTCTTTTGAGAAATGTCTATTCAGATCTTTTGTCCATTTTTAACTTGGATTATTTCTGATGGCGGGAAATCCTTTTGTATCAAGCAGAGGGAAGCATTTTTCTGCTTATCTAAGCTTGTGTAAGTAAATCAGTAGAGGCTTCCTGTTTCCTAACACCCATCGGCCAACCTAAACAAATAACTGTTACGTTATTTAAAACAAAGAAAAAGTTCTGATCAGTGTCCACTGGCTAATAAAGTCATGTAGGTCTCGATTTTTAACCATCATGTTATGATGAACAATGAGTAACCTAGGAAATTAAATGTTTATGAAACTATCAGTATTATTAAAAGAATTACATGTATTAACACATATCACATGTAAATTACACGTATTATTTTTATGATCAGTTGAAAAAATGTTTTTTAAAAAAAATAACAGTTCCCTTGGTGAAGAAAACCTATTATTTTTTTTTTTTACACTTTAAGTTCTGGGATACATGTATAGAACATGCAGGTTTGTTACCTAGGTATACACGTGCCATGGTGGTTTTCTGCAACCATCAACCAGTCATCTACGTTAGGTATTGAAGAAAACCTATTCTCATAAGACTTTAGATGGTTTGGTTTTCCTTAACAGCTAACTTAATGAAAATTTATTAAAGCTACTCCCTGATAAACACTTTCCTATTTCCACTAAATGCCACTGTTACAATTTATTGTGCTTAATCTACCTCAAATGTGTACGCTAAAGGAATGTGTCCAATAAACTAACAGCTTAATTCTCCCTTGAGAGAGTACAGCCTTAAAAGTGATTTAACTCTTCTGCTGCAGGCATACAGGGTGACATGAATGAGCACAGGATACTGGTTGGTCTTCTAGTCCAGGATTTCCAGCTGCCCAAAAAAAGGGCAAAACTGAACTTCCATAATCTATTCTGTGAATCTTAACTGAGCAAGCTAATATAATCCAGGTGGAGGCTAGATGCTAGAAATTCAACAACCAGCGTCTACATAAAAATCAGAAGCAGCTGGGTATGGTGGCTCACGCCTGTAATTCCAGCACTTTGGGAGGCCAAGGAGAGGGGATCACGAGGTCAAGAGATCGAGACCCTCCTGGCCAACATGGTGAAACCCCGTTTCTACTAAAAATACAAAAATTAGCTGGGCGTGGTGATGCACACCTATAGTACCAGCTACTCGGGAGGCTGAGGCAGGAGAATCGCTTGAACCTGGGAGGCAGAGGTTGCAGTGAGCCGAGATCATGCCACTGCATTCCAGCCTGGCGACAGAGTGAGACTCCATCTCAAAAAAAAAAAAATCAGAAGCACAAAAGTGTACAAAGTAGAGTTGGGTCAACAAAAGGCATTCATTAGGTCAGAAAATACCAAAGCTCTGAGAGCTGTTTGAACACAGGCCCCTAAGCACTGGTGCTGCTCCGTAACAGTCACCAAACGTTTCCTTCTTACCTCTTCTACATTTGCACTGGATTTTGCGCTTGTCTCCAAGAATTTAATCCCATAGTCAATTGCTAGCTGAAAAGTAAACAGAAATATTTAAATTTAGCAAAAGATACTTGAACACATAATGCATTTGTATTTCTTAGGTTTTTCAAAGTCTCAAAGGTAGGGTATCTATTTCAGAACTCCTGTGGTTCTCAAATTTCTTTGCTTTCTTCTACTGTATTCAGAATTTAATAATTTAACTTAATCATCGTAAGAAGGATGGCACAACTTCCATTTCAAACATAATTTAAGGCCGGGCATGGTGGCTCACGCACTTTGGGAGGCCGAGGCAGACGGATCACGAGGTCAGGAGATCGAGACCCTCCTTGCTAACATGATGAAACCCCGCCTCTACTAAAAATACAAAAAATTAGCCGGGCGTGGTGGCACCCGCCTGTAGTCCCAGCTACCCGGGAGGCTGAGGCAGGAGAATTGCTTGAACCCAGGAGGCAGAGGTTGGAGTAAGCCGAGATCGCACCACTGCACTCCAGTCCAGGTGACAGAGCGAGACTCTGTCTCAAAATAAATAAATAAATAAAATAATAATAATAATTTAAGTACTTCTCTTTTTTTCTGTTTTTGTACTTTTAGTTCTCTAATATGGGATAAATACCCACCCTCCTAAGGTAGCAGAATAGGGTCTGGAGGCAGGGAACCTAAGGCCAATTCACATTGACTTCCTAGAACTAAATCAAAAGAAAAACCCCAGCCTTCCATGCCCAAGTAACAAAAGTACAGGGGTTACTCCCTTTGCAACCTCCTCCCCTTTTCTGACTCACAGATTAAAAATGGAAAGTACCTCTGATTGGTCCCCTCCCACAACCAATCAGACGTCTGCGCAGGGTATAACTTTGTAACTTCATTTCATCCTTTGATTGGTCACCTTCTGCAACCAATCAAACTGGTCATGGGCCACTACTTCATTTACAGAGTGTAAACCAAGTAACCCATGGGAAATTTCTAGAGGGTATTTAAACCCCAGAAAATTCTGTAACCAGTGCTCAAGCTGCTTGCTCAAGCCCACTCCCACTCTGTGGAGTGTACTTTCATTTCGATAAATTTGTGGTTTTGGCTTCATTCTTTCATTGTTTGTGTGTGTGCATTTTGTCCAATTCTTTGCTCAAAATGCCAAGAATCTGGCTGACTTGTAGTCAAGACCCTCCACTGGTAAAACTACCATTATCTTGGGATTCATTCACTCCTTTTATCTGCTCCCAAAGTTTAATTCTCCAACAGTTACTGTATTGACTTTTAGGCCGGGTGTGGTGGCTCACGCCTGTAATCCCAGCACTTTGGGAGGTCGAGGCAGGCAGATCACCTGAGGTCAGGAGTTAAGAGACCAGCCTGGCCAGCATGGTGAAACCCCGTCTGTACTAAAAATACAAAAATTAGCCTGGTGTGGTGGCAGACGTCTATAATCCCAGCTACTTGGGAGGCTGAGACAGGAGAATCGCTTGAACCAGGGAGCCAGAGGTTGTAGTGAGCCAAAATTGTGCAATTGCACTCCAGCCTGGGTGACAAGAGTGAAACTCCATCTCAAATAAAAAAAAAAAAAACTATACTTACTTTTAATTACTTTTTTTTTTTTTTTGAGACACAGTCTTGCTCTGTTGCCCAGGCTGGAGGAGTACAGTGGCACTATCTCAGCTCACTGCAACCTCCGCCTCCTGGGTTCAAGTGATTCTCCTGCCTCAGCCTCCTGAGTAGCTGGGACTACAGACGCACGCACGCCACCATGCCCGGCTAATTTTTGTATTTTTAGTAGAGACAGTGTTTCACCATGTTGGTCAGGCTGGTCTCGAACTCCTGACCTCGTGATCCACCCACCTCGGCCTCCCAAAGTGCTGGGATGACAGGTATGAGCCACTGCGCCAGGCCTTAATTAATTTTAATAAATGAGTCCAGAATTGAACAAAAACTTAAATACTAAAGTATTCATGCTTTGATTTCTATTGATTGAGACAAATTGCGAACTCTTATATATTCCTCAAAAAGTTCCTAGTTCATTTACAATGCTAAAATTAAGTAAATGTTTTTAGGGGAAAAAAGTTTGCAGCAAAAGTTCACAGTCAGATTGAAAAACAAAATGTGGCTGGGCATGGTGCCTCACACCTGTAATCCCAGCACTTTGGGAGGCCGAGGCAGGTGGATTGCTTGAGGCCGGGAGTTCAAGAGCAGCCTGGCCAGCACGGCAAAACCGCGTCTCTACTAAAAATACAAAAATTAGCCGGGTATATGTGTGTGGTGGCACATGCCTATAATCCCACCTTCTTGGAGGCTGAGGCATGAGAATTGCTTGAAGCCAGGAGGCAGAGGTTGCAGTGAACTGAGATTACGCCACTGCACTCCAGCCTGGGAGACAGAGCAAGACTTTGTCTCAAAAAAAAAAAAAAAGAAAAGAAAATGCATTTTGCATATATAATTTTTTTAAAGGCTAAAGCAAAATTCCAAGACTTAAAAAGTGAAGCTTCTAAGTCAATTTAGAATCTGTCACAGAAGTAAATATGTACACAAAATATTCCTTTGCTTTACAGGACACAAAAGAGAGAAATGCCCATGCCCATAAACAACATATAAATGACATCCATAGCTTGATCAGTTACAAGGAATTTATCCATAAAACCTAACGCTAATGTGTAGTAAAATATTCTTAGGGAAAAAAATGAATTGGAAAATGATTCCTGTTGAAACTTCACCTATCCCTATAACTTCTTTTTCAAAAAGAATGTTTACTTTAACTTCAAAACTGGGCATTTTCACACAGATCTGGAAGAAACAGCCTGAACTCTAAGCTGCAGGAATCTGAGAAAGGACCAATTTGTATCTCCCAGAAAACATTAGCAAATTCTTTAGGAATGAGTCATGACCACACAGTATAGAGAGCTGGATCTCGAATACTAATTCACACCATTCAAGTATGGATTACATCTCTTTGTTGTTGATATCCAATTTAAAGGGATTAAAACACAGATTTTAAAAAAAATCAATAATTAAATAATATGAAGAAAAGAAATGCTTAATGTGAGTAGATTCCAACCTTTATCCATTCCATTCACATTTACCTTCTCCCCTCTTTCTTTTGACACTTGTCTTTTGTCATTCATATCACATTTGTTACCCAGGATCATTCTTTCGACATCGGAAGAGGCATGCTGCAGGGAGAAAATAGCATGCTATAAAAACAGCCTGAGAAAAACCCGTTACTTAATAGACAAATCCAACCTGTCAGAAACACATGAATTTAATAAGACATAATCTTTTACTCACACAAGGCCTAATTCAGAGAAAAGTTTAAAGATGGGAAGAGGGGCAAAGCTACAGTACAAGAGCCCTCACAGAGCCTGTGCAAACCTTCTTCCCGAGGTTTGGAAAGAAGGTGGAACAAACACAAATAAAGCTTATGGTGATCTAATGACAAAATTTCCAAATATTCAGGTCAAAGAAGGACAAAAACTTGGTACTGAGTGAACCAGTGGAGATGGTATTCTAGATTCTGTACTATTTTAAAAAGAAATTCATCTAAGTTTATAGAAACGTGTACAAAATTATTTCAGAGTCAGATTTCTTTCTTAAGTGACAAAGACATTAAAAAAATCTTAATACCAATTATCCTGGAATTAAAACAATCTTCAAATATCTAAGATGGAGAAAATGTCAGAAGGGCAAAAAGTTGCCAAGGTAAAGAGATAATTGTTGCTAGCCAAACAGCATGGTGGGATAGAAGCTGGGAACCAGATGTTTTAATCCTGGCTCTTCTTTTTAAAGGCTGTATGAGCACAGGCAAATCACTTCTTTCTGTTCTCAGTTATTCATGTGTAAAATGTGATCTAGGATTAAATTATTTCCCATATCTGGCCCAAGCTTAAAATCTTGTGACGTTACTTCTCTGTCCCCCTAACCCCCAGTAGTCAGACTGGCAGCACCAGAGATTTATGGAGCTCTTCAGAGAGAGAGGGCCCAACCTGCCCATGCCCTGCTTCTAAGCAGCTCAGCTGCCTTGCAGACAGAGGAGCCTTTTACAAGCACCCAGCAGGACTCTTCTCCAATGTCACCATTCTCTTTCCACACATACCTCTTCAATGTTTCTGATCCAATTTTTAATATTGTCAAAGGATTTTTCATTTGTGATGTCATAGACCAGCATAATGCCCTATAAGGGGGAAAAATATCTTTATTTAGTACTTTATATATTTAAAGTTATAGTATATAATGTCAATGTACTCCTACCCTCCAGAAACCTTTTGTTTGTCCATTTTTTCCCTTTAAAAAGGGTTCATAATAAATTTGAAAAGTACAGAGAAACAAAAATCAATAAATACTTATTCCACTGGTCTCACCATGTAAATAAAAACCCTTTTAACATTTTCACTGTTAACCTTTAATGAATTAGTGATCGTGGTAAAGGTGATACACCCTTTCTACCTGACCTCACATGATAACAATCAGCCCCAATTGGAGCTGAGTGTTAAGTCAAAACAGCGATAACATTGAGAGTAAGAGTTAATCACTTCCACTGTGCACTTGTTTATTCCAAGTAGAAACTATCTTGCTTTCTACTCTTCTACTAAGATTGAGACCACACTGCTTTAAAATTATTTTTTATGTAGGTTGATCAAAAAATAGGTTGTCACTATTTATCTAAGTACATCACAGACACTTAAAATCCAATGCATTTGTTATACTGGTTTAATGAAAGGCATTCTCATCATATTTTTAAAGACTCCATGTCTGGTATTTCTTTTTTTGAGACACAGTCTCGCTCTGTCACCCAGGCTGGAGTGCAGTGGCATGATCTCCACTCACTGCAAGCTCCACCTCCCGGGTTCACGCCATTCTCCTGCCTCAGCCTCCCGAGTAGCTGGGACTACAGGCGCCCGCCACCACACACAGCTAATTTTTTGTATTTTTAGTACAGACAGGGTTTCACCATATTAGCCAGGATGGTTTCGATCTCCTGACCTCGTGATCCGCCCGACTTGGCCTCCTAAAGTGCTGGGATTACAGGTGTGAGCCACCGCGCCCAGCCCATGTCTGGTATTTCTAAAAGGTTTACCTTCCAAATGTTTAAACTAACACCTGTATGCTACTGCAAAATCTATATCCCCAGACCACACTTCTGTACTAAGTGCTAGAACTACTCACCTGTCCATCTACTACATAAATATTTAGTGAGCACCTACTGTGTGCCTGATACTATACTAGATCCTACTAGCAGTGAACAAGATAGAAAAGGTCTCTTCCTCTTGTAGATGGCTAACAAAGACAACAGACAATAAACCAATATCTATACAACTAATTATAATTTTGACAACTGCTATGAAGATGCATGGGGAGCTCATATGCTAGGGGTGTAATTCAATCTGGTTGAGGGGCTGGAGTGGGCAGGGGAGGCTTCCCTGAGGAAATGACATTAAAGCCAAAGCCTGGGAACTTAGTAGACTTAAACTAGGCAAAGGGCTAGGAGCTGCGGTGAAGAGGGGAAGCCCAGGTACCTGGCAAATAGCAGAAACATTGTAAATCTCTTGCTGATGTTGAACCAGAGACCGCTGGATTGAGTGAAAGAAAGTCAGCTTGGCAAGGCTGCACAGATCTAATGGGCGGAGGGCACAAGCTGAGGCTGAAGGGCTAGGCTGGGGTACTCAAGAGACCACTGTCTGGACATTGGCCAATAGATATCCCCTTGTGATCACGGCAAACTCAACAAAGTAAAACAAGATTGTCTTGTCTCCTCTGAATCTTCTATTTGTCCTTGTATTACCATTTTGGTGAAAGTAATACAACCCAGTCAGCCAGCCCAAGCACACATGTGGGAGTTATCTTCTCTATAGCCAATCAGTCACTAAGTCCTGGAGACTCAATGTCCTAAATATTCCAGAATCTTACCTACCACACACATGGCCTTATTCAGATTCTCACAAATTAGTCTTTACCTGGATTCCCATCATCTTTAATTGATTTCCCTGATTAATTTCATTCTTTTTTTTCTTTCTTTCTTTCTTTTTTTTAGAGATGAGGTCTCGCTATGTTGCCCAGACTGGCCTCAAACTCCTGAACTCAAGCAGTCCTCCCACCTCCGCCTCCCGAGCTGCTGAGATTACGGGCATGAGCCACCACATCCAGCTTCCCTGCTTTCATTCTTAGCCTCCTCTAATCCACTTTCCGTAAGGGTACTAGAACTATCACTTCATTGATCAAAATCCTTTAGCACCTCTCCTTTATACTCAAAATTAAATTAAATTTCCTTAGTATGGTAGGGGAAGTCCTTCCAGGTCTGGCTTCCAACTTTGTAAGTAAACATAAAATATAAATAAATATAAATCATATAAAACACACATATACACATAGACAAAGAATACATGAAATAAAACGTTAACAGAATATATCTCTCAGAGTAGTGGGATTTTAGATGATTTCTTGGGATTTTCAAAGTTTCCTGTAGTATATGTATCCTTTTTGCAACCAGAAAAACATACATTATTGTTTAAATGACAAACAACTCCTCTATCCTCCCTTCTTCCAGCCTCAAATACAAATGCTTCACTTTGGCTACACGCTGTAAAGGCAATTTACAATTGTTTCCATGTAAATAATTTTATTTTATAAAGGTCAGCCCGGGCATGGTGGCTCACGCCTGTAATCCCAGCACTTTGGGAGGCCGAGGCAGGTGGATCACCTGAGATCAGGAGTTTGAGACCAGCCCGGCCAACATGGGGAAACCCCATCTCTATTAAAAATACAAAATTAGCTGAGCATGGTGATGCATGCCTATAATCCCAGCTACTAGGGAGGCTGAGGCAGGAGAATCGCTTGAACCCAGGAGGTGGAGGTTGCAGTGAGCCGAGATCGTGCCATTGCACTCCAGCCTGGGCAACAAGAGTGAAACTCCGTCTCAAAAAAAAAAAAAAAAAGTCAAAGTAAAGAACTATACATTTTAAAATGGTCAAAATGATAAATGTTCTATTATGTATATTTTACCACAATAAAAACAATTCAAAGTGGATTCTGCATAATTCCTGATGCAATGTGTTTGGCTGCCTACAATATTAAAATTACCCAAATAACTGCCCTAGCTCTACCATCCTTTGGACTGTATGAACAACCCAGATCATTTATATGCCATGTCATCATGAAGTTTCATTTCACTGGTTAGCACAGAAAGTGTGAACATGGTGTGGTGTTAAGAACGCAGGCTAGAGTCTGAGGCTTCTAACTTAGGCTCCACCACATATTAAATGGGAGATCCTGCAGACATTATTTTATTCCTCTCAGTCTCCATGTCCTCATTTACAGAATGAGGACAATACTTCTTCCACGCTTGATCATTTTGAGGATCTACTGAGATATTTGTAAACTACTTCACCTAGAGCCTGGGACATAGCTTGGACTCAATAAATGGCAGCTATTATTAATTTATATCTTCAGTTTCAATAGCAGAAATCATTCACCTATTTCTTATGTTTTTAAGCTAACTGATATTATGAATCAGTTAGAAATACAAATTCAAGTGTATCGGTTAAAACTTTATGTATCTAGTATATATCTACAAGAAGAATAGCTTCCTAAGAATTCAGAAGATGGTGTTGGTCTATGAGAAACATTAATAATGTAATGATATGGTCCTGTTTTTCCCCAAAGCCCAAATGTCCATCAGGATCACTGCTATGCCTATGAATGCTGTTGATGTGTTTGAAATGCCATGGTGACAGACTCCAGTATAGTGCTTGTCAACATGCCACATACCTGAATCAGCCAAACTAAACCTGCCATAACCACCACTTGCTGAAAATGGTGGGCCCGGCAACCGACTGGAATGGATGACTTGAGAGATCCAAGAGTCAGGCACAGCAGGATTTCCTGAAGATTTATCCAAGATGGTGTCTAGGTCTAAAATTTCCCACTGATTCACCCCTTCAGCCAGCATTTATTGAGCCTCTACTATGTGTCAGACACTGGCATTGTATACAGCAGAACAAAGACAGAAATCTCTACCTTCAAAATGTGGAAGGTAATACTATTTAGAATAGCAACAATTTCTAATTATCTGAAGTAATGTGAGGAAAGACTAGGCAGTAAGTAAATTAAGACAATCCTCAAATCTAAATGTATTATTTAATACATTTCCATGCCCTCTTTCTTCATACAATGAACTAGAGCCAGACATCCAAGTGAAACATTTACTCTTATATTCTAAGTGCCACTGCCCACCCTCCAGTGAAAATGAGCATGCAAATGGTGTCAGCACATCATTCCTAGCATGCAAAAAACTGCTCAACAGAAAGGCATGTGTGTCTAAGATGCCTCTAATCAGAATTACCTGTAAACTATTCCAAATCATCCCTGTTATGATGTTCTTTTTATCCCTAAAATTCCTTCCTGGGGGAAACAAACAAACAACAAACAAATGTCTTCCTGGCACATATAATAAGCCCCTTCCCTTTGATTCCAGTCTAAGCAAAATAGAAAGTGGCTGGCAGCTATTTTTATTAAAATGATGACCCTTCACAATCTTAAAAGTATTATAGGGTGGAGTGTGGGGAACAAATACACATAAAATGGTTAGTGGTACACTTCAGCCTTAAAAAGGAATCCCTAATCTTTTTGTGGGGATGAGTTATGATGCTACTCCAACACTGGAGAGCAAGTGGTGGTGGAGGAGGAAGGGCAGCATGTCAGTGAGGGGATCTGTGGGTTCAGACCACATCTTCCTAGAGGTGTGGGGACAGCTATCACCCCTTCAGCTCTGTCATCCTAGCACCACTCCCAGGAATACAAGAATCTTTTAAGCAATGAGTTGGGAATGACGGCAGCTGGTACCCTACAATCTACCAGGTTGGGGTTCATGACCTCAGTTGTTCAACCTTCAAAGACTCTGAGCATACTAGATTTCATCATAATTCAAGACTCCAACTTGTGCTTGGCTTAGGCCTAAACACCAGCGATAAAGCCGTGGTCTGGGCCTGGCATTCTAAGCATGGTTAAGCACAGCTCATGGAAGTAAGGCAGCTTCCAAGCTGCCTTACTCACCACTGCACTCCCAGCATCACACTGCCCAGAGCCAAAAAGCAATAAAAGTGCACTGAATAGATGAAGCATCTTAGGATAGAACATAACAAGTGATGAAGTTATGACAGCAAGGAAAATGCCTGGATTCAGCAAATAACTTGGTAGTCAAGATTCACCAGATTCTTTCCGGCCAGCTGGCAGAATGGTGGTCAGGGGGATGACAGGGAGATGAGCCACAGCAGTGGATGTTGTGGAGGTGGTGAGGTAAGAGATAATGGTGGCAGGGCTGAATGACAAGAGAGTATAAGAAAAGAATACTTAGTCATAGGGCTTGTGGTTTGCTACGACTGCCATAAGGTATTAATAAAAGGAAGAATAATGAAAATATACAATCACATCAGAATGTGTGGAGGAGTTCTAGAACATCTATAAGTTAATCACCTGATTATTACGATGAAGACCACTGGCAAAGTATATAGTTGCTAAACACAACCAAAAAACCTTTTTTTTTGAGACGGAGTCTCGCTCTGTTGCCCAGGCCAGACTGCGGACTGCAGTGGCGCAATCTCGGCTCACTGCAAGCTCCTCTTCCTGGGTTCACGCCATTCTCCTGCCTCAGCCTCCCGAGTAGCTGGGACTACAGGCGCCCACCACCGCGCCCGGCTAATTTTTTGTATTTTTAGTAGAGACGGGGTTTCACCTTGTTAGCCAGGATGGTCTCGATCTCCTGACCTCATGATCCACCCGCCTCGGCCTCCCAAAGTGCTGGGATTACAGGTGTGAGCCACCGCGCCCGGCCCCCAAAAAACCTTTTAAATGTCTTGTTTCCCCATCAGAAAATTTATTTTTCTACATACTAGACTCCATCTTGAATCCTATAATCTTGGCAAACAAACATTCATGCTTTACTTCTACCTGAAGAGTTACAAAACCCTACAACACACTCACCATGGCTCCTCTGTAGTACGCTGTCGTGATTGTTCGGAATCTTTCCTGACCCGCTGTGTCCCTAAAATATGAAACAAAGGAGAGTGGTTTTTGAAGTCATCACCAGCATCACTGAGGAGAAACCCTGCTGTAGGAGATGTAATTCTAGTCTGCTCAGGGTGCAGTGGTCACAGAGGAAAGGAGAATGAGACACAGAGGGAGCCCTTTGCACATCTGCAAGCTGGAGGTGGTGGTGGCCACAGGAGCCTGTCAAGAGCTCACAATGACCTGGGTGAAAAACTCAGACCTTGATAAAAGCAGCAACAGAAAAATACACAGAAAAATCCTGCTAGGAACTGGTGTGTTATATTAGTCAAACACACGTGGGAGGGAATAGAGAATAGTTCTAAATTCTTCGACTCCCCGAGATAGTTATAATCCTTTTTGTAAGTGCTTAATGATTAAAGCACTTTGCTTTCTTGCCTGAATGTCTGATTTCTGTATAAAGCAAGCAATCGAGCTGGACTTATTACTGTGTACATTCTGCTCAGTAGAGCACAATAAAATAGATCTCCTCAAGAACTTGTTCAGCTATGGAGCCCATGATTTCATGGGGACCTGGAGTTCAACACATAAATCTTGACAACGTTTTCAAAGACTTTTAAACATAAACAACATGTCAAAACTATATAAACTTTCATATATTTTTGCTTTTTAGCTGATGGCATACCATTAAAATGCATTCTGAAAAATATAAGAGTTTCTGATTTCATTTATAGAAGCAATCCTATAAAGGAAGTTAAATTTCCTTGATACTTGAGAAAATCAATATTCTCAAATTTCCCACTTCCAGCCAGAACTAATTCATTCCCTGTGCTACTAAGACAATTTAATTGCAGGAGAGAAAGAGGCATTTGTGGAAATATACTAGAAATCTAGTATATACCAAATCCTAATAAAAGATGAAGGCCCAAGGGAATATCATAAGTTAAAAAGCAATAAACACCTTAACATAGACATATATCTTACAAAATACTTTCACACTGCACTCACGTGATGTCTACCACAGCCCATTAGGGTGGGCTACTGGCTGGGGGTGTTACCAGCATCCAAGTTCTGCAGATGAGGAAACAGGCTCAGAGGAACTATGGCCCCAGCTGTGCCACTAAACAGCTCATATTCTTTATGTATTTATTTATTTGTTTGTTTGTTTTTGAGATGGAGTCTCGCTCTGTCACCCAGGCTGGGGTCCAGTGGCACAATCCTGGCTCACTGCAACCTCTGCCTCCTGGGTTCAAGCGATTCTCCTGCCTCAGCCTCCCAAGTAGCTGGGACTACAGAAGCCCACCACCACGCCAGGCTAATTTTTGTATTTTTAATAGAGATGGGGTTTCACCATATTAACCAGGCTGGTCTCAAACTCCTGACCTTGTGATCTACCCGCCTCGGCCTCCCAACGTGCTGGCATTACAGGCGTGAGCCACTGCACCCGGCCCAGCTCATACTCTTGAAGGAGACAAGCATCTTAGGTCTCAGCTGTTCAGCTCTGGGCCAGGCCTTACAAAAAAGCCATCTTATCCTGTCATTTTCTTTGATCGGCATTAGATGCATGGGGCACTTGTTTGCTGCACCGCTAACAAATCATGGGGAAATGGAAGGCAAGCACTTTTTAGCAGACTAACCATATTTCTCTGAGAAACCCAAGGAGGGGATCATGAGAAAAGATGTAATTTTTTAAATCTGTAAAATATTTGGCATCTTGTTCAATACCAATGGATGGAAAGGGCAGCCTATAGTAACCTTCATAACATTTTCCAGTGAAGTACACTGGAAACCACTAGGAAGCCAATCACTATGTTCCAGGGCAGTTGAGTAGTTATCCCAGCTTCATCACATATGCCCTCGAGTGGACCTAACCACTCTCAGTCCCTGTTTCCTTCTCTATAAAAGAAGAGCTGGGGGATATTCTTCTTCTGTCCCAGTTCTGAGTTCAAAAAAGAAATACAGCCTAAGGCAACAGCTAATATGTATAACTTTACTCTTTAGCCCTGCCTCGTTCTTAGCCAGTGCTGCTCTGAATTCTACGTTTTGTCTACTGCTGTCATCAATACACATTAGATCAGCAAACATCACCAACAACCTTCCAAAAGCTCCAAATCTATATGGCTCCATGCAAGGCACTGAACTGAAAGAAATTAAACCAGCTTCTAGGAGGTTAAAAAAAATCTAAGAAGAGCTTCTGAGTTCAAGTCAAAAATATTCAACCTAGCAATCTGGAGGAACCATATTTATTCACTGTAGTTGGACAGATTCTTCAGGAGTTTATGAACCAGAGTTGGGTAATCATAAGATCTTTGCCTTGCATATTGCAACATCAGAGTTGGGAAACATCCTAAGGACTAATAGTTTGTGTTCCTCCAACATTTATATGTTGAAGCCTAATCCTCAATGTGATGGTATTTAGATAGGGGAACTTTGGGAGGTAATTAGGTCATGAGGGTGGAGCCGTTGTGAAAGGGATTAGTGCTCTTCACACCATAGAGATGATCTCTCTCTGGGCCATGTGAGGATACAAGTGAGACAGCTGTCTACAAACCAGGAAGCAAACCTTCACTAGACACTGTATCTGCTGGCACCCTGATCTTGGGTTTCCCAGCCTCCAGAACTGTGAGAAATAAATGTTTATTGTTTAAGACACCCAGTCTATGGTATTTTTGTTATAGTAGCTGTGATAGTGTGATACAGTAAGGAACACATATAATAAGAAACATATTTGGTCTCTGCTCCTGATTCTTGGCACACAGATACTAAAATTCTTGGAATCTCCAACAAAGTGTTTAAGTTCTTTTTGTGCGCTAATGAAATAACTGGTGGCTGGGGCTCCTGTTCAGCCACAGGATAGGAGGCTGGTTGCCAGGAGAACCAACCAAGTGATAAGCGGGCTGGAACTTTCAGTCCTACCATTCGACCTCTGGAGAAGGGAGAGGGGCTAAAGGTTGACTTAATCACCAATGGCCCACGATGCAATCAATCATGGCTATATAAGGAAGCTTCCATAAAAACTCAAAGGACTGGGTTTGGAGAGCTTCAGGAGAGTGAGACACGTGGAGGTGCTGGATGTTCTTGGAGAGTAGATGACCCCTCCCACAAGGAAGGAAGTGTGGAAGTTCCTCACTCCTTCCCACATGGCTTGCCCTGTGTATCTCTTCCATCTGGCTGTTCATCTGTATTCTTTGCAATATCCTTTATAATAAATGGGTAAACATAAATAAAGTGTTTCCCTGAGTTCTGTGAGCTGCTCTAGTAAATTAAAGGAATCAGAGGAGGGGGGTCATCAGAACCCCAATTTATAGCCAGTTGGTCAGAAGTAGAGGTGACAACCTACTACAGTTGAGTATCCCTAATCTGAAAATCCAAAATCTAAAATGCTCCCAAATCCAAAACTTTTTGAGTGCCAACATGATGCCATAGTAGAATATTACACAACTGAGCTCACGTGACGGGTCACAGTCAAAATGTAGACATACAACACAGTTTATTTAAAAAATTTTATTGGCCGGGTGCAGTGGCTCACGCCTGTAATCCCAGCACTTTGGGAGGCTGAGGCGGGCGGATTACCTGAGGTCAGGAGTTCAAGACCAGCTGGCTAACATGGAGAAACCCCGTTTCTACTGAAAATACAAAAAAATAGCAGGGCGTGGTAGCGCATGCCTGTAATCCCAGCTACTCAGGAAGCTGAGGCAGGAGAATCGCTTGAACCCGGGAGGTGGAGGTTGCAGTGAGCCGAGCTCACACCATTGCACCACAGCTTGGGCAACAAGAGCGAAACTCTGTCTCAAAAAAAAAATTTATTAAAATATTGTATAAAGTTATATTCAGCTTCATGTGTACCAGCTGTATATGAAACATAAATGAATTTCGTGTTTAGACTTGGGTCCCATCCCCAAGATATCTCATTATGTATATGCACATATTCCAAAATCCAAGAATATCCAAAATCGGAAACACTTCTGTTCCCAAGCATTTTGGATAAGGGATATTTAACCTGTACTTGTGACTGGCAGCTGAAGTGGGGACACTGCGGGACCCAGCCCTCAACCTGTGGGATCTGATGCTATCTCCAGGTAGACAGTATCAGAACTGACTTAAATTATAGGACACCCAGAAAGAAAAAGAAAATTAAAAAAAGAATTAAAAAAAAGGTATAGGACACCCAATTGGCATCTGCTGGAGAATTACCTGGTGGTGGTGGGGGGAACCCCCTGACATCTGGTGTCAGAAGTACTGTGCTATGTATGAGAAAAAAAGTGTGGTAAAAATATCTTAGAGCAGTCTGAACTATGACATGATTTTTTTTCTCAGTCTTCATTTTTCTATTTAATAAGAAATATGCAAATAAATCATAAAATATCATAGCTGGAGGGGAACTCCAATGCCATCAATCCAACCAATTTACAAACGAGGAAAAGGTGAGACCCTGAGAAGGGAAATAACTGGCCCAAAGCCCTCAATTTGGAGGCATCCTGGCTAGAACCTAGATCTGTACTTCCTGCCAAGGGTTCCTGCGACGTGACTACTCTGTCTTATCAGATTTCAAAACTACAACAACTGTGATGAAGAAGTAATTTGCGTTCCTTAGAATTTAGTTTCCTCCCCTCAAAAATTATAGTTTTGGAAAGATGAGCTATCAGATCTCTTCTGGCTTCAACAGTTAGTACCCTCTCTCACCTTCCCAACTCTTGGTGAAGATACCTTTGAAGGATTCCCAGTGCTTACTTATTTCCCCTTGGTTCCGATAAAGAAAAGATGTTTTAGCTATCACAAGATGCCTCTAACTTATTACAATTCACATTTAATTCCTACTTTCAATTCCCAATTAAAGCAGAAACTCTGTGTGTGTGTTTACTTACCATATCTGAAGCTTAATTTTCTTTCCATCTAGTTCTATCGTTCTAATTTTAAAATCAATTCCTGCCAGAAAAACAAAGAAAGATATGTTAAGTTTCTTCAGATATAATCCAAGTCTCATTAGGAGGACAAAGATTTCTATTGAAAAAAAGCTCTCCAACGCACTGGAAAATGTGAACACAGAGAGGGTGTGAATGGTATGTTTCCTCTGAATACAGGCTGGAGAAAGGAATGCTAATTACTCAGCAAAGAATTCCCACACGTGTTAAATGCAACGTATTATATGCCTCATTATTCTGACACAAATGGATCACATCCTGCAAAGTTATATAATTTAGATAGATTGAGAACATGCCATATTTCCTACTTCCTGAAGTACATATAAACAATGCTTCCTATCTACTCCTCAACCCCAATCCTTCCCAAAAGAAGGCTATGGGACCTCTTTAAAGAATATTCCTCCATCTCCTTCCACTTTTTTCTTCAGATTCTGCAACTGACTAAGGAAAAAAAATTTGCCTATTTGACAGTAAGGGAGGGAAAGCCTGCATATCTATTTTAAACAGTTAGCAAGTATTTTATACACATTTTAATAAATGTTCCCCACAGATTACTTGCTAGAGCTGAAACAGGAAGAATGGATTTCAGGCCTGACTGTACTCTAGAATTGCCTGGTACTATGATCTGAAAGTCCCCTCCAAAACTCAGGTTGAAATTAGATTGCCATTGTGGGACCTTAGAGATACTAAGTACTAAGAGGTGGGACCTTTCACAGCTGATTCATGTGGAGCCTGTATGAACGGATTGTCCTTATCACAGGAGTGAGTTAGTTATCTTGAGAGTGGGTTTTTATAAAAGTTAGTCCTGCTCCTCCTACATTTTCTTCTGCATGAGTGCACTTCCCCTTCCAGTCTTCCAGCATGAGATAATGAAGCATGAAGGTCCTCACCAGATGCTGATGCCATACCCTTGGAGTTCCCAGCCTCCAGAACCATGAGCTAAATAAATTTCTGTTCATTATAAACTATGCAGTTTCAGGTATTCTGTCATAGCAGCAGAAAATGGACTAAGATGACTGAGAAATGTTGAAAAAAAAAATCCTCATGATTAGGCCTGCCCCCTTCCCCAAATTCTGAGATTGTGACTTAATTAGTCAAGGATGGGACCTGGGCACTGGTAATTTTTAAAGTTTCCCAGATGATTCTAACCTGAAGCCAAAAGTTTTGGCTTTCAAAGGGCTATGCCTTTTGAAGGCCTCGGGCACTTCAAAAGTTCAACCCTTCCCTCACGTATTTCCCCCCACTATGGTAGCTCAAAACTTATTTATCAATTTCAAAGACAAAGAACCACAAAGCCCTTGACAAATATCAGCAAGCTCTATCATATATCAGGAATAAGCTTTCTGAGGAGACCAGTTAGTGAATACAACTTAGTTGCAATTTGCTAAATCGTCATCATCTGGCTACTCAGCTTTGTTTAGATTTTTCTATTCTTTTGCATTCTGTCCAGCAGGGTTTCTCAATCCCTGGGCCACAGACCAGTACTGGGCTGCACAGCAGGAATTCAGTGGCAGGCAAGTGAGAGAAGCTTCATCTATATTTACAGCTGCTCCCCATTACTTGCATTGCTGCCTAAGTTCAGCCTCCTGTCAGATCAGCAGTGGCATTAGATTCTCATAGGTGCTCAAACCCTATTGTGAACTGCCCATGTGGGGGATCTAGGTTGTGCACTCCTATGAGAATCTAATGCCTGATGATCTGTCACTGTCTTCTATCATCCCCAGATAGGACCATCTTGTTGCAGGAAAACATGCTCACAGCTCCCGCTGATTCTACATTGGTGAGTTGTATAATAATTTCATTATATATTACAATGTAATAAAAATAGAATATAAGTGCATAATAAATGTAATGTGCTTGAATCATTCCTAAACCACCCCCACCCCCACACCACCACCACCTCCAGTCCCTGGAGGAAAAACTGTCTTCCATGAAACCAGTCCCTGGTGACAAAAAGGTTGGGGACCACTGCTATATAGAACCCCTTAAAGTGGTTTCCAAGAAATTTCAGGAAAACACGTAAATTACATATCCTCTAAATTGACTTAAACATTAACTCCAGTTTTGTTTTGTTTTGTTTTTTGAGACAGAGTCTCACTCTGTCACCAGGCTGGAGTGCAGTGGAGCAATCTCAGCTCACTGCAACCTCCACCTCCCAGGTTCAAGTGATTCTCCCGCCTCAGCCTCCCGAGTAGCTGGGACTACAGGTATGCACCATCACGCCCAGATAATTTTTTGTATTTTTAGTGGAGACGGGGTTTCACCATGTTGGCCAGGGTGGTCTCAATCTCCTGACCGACCTCGTGATCCACCCGCCTCGGCCTCCCAAAGTGTTAGGATTATAGGCGTGAGCCACCCAGCCAACTCCAGTTTTATTTAGGTGGGGAGCATTCAACTGCTATGTTACTACAGTATTTTTTCATATAAACATTGAAAGCACCCAAAAGGCTGCTTCCTAGCTCCAGCTTTATACAATGCATAGACATAAACCAACCGAATTTCCTCCTTTTTTCTCTGTGTGGTACTTTTCCCCCACGGAGCCTTTTTAGATACTCTTGTGTCTTGAAATAGGCAACAATCACACCCAAGCTAATTTAGCAGAACACCTTCTCAACCATTATTTCCCCTCACTAACAACCATAAATTATTAATAAATATTAGGTTGCTGCAAAAGTAATTGCCATTAAGAATGGCAAAAACCGCAATTACTTTTGCAGCAACCTAATGCAATCTGATAACCACTATTCCCAAGTTATCTGGCTCATATTTTCTCCTCTAAGGCACCTCCCTCAGCATTTCAGGGTCTGTAAAGGTGACACAAAACTCAGCAACTCAGCATAAATATTACTGCTAGCATCTGACAAAATATACTGTTTCCATCACTCATTTAAGACTTAATAGACATTGATTTTTATTGTGATTTACGTTTTATATGCCACCAAATCCAGTGTAACAAAGACCCTCTAGGAATCCTCCTCTATCCTTTACCTCTCTTTGGGCCTGGCATCAAGAACAATGCCCAAAACCTGGTATGTACTCAATACATGTTTCTTCAGATTAACATTTTAAAAAAATTCATGACTTTCCAAATCCATAGAAACAGAAAGTAGTACAATGGTAGTTACCAGGATCTGGAAGGAGGGGGAAAGGAATAGTTGTTTAATAGGTATGGAGTGTCAGATTTGCAAGATGAAATAGTTCTACGGATCAGTTGCACCACAGTGTGAACAGGCTTGTAAAACTACTGAACTGTACACTGAAAAATGGTTAAGACTGTAACTTACATATTATGTTTTTACCAAAATAAAAAAAACAATGACTTTCAAAATGCCTACTGTATACCTGAATAAATTAATTAAAAGGCCAATGTCCAACATTTTACCACTTAATAATTCATTCACTTATTTTTTTTGAGATGGGTCTCCTTCTGTTGTGCAGGCTGGAGTGCAGTGGCGCGATCTTGGCTCACCGCAACCTTCGCCTCTTGGGTTCAAGCGATTCTCCTGCCTCCTGCCTCAGCCTCGCGACTAGCTGGGATTACAGTGTGCTCCACTACACCCAGTTAACTTTGGTATTTTCAGTAGAGATGGGGTTTCACCATGTTGACCAGGCTGGTCTCAAATTCCTGGCCTCATGTGATCCACCTGCCTTAGCCTCTCAAAGTGCTGGGATTACAGGTGTGAGCTAGCCTGCCCAACCTTCATTCACGTTTTAAATAAACGACGATGTATACCAGAATATTTGTTCAGATTAATATTTTCCTTATTCTGGCTTATTAAAGTAGTAACGCCTGTTCTTATTAAGGTTGATTTTGCCTGTAATTAGAAGTCATGGGCAACTTTACCACCTTCACTCAATAATGCCAATTTGAGGCTCCTTAAAGCCTCACTCTCCATTCATTTAAAACACTTCAAAAACCTTCTACTGACAGAGGCTTTTTTTTTTTTTTTTTTGTTAGGAACATTACCTTTCAGTTATGTGAGGAAGTTCTACAAGATGGTGACACTTAGCCATCTTTTCACTACTCAAAGGTTTTCAAAGTTTCTAAGAGCTGTGAACTATGGCATTTAGCTTTTGCTTATGCTGTTGTCAAGGGCCAACTGACAGACAACGGCTGCAGAACAAAGTCAAATTAGCACCATATGGAAAAAAAAAAGCAAGTGGGGACCTAGAAAATAGGCAACAGTTTTAGTAAGTAAGAATTTCACTACAAGAGGTAAAAATTCATTGAAAAGCACTGAACTGTAGGTTAGTTCAGTTTAATGACTGAACTGTCACTAAAAACTTGTGAACAGGCTGCTTGACTGCTCTGAACCTATATATCCTCATCCATAAAAAAAGGTTGACAGGATCTAATTAGATAAATTAGACGATGTGTGTGAACGTGCTCTGGGAACTCTGAAATTCCATATAAACCTAAGAGATTACACATTCAGTCTATAACCCTACAGCTCTTGTCACTTCATGCATGGATTATTTGTAATAGCTTTCCAGGATACTGTGCCAACATCTCTCCCTGGTCTAATTCCCCTACATGTCACTTCTAGACTAACTTGCAACAATCCCTGTGGTAATGTCACTGCACTATTTAAGAAGCCGTGGAGCCAACTTCTTCAGCCTGGTGATACAGCCTTTCCCACCAGATGCACCATTCTCCTGACACTGCAAACCTCAGAGTTTCTCCAAATGAGGCCTTTTGCTTCTCTCAGTGGGCCCCATACCTCCTTTCCTGCACTCCTGCATGACCACCTCACTTTGCAGCCTTCTCTGAGGATGCCATTCCACCCATGTAGTTCCCTCTCTTCTCTCCTCAGCTCTGCCTCAAAGCCTGGTTTTTGCACAGTGATTTAATCCTGTGTTATTGGGTTTTATTAACATAGTGCCCTGCAATTGCTCTCAGATCATGCGAAGACTCCATCCTCTCTTTGCCAGTTAAGTTGTGCACAGAAACATGTGTACAGTAACTAAATTAAAGGGTAGGTACTCTTACATATTTAAGTAAATATTATATACTACTAAGGGTAAAGATGGCTTTAAAAACTTTGGAAATTTGGCCAGGTGCGGTGGCTCACGCCTGTAATCCCAGCACTTTGGGAGGCCAAGGCAGGCAGATCACCTGAGGTCAGGAGTTGGCCAGCCTGGCCAACATGGCAAAACCCCTACTCTACTAAAAAAATTAGCTGGGTGTGGTGGTGGGTGCCTGTAATCCCAGCTAGCGGGGAGGCTAAGGCAGGAAAATGAATCACTTGAACCCAGGAGGTAGAGGTTGCAGTGAGCCGAGATTGCACCACTGCATTCCAGCCTGGGCAACAGAGTGAGACTCTGTCTCAAAAAAAAAAAAAAAAAAAACTTCGGAAATTTCTTAATATATTATAGTTACAATAGTCAGGATGCTGAGAAATCTTATTCCAATAAGAAAATGAAGACACATTACAATTAGCTTGACAATAATATCAGTAGTGGATTAACATTCATGTTAAAATTTAAAGCAAAGATAATTTCCTGATGCTACTCCAGGGATTAAAAGAATAATTAGCTGTAAAATGATAATATAATCAGGATGCTTTCAGCTGCAAATAGCAGAAACCCCAAATCAAACTAGCTTAAGGCAATTTGTTGACTCATCTACAACAAGTCCAGTGGTGAATGGGGTTCAGAGATGGCTCAATCTAGGGCTCCAGCTCATTTCTCTGCACCTCCCTGGGTTCTGCCCTCCAGGGAGTATCAATTTCACACTCTTGACTGATAGCAGTTCCTGACCACAACAGCAATACCAGAAGAAAAGAGATTATTTTCCTCTTCCTCTCAAAAGTGAGAAAGCATTTCCCCAAAGCCTCCAACAAGTTTTCCTTCATGTCTCATTTCTGGACTTATAACCATGGGAATGTCATGTTCTGGCAGGCTAAGGCTGAATTCCTGAACTAATCACTGCCACGGGGAATTACCAAGATTGGATTAATCTAAATCCATTCTCTAAATTTAGATTAATCAAGTCCTATCCCTGGAGCTGGGTCACTCCTAGAATCCATAGGCTGCTAAAAATAGAATAGAAAGGCTATTGAGAAAAATCATAATATCCTCTATATTATATACCTATTATATATCCTCTATATAATACTCAAACCTATCTCATTAATAAAATTTTATATTCATAGCTATATGAAAGGACAAACTGTATACTCATATCTATATGAAAGAGCTGCACTACTATCCTGTCATGAATGTTATTACATTTAATGAGAAACTGTAGTACTTCTCTGAAGGCAATTTCATGTAGTGTTCAGCTAAGAACTAGAAAATAAGAAAGAAAAAGGGGACAATGAGCAGCCCAAGTAGCTGCCACAACATCTCTGTGCTGAACTGTGACCACAGCTGCTAGGAGAGTCCTCCAGCCCACAACTCCAAAGACTTGGCTTATCCCCTAGCCCCAGATGACTGGAGACTAGAAAGAAGGAGGGGGCTATCACACCAACAGCAGCAAGAACCAGAGGTCATCCTGGCAGTAAGGGAGCAACTTTTTTTTTTTTTTAATTTAAAAGGACTATACAATCTCAAAAAACATAGTTTTTGAAGGACATTATCCTTCAGGTCAAAAAGCCCTTTGTTTAAATTATACTACAGAGCTATGGTAACCAAAATGGCATGGTACTAGCATAAAAATAGACACATATACCAGTGGAACAGAACAGAGAACCCAGAGATAAATCTATATATCTACAGTGAACTCATTTTGACAAAGGTGCCAAGTACATACATTGGGGGAAAGGACAGTCTCTTCAATAAATGGTGCTGGGAAAACTGGGTATCTGTATGCCGAAGAATGAAACTAGACCCCCACCTCTTGCCATATACAAAAATCAAATCAAAATGGATTAAAGACTTAAACCTAAGACTTCAAACTATGAAACTACTAAAAGAAAACATTGGGGAAACTCTCCAGGACATTGGATTGGGCAAATATTTCTACAGTAATACCCTGCAAGCACAGTCAACCAATGCAAAAATGAACAAACAGGATCACATCAAGTTAAAAAGCTTCTGTACAGCAAAGGAAACAATGAGCAAAGTGAAGAGACAACACACAGAATGGGAAAAAATATTTGCAAACTACCCATCTGACAAGCTATTAATAATCAGAATATATAAGGAGCTCAAACAGCTCTACAGGAAAAAATCTTATAATCTGATTTTAAAATGAGCAGAAGACCTAAGCAGACATTTTTCAAAAGACATACAAATGGCAAACAGATACATGAAAAGGTGTTCAACATCAGTGATCATCAGAGAAATGCAAATGAAAACTACAATGAGATATCATCTCACCCCATTTAAAACGGCTTTTATCCAAAAGATAGGCAATAACAAACACTGGCAGGGATGTGGAGAAAAGGGAACCCTTGCACACTGTGGGTGGGAATGCAAATTAGTACAGCCACTATGGAGAACAGTTTGAAGTCTCCTCACAAAATCAAATATAGAGCTATCATATGACCCAGCAATCCTGCTCCAAAAGGAAGGAAATGAGTATGTCAAAGAAATAACTGCACTCCCATGTTTATTGCAGCACTATTCACAATAGCCAAGATTTGGAAGCAATCTAAGCATCCATCAACAGATGAATGGACAAAGAAAATGTGGTACATATACACAATGGAGTACTATTCAGCCATAAAAAGAATGAGATCCTGTCATTTGCATCAACATGGATGGAACTGGAGGTCATTATATTAAGTGAAATAAGCCAGGTACAGAAAGACAAACTTCGCATGTTCTAATTTATTTGTGGGAGCTAAAAATTAAAATGATTGAATTCATGGAGATAGAGAGTAGAAGAATGGTTAGGCTGGGAAGGGTAGTGGGGGGTAGGGGAAAGTGGTAATGGTTAATGGGTACAAAAAATAGTTAGAATAAGACCTAGTATTTGCTAGGACAATAGGTGACTATAATCAAAAATAATTTAATTATACATTTTAAAATAACTACAAGTATAATTGGACTGTTTGTAACACAAAGGATAAAAATGCTTGAGGTGATGGATACTCCATTTACCCTGATGTGATTATTATTACTCATTGCATGCCTGTATCAAAATATCTCATGTAACCCATAAATATATACATCTACTATGTACCCACAATTTTTTTTTAAAAGACTTTTTGTATTTCAAAAGTCTTTTTGAGAACATCATTTTTTGGCAGCACATAATATAATAATTCATGTTCAAAATGATGACCCTGAGTCATCCTGACTCATGAGCAGTCCATGACCCACCAGGAGGCATGCAGCCCACCCAGCTGGAAACACAATCCAACATCTGAGTTTAGAAGGCAAGATTCCAAAGGTATTTCCATGTTGCTCAAATATACCTCAACACTCATTTTTTGATGGTTTTAAAGTAGTCCCACTTTCCTTATTAATATTTATCTAGTCAATACAGTAGGAAATATAAACTGTAAGAAAACATTCCCAAGGGAATGACTCAAAGGCATTTTCATTTTGAATTTAGAAACTCTCTCTAACAGATTTTGCTTTCCTGAATTGACTCTTATGCTAAATGGTTGCTTATAACATAAGGAGGCAGGGAAATAAGTATGAAAGAGAATCATAGAATTATAGACTTGAGAAGTACTTTAGAGATCATTTAGTTCAGTCCTGTCTGTGTGGCTAAGAAAACTGAGGCCAAGAGAGATGCAGCAATTTACGCAGATTCACGAAGACCAATAAAAAAAGGTTAGGTTAAAATCAAGTTTTGGCTTTTAAAGATCAGACCTTCCCAAAGGGAGACGTACAAGAACATCCACATCTTGGTGGGGAAACTTCCTCTTTAAGGGTCATAGTATAGAACACAGGCAACAACTTAAACGTCCACCAACTGGAGAATGCCTTGGTATACAAGTAGAGTAGGAATACTCGAGCAGTGAACAAAAGCCATATTTATCAACATAGATGAATCTAAAAAAGATGATGGTAAGTGAAAAGAACAAGTTGCAGAAATATACAGTCAAACCAATTTGTATATTTCTGAAAAAAATATTTAAAATGCCAAAACAACAGTATTATCATTCATATATATAAAATATATATAGTATATTTTTATATATATATCCATGTATAATTACAGTATAAAACATGGATAGGAATGATTATTAACAAATTAAGGATAATACTCAATGTTACCTCTAGAGAGAAATGGAAGAGGAGGGATTCATAGGGGACTTTGACTCTATAATTTATTATTTCTAAAATTGAGTGGTGGGTACATGGACATGAGAATGTCTTATATTAGCTATACTTTAATAGGTCTAAAAGTTTTTGAAATTCTTTTAAAAAGCAAATATTAGTAACCTGGAAAACATACATGGAGGTATGTTCATTAACGGCAGTAAAAAACCAAACCAAATTTTAGAGATGAGCGGTACCTTAGAAGATTTAGTCAGGGGAAAAGCAGGCTCTATCGCTCTTATTCAATACAGTATAAAGAGGTCCTGTGAGCCCTTGGTAGCCCACCCCATCCATGCCTGGTCACCAATGGCTTACAGTCCTTCTTTATATCGAACAAGGATGGTATGGTAGTGCCTGCTTTTTCCCTGACTAAATCTTCTAGGGGTACATTTTATCTCTGAAATTTTGGTTGATTTTTCCACTACCATTAATGAATGCATGCCTTCACATGTCAGATTTCCAGGTAACTAATACTGGATCAAGTTCAGATTGGATCAAGTTCAGAAAGTGAGGGGCAGAGCAGGGAAGTGGGGTGGCAAGGAATGCTAGCTACTCTGATTTCAAGCAGGGGGTTTGGGGACTTTTCTTCTCCACCTCGAGGAAAAGGAGTTTTGACTTGGACCAAGGACAAGTGAAGAATACACATTTGGGTCACTGTTGGGAGTGGCACTCTGGCAGGAAGAACAAAGGAGTTCTGATTTTCCATTCAATGGGAGAAGGCGGACAGCCACTGCCCCACCCTTGGGGTGGGAGGTTTGGGCCAGGAGGCTCTTTCCTGCACCTCTGAGGAGAAGGCAGGGTGGTATTTGAGGTTTCTGCATTGTCCAGCGCAACCCACAGGGCATCAGAGCTCGCAGATACCTCACCACGTGGCACCAGTGAGGGGTAAGGAGCAAGCTCTTACCCAGAGTACTGCTTACCAGATATTTCTCAGCAACCAGTGATGTCGCTGGAGGCAGCTGAGGGGAAGGGCTTGGCCAGCAAAACAGAAAGAAGGAAACTTTCAACCTGGCCCAAGTCCATAGTTAACAGATCTAACAGGGAAAAGGAACTTGGAATGAGCAGTACTGGGCCACTTTTCATTCCACAAATTAGATATAATTGAACATGGTAAAGGGACAGATTGACAAGACTCTTTTACACTAAAGTTAAATTAGTCAGTCAACAGATATTAATAACATAATCTTTTCTGTTTCAAGAGAATAGGGAGGTTGCCCCTGCGTTTGTGAATGGGTGAAAGGATACCATTGCTGGAGTGTGGGAAAGAGTAGTTTTCTTGGCCTTCGGAACTCTCTCTCTAGGGCCAACTAGTTCTCCTGACCTTCAGCATAAGCTGTGACTTGATGCATTTTGGCCGGTGGGTGCTGCAGCTTAGAACACACACAGCTCTCCTGCTTTGAGTACTATCTTGGGTCTCCTGGGGAAGTCTGCTGCCTGGTCCAGAAAAATCAGGGGTAGAAAAACATCAGGGACCTTCAACTAAGGTTTTCTATACCTCGTTCCCACTGAATTTCTTTTAAAAGACTAATTTGGCTGCAGTCATGAGAACCTTGAAAAAAAATTCAGACTTCTGGGTCATTCAGCCTTTCAATGAATCATAACAATGCAAGATTTCAATGCTGGGTTTACTCACAGCACTGCACATTTTTCTACAAAGGTTATCTATCCCCTTTGACCCACTTTAAGAAGCAGAAGTTAAATACTGTGCTTTTACAGTTAAAAAGGAAAAAAAAACAGGACTTTGTTTCAAAAGTACATTTGGAAACACGTGATCCCAGGCTATCTGAATATGGGTTATGTGGTTTGTATATTTACATTTCAGAGATCTTCCAGAAATAGAAAAATAGTTTCCCAAATATTGAAGTCTACTTTAAAGAAATGCTACATTCACCTCCTTAAGATTTTGATTAACAATAAAGATACAGTTCTTGCCAGTTTTGAAACTTTCTTTGACAATCAAATTTTGCTTATGCTTTTTTTGGTTTGAATTTAGATTAATGAAATTTTAGAGTAGCTGATTTTAGGATAATTAGTTGAAATCTCTAATTAGAAAAATGGACTACTGAAATAAAAAATGAGTCATAAACTGAAGCTTTAAAATATTTTTTTCTCAAAATAAAGGACTTGGAGAAAATGTAAAGGTAGAAATAAATCAAGAATGTTACTTAGATTGAGACTGGGAACAGTGGCTAATGCCTGTAATCCCAGCATTTAGGGAGGCTGAGGTGGGAGGATCACTTGAGGCCAGGAGTTGGAGACCAGCCTGGGCAACATGATGAGACCCCACCTCTAAAAAAAAAAAAATTAAAAATTAGCTGGATGTGGTGGCACGTGCCTGTGGTCCTAGCTACCTGGGAGGCTGAAGTGAGCGGATAGCTTGAGGCCAGGAGTTAAAGGCTGCAGTGAGCTATGATCATTGCGCCACCACTCCCCAGCCCTGGCATGCCATGAGACTATTCTCAACAAAAAAGAAAAAAAAAAAGAATGCTACTTAGATTGAAAAAAAAGAGGTCAAGGCATTGTTCTTTCATAAATATACGTCGCATAAGTTATAAAGCTATTTTCACCAAGTATAAGTTATTTTGCTGGATATATTTATAACTATTTAAATTTTTGTTTATTTATATTAAAATTGTTTTCTTGTTTGAAAATTAGGAAGTCTAAAGTTTAGGAGGAAAAACACAATAAAAGTAAGTTTAGAAAACATTTAACAACAGTGTGAAATGATCACTGGCAGCCAAATACGTTTATTTTAGCTTTGTTCAACCCAACAGAGGAAAACGGGGCATTTTTTAAGGGGGACAAATGGTCAGCAAATATAACTTGCCCTTAAAAAAAAACCTGATAAACTAAGAAGATGGACTAGAATTTTCTGACGTGTTTGGTTCTTCCATCCTATGAATAGGAAGTGGCAAATTAAATGGCATTTATATATGTCAACAGTGACACACATTACCACTTCCTGCTAAAAAAGCTGAACGGCTTTACACTGTTTCAGAATTTTCTATTTGTTACTAAATTAAATTCAATTCTTGGCATTCTTCATATGACAGCTGTACCCATAAGATCTAATCATACCAACAAAATATAACAAACTCATAAACTAATTTCAGAAATTAGGAAGAATTTACTAATTTCTCTTTGAGCCATAAACATGCATTATAGATATACAAATAGTACAATTAAGAATAGTTTTAAACAATGTCTCTATTTGAGTCTCGAAGGGCTTTAATTTGTAAGGTTAAAATATAATGATCTAATTAACCCTTAATATATCTCTGGGAAATAAATGAGCAAAATAAATAACTATATATCAAATGATAACTACTAAAATATAACTATGTGTTGAATCATAAATAAAAGGTTTCTAAATGCTAGAACTACCAAAAGTCAAGAAAGACAAAAATAGCAAATAAAGTGTAATAATACAGCTACAACTCAGGTAAAGTATGCAGAAACAATTAGGAAACACTGAGAATTTTAAATCTGATTAAGGAGCCAGCAGAGATTATCCAGCATTCAGCTCACCATTTAAGCCAGGCCAAAAGACTTCATGACAAGTCTCTTTTGCAAATCTTGCACTTTGAAAAGGAAATGTGTTTCAAGTGTTACTCAATCTAGAAGTAGCAATAAGCTCGAAGATGTCAAAATGTGGATTTTAGAGATTCTCAGTGAACAGATGTTGTACCTTCAATAAAGTCTCTTTTCATAAAGGGGCTAACTGGTGAACTAACCTTTCTTAAAGAATGAAAGTTCAGAATGCCTCTGAGCTTCCATTTCTTTCCCCACTATTAATTCATCATTATCTCAAGAACCAAACTGCTCCAAAACAAAACCAGTTGCGTCTCTCTTGCTGCATCCATTGTTTCTGATAAAGTGTACCTTTGTAGCAGGAAAACCCCTCGAGTATGAACCTCTATTATTTCCTAAACCTAGAATTTCCTTGTTTGAATTCTGACAACTGAGTCAGATCTGTTTCATTTAAGGGTGAGGTGAATACTCTGAAGACATTCAAAAACTGAAGTTAAAAAAAAAAACAAAAAACACGCAAATCCCTGATTTTAGGTACTAAGGCGCTATTGCTATGGGAAGACCATATTGCCAAATCACTGGAATTATCACTGGAAAAAATTACAACTACATTCCAATGATGTTGCACCAAAAATGCAGTGAAACTGATTATTTGGCTCTTTCCAAGTATTGACCATGTATCGTATTTTCCATTCATTTAGAGGTAAATGAAAGCTAAAAAAATAAACTAATAGAACTAAGTAATAACACTACATAGTACAACTAACTAAAAACAAATGATATCTCTTTTCCCTTTTAGAATGAATTCTTAAAAAGAAAAAATTAAAAAGAATGCTATCCATGTAATGTATCAGATAATAACCAGGGTTAAAACAAACTTTAGCTGTATACATATTTTTACTTTCCAGGAAAATTCCCAAGTCACTTTGTTCAGAAATATTTCAGCTTATATTGGTATGAACTGTAAAATTTGGTAATTTTCCCACCCAATTAATACAAATAAACATTTTAGTAGAGAGGGGAGGAGGAAGGGTCTTTACCAAATTACTAGAGGCAGTAGAGAAAAACCTAAAGTCATACTCTCCCAGCCTGGGCAACATAGTGAGAGCCCATCTCTACAAATTAAATTAAATTAAATTAAAAATTAGCTGGGCATGGTGGCACATGCCTGTAGTCCTAGCTACTCGGGAGACAGAGGCAGGAGGATCATTTGAGCCTAGGAGTTCAAGGCTACAGTGAGCTATGATTGTGCCACTGCACTCCCACCTGGGAAACAGAGCAAGGCCCTGTCTCTAAAATAATAATAATAATAAGTAGTAAAATCATACTCTCTCCTGCAGGCCTGCCTCTGCCTTCTCTCATCCTCTTATCCCACTGACTTTTCTCTAAATAAAAAGTGATAACAGGCCGGGCGTGGTGGCTCACGCCTGTAATCCCAGCATTTTGGGAAGTCCAGGCGGGCGGATCACCTGAGGTCAGGAGTTCGAAAACAGCTTGGCCAACGTGGCGAAACCGTGTCTCTACTAAAAATACAAAAATTAGCCAGGTGTGGTGGTGGGCGCCTGTAATCCCAGCTACCAGGGAGGCTGAGGCAGGAGAATTCCTCGAACCCGGGAGGCGGAGGTTGCAGTGAGCCGAGATCAAGCCACTGCACTCCAGCCTGGGCGACAAGAGCAAGACTCTGTCTCAGCAACAACAACAACAAAAGTGGTAAGAGATTATAAAATAAACAAACATAACTGCAAACTTCCAGCGTTCTGAATCTAGTTAACAAGAGCCTTTTCTTGATCAAAACCAACATCAATGCCACAAAAGTGTATGAAAATTAAGCAGCACTTACAGCTCACTGTAGCCAGTGTGATGGAAGGATAATTATAATAAGCTATTGCTGATGAGTAAAGTTACAACCAACAGAGTAATGCAGGTAAGAGGATGAGTAAAAAAAAAATCAACATTTTGGCACAAATGGCATATTTTTCCCAATCAATAATGAAAAACTACCAGTGACTACATCCTCCTGATTTGTAAGCACAATCCTCTATGATACAAAAGTTTGAAGGTGACAACACTCTATAACCTTCATGGCCAATTACACTCATCTATATATGTAGCCATTCACCTTAAAATAAAGACACTCTACTAACTTTATAGGGTGCCAAAAGATTCTGTCCTCTATTACTTCCTTGGTTTGGCTTCTTTTTTTTTTTTTTTTTTTTTTTTTTTTTTGAAACAGCGTCTTGCTCTGTCACCTAGGCTGGAGTGCCGTGGTGCAATCTCGGCTCACTGCAACCTCTGCCCCCAGGGTTCAAGAGATTCTTGTGCCTCAGCCTCCTGAGTAGCTGGAATTACAGGCACGTGCCACCAAGCCTGGCTAATTTTTGGATTTTTAGTTGAGACATGGTTTCACCATGTTGGCCAGAATGGCTTGAACTCCTGACCTCAGGCAATCTGCCCGCCTTGGTCTCCCAAAGTGCTGGGATTACAGGCGTGAGCCACCATGCCTTCTTTTCAAATACTGGAGAAATACATTAAGGATCACTGAATGTCTGTGAGCACCTATCTTCCTCAGGAATATTTTTCAAAGTTACAAGATGCTTTTTAAACAGGTCATCATCAGGCAGTCACCCCAAATGACTGACACATAAGATACCGAAGACTCATTTGGAAATCTCTAGCCTGAACTTGAGCCCCGAAGGGCAATGACCTTTATTTCTATAGCAGAATACCTGGGAGTGAGCAACCAAAAGATATGTCTTCTCTTAGGCATGCATAGAAATACTTCCTGGAAAATAGCTTTCCTCCTCTCCCCCACCCCTTATTTCCCAATGCTGGGGTAGCCACTGAAGGCTTTGTGTCTTATTTACCATGAAGGAATATTTTGAAGCTATTAAAAGTGATCCTTGATTGTTACCAAGGTTATATAGAGATCTCGAAAATATTTATGTTATCATGTTATAAACGTGGCAAAATATAAAATGCACTGTCTGCAACCATGTAGAAAATACATGTACATATGGAAAGCAACATGTAAAACAATTATATAGCTATGTTAGGCTAAGTATATTAATGTGAGATGATTTTCAAAATTACAAACTAAAGTTTTCACTTACTCATTATTTTTGCATTGATAAATTCTGAAGAAAATATTATACATACAATAGCGAAAATAGTACTCACTGTAAGTATACTTCAAATTCTGAATTAAAGAAGCTTTTAGGGGCTGCCCTTGCAAAATCTTAGCATTTAGTATAATCTTGTTTCTATGGGAAAAAAAGCACAAAAAAAGGGCACCAAACAACTAATTCACACACTCCATCTGAAAGAGCTAGTGTGAATTGGGGACTGCAATCATTATCCACCAAAGAGCCCAGACAAATATGTTCCTCTTTCTCTAATACTGCAGTTCCAGTTTATTTCTTGTCACCTGCAAGACAGCATGTGGGAAACAAAGAAAGGGATCAAGACATGAACTTGCTTTCACATGCTGTGTTTTATGACCATCTGCAGAAACAAATCCAGGAGGAAAGGCATCATTTGCAGAATTCATTTTTCCAGGCTATCCCTGTCCCTAATTAACACAGATAATTCTGAGTTTGCCATATCATAATTTATTAGCCACATTCAATTAATCTAATCAGCTGTAAAACAGGAGAGGGCAGCAGTACAAGTTTTAATAAAGTGAGCTCACTGGGGCAGGGTTCGGTAGCTCACACCTATAATCCCAGCACTTTGGGAGACCAAGGCAGGAGGATCGCTTGAGCCCAGGAGTTTGAGACCAGCTTGGGCCACAAAGGAGACCCTACTCTACAAAAAAATAAAACAATTAGCTGGGTGTGGTGGTGTGTGCCTGTAGTCCCAACTACTTAGGAGGCTAAGGTGGGAGAATTGCTTGAGCCTAGGAGGTCGAAGCTGCAGTGAGCCATGTTTGTGTCTCCAACCTGGGTGACTACGCTCCAGCGTGGGTGACAAAGTGAGACCCTGTGAAAGAGAAAGGAAAGGAAGAAAAGGAAAGAGAAAAGGAAGAAGAGAAAGGAAAGGAAGAAAAGGAAAGAGAAAAGGAAGAAAAGAAAGGAAAGGAAAGAGAAAAGAAAGAAAAGAAAGGAAAGGAAAGGAAAAGAGAAAAAAGAAAAGAAAAGAGGGTGCTCACTGGATTTTAAAAGCTGCTCAGCTGAGGATCATGGTGAATTCCCACACAGACAAAGGGCAAAAGCAGCCTTGGTGAACAATTTGTTTTGTTATATTTTTAACTCATCTTTCTGTTTATAAAGCCCCATAATACAATGAAGTTAAGAACAAAACAAACAGCAGGTATGCACAGATTATTTTAAAAACAAATCCAGGGGTTCAGAGGGTGAAGAATTCTGGGTTCCTGGGTGGACAGAGCCAGAATGTTTCCATACATGAACGGTTGAGGAAAACAACCAAAACTAAATAAAACAAAATTGAACATCAACTTGTAAATTAACCTCTGCAATTGAAAAGTTAGTATTTTACAATGTTAACTTCATTTACCCCGTTTCTGCCTGATCCAAAAGTACGTTTGCAGCACCCTAACAGTAACCCTAAGTTACTAACACGAAAAACAAAAACAGAACTATTCACTCACAGATAACTTTACAGGCACAGTGTTATTTCAAAGATGTCCTCAGGCAAGCCTGGGGCAGGATTTCTGTATCTAGTGGTCACAGTTTTGGTGTTCTCAGTTTGGTCCTCATTGTCATTAGGTCAGGAAATACATACAACAGTGGATGCAAATGTCAGAGGCGTGTGAACCAGAGCAACTCCATCTTAAACAGGAGCTGGGTAAAATAAGGCTGAAACCCACTGGGCTGCATTCCCAGATAGCTAAGGCATTCTAAGTCACAGGATGAGACAGGACGTCAGCACAAAATAAAGCTCATAAAGACCTTGCTGATAAAACAGTTTGCCCTAAAGGAACCAGCCCAAAGCCACCAAAACCAAAATGGCCACAAGAGTGACCTCTGGTCGTTGTCACTGCTACACTCCCACCAGCACCATGACAGTTTACAAATGTCATGGCAATGTCAAGAAGTTACCCTATATGGCCTAAAAAGGGGAGGCATGAATAATCCACCCCTTGTTTAGCAATATCATTTAAAAAAAAACCATAAAAATGGGCAACCAGCTGCCCTTGGGGCAGCTCTGTCTATGGAGTAGCCATTCTTTTACTCATTTACTTTCTTAATAAACTTGCTTTCACTTTGCACTGCAGACCCGCCCTGAATTCTTTCTTACATGAGATCCAAGAACCCTCTCTTGGGGTCTGGATCAGAACCCCTTTCCTGTAACACAAAGAAGTTAAGAAATGTGAAAACACAATGACTATGTATTTTTAACCTCAAATTGTCTATCAGCAGAATGAGAAGTGTGAAGAAAAATGACGCTGGCCATTTTAGGAACAGATCACAACCATAGACGGCAGATCTTGGCATGAATTTCTGAGGGTGAGAGAAGAAAGCAGAAAAAAATGTGTGCATTCTGAAAAACTGATATTTAATCTATTTTGCATAGGTAATATACCTTTGCAGGACTCAAAGTTGAAGGCTGAAGTCCATATTTGGAGATTATGATACTGAAGTCAGAAAAGTGGGAGATTTGGCCCCTTATCTGATTTACAACCAATTCCTTATCCTACGTGTGAGTATAATCCATTTATCAAATTGTAGAACAGAAAACTGACGGAGGCTGCTTCATTTTAGCTATGTAACAGATATGGCTAAAGAGTGCTCAACCACACATGATAGATACAATAAGGTTTACCTTAGTCAAATGAAGGCAAATTTAGCGAAAATCAGATTGACTAAGGCAAGGGCAAATTTCAAGATTTAATTTGACAAAGAATTAGTGGCTGGGCACAGTGGCTCACACCTGTAATCCCAGCACTTTGGGAGGCATAGGCAAGAGGATCACTTGAGCCCAGGAGTTCAAGACCAGCCTGGGAACATGGCAAAATCCCGTCTCTACAGAAAATACAAAAATGAGCCAGGCATGGTGGCAAGCACCTGTAGTCGCAGCTACTGATGGGGCCGAGGTGGGATGATTGCTTGAGCCCAGGAGGTCGAGGCTACAGTGAGCTATGATCACGCCACTGCACTCCATCCTGGGTGACAGAGCGAGACCCTCTTTCAGAAAGAAAAAAATAAAACAGAGAAGGAAAAAAATATTAAATTCTTCTTGCCAATGAGCTAAACAAGAAAAAAGAAAAAGAATTAGTGGGCACCTCCATGAGCCTGACACTACGCTAGGCACTGAGGAATACAACAATGAAAAGTTATGAGTCTCAAGGAGCTCCTAGGCTAATAGTCATTAAAATTTCATAATGTGAAAATCCTACTCCATACTGGTGTCTTTGCTAAAGACAATATTCTAAGGTTTGCTCTTCAGGAGCAGGAACTAACAACAGATGATGAACTAACAAAACCATGATTTCCTAAGATATGAAAGTGTCTGCTGTCATTTCCAGAAGCAAGTATATATTTATCACCCAAAAGGCTGAGAGTAAGCAAGCGGCATTTGTCTCTCACAAATGGCAAAAATGTTAATAGTAACTTTTCATGTTGTTTAGAAACAAATTCGGCTTAAAATATATGACAGCAATAAAAATTAAAAGTACTCAATATACCATCACTTTTGCATTCTCTCCTAGCACTCCAGTAAATAAACTATAGTCCTGGTCAAGTCTGAAATTCTGACTTGTAAGAGCTTTGATGACTAGCTAAAAATAAAAATTGTCAAACATATTTATAAGGAATGGTAATACTAAAAACTCCAACACGGTTAAGTTACATTAACAAAGGCTAAGAGGCTCAGCAAACTTTGGTAGTGCAGCTGCAGAGTTTTGAATCCTGACTCCAAAGTCCTTTGTCTGATAAGCATGATGATATTACGTTAAAGACGATATTATATTTATTGTGTACCTACTATGTGCCAGGTAGAACTATAGGAAATATCCATCCCTAACCCTCATTTCACTGATAAAGAACCTGCTGCTCTAAGAGGTTAAGTAACTTGTACAAACAACAAGAAAGTGGCAGAGCTGGGGTTTCAACCCATGTCTGCCCATCTCTGATATCTGATCTCCCCTCGTTGGGCTAAAGATGAGGATTCTGTGTCTCAAGTGACACTAACAGGAGAATCACCCTTTAGAGTCCACCCTGGAGGAGGTACTAGCTCAGATTATGGAGGACTTGGGAGGAATCTGTTTCTAATACATCCCTTAAAGTTGAACCTAACTCCAGATTATGTCGCGATCACAAAAGGAAAATTGGTCCATTCTTGGTGGACCTGAATATTAGGAATTAGTTCTTTGAGCCTCTGAGTATGCTTAGCACAGCCATTTTATTATGAAATCCTTATTTCTAGATTAATCTGAAATAGATCTGATCATCCTGGCAAACTAGAGAAGACCCCATCTATGTAGGTCTGTTTTGAATCAGAATGAAGCTATCTCCCAAGGCAAGGTTCAAAATAAGAGATGTTAAGGAGATGGGGCAATTAGGTAATTTTCCACTCATATGATTGAAATCCATCCCATGTTAGCCTATGTGACAGGGACTGTGACACTCATGCTGCTCCAGGAAACATGATCTTGGTTCTACAGTAAGACTAGGAAGAACTAAAAAAGTTTGGATACCTGGGGTATTATCAGTGGTCAAATGTACTTGGCCATTTGAAGAATACCTTTTAAATATACATAAATATCTTCCAACATGGGATGAATATTTTCTATAACTTTTCTCTATCTAATTATAGTTGCATCTTCCAATTCTGAGTTTATAATGAGAAAGAAACTATGTTGGAAACAACTACAAATGATAAAAATAAATAAAATAAAATATGGCCAGCTGGCAGACTGTTCTACAACATCATTGAGGCTCCGTGCATCACTTGAATAAAGCTTGATAGTTTATAAGCATTTCCTTGTTTTGATCATCACAGACAACCCTGAAGATGTAGGTATAACAGGAATCATAAGTATCTCCACACGGAGAGAATGAGTGACTTACCCAACACCACAGTGCTATAAGTGACAGTGATTCCAAATCCAATACTCTGTCCACTACATCACACTGCTTCATTAGCAGACATTTTGTGGGATAATAAAATGGGTTGTTTTTATTCCTCTATGTGAGGCCGCACTATAGAAGAAAACAATATAAAGACAAAAGAAAAACTCCTTTTTTGGAACAGTGTATCAGTCAGGGTCTAGTCAGGAAAAAGAAATCAAATACAGTCATGTGTCACTTAACAACCAAGTACAGTCACGTGTCACTTAACAACCAGTACAAGTACAGTCGTGTGTCTTCAAGTATAGTCATGTGTCACTTAACAACCAGACGTTCTGGAAAATGCATTTTTAGGTGGTTTCGTCTTTGTGCAAACATCATAGCATGTACTACACACCTAGTCTACGTAGTATAGCCTGTTTATTGCTCCTAGGCTACAAACTTATATAGTATGCTACTGTACCAAATACTGTATGCAACTGTAACACAATGGTAAGTATTTGTGTGTTTAAACATATCTAAACATAGAAAAAGTACAGTAAAAACATGGTATAAAAGATAAAAAATGGTGGCTGGGCCCAGTGGCTCATGCCTGTAATCCCAGCACTTTGGGGCCGAGGCAAGTGGATCACCTGAGGTCAGGAGTTCGAGACCAGCCTGGCCAATACAGTGAAACCCCGTCTCTACTAAAAATACAAAAATTAGCCGGGCATGGTGGCAGGTGCCTGTAGTACCAGCTACTTGGGAGGCTGAGGCAGGAGAATCGCTTGAACCCGGGAGGTGGAGGTTGCAGTGAGCCAAAATCATGCCACTGCATACCAGCCTGGGTGACAGAGCAAGATTCCGTCTCAAAAAATAACAAAAAATAAGTAAAATAAAAATGGTATACCTATATAGGGTACTTACCATGAAAGGCGCTTACAGGACTGGAAGTTGCTCTGAAGGAATCAATGAGAGAGTGATGAGTGAATGTGAAGGCCTAGGACATTACTGTACACTACTGTAGACTCTATAAACACTATACACCTAAGCTACACCAAAATTATATTTAAAAAATAAGGTAACTGTAGTACAACATTACAATAGTTATGATGTCACTAGGCAACAGAAATGTTTTAGCTCCATTATAATCTTATGTGGGCCGGGCATGGTGGCTCACACCTGTAATCCCAGCACTTTGGGAGGCCAAAGCGGGAGGATCACTTGAGGTCAGGAGTTCGAGACCAGCCTGACCAACATGGTGAAACCCCATCTCTACTAAAAATACAAAAAAAATTAGTCGGGTGTCGTGGCATATGCCTGTAGTCCCAGTTACTCGGGAGGCTGAGGCAGGAGAATTGCTTGCGCCCAGGAAGCGGAGGTTGCAGTGAGCCAAGATTGTGCCACTGCACTCCAGCCTGAGCAACAGAGTGAGACTCCGTCTCAAATAATAATAAAAATCATCATTATCATCATCATCATCAACTTATGGGACAACCATCCTATATATGATCCATCATTCACTATAATGTTGTTATGTGGTGCATGACTGTATTTACAACAGAAGGAATTTAATAGAGGGAACTGGCTATATAAGGCATTAAATTGCTGCAAACCATATTGGGGATGGTAAAAGGTTTAACAACAGCAGGGAGCCACTACCACCCCTAAGCCGGAGAGACAAAAGGAAGAGATGACAACAGCAGGGAGCCACTACCACCCCTTAGCTGGACAGACAAAAGGAGGAGATGGTGTTATAGGAACTGAAGACATAGAGTCACTGGACAAGAACCATGGTGGTCCTGTCCAGTGAGAACTAAAGCCAGAGAGAAACAGTCTCTGCTAGAGAAGCCACCCAAGGCAAGAAGGGAAAAAGAGAAATATCTTGGTTTCTCCCTTTCTCCTCTTGCATTATTTCCTGCCAGTTTCTCTAATCAGCTGAACCCAGTCTGAAGCTAGCTGACCCAGAAGCCTGGGTGGAGAAACAGGGAAGAATGAATATTAGAGAAAACTGACCAAGGGCTACAGTTAATCCTCAGCTGCAATAATCAAATATGTGACTGTTACAAGCAACTGAGATTTTGGGGTTGTATAACTGCAAAAGCTGACTGATACATGCCTCCACAAACATCAAGTAGGTAAATAAATAAGCAGACAGAAGTGAAATAAATGGAGAATCAAAAGTGAAATCATAGCAATAATTACTTTTAATAATTGCTTTGAAGACATTTCCACTATTAATTCGTGAGCCCAGGGTGGAAGGCAAGCACATGTACAGACCCCCAACCATGCTCTGGTCCTGAAGGAGAAGTCCATTCAGGAACCTGTCTAGCTATGTGGTGGGATCCCCAGCTAGCGGTGGAGATGAGCCCTGGCCAGGACTGTCTTATAGCTTCACAATTAACTGGGCAGTTCGGGACAGGATGACCTGGTGAACTGGGAGTGTCATATGCTGGCAAGTGAGGAGCCAGGACTTCCAAAAAGGAAGTTTGTCACTGAGTCAGCGATGTTGCCAAGCCCTAAGCCAGAGCAGTACTAATATAGCTCAAAGGTAACCACTGACATGGCCATTCAAGCTTTTTGCTTATAATACTTCTAGCACAGTACTAGCTTCCATCATAATACATACAGTATAGCTTCATTAGTTATTTATAATCCCTCCCTTCTCCCAAAGTAGACTGTATGCACCACAGGATACTGGATACCTTTTTAGTTTATGTAACTCTACAATTACCCATCTTAAAATATATGGCCCCATCCAACATATCCAACATTATTTTTCACAATTCCTCAGCATAAAACCTCAGAAATGCCTCTTTCATGCTCTGTGGTATTCCCTGCCTCTAAGCATTTTTCAAGATCTCCCCATTGTCTGGAACATTCTCCATCCTTTCCATCTGAATCCTGAAAGTGCCTCAAGATTCAGAAACTCTACCTCCTCTGTCCTCCAGTTATTCCAGCCAACTCTGCTCACTCTCTACCCTAAACTCCTACAGAATTTAGAATGCATATCATTATGCATGTGGCAATTAATTATTTTTGTTGTTTCATTTAAGTTTTACCTTCCCAATTACACTTGAGCAGAGGATCTAGCACTGTATACGGCTGATTAAATAAGTGCCTGATAAATGTTTAAAGGAATAAATGAAAGATAAACCCTTTTTAAAAAAAAGCAGGAGCCTCATCTTTTACTTACAGTACTTCATTTGGAACCTCCCTCCTGTTTGCCAAGCAAGTAACAGGCACTCAATAAACATTTCTTGACACTGATCAATTACTTTGGAATACAATCAGGTTTACATATGTCTAGATTGATCCTACTGGAATGAATCTTAATGGCTGGCAAATTAAGTTACATATTTGGGTAACTTTAAGTGATAAAACAAAAAAGTGAAACACAAAAAACACTAAAATATGAAACCACTGAAAGTTTCAAAAAATACCACTTGACTCTTACTCCTCCTTACTCTTATATGTGCAGTGAACACTGTACTCTCTTCTATTCTCATGTTCTTGTCCTACTGTCTTTCCCTCCATTTAAAAAAAAAAAGTTGGTCTGTACACAGTAAATTGACTTCATGACCCAATAAAGGGTTGCAATCCATATTAAAAACACCGGCCTAAAGAACATTCTAGAATAATTTTCTTAAATTATTAAGTACAAATGACAAAACAGTACTAAGCATACATAAAGTAGATGTCTTCATTTTAGAATGAAGAAAAGGCAACAATGCAGTCTCTTCTAGAGAAATGAAATAGAACGAAAGGTTCTGCTACCATTGTCTCAATTCTAACCACGTTAACTTAGACAGGTTTAGGGGTTCGGGTGATTTTTAAAAATTCAACACACTGAAATAAATAGCAATTTTGTAATTATATTAAAAGGCCTGATATAAGGGCTAACACTGAAGTGGGGGGAAATAATTGGATATTTCATATTGGTTAGAAAGTCTTACTTTCTTCAGAAACCATAGTTTTCTTAACACTTGGACAACAATCACAAAACCAAATGTTGTGGATGTCTCTACGTTGTGTGGGAACTTCTACCATTGTTCCAACAACTAGAATGGCTTCCAGAGTCCATGTAGAAAGAGTAGAAAGCAGAAAACCAAAAAAGAAGAGAGATAATAGACTCATTACCCAAGAGACCCTCTCAAAAACACAGCCAGTTAAGCCAGCAGTGGAAGCCTTCCATCAATATAGGCTCAATAGTAAAAGACCCAGTTTTCTTTCATGGAAAAAAAGGGATCTGTCTGATCAAATACAGCCTCCATAGAATTGGTTTTTCTAAAAAATGAGACAAGTCTTCAGTGGCAAACTGCCCCACAGCAGTGGCTTTCTGCCTTTTTTAACCCACTGGTAAGAAATAATTTTTATATAACAACACATTCCACATATATACATACTTACATAACTGAAACAAAAGTTTTATGAAATAGCACTTGACCCTTACTCCTTGTTACTCTTACATGTGCAGTGGACTCTGTGTTCTCTTATCTGTTGTCATGTTCTTGTCTGTTCTCTTTCCCTCCATTTAAAAAAAAAAAAAAAAGTTGGTCTGGACACAGTAAATTGACTTCATGACCCAGTAATGGGTTGCAACCCATATTGAAAACATTGGCTTAAAGAACATCCTGGAAGTCAAGTAAAGGTCACATTCTCTCTCTCGATCTCTTTCTCTCTTTCTTTCTTTTTTTTTTTTTTTGATGGGAGTCTCGCTCCTTTGCCAGGCTGGAGTGCAGTGGCGTGATCTCAGCTCACTACAATCTCTGCCTCCCAAGTTCAAGCAATTCCCCTGCCTCAGCCTCCTGAGTAACTGGGACTACAGGCGCGTGCCACCACCCCGGCTAAATTTTTGTATTTTAGTGGAGACGGGGTTTCACCGTGTTGGCCAGGATGGCCTCGACCTTCTGACCTCGTGATCTACCCACCTCAGTCTCCCGGCACCTGGTGATCTCTTTCCTTCTAAAAAAAAAAAAAAAAAAAAAAAAAAAAATCCACTGCTGGAAGAAAAGATCATTTTAGCTTCACTTTTTAGTGAGAGAGAGAAAAATGACAACTTCAGGGTCTTGTATATAGCTGCCCCTAAAATATTTGTTAAACTTAAGAGGCTAAAGTGTTTTTTTTTCTTCCTATTTTGTGAGTAAAGTAACATATTAACAAGCAGGGAGGCTAAGATTTAAAGGAAAAAAGGAGAATTCCAATAATGGAAATACTGCTTGAGCAACATGCCCAATATTTTGAATATGACATTGCCGGGAATTCCTGTATCACCTGAGATACTTTGATTTATCAGCCTAAGGCCAAGAAACAAAAGAGAGAAACGCCCATCACAAAAGGCCAGAAGAGTTCAGTAGTGTGGTAACTGACATCATTTCAAATGAATGAAGTGGGACTATGCCCTTTAAATGAGGAAATAATTGCCTGCAAAATAAATGACTCCAGCTTAAAACAATCCAGAATGTCTAAAGCACAAACTCTTAGAACAAAATGCAGCCAAACAAAATGAGCTTCAGATTAGATAACCCCGTATAGTGGAGTCCAACGATATTCTTCAAGATACTCTCCTGAGATCCCTGCTCAGCAGATAATGATGCTGACAGCTATAATGGGATAGGCTATCATTAATAAAAATAGCTAGCACTTCTTAAGGACCCACTTAAGGCCAGGCACTGTGATAGGTACTGAATATTCCTTATCACTATTCTCATAACAAGTCTGCAAGGGGGCTTTAATCCCCATTTAACGTAAGAGGAAACAGAGGTCCAGATAAGTAACTTGCTTATACTTGTAGAAAGTGATAAAACTGGGATAATGAACTCAACTGTTATATTTTAAACCTTCACCTCCCATTGGTGCATTTCTTTTGCCAACATAAGGGTAGAAGCATAAAAAAAAAAGAACAGATAACCACATGTACAACATACATGGAGCAATAGGAAGGAAGTGAGGAAGGGGAAAAAAGGCAAAAAGGAACTGGTCCTTTTAAATAAGAAAGACATTATTTCAGAAAATGGCAGCTTCGCTTAGTTTGGAACCTAAGCTTTAGCTCTATAGTTCTAAGTGTCTATTTTAACAGCAGTTATTACTATGTGAGCTCTGTACTCTCAATCTAGGGAAAAGAATCTTGCCACTAGAAGAATAATTTTAAAGTGAGAGTCTGCTTTTGATACAAATATTTGATATAGATACTAAGTGGAATAAACATAGCGATCTACCCTTCTCTCTCCCGAAAAACTGTCTTTATCACGTTTTACTTTAAATTGTTTAGATTTTCCTCAAATTAAAAAGACAAGCTAAAGGTAATAAAATATTATTAAAGGCAATGCTTTAATTATACAGCATGGAAACCACTCATTTGCACAATGAGCATTTTATAGCTGAATGAAACTCTTCTCAAGCTTGGGGAAAACACTCAGAGGTATTCAAAATAATTAGTCCTTTGATCCTTCATTTGGTTTCAAATGGCCATAAGTGACTCTCCAAACTTGGTCAAGGATCTGGAGTTATTATACACAGTACCACCCAACAATCGTCTTGGTTAAGGCTTTCTCACTGACCCAAAAACATGGCACATGGTGAAAAACATTTTCCTTAAATGTCTAAATTGCTGCTGGAATAAATACTAGAAATGATTAGAAAGTTCCAATGGAAAAACCCCATATTCCATTCAATATTTTTAAATGTAAAGGACGTTTATTTTTGCATCTTTTACACAAAAAGAAAGTAATTATATAGAACAATCCTAACTCCATTACGCTTATTCCTCAAACCATTAGGCCCTCGTATGTACCATCTTTTCATTAGTCTCTTCGAAGTACATTTGAATTCCTTTTATCTGACTAATCATACATTAATCATATATGATTTATCTAATGAGATATCTGATTATTCTTTCTAAAGATGAAGGAAACTACCATGAGCTCAGAGGATATAAGGAAATGAAATGAAAGAAAATTAGATTCAGTGGAACTAAGAGAAACATAGATGTAATCAACCCATGTGCATCTAGTCAGAGGCCAACTTCTCTCTAGCAAAAGTCCCCCAGTGTGTTAGCAACAGAGACTACTGCACTGATACCACTTTATGACTAAAAAAGGAGGAATACTTTACAAGTCAAAACTTTTTTTTTTTTTTTTTTGAGACAGAGTCTCACTCTGTCACCCAGGCTGGAGTGCAGCGGCATGATCTCAGCTCACTGCAACCTCTGCCTCCCAGGTTCAAGCGATTCTCCTGTCTCAGCCTCCCAAAGAGCTGGGACTACAGGTGCACACCACCATGCCCGACTAATTTTTGTATTTTTAGTAGAGACAGGGTTTCATCATATTGGCCAGGCTGGTCTCGAACTCCTGCCTTGTGATCTGCCCGCCTTGGCCTCCCAAAGTGCTGGGATTACAGGCGTGAGCCACCGAGACAAGCCACAAGTCAGAACTTTTAAATCAGTGGTACTGAACATTTAAAAGTTGGATTGAGGCCAGGCACAGTGGCTCACGCCTGTAATCCCAGCACTTTGGCAGGCCAAGGCAGGTGGACTGCTCGAGCTCACGAGTTCAAGACCAACCTGGACAACATGGTGAAACCCCAGTTCTACTAAAATACAAAAAATTAGCCGGGTGTTATGGTGTGCGCCTGTAGTCCCAGATACTTGGGAGGTTGAGGCAGGAGAATTGCATGAAACCAGGAGGCGGAGGTTGCAGTGAGCCAAGATTGTGCCGCTGCACTCCAGTGGGGGAGACAGAGCAAGACTCTGTCTCCAAAAAAAAAAATAATAATTAATTAATTAATTAATTAATTAATTAAAGTAAAAGTTGGATTGAAACATTTATATGGATGTTAAAAGAGAGGAGAAATCACAGTAGATAATATATATGAAAAATTATAGAGAAGAAAAACACATCATATGGTGCTAAGATGCTAATTATGGACTCTTGAATAGGGTAATTTTCTTTAATTTTTCTTTTTTTTGAGACGGTCTCATTCTGCTGCCCAGACTGGAGTGCAGTGACACAAACAAGGCTCACTGCAGCCTCAACCTCCTGGGTTCAAGTGATCCTCCCACCTCAGCCGCCAGAGTAGCTGGGACCACAGGTGCATGTCACCACACCTGGCTAATTTTTAAAATTTTTTATGGAGATGGGGTCTCGCCATGTTGCCCAGGCTGGTCTCAAACACCTGGGGTCAAACAATCATCCTGCCTCAGCCTCCCAAAGTGCTGGAATTATAGGCATGAGCAGCTATGCCTGGTCTATAGGGTAAAATTTTAAGGGCAAATATAATATAGTTGCTCTTTCTTCTGAATCTTCTGCCAATTCCCACTTCAACTTTCAGTAAAAAGTAAAGGGTTGTGAAAATAAGACTGAGTTGACAATTCTAAAACTGACTAAAATAAAAATGAAAATTATGAGGACCTCAGGCATTTTTCAAAGTAAACTAGAAAGAACTTTCCTTTTGATAGTCCATTTACAAGTAGCGAAGTCTATCATAGGGATTCTCAGTTCCTTCGAAGACTAAAAAGAAATACAGTATGACAAAGATACAGCGTTAACTGGTTAAATTTTTATATAAGTATAAAAATTACTTCCTACTCTTTACAAACTTGTTATTGACCAGAAGGCAGTTTTTCATTTAATATCTTTGAAAAATCAGCAGTTAAGTAAAAAATATCAAGACAATTTTTGGAACACTTTAATCAGAAGTATGGAAGTATACAAATGAATTTTAAAATAAAATCAATGCATCAATGAATAAGATCTAATATGAAAGTACTCACATTTCACGATGAGACTATGATCAGATGCAGGAAAGGCAAAAGTCTAAATCCCAGTAGAGAAAGGATGGGTATGAGGGACAAAGGGCCCTTGGACTGAATTATCAAGAGTGATGTCTTCAGCTTCCAGATTCCCAGAGCCCCTGTTGGTAGTTATTGACAAATATGGTATTTGGTCACAAATAGCAACAGCAGGTATCTCTTGTGTCTGGGATAGGAAAGGAGATCAGAAACCTGTGAAGATTGCAAACTCCTGACTCCATAAGAATGAGGTGGAAGGTCTGAGGACAGAGAGCTGTAGATGCCCTACTCAATTTTAAAGACCTTAGTAAACAAGAAAAAATAAAATTAAATACTATATGTGTATTCCATGGGAAATTATTTTTATTGTTTCTTTTGGTGGGGAGAACACCACTATATGCAGTTTTAGGAGGAAAAGATAAGAAACATGAATTCTCAGAAGCAGGTTTCAACCCCCACAGCTCAAGGGTTACATTAAAAAAGAGAAATGAACTGCTGCTGAAATTAGAAGCAAGAGAACCCACTCTGGTCAAATCCACTGTCAGATGGAAAAGCTTTGTGAAGTGTTAGAAACGGTTGGGCATGGTGGCTCACGCCTGTAATCCTAGCACTTTGAGAAGCCGTGGTGGATGGCTTCTCGGCCTTTTGGCTAAGATCAAGTGAGAAGCCGTGGTGGGCAGATCACCTGAGGACAAGAGTTCAAGACCAGCCTGGCCAACATGGTGAAACCCCGTCTCTACTGAAAATACAAAAATTAGCCAGGCACGGTGGCACCTGCCTGTAATCCCAGCTACCCGGGAGGCTGAGGCAGGAGAATCGCTGCAACCTGGGAGGCGGAGGCTACAGTGAGCCGAGATCATGGCCCTGCACTCCAGCATGGGTAGCAGAGTGAGACTCCGTCTCAAAAAAAAAAAAAAAAAAAAAAAGAAAGAAACTGAGCGTACCCATTTCCAAGGAATTCAACACTGTTGAATTCTTTTTCAAACTTAAACTCCTAGATAACTACATTAGATCCTTTACCTCCCACACTGTAATACCTTGAAAGGAATAGCCAATCAGAATTTTTAAACACTGGAAATTTCTACATTTTACACGTTGGTATAGCAAACGAAACCACTTTTTTTTTTCCCCTGAGACAGAGTCTCGCTCTGTCACCCAGGCTGGAGTGCAGTGGCACAATCTTGGCTCACCACAACCTCCACCTCCCAGGTTCAAGCAATTCTCCTGCCTCAGCCTCCCGAGTAGCTGGGATTACAGACACATGCCACAACGCCCAGCTAATTTTTGTATTTTTATTAGAGTAGGGGTTTCACCATGTTGCCCAGGCTGGTCTCGAACTCCTGACCTCGTGATCTGCCCGCCTCTGCCTCCCAAAGTGCTGGGATTACAGGCGTGAGCCACCGCGCCTGGCCTGGAAACCACTTTTGTTTTGTTCTTGAGAGCAGATATAAGCGATGGAAATAAATGGAAAATGTAGAAAATTATTTGGAAGACAGAATTTACTCATTTTAAGTTTCAACACTCATATAAACAAAAGCAGTTGGAAAGAACTCATGTAGGAATTCCCCATAACCAGAAGGAAGATTGTTTTGTTTTGGGTTTTTTTTTAAGTGTCCATATTACAACTTAAATTTACAACTTAAGCTTTTATCATTATTTTAAAAATGAAAGTGGTATCATCTATAGTCATAAATGCACAGCCTACTGAATTTAAAAGAGGAGCACATTCCAGTTTTAGGCATAAGTACAGTAACTAAATAGACTTGAACAAGAAATTCTTTATCCAGTACAGATTTTCTGAGCATTTGGCACTATACAGAAAACCATGATTTACTAAGCACCAATCAACTGACCTAAGTTACATTATAACAGCACCCCTAGCCTATCCTCTGCTTTGCCCCACGTCCCCCTCCAAACATATCCACCTGAAATAGTACCTAGAAGACATTTGTCCTTATCAGATTTTATTTGAAGGAAGAAGTCAGAAAGGAATTATCTAGTAATAACTTAGTTACAATTTCAGGTACCAGCAGAGAAGCCAAAAAATGAAAATTAATCTGTGTACAAGCTGAAATTGTCCCTAGTTCTGAAAAGAGAATAGTCAGAACCTAGAGAGTTCCTTTTTGATTCCAAAGAGGGAAGGAAGGGAGGAAAGAAGGGAGGAAGAGAGGGAGGGAGGGAAGACTTAGACACTAAAACATGCTTTAGGCCTCTGCCAAAGCCTTATAAAAAACTAAGACAAACCTCATAGTTAACTACTGACAGTGGCATGTGCTTTTAATTCTATTCTGAAAATGTGCATGCAAGCAAGGCAAAATTATATCATGGTTCTCATTTACATTTATCATTGCCTCACTATGGGAATATATAATCACATACGGACATCTGTGGATGATTATATACAAAGACGGGCCTTTCAAGATCAAGTTTAAGAGTTCTAGTGTCTTTCTATTCATACACCAATCATGAAGCAATTCACTAGAGCTGTTTTAGGGAATACGGAAATATTTGGGGAAGTCCAGAGGCTGTCTCCTCATCACGTACAAAAATTTTGTAATAATTTCCTTCACCTCCCCCTCTTCCCACAGTAAAGCTCAGCAGTGACATTTCCTTTCCCCTATCTAGTTATATGAATCACTTTTTACTTTACTACATTTTTAGGGATTCTGTGTTTTTACCTTGAATCAAAAGTGATGCCAAATTATCACTAATACATCTTGACTCTTCTGATCCCCAATCAGAATTTCCCCTCCCCTAATTGAAAGTGACATTTTCTAGTACAAAAATTTTCACGCAAAATGAGGTTAGACTAGAATAAATATGAGTCAGATGAACATGAACTGAAACAGAAAAATGTGCTGGTGCAATCCCTCCCTTAACAACTTTATCTCACAACCCCGGATGTTTAAAAATGATAAACATGGTGACCTATCCAAGAACAACCTGGATATCAAGTTTTCGTTGTTTGTTTTTTGCTGCGAACTAGTTCAGCATGCTCTGCTTGTTATACATCAAGGATGCCTCTACATCAATTCAGGAGGAAAGACTACAACGCACTGTGTAGGAAGATGGGGCTTTTAGGCCAGGCACTGTGGCTCATGACTGTAATCCCAGCGCTTTGGGATGCTGAGGCAGGAGGACTGCTTGAGCCCAGGAGTTCAAGACCAGCCCAGGCAACATAGAGAGACTCCCTCTCTTAAAAAATTAAATAAAATGAGCTGGGCATGGTGGGACACACCTGTAGTCCCAGCTACTTGGGAAGCTGAGGTGGGAGAATCACCTGAGCCTGGGAAGTTGAGGCTGCAGTGAGCCATGATTGCGCCACTGCACTCCAGCCTAAATGACAGAGTGAAATCCTGTCTCTAAAAAAAAGAAAAAAACACAGGGCTCTTCATGTTGTTGAATGATCAACTAGGGGCAACTCCCCTTCAGCCATGACAGTTATGAGATGTCTATCAATATCTATCATGACCAGTCACTAGTTGCAATTGACTAGTGTCAGTCAATATATGACAATACTAAGAAAAATGCGGTGCTTGGCAAAAAAAATCCACCAAAACTATGACTGGATTTAACTGGAAGTTAATTTTGAACTCTACCACACTACCTGTACTTTTAAGAAGATACATTTAAAGAAAGTAAATACTAAACACAGTATCAGGAAGCTTTATAAAGGAAATATCAAACTATGGCTCTCTCTAAAGTCTTGCGTAAACATTCTTTCCTATTCTAATGGCCATCAAAGTTAAGGATATAATAGGGTTAAACCAGAATCTCAATGAGAGAGATGGTGAACACATATAGTCTGGGGTAGAACACAGTTATAATATCACAGTACGTGAGACAATAATCTCCCAACCTCCCAACTCAGAAAGGGACAAGAATTCACTCAATCTGGCTGTAGTTTCAGGAACATCTGTGAAGCATTTCCCAGTATTCTCAGTAATTTCTATACTTCCGATCTACAAAGGATATTCTACTATTTGTTCTCTTGTCAATAAAGAAAAGTTAGGCCAAAAGAGATTTTAACACAAAACACTTAAGCTAATAAAAGCAGAGCTGGTCTTTCACTTTTATTTGGGTTTTTGCAGATAAGACGCACATCTCAAACCAACCATAGGATCCTTCCCCAAATTCTTTCCCTGCTGTTTATCTTTTGATATTGCAAGAGCTCTGATGGGTCCCTTGTGTAGTGGTATCTTTTGGCAAAAGTGGTTTCCTCAGGTTGAGTTGAGCTCTGGCTCTTCAAAGTTAATTAGAACCACACCACACAGTATCTCGAGTATGCTGATAGAAAATGCCTGTGGTGTGATGTTAACGAGAGACAATTAAATTTCTCTTTGTTCTCTTCAGAAGACAATTACATTTCTCATCTTTTATTTGCATACCAGCCACTCAATAAAAACCAGCCTACAGCCTAGTAAAAAAAAGGCCAAGAATGGGCCTTGCCCACAGCTGCAGCTACCACCCACTACTTGCCCACCCCTTTCTCAATAGAAAAGACAGCGGGAGGCCACGGCACATACTTCCTACTCCTTTCAGGGTCTTCCATGTCAGAAACCCTGCCACGTTCCCCACATCCAAATTATCTCAGTGCTTTGGTGTGAAAAAATTGAAAAATGATCCACAGAAGGTTGGGAAGCTGGAGGTGGAAGGTACCTGGACAGCACCAAAGGTTCCCTTGTGCAGACAGCAGGAAGCCTAGCTGTGGCACTACCTATCTCTTACCCAGGTTTGCTTTCACACAATTCAGTCTCAGTAACAAAAGATTTTAGGGGAGAGAGTAGAGGTAGACAAAGCAGGAAGAAAAAAGAAATTCATTGAGGAAACATTTTGTAATCAAGAATGAAAGTAACAGTGCTGTGCACAGCACAAAGATGGCTTTCTCAAAGACACAGAGAAAGCCTCATTGTCTAAATCAGGCCAATGTTCACAGGGCACTGACAGCTCTAGAGAGGGCCAGAGGCAAAGAAACTGTAGCCTCTTACCTGGGGAAAAAGAAGATTTTTAGGGCCTCTTCTGTCAAAATAAAATGAAAATCAATTTTCACAAAAGAAAGCCAATGAAACATGCAACTTCTCCACTTCACCACCACAACTACAGCAGGCCTGAATCCTACTCTGAGATGTCTAGAGTTGCAGTCTAAGATTATTTTATCTTTAAAAGATAAATGGTCATTCTCAGCAAACTAACACAGGAACAGAAAACCAAACACTGCATGTTCTCTCTCATAAGCGGGAGTTCAACAATGAGAACACATGGACACAGGGAGGGGAACATCACACACCGGGGCCTGTTGGGGAGTGGGGGGCAAGGGGAGGCAGAGCATTAGGAGAAATACCTAATGTAGATGACGGGTTGATGGGTACAGCAAACCACCATGGCACATGTATACCTGTGTAACAAACCTGCACATTCTGCACATGTATCCCAGAACTTAAAGTATAATTAAAAAAAAAAAGATAAACGAGCAATCATTCCTAACATGTTTCAGTAAGCAACTATAATTCTAATTTCAGAATCATCAGAAAAAAAGTTCTAAACTGGTACCTTTAAAGGCTCCCTTCCCCAGAAAATGACGGTTTTATTTCATCAAATTATTTCTTTCTTATTTTATTTTATTTTATTTTTTCGCTTTTTGTCTCCCAGGCTGGAGTGCAGTGGTGTGATCTCGGCTCACTGCAACCTCCGCCTCCCGGGTTCAAGCGATTCTCCTGCCTCAGCCTTCCGAGTAGCTGGGATTACAGGTGCCTGCCACTACGCTTGGCTAATTTTTGTATTTTTAGTAGAGACAGGGTTTCACCATGTTGGCCAGTCTGGTCTCAAACTCCTGACTTCAGGTGATCCACCTGCCTCGGCCTCCCAAAGTGCTGGGATTACAAGTGTGAGCCACTGCACCCAGCCTCATCAAAGTATTTCATAATATCATCCTAAAATTTCAGTTCAATGACAATTTTTTCAAGCACCAAATAGGTACAAAGTATGGTATTCGGCAACGCAAAGAACACAAAGACAAAACATGTTTCTGTCCTAAAGGAATTCATCGTGGGTCCCAGCACTTTGGGAGGCCGAGGCAGGTAGATTGCGTGAGCTCAGGAGTTCAAAACCAGCCTGGGCAACATGGCGAAACTCTGTCTCTACTAAAAATACAAAAAATTAGCCGTGTGTGGTGGCGGGCACCTATAATCCCAGCTACTCGGGAGGCTGAGGCAGAATCGCTTGAACCCAGGAGGTGGAGGTTGCAGTGAGCTGAGATTCCATCACTGCAATCCAGCCTGGGCAACAGAGGGAGACTCCCCCTCAAAAAAAAAAAAAAAAATTATCGTGGGAGTGGAGGGTTGGGGAAGCAAAGGAAGACGGTTCTACTTATAGGAACAACATGGTAAGTGCCACATGAAAGATCAAAGTACTACAGAGTACAAAGTCCCACTGAGGAAAGAGCATCTTGGTGGTTGGGTTGGGGGTGAAGAGAGACAATTCTGACATGGCCTCATAAAGAAAGTGACATATGAGGAACATCAGGAAAGACAGATGTCAACAGGCCGAAATGAGGTGTGTTCTTGGAACCTGCCATTCTGGGCAGAGCAGTAGAGCAGTTAATCTTACACTTTTTAATTTTGTGAATTAGTAAAATGTGCAGGCGAGAATAAAAGGTGGTGGTAGTGAGAATAAAAGAAGGTGAAAGCCAAGCATTGTGCATTCCATAAAGTTTGCTTAGGGAGAAAACTTACCTCCCTTAGAGAAAAAAAATAGCAAGAATTCTATTACAATCGTTTTTTCTTTCACAAATGACAGTGAGATAATGACCATCTATTACTACCAGCATTTTATAAGTAAAGAGGCATTTTAATTCCAAAAATGTAAGAAGCACATCAACTCAGAGACTTAAAAATTGTATTTCTTCTCATGTAAGGGCCTCTAAAACCCTTACACTGGCCAGCTGAAAATGTGGCCACAGTCCACCCAGCACAGATGTTGAGGGTCCCTGGGTTAGAGTTTAGGATTCCTGTAAAAAACAGAGAGAGATATAGCTGAAGCCACACTGTAGGGAGTTTGGAATGATAGGCCAACGATGATGTATTCCAGTGGACAAAGTAAAAAATAAGACTTTTAAGGGAGGGATAAGGGATTAATATGATAATCAGAGCTATGCTCTAAAACTAATTTGCTTGAAGTGTACAGAATGGAATTCGGGAAGGACGCTGCCCAAATGAGACTGGAAGTGCTCGGGTCACTTAGAAGGACATGGCAAAGTCCAGGAGAGAGGTATTGAGGGCCTAAATTAGGGTGGCAGAAGAAAGAATGGAAAGGACTTGGCAACAAATTGTACATAAGAACTGAGGAAAAGGGGCCAGGCGCGGTGGCTCACGCCTGTAATCCCAGCACTTTGGAAGGCCGAGGTGGGCAGATCATGAAGTCAGGAGATCGAGACCATCCTGGCCAACATGGTGAAACCCCGTCTCTACTAAAATACCAAAAAAGAAAATTTGCCGGGTGTGGTGGCACGCACCTGTAGTCCCAGCTACTCGAGAGGCTGAGGCAAGGGAATCGCTTGAACCCAGGAGGCGGAGATTGCAGTGAGCCGAGATCACGCCACTGCACTCCAGCCTGGTGACAGAGCAAGATTCCTTCTCCAAAAAAAAACAAAAAAACAAAAAACTAAGGAAAAGGAAAGAGTCAAAGATGACTTCCAGGTTTTGAGCCTAAATACCTGAAAAAAAATATGGGTTAAAAAATATATGACAATTCATGAAAGGGTACTAGATAAAAAGAGGAAATGAACTGACCGTGGGGTGGGATGCACACAGAGGAGTCTGAGAGAGGCCGGGAAGAGGAGGAGACAGAAAGTTGGGTAGTCACACATGGAAGGGGGCAAGCTTAGCTCCATCACCACGTGGGAGCTTTCGAGCACTTATACGTGCCCCGCACTGCGCTAGGAGCTAGGGATATGATGAGAACCATAATGGATCTGATATGTGCACTCGCGGAGTTTACAATCTGGCAGGAGATATGGACATCAATGCAATAATCACACAGATGGACGTAATTACAAATTTTATTGAAGTGTCCAATTTCTAAAAGAGAAAAAAAGGAAAACCTAGAGAACAGACACTTGGAAGTGACTTCCATTAAAAGGCAAAATGAGACTACCATGGAAAGGGGAGGAGCGGTTAGAAGAGTAGGAAGTATGCTGGAGCAGACAATTCCTGGAAGCCAAAGGAGGAATGAGTTTCAAGGAGCAGATAATAAACAGTGTGAAATGCTGATGAGAGGCCAAGGATGACAAAGACTGAGAAAGGACCACTGGACAGTTGTTAACAAGGAGGTCATGATGACCTGAGTGCAGTTTTGAAGGGGGCAGAGCAGGACTTTGAGGGGTTAATGAGTGAGGAGATGGGGGACAAGACTTCTCTCTTTCAAGAAATTAAGGAACAAGGAAGGAGAAAGGGGAGATGGGTGACTTGAGAAAGTAGCGAGTTTATGGGATATCCTATGTAGAATGAGGATGATTTCAATAGGGTTGAAAGTAGAGCAGAAAGGGCAAGCAGAGAACTAGACAGAGAAGACAGATGACGGAGGAGAGGAGGGGAATGACTGCCAGGGCCAGGTCCCAGGAGAGTGGGAAGGTATTATTACATCAAGCATACCAACCAACAGGTTAGCACTGGCTCCTTGGAGAGAAGGGCGAAAGAAACAAGGAAAGGTGAAAATATCCAGAAATTAGAGATGATAAGAAAGGATGCTGGGGAAGCACTTGTTAGGGAGTAGGGGATCTTTTCAGGAAAATGAGGGGGAGAGGGGAGTCTTCTGCTATGATTTCAGTGAGACACCAACAGCTGGGACTTAAGGAGATTGCTATGGGCTATCAACTGCACAGTCATTAAAAAAAAACATTTACTCAGGGCCTTCTCTGCCCCAGGAACTGTACATATTTATGTGCGGCATAAATGAAGTTAGCAGGCATTTATTACTATAGATAAATACTCTGGGTAAAAAAAGAAATGGGCTGATTTTATTGCTCTCACATCTAGAAAAAGACCATAGGCAATAATAGGTGATAATTACACATCCTTTGAAACGTATGTATGTGCTAATAAAAGAGATATCACTACTGCAGGGACCCAAGAGTCATTCCTCAGAAGGAAATACATGGTGTTAGTTCATTTATTCCACAAACAGATACTGTGTGCCTAAGCACCAGATAAAAGAGCTCTGAAGAGGCCAGTTACAGTTCCTGTCCTCCAGGAGCTTCCAATTGGATATGACAGGCCCTGAAAGCTCCTGCTCTTCCACCATGGAGGCACATTTCACTGCTTTTACTGCCCATGAACTGAACTCCCCATCACAAATCTGTATGCTTTATTAGAAAGTAAAACTCTTACCATCTGAACATTTTTTACAATATGCTTTTCTGGGTACATCAAAATTTTAGGGAACAGACTGGACCTGAGAGTTTCACGGCATGGTTTTTCAGTGCCATTAAACTTCAAAATGAACTCTCTTAAAACTGCTTTTAAAATTATAAATCAAATGTGTCACTTCTTATGAACCTGACACGTTTTCAGAGCAAAGAAATAAAATGTGTCACTTCCCTGAACATAACTATGGTCAGAATAAAATCTATCCTCCTTACACTGCCTTGAGGCCCTTCATGCCCTTGTCCCTACCACATATCATCCCGTGTGTGTGTGAGTATTTTTTTTGTTTGTTTTTTGATACAGGGTCTCACTTTGTTGCCCAGGCTGGAGTACAATGGTGCCATCATAGCTCACTGTAGCCTCAACCTCCTGGGCTCAAGTAATCCTCTCACTTCAGCCTCCTGAATAGCTGGGACTACAGGCGCATGATCACACCTGGCTAATTTTTAAATTGTATTTATTTTTATTTATTTATTTGTTTATTTATTTACTTACAGATGGAGTCTCACTCTGTCACCCAGGCTGGAGTGCAATGGCGCAATCTCGGCTCACTGCAACTTCCATCTCCTGGGTTCAAGCGATTCTCCCGCCTCAGCCTCCCAAGTAGCTGGGATTACAGGTGCCCACCATCATGCCCTGCTAACTTTTTTTGTATTTTTGTAGAGACGGGGTTTCACCATGTTGACCAGGCTGGTCTCAAACTCCTGATCTCAGGTGATCCGCCTGCCTCGGCCTCCCAAAGTGCTGGGAATACAGGCATGAGCCACCATACCCAGCCAATTTTCTTATTTTTTTTTTTGTAGAGATGAGGTCTCCCTATGCTGCCTAGGCTGGTCTCTAACTCCTGAGCTCAAGCAAGCCTCCTGCCTCGGCCTCCCAAAGTGCTTGGATTATAGGCATGTGCCACTGCACCCAGCCCTCATCCTTGTATAAGAAAAAGTGTTAAATGGAGGAAATCACACTTTATGCTCACTTATGCACATTTCTTTTCCTAAATCTCTTGAGACAGTTTAAAGATGAAAAAGAAACTAACAGCATGTATTGATACTGTAAAAGTATGATTAATGACTTTTTTGAGATGGAAGCAGCATCTTGATTATTAGGGAAAGAAAAACCTATTCACTAACTTTCAAGTTGGGTAATTTACTCCATTAAAATCAGCTACCATGTTTTAAGATTTAATGTATTGTTCGAATTCATGTATGCAAACAAACTCATTAAAATTCAGGAGATTTCACTCAGAAACTCACTGTACTTAAAATTCAGGGCCCTAACAGAGGGTATTGAACTAGAATATTTAAATGGAAACATTTGTCCCTTCTAGACAGGGTGTTCTACGCTGTTTTTTGTTTATGTTTTCACCCAAAGTAGGAATTCAAGATGCCCTGAGAGTCTGCAGCAACTGGAAGAACTTGCTCCTGATATTACACTAACATGCTGCACCCGAGGTCAAGGGCTGATTTTTCAATGCCTCCTTACACCCGCTGATGTAGGGGATAATCACCATCACTCTGGGGATGAATTTAAAGACAAATATTTCCAATTCTAGCTTTGTAAAATGCACGTAGTCCTAAATTTTATTAAGAAGTAATTTTCTAGAAAACAGACATACATTCCTTTAAGTAACCAAAATGAATGCTCCCGCTCATATTTTGTATGGAACTCATGCTAACAGGTGCTTCTTATGTTACCTGGATTAAAAAAAAAACACCTCACCTTATACTGAGCCTGACTGCGTGATAGGCCCTGTGCTTCATTAATGCTTTACCACAGCACTTCATTCAACCACCCCCCGACAACCCTCTGCAGAGAAGAGGAACTAAGGGACCACGCAGGTTAAAAACCTCATTGAGGTCACCCAGCTGGTAAGGAGTGACACCCGCAGTTCACCCTGCACCATACCACCTCCCTGAAGATAATGAATCAGAAAAAATACTTCTGAGTCACTGTTGGGATTGAAAAAAAACATGGGGTTTAAAAATGGATTCTGGAACTAGACTGCCGTTTACTAGCTATATGACCTTGAAAGGTTATTCAAACATTCTGTGCCTCAATTACCTCATTTGGAAAATAGGGATAACGGAACACAACTAAGACGCGTTGCAAGAATTAAACGGGTCAATCCATGAATAATGTTAATGCCTAGAATTTGGTATACAGTAAGCACTCAATAAATGTTAGCTCTTATTAAAATCAAGTGCTGTAACAATGAAGCCCCCAAAGATTACCAAGGTTCTTACAGCTGTCTGGACCTACCCTCAGTGAACTAGGGGCTGATTTCATTCATATGCATTTACACACTTTTTGTGTGTGCTTTCCATGTGACAAACACATCATACACACAGTAACAGCATTCAATTCTCAAAAAATAAAAGTCCTACAAGGGAGTTTCTATCCTTCTTATAATAAAGAAAATGACTGAATAATTTGCCCAAGGCTTTCAAACAGGAATTTGAACTTTGGAGTTTCTATCTCAAAAGCCCAAGTTCTTTTAGCTACACCATTATTTTGAGTTCTTATGTCTACTTTTTCCATTTTGTCAGTAAGTCCATTGGTTATAACTTAGGATCAGAGTTTGGACAGAGACTTTACAGTGTATCTAGGACAACATTTCCTTTTCATACACGAAGAAATAAAAGCCCAGGAAGTTTACTGTTGACATGTCTGAAGTCACATAATGAATGTCTTCCATAGTCCCACACTGCCAATTTTTCCTCTCCGATGTTGGTGGCCTGCCTCCAAGAGGCCCTCAGCCCTGCTCCTAATCTTTTTGGGCCATAGAGAAACCAATGACCACTGCATAAATCAAGACTATAAAGGCTAAGAGAGGGCTCAGAGACTTCCCTATGAGGCAAGCTCATGCGTTTTAGCAAGTGGACTTCGTTATATAAAAAGCTGAGTTGCTCGGGTTTCTCTGCTTTCTGGATCACAGAGGCATTATGGAGACTTAAACAAATCAGGTGTTCATCTAGTTTACAATGCTACTGTGTCTGCGAGGAAAACTTTGCCAAACAAGGTTTTTACAAACAAAAGCTAGAATAGACACAATTTCACCTTCAAATAAAAGGACAGGCTGACATGAAGTTTAAACTTAAATTGCCAAAGGAAGGAAGCTCACAATTAAGGTAGCTGTTCCTAGCACTTAGTAGTCTAAGGCCAACAGCATACAAGCATAACAAACCAACAGTCCCCATGTGGACAGACAACACTGAGATTTCTGATACAATTAGTTTCCTTTTCACGAAAGAGTCAGATTCATAATTAAACTCTGTCCCCTCCTGTTCCCATTCTGCTGCACACATATTTGATTGCTTCCTAAGGGCCTGAGTTAGAAACCGGGAGACCCAAACCACAAGTCCACTGACCTCTGGGGGCCAAGAGGGAACTTGATGCATGTTTGCATTAGCTATTACTCAGGCTTGTCCAAGGAGAGGTTGATTTCATCTTCCCACTCAACATACTTTTCAAGGGTTTGTTGGTCAGTTTTAATAGTTCTTTTTTTTCTTTTTTCTTTTTGAGACGGAGTCTCGCTCTGTCGCCCTGGCTGGAGTGCAGTGGCGCGATCTCGGCTCACTGCAAGCTCTGCCTCCCGGGTTCACGCCATTCTCCTCCCTCAGCCTCCCAAGTAGCTGGGACTACAGGTGCCTGCCACCACGCCCAGCTAATTTTTTGTATTTTTTTTTTTTTTTTTTTTTTTTTTTTTTAGTAGAGACGGGGTTTCACCGTGTTAGCCAGGATGGTCTCGATCTCCTGACCTTGTGGATCCGCCCGCCTCGGCCTCCCAAAGTGCTGGGATTACAGGTGTGAGCCACCGCGCCCGGCCAATAGTTATTATAGACCACTGAAAGGGGCTGGTCCTATGGGTAAGTGCCCAACACACAGAGTCCTGTGGAAAACTCCAGCACCTGTTTTGAGAGGAAGAGGTTGTTGCAGCTAGAGTACAGTCCAGAACTGAAGTGCGAGGCTCACGTGTTGGCCCCTCTAGCTTCTTACTTGATTAATCAGTCAACTACCCTCTCAGAACTTTAGATTCCTTGTCTACAACAAGGAGATATCTATCTCCTTCTACCTTATATGATTATTGAGTAGTTTACATAAAGTAATAACATAAGTGAAAGTACTTTGTAAACGGCAAAGGTCCAAGTGAAGGGAATGGGCAAATGATGTTGTTTCTTAACGTCCTAATTGGCCTCCCCATATATGATCCTACAGTGGCTCCCTACTGCTCTAGGATAAAGTCCAGACTCTTGAATAAGGTTAGAAGCTCTTCTGCCCTCTAATGACCCAACTTCACCTCTTGTCACATCCCCCACTTACCTGAGGCTTCAGCCAAACAAGATGTCTTCAAGTTCCTCCTTCAAGGGCTATGCTATCTCTCTGGAGGGCAGGAGTGGCTCTGCCCAGAGAGCCTCCCTTCCTTACTCTCTTCCATTCTACCCAACTAACTCCTCCTTTGGGGTCCAATCTGAGCTGAGATATAATTCCCTCCTAGAGCCCTTCCTCGACCTCTCCTCTGCACACTTTCATAACACGGAGATTTACTCCTTTGTAGCCTTTTTCATCATTGTGTTAAAATTGCCTGGGTATTCATTAACTCTTTCCCGTTTCAAAATTTTGCAGACCAAAAAGTGTTGAATGAGTGAATTTAGTGAAAGTGATAATGACCTAATGTTTGGCATGAGTAGCTGACTGACAAACCAATATAGTACCCCCACCCCCAACTTCAAAAGCAAGGAGGAAAGAGGTTCTTGGAAATCTAGTTAAAACCTCACCCACCCCCAGCCACTCCCTTTTAACCCCAAAGCAAAAGGCTAATCAAGGGCCGAATATATACTTGCATCCCAGATCTCCTAGTCTAATTCCTTCCTTTTCTCCCACAAAATGTTGACTACGCCCAGACTGTATGCCAAACCATCAGTGTCTTTTCATAGCAAGAGAAATGAAGGCAGATGGGGTGTAAGAGAAAATAGATTTGAAATTAAAAAACAAATGCTCAATGTCAGGCTTTGTGTGACCTTGGGCAACCCCGATGCCTCTAGGCCTCAGGCCCACCATCTGTCAAATGGAAATTTAGCACCAGCAAAGGGCTTCCTATTATTTTAGACTATTTTTCACCTATCTCACCATGAGGTTTTTTTTTTTTTTGTCTTGTCATGCTTTTTCTTTTTGTGGTGTTGAGTGTCTCACTATGTTGCCTAGGCTGGTCTTGAACTCCTGGGTACAAGGGATACTCCCTCCTTGGCCTCCCAAAGTGCTGGGATTGCATGCGTGAGCCACTGCACCTAGCCTCACCATGTTTTACAGGAAGTAAATGAGACTATTTGAAAATACTTTATACATTTCTTCTCAAAGAAATACTTTTACAATTTTCAATAAGTTATCTTTCTGGTGATATTTAGCTTTATTACTCAAACCAAAACATTTTAAAGAATAGGATTCAAAAACATTAAGCAATCTCTTTAGTACAACAAAGATTTTAGCCAATTTACAAGATCAATACAGGCTTGTTTGAATTAACTAATGCTACTTCTTCTTCTGTCTTCATGTCATCAAAACACTAGTGTCTACCAGTGCAAAGAATCCTCATCCACAATCATTAACTGAAGAAAGAAAAGGACAAACCCTTTTATAGACACTGTTTGATTTCACAGACTCACAGAATGCTGCAGCCAGAAGAGACCTGAAGACCATCGAGGCCTGCACTCACCCTTCATGATCAGAAAAGTCTAGTCTGATGTTTTCAGGAGGGGTTTGTGCCATGAATAATTCAAAACACAAACCAATTGTTTGTCACAGCCCTACGTACTTTTTAAAATAAGAATTAAGAGATAACTTGAACAAAAAACGGTAAATCATATAATAAGATCACAACATAAATGTAAAATGTAATAGTGCTTATCAAAGTTGAAGGCTGGCCGGGGGCAGTGGCTCACACCTGTAATCCTAGCACTTTGGGAGGTTGAGGCGGGCAGATCACTTGAGCTCAGGATTCAAGACCAACCTGGGCAACAGGTGAAGCCAAGTTTCTACAAAAAATACAAAAATTGGCTGGGCGTGGTAGTGCACAGGAGGCCACTAATTCCAGACTGATGACAAAGTCTCAAAAAAAGCCCACAAAGAAACAAAAAACAAACAAAAAAAACCCAAAGTTGAACGCTGAAGGGCCAAAATAAAGACATAACTCTGATGATATTATATATATTTATATATGCATGTTTTTCAACTTAATTATAATGGAATTTTGTGCATGTTAAAGAAATTATTTCACTTTTCCCACAAATTTTTCATCCTTCTATAAGGTTGGAAATTTTCAAAATGATGTAGACAAAATAGGGAATGCAACAACTCAAATTTGTTTGTGGACAACACCCTGGTCTGTGTTCATTACTGGCTATGGCAGAGAGAGGCACCAATTTTTTAAAAATTATCTAGTTCTAAACAATGTAAGAGAAAAATCGAAGTCAAAGGTCACTATTAATTCTCAAACTATTTTACAGAGACATTTCTAACTCTTTATCCAATAGTTTACTCCAATTGCTAACAAAAGCAAAAAGAGACTGAACCAAGTAGCCAAAGAGATAGGGGAAGGGAAATGTTTTCATTTTTCTCTTCCCAACCCAATCCCCTCTCTCTAAATCTTGGTATGGGTGAGGTGCTAACAGACAGTGAAACAAGAAAGTGGTTGGAGTCATTCCAAAAGGGGAACAGTTGACTCTCAATAAAGAATTGTTTTCCATGCTGTATCAAGATTTTACTCAGAGATATTTAGAAGAGAAAAAGTAAACGATTCCTTGTTGAAAACCATAAAAAACTATCACATCCAAATTCATAAGCAATAAACAAATTACAGAAGGGTTAGTCACTGACATCTCCCAACACAAACTCTTTTTTTTGTAATGGATTTTGTGTATTCGTATGTATGTGTGCATAAGGAGATTAGAGTATGCTGCAATATCCATTCCAGATAAACAAATATTGCATAAGAAACGAATTTACAATTCAACTTTTAATAGATTATCCAATACTTCACATTAAAACTTGACCATATATCTTCAGAGTTGTCCTTCCACTTTATACATCAGGATAACATCTATGATTTATTAAAATAATTACCGCCAAGTTCTTCACCAAAATATGCAAAATTATAATGTGATATGGGAAGCCACGCCAGTCCTAGCTTTGCCAGCAGAAGGCCGTGCAATACTACACGTTGCTTAACAGCTCTGCAGATGGTTTTTATCATAATGAAGTGGGATTCTATACCTAACTGAGCTTTTGCAAAGTGCTTTGAAATCCTGCAATGCTGTCATGAGACCACAAGTACCACCATTATCCAGGCTTTCTCAGTGGTAGCCAGCCTAAATACGATGAACATGATAACAAGCAGAGTGTTAGCATTTTCCCTGAGAGTCAAGAATTAAACTTCTGGGCTGAGGAAGATGAGAGCTCCCAGGAAAATGTCCAAAGTTGCAGTAAACAGGTAAATACCAAAGTGCCTAGTTAAACTAATGCTAAATGCTACAAGTAGGACAGCAAGAAAATACTTTCATCACAGCTAATTGAGCTGCTGTAGAGAACTGTTCCCAAACTGTTTCCACCACTTTATGCGGCCTCCCAAAGGAAGTCCCAAGCAACTAAGTAACTTTTTTTGAAAAGCAGATTTATTTCTTCCTCTAAGGACAACCAGGTACCTACCTCCTTTCAGGTTCTTATTAATTCAACTTGAAATAAGAAAAATCCCAAAACACAAAACTGAACATAGGAAAAGGGCACCTCTCCAGACATACTATATCTAATAATTATTTACTAATAATATTACTAATATTGAAATTTAGCCATAACATGTTGGACAGCAAATAGCTACCTATTCATTTTAGAAAACAGCAAATGTGTAGGAAGTTGCCGCCCTCCCTCTCTTTCCCTACTGTCCATGGCAGACATTAGGAATCCATCACAGCCCTCAGCCTTGCTGAGCTCAGACAGGACCTCAGAACTCAACAGAACACAGCATTCCTGGCAGCCACTACCAATCCATCAGGATTGACATTTTTCATCCCAGCTTTGCATATTCCTCAACATACTATGCCAACATATTGAAATGGGTCTTTAAAGAAAGCCATTTCAGCCAGGTGTGGTGGCTCACTGTAATGCTAACACTTTGGGAGGCCGAGGCAGACAGATTACTTGAGCTCAGGAGTTTGAGACCAGCCTGGACAACACAGCGAAACCTTCTCTCTGTAAAAAATACAAAAATTAACCAGGTATGGTAGTGTGCACCCGGGGTCCCAGCTACTCCAGAGGCTGAGGCAGGAGAACTGCTTGAGACCAGGAGGCGGAGGTTGCAGCAAGCCGAGATTGCACCAACACATTCCAGCCTGGGCGAAAGAACAAGACTCTGTCTTAAAAAAAAAAAAAAAAAAAAAGAAAAGAAAGAAAGAAAGAAAGAAAAAAAAAAAGAAAGCCACTTCAAGACAGTTTCAAGACTAAAGAAAACCCTTTATTTAAACTATAAAATGATCATTTTTTTCTGTAAGATGAGAATAAAACATAACCATAAACATCAGTACTATAGACATATGCTATTCCAGTGAGATACACAAGGGCTCTATATAAAAATATTTATATAAATATTTTTTTTAAATAGAATTTGGCCTTATTCAACCCAAACGCTCAGTCCAGGTCTAATCCACTCACTACCCTGTCACTCAAATGAGTGCTGGGCAGAACACAGACACAAACACAGCTCCATCTGCTAATTAAAAATGGGCATGAAACTGTTAACAGGCATCTGTTGCATTGTTTGAAGCTAATGGGCAGAGACAAAGCTGAAATGGCTCTTATAATGCAAACCCAGTGATTTCACTCATTTTCTATTTGGTATTTATGTTAGTGGGGGGTTGGAAGCTGGGTGTTAAAACAGCTTATTATGGAGACTGAAAGATAAGTAAAATATCTTTGATATTCTAAAACAAACCTTTCAAACTGATTATAGAAAGATATGTAGCATTTTATACTGGGGGAAGTAACATTCCTGTGTTAAGAGTCCAAATTAAACACTTTTTATCTTAACTCAAATATCATCTAATCATCTATAATACTGTGAAAGAGAATAGTAACAAATTCAAGCTATGCTTTACAGCTCATATAGGGCTTTCACAATTCATCCCTTCATCCGTTCATTCATCCAATGTGCAGACATTTAATACAGGCCTTGGAGATTTAAAAGGCGAATATGACTTGATTTTTGCCTTAAGGAGCTCACAGCAACTCTGAAAGGTAGACACAGTATTCTTACACTCTGTTATAAGGAACTAAGGCCCTAGAAGGATAACTGACTCCCCAAAGCCCACAAAGCTAGAACGGCAGATGCCCATTGCTCTTAATTCAACATGCTATCTCCATAATGCCAAACATACTAGTCCACCTCATCTGCCTGGAAAATGAAAATAATTTAAGGCTTTTTCATGTCAATACCAGCTCTGATAAAGGATCTATTTTAAAGTACTGTAACCACCATACATCCTTGATGGCCATGCCTGCTTTGCAAGCTGGTAGCTCACAGGCCTCATCTAGCCCACAGACATGTCTGTTTGGCCCTTATTGTAATGGCCCTCACATTGTTTTTTGTTTGTTTTTATTAATTGCCCATAAAGTTGAGTTTTTATGAGAAATTTTCAGCAAATCTTGAAATATGTGATGATTTTCCAGCATGGCAATGGTAAAGCTGCAAATAAAAAGCAGCCACGCCCTAAGAGAGGGAATACATACAATCCAGGGTCCACATCACACCCTGCTGCTTCCCATTCTGGGTCCACTCCCCTTACTCATAGTTCCCACCAGAACCATGTGAGTTTGCAACCCCTAACCTAGGTAGTAAGAATCTACAATCTTACCTTGAATTTCCCTTTTTACATTTCCGTGGCTACTTGCATTTCTGAAGCTTAGTGATATCATACTCCACATTACTCGCCACCTAAAATCTACTTCCCCATCCTCACCCCCAACCCTCTTCTCATGCTATGAAAACTCTATTCCTGCAAAATATTCTCAAGTAACAGTTCTAACACCCACAGGAGAGCTGATGTCCAGAGCTGGGTGAAGACAGGCAGACCTAGACTCGAGCTGGCCTGAGGCCAGCAGCTCCCTGCTCATCCACTTCAGGATCTATGGTTCTTTTCAGATTCAGTTATTGGATTCAATTCAAAAATATACTGCTAAATTTTTCTTTGTCCTCAAAGACTAGACTTATTTACCTCTAAAACAATATCTAAACCTATTTCCCTCCAGCTTTTCTCAGTGGATCCAAACAATCTCGCTGCTGTTGCCAAGAGAACCTCCTCCCTGACTTGCTGCCTGCAGAACAGCTGGTGAAGCTCTTCATTAAAGTACACATTCTTCAGACAGATCCATATTTGTACCCAAGACTCAGTTTCCCCATGCCCATCCTTTATATGTAGGAAGGCTTTTTTCATTCACTAGAACATTGATTGAAGAGATGAGTTTAATCCTTTATGATCAAGTATTAAATTCTACTTTTTCTGAACCAGAGTCGTTATCAATGCTATTGCTTAGATGGGAAATCTACTGGCAGCTTTGAAAGAACACAATGACATTAAAATAAGGCTTTATGTACAAAATGTTCAATATGAACTTGCATGTTCCTTGCATATTTTTGTTTGAGAAGTTGAAACCAAGGAAAACAACTATGAAAATGAAAATCAACTTGCTCTACGTATCTGGATTATGCTCAGCCAAATGTTGATGTCATCTTGGATAAAAATGTAAATATGACAAAGTTTGTTTTTCAGTCAATAAGTCTTGATAAAAGCTTTGAAATGCTACCAACCAAAAATAGTTTTTAATTTTAAGTAACGGTCAGCAAACTTTCTACAAAGAACCAGTTAGTAAATATTTTTAAGCTTTGTGGGATACATATGGTCTCTTTTGCATATTGCTTTATTTTTTAATAACCTTTAAAATATAAAAACCATTCTTAGCCTGTGAGCTACACAAAAACAGGCTGCAGGTCACACTTGGCCCATAGGCTATAGTGTGCTAACCCCTGATTTTAAGGAAAGTGAACCCAAGAAAAATATCCAGTGTTACAGAATAAAATGTCTAAAAGTACTCTGATGAGACTAAGCTACAACAATTACTAACATACCCCCATTAATATGATTTCATTAGTTACTTTACGTATGGAAGAAATTTTAATGATAGGATACACTTTGATCTCCTAATGTGAAACTATAGACACAGAAAGGGCAAAGGACAGCTATGCGCTGAGTTATTCCAGTATAAACTCCAACAGAACTCAGAGTCATTGTAGTAACATTTGCTATTCACCTGAACAGACTCGGCTAATCAAAACAGAAATGTCTTAACTTTCCTCACATAAAGGCGTATGTGCAAACTCTAATTCTTCCCTGGAAAAGGTGATGACTTGAATTAATGGGGATAATCATACTGATTAGGAATAGTAGCAACTCAGTTGTGAAAAGTGACATAGACTTGGATCTGGGGTTTCACTACAGGATCTGCTATAATCAGCTGTGTAATTTTGAGGGTGTCAATTAAACCTTCATTTTTTTTTTATTTATAAAATTGGGACAGGAATAAAGTAGATAATATCTAAGACTCTTTCTGCTGTTAAACTATGACTATACTAAATAGTGAAACCACTCAGGAAATACCTAACAGGAAGAAGGGGGCAGGGCAGCAGAGAGACGGCAAAGGGAAGAAGCTCTGATTGTCCTGTCAAGAGGACAGGGCTGGGTTATCTCTTTTTGTTAAACCAGCACCTTTTTCTGTCCAGAGCCATTTCAAGACGTCGGTATGCCCTCATATCAATATTAAAATGCATCCATTTCCCAGAGGAAATATAATCTATAGCTAACTGTATCATCATTCCTAGTTGTCTTTATGTTACATTTTACAGGCACTTAATTAAATGTTTTTGATGTTGTTGTTGTTGTTGTTTTTTGAGATGGAGTCTTGCTCTGTCGCCCAGGCTGGAATGCAGTGGCGCGATCTCAGCTCACTGCAAGCTCGGCCTCCCAGGTTCACGCCATTCTCCTGCCTCAGCCTCCCAAGTAGCTGGGACTACAGGTGCCCGCTGCCACCCCCGGCTAATTTTTTGTATTTTTTAGTAGAGACGGGGTTCACCGTATTAGCCGGGATGGTCTCAATCTCCTGACCTTGTGATCCGCCTGCCTTGGCCTCCCAAAGTGCTGAGATTACAGGCATGAGCCACTGCGCTTGGCCAATTAAATGTTAATTATGATTACATAAGGGTTTTTAGAGCCAATAAAAAAAATTCAATTTTCAAACATTTGGAGTGAAAGGCGAGTTGGTCCTAGGCACTTGACCAATAATTTCAAATGGATAAAACATCCTTTCCTCACAGTTAACTAAACTATTGACAGATATACTAGAAGATCTTCAAAAAGTCAGATACAAGAAAATCTACCTTCCAACACCCCTCAAAGAGCAAAAAGGAAATGAAGGGACCTGAGATATCAGAGAAGATAGCAAAACCTTATTTATTTACTTATCTATTTTTTAGAGACAGAATCTTGCTCTGTCTCCCAGGCTGGAGAGCAGTGGTGCAATCATAGCTTACTGTAATAACCTTGAACTCCTGGGCTCACGTTATCCTCCTGCCTCAGCCTCCCAAGTAGCTAGTACTAAAGGTGTGCACCACTCCACCTGGCTAATTTTTTAATTTACTTTTTGTAGAGATGGGGTCTTGCTATGTTGCCCAGACTGGTGTCAAACTCCTGGCCTCAAGTGATCTTCCTGCCTCAGCCTCCCAAGTAGCTAGGAATACAGGCATACACCGTTTGGTGAATTTTTGTATTTTTGTAGAGACAGAGTCTCGCTATGTTTCCCAGGCTGGTCTTGAACTCCTGGCTTCAAGTGATCCTCCCACCTCAGTCTCCCAAAGTGCTGGGGTTACAAGCTTGAGCCACCACACCCAGCCAATAGCAAGACCTTAGAGAAGTGAGAAGAAGAAAGTATCTCTGAGACAACTGTATCTGGAATCAAAATGACTGTCTCCTTCCCTTCGTGATGACAGAACCCCTATCAAAACAGTGTCGAAAGATGGCAGATTACCATTTTTAAAACTACTAAAACTTTGACAAAGCAAAATTAAGACTTAAAATGTATCTTCATGGGAAGAAACAGACACCCATACATATCTACCAAAACACATACACACAAACCCCAGGCGTTGAGAAATACATCTTTTCCGTATGACACAGAGCTTATCAAGTGCTGTCAGCAATGCTATGGCAGACTTCATCAAAACCCAGTCAGAAAAGCACAGGAACTTACACACTTAGGTACTTCATGACTAGGGAGGAGATGGGCTGTCACCTCAGTAACTTCAGATCACCTGGGAATGAGGTGAGGGGCATGGAGGGAGTGGCTGCTAGAGATGTCAACACTCAAAATCTATACTTGTAATCAGTGAAGAGTCTGTGGAACCAGAATGGTGCTAACATTCACCTTATTTTCCCAGCTTAATTTTGACTGCAGAGCATTAGGTTTCTATATAATTCTGCAGTTTGAAGGCAGTGTGTATATAAATTCTGCAGTTTGAAGGCAGTGTGCTACCACTTCCTGTTGGAGCTCTGGGGCTAAATAAGAGGTATGGGATTTCCCCTCCTCCACGTCAACTGAAGACACAGCTCACACCTCTTTTTACCACATCCACCTCACAGAAAATATAAAGACCAAGATGTCACATGAGATTCACCTCCTTTTCATGTTCACTTCCTATTCTAATCTGTTTCAGGACACTGGTTTTCATGCCTTCATAGCTGTCACCCTCCAAAGAACCTCATTTCCATCATTTTTTGAAATCCACTGATAGACTTGAACCCTTCAAAATGAAAAGTAATTTTTAAAAGCTACTATTTTAAAAGGAACCAGATACCCTTACAGGAAACATGGGACAAAAATTAAGGGAAAAAGAGAAAACGAATAAAACTATTACAAACAAGCAAGTCGTCCAAGAAGCTTAACAAAAACAGCATCAGCGAGATTCACTTACTTTCAAGGCAGGAGATACTTCTGGGAGGCTCAAATACAGAATGGACAAAAGGACACCCACTCAACTTGTTAGAAATTATCCTTTACCATCTGTACTGCAGTATGCATTCAACAATGAAAAATTGTTATTTGAGGCTTTGAAATTAATACAAATGTCAAAAATTAACACCCTTTAGTTGCTGTACCAGCAGCTACCACCAAATCTTAGGAATATACTTGAGAGATGACATTTAAAATCTGCTTTTTCAGAAAAGAAAAAGTCCCACTCAAGACTGACTGCCAAGAACTTGCAATTCAAACTTCCCTAAGCCCAGACATCATAACACCCAGGAGATTTTAGACCATTCAATCTATATGAAAGAATCCAGAATGAGCAAACAAACCATAGCCTTTACTAATACTTAAAGAGTGTTCTATACCAAATACTCTTTTTTTAAAAAAAGATAAATTATCCTTAAAAATACACAAATATTTAAACACACGTATTACCAAAGCACTAGCTCTCTATTATTTCCCAACCCAGAAATTCATGGTGAAATATGCTGTAAGAACCATACGAAAGATGACTAAATAAGCCACTATTAGAGGCCAGAAACATCACCAACACAACCAAAAGCTGAGGTATTCTTAAGGTACTTAATTAACCTGCAACTATTTAACAGGAGAAATGATGTTAAGGTGGTCACTTCTAAAACAGCTTAAAACCAGCTTTGACTTGGTCTTCAGTTTATGATAAGTTAAGAGATCTTATTACCTGAACACAGTGTCTTCCAGTACAAAAGTAGAAAGGACAGCTCCCAGCCAGGATCAGAAAAACTCTTGATTCAATTGGAAGTAACTGAGAGGTATATCACATGTTGTGATTCACTTAACAATAATTAGAACCAAAGCAAAATATACAGGGAGGCAGGTAGAATGTAAGTTCATTTCCTTGGCTGAGAAGCTGTTAAACATTCAAACCGAAGGATTTAAAATACTGAGAAGTCTTGCTTCTCAGGAGATGGTAGTAAAGAGGTGAACCATATTTTCCTGACCACATCATTTCCAAAAGTCACCAATTCCCTTAACATCCATTAACACTCACAGAACAAATTAACGCTCTATAGACATTATTCCATCATTAGTCACATTTTGCTTTCTCCTGCACTTGATCCAAAGGAAGTGAAGAGAAAATGGTAATCAGTTACTATAGCAAGTCTTGCGCCCCACTACTTTCCATTTCCTCTCTTTTCCATCTCCTCTGTCTTCTCTGCTCAACCTCCCTTTACTATGATGTTGCTTCCTCTTTTCCTTTCTGTCTCACACCCAGATCCCTTTACTTTCTCCATCAAGTATCCTCATTCTGCCCTCTGATCCCTTGAACTCTTCTTCCACCTACAATTTTCTTCTGTCCCCTCCTACGACATCTCAGTCCAGACCTCCTGTGGCCAGCCGTCCCCTTCTTCCTCACCTCCTGACCGCTCATTCCCCTGAATTCCCTTCCAGTTGCCTGGTTCTCACCTCTCTGTCCCTTGTGTCCTCTGTCCCTTTACTTCACATCCCTCTCATTGCCCCCATCCCTCATTTCCCCCTTCACATTTCCTTCCTCTCCTGTCTTTTAATCATTGGCACGTCCACTATCCCCTTCTCTCTACATGAGATTTCCTGAGTCTTCCCCCCAACACATTTTGTCCCTCAAAGACCCCTCCCTGTCAGTCTCCGAACCCTCTCGTTCCCCCAATACCCCTAGTCCTTGTTCCTCTGTTCCCCTTCCCGTTCCTTTGCCCCCAAGTTCCCCCTTCGCCCTTAGCCTCACGTTCCCGCTCGCCTCTCTCCCTCACGCCCTCGCCCCTCTCCCTCACGCCCTCGCCCCTCTCAGTGCCCCCGCCACCTTGCAGTCCCCGGGGTCTCCTCTCCCGGGCTCCCAAGCGCCCCCCGCCCTTTCCCCGTCCCCTAGTACCCGCCCCCCAATTCTCTACCCGGTCCCGGGCCGCGGCCCCTCCCTCACCGATGGTGGAGATGAAGGTGGTGTTGAAGGCGTCCTCTGAGAAGCGGAACAGGAGGCAGGTCTTGCCTACCCCCGAGTCGCCGATCAGCAGGAGCTTGAAGAGATAATCGTACGTCTTCGCCATCTTCTCGCTCCGGCCCTCTGACCGGGGAGCCAGAGGAGGCGGTGGAGAGAGGCGGGGAGGGGGCCGCGGGCGAGGGGGCGTGCCCGCCAATCCGCCGCTGCTCGCCCCGCCCCACGCCCCGCCCCTCCTCTCGGAGAAGGCCTGCGCGCCCCGCCCCGTGCGGCCAATCGGCGAGGGCTTCGTCATCACCGCCCGCGCCCCGGGACTTCATGGGACTTGTAGTTCCTCCGGGGAGCCTCGGGCGTGCCCCGCGAGGACTGTCCAGGCGGCTCCAGCGGATAAAAGACCTGCTATGGGCGGGGTGACAGGGTGGAGGCGTTTCCACCCGAGCTGGGAAGGGAGGCCCCGTTTCGTACTCTGCTGGTCGAGCCGCGGGAACTTAACTTTGTTATTTCTTTGTGTGCAGACGCCTTCCAAATCCAGGACCTCAGAATCAGAGCCCCGTAGTTCCCGCATCTCTTCCGCCGAGACCTGGAGCAGAGATGCTTTCTTTCCTTGGCGCTGCTGTGGCGCAGCCTACGGGTTATCTGCAGAGGGCATTATCCAGCTTCTCCCCGAGGCCATGCCCAGCACCACTATAACCCCCTCCCGCAGCCCCTCAGTCACAGAGCTGAGAAAGAATGGTTACCATGCTAACTCGAACCTCACTCGTGCCCCCTTCTTCACGCCACACAGACCAGAGCCAAATACAATGAGTATTTAGAGAATCTGCTACGCTGATCGCTCCCCTCTCCTCGCAGGAGGATGGATTTTTAAATCTGGGAAGTCTTGTGCTACAGGTCTGTGCCCCATGAAACTGCAAGCATCCTGTGAGGCGGGCCACGGGAATTTAGAGAGTAAGATTTGAATTTAGTCTTGGCTCTGCTGCAAAACCGCTGTGACAAGTCACACAGGCACTGGACATTTCAGTTTTCTCATCTGTAAAATGGATATGAAACAAGATACTTCATAGGGTTCCAGTGAAACTTAAATACTAAATGTGAAAGTTCTTTGAAACCCATAAGGCACTGTTAGCAGTGATGGTAATATTCATTACTCTTCAGTAGGCTCTCACTTAATTGATGACGAATATAGGGAGGAAACAGCATTCTGTTATACTCAAGTTAATCCTTTATTATTTATTGTCTTAGGCTAATTCTCTGTTTTGTGGATGTATTGTTCAGTCCCCTTTCATTTGCTAGTGGCAGAAACCCAACCGGATTAGCTGTTGTGAAAGGGGTGTTGACTGGTTCAGGTAATGTGGAAGCAAAAGGCTAAGAAGGTGTGGGACTAGGAGTCCACCCTGCCAGGGCTCTGTGTCTCTCATCTGTTGTTCTCCCTTCGAAGTTTTAATTTCTAATATGTCAAATACCGACAGGTAAAACCCACATGAAAAAAAGCTTCTTGGAGTCTTCAATAAGTTTTAAGAGGATGAAGGGGTCTTGAAACCAAAGTATTTGAGAACCACTGGTCCAGACATTTACCTTAGCTATAAGGAAACACCTTCTGGAAGGCTAGAGGTTATTAAGGGAACCAGTGGACTCCACCATTAGTGGAATAAGAAAAGGGGGGGGGGGAAAAACCGTGGACAGTTAGTTGAACAAACCAGCAGGCTTTTCTAAGGACACATACTGTGTGCCTTGTGACTTTAGGAACAGTGCCACTGATAATCCATTCTCAGTTGCATTGTGGCAGAAGACTTAGTTGGCCCTAGAATTGGCCTTCATTTTCTATGCGGGTAAAAGATGAAATGTGTCATCATTAACTGATTGATCATACAGTAGCCAGAGGGCTGCTGCTGCTGCTGCTGCTGCTTACGGAATGTCTCATTCCTAGAGTCCACTAGATAGGAACAAAGCTCTAATGAGTTCAAAGTCACAGTGTCTGCCCCTAATGAAGAAGGATTCTGCCCTCTGGCACAGGCTGAGCCCTCTTGCCCAAGCCAGTCCTTGAGCAAGCCTCTGAACGTGGCTTCAGCCATGATCTGAACAGTGTGGATTGTTCTATATCTTCCTCCTCATTCCTGGAAAAGAAGGGGAAAAAATTCCGCAAAGACCAGTGGAATTTATTTCTTTTTAAAAATGTATATTTATGGCCAGGCGCGGTGGCTCACGCCTGTAATCCCAGCACTTTGGGAGGCCCAGGCGGGCAGATCACGAGGTCAGGAGATCGAGACCATCCTGGCTAACACGGTGAAACCCCGTCTCTACTAAAAGTACAAAAAATTAGCCGGGCATGGTGGCGGGCGCCTGTAGTCCCAGCTACTCGGGAGGCTGAGGCAGGAGAATGGCATGAACCCGGGAGGCGGAGCTTGCAGTGAGCCGAGATTGCACCACTGCACTCCAGCCAGGGTGACAGAGCAAGACTCTGTCTCAAAAGAAAAAAAAAAACCGCATATTTATTAAAATGATGTTTAGTCCCACTGTCTGTATGCAACTATTATCACTCTCTTTCTATATGAATAAAAATGTAGTGATACGGTAAAGAACTTAAGTTCAAAAGAGAAACTAGCATTAGGAATTTTAAAGTCCCTAAATTTTCTTAGGGGAATTTTGTTAATTGATGGGAATTTTAAAAAATAATAATGTTGTCTTATTTTCACTTCCCCAGTTTTTCTCTGCTACCAAGTATATATAATATTGGGACTTTCTAGCTGGTAAGTTTGTGCACCACTGTTGAACCATTCAAGCATTTTGACATATTGATACTACTTCAAAAAGAATCAGATTTTTTTCTCTTACACATTATTCATTTTCATATTTTGTGCAACAATGTTATTTAGATATCGGATTCTGGTGGTAGTAACTGAGTACTATTGAATCAAGGCATTTTGCTCAAAGGACTGGACATTAAGTATATTTGTAGCAGTACAGTTACTTCAGGTAGCAGGTTGCTGGTTGCCACTGTTCCTTCTTTCTCCGAGAGCTATCAGTGGACCCCGTTTTAAACTCCAAGTTACTATGCTCTGAGTGAACCACATCAATACTTTCTGTCAGTTTCCCAAGCCCACCCTGTAAATACTACATCACTGCAGAGCACCAGGCACATTCAATTTGATTTAGCAAATGTTTATTGAAGCCTTCTATAGGGTTAATATTGTACATGACAGCTTGACTACAGAAATCTAGATGTCCAAGGAGTCTACCTTCTGTGAATTTTGTCAGACCAGCACTCTTTCTGTTTTTGGAAAGCCACTCCTCTTTCTAATGATGGCTGTGAATCATGTCACTTCACTCCACATGCCACAGAGGTGGGCATATGACCCAGGCTGCGTCAATCCGAGTTCTTCCCTGTGAACTTTCTAAGGAAATGGGTTTTGATGCTGAAAGTAGGTCTGTCTGGTATGAGGTCTATGTGAGCTTTTGGCTGGTTTTGATCAAAGCTTTAGTTCATTTTCCTGTATGCTCTTGTTCCTGCTCTTCTCTGTGTTTACTTTGTCCTCAGGCTAGCTTTCCTCATGGTAGCAAGCAAGACTGCCATGTTGCACAATTCCAAAGGCATTATTCACTCTCCACAGTAATGTATTCATCTTGGAGGTCCACTCCCAAGATTCTACAAACATAGTCTTGAGGGTCTGTGTGTTCTCTAAGCAAATTTTCAAAATAGTTTAAGAATTTTTAAACTGGTTTAAGTTGCTCCATGACACTTGAGAGCAAGAAATCACCTTTCTTAATGGCTTTAACGAAATTAAATTTGGCTGAGACCCCTACTTATCAAAGGCTGGCAAAACCAATATCAGGTTTTTTTTGTTTGTTTTTGAGACGGAGTTTCACTCTTGTTGCCCAGGCTGGAGTGCAATGGCACAGTCTCAACTCACTGCAACCTCTGCCTCCTGGATTCAAGCATTTCCCCTGCCTCAGCCTCCCGAGTAGCTGGGATTACAGGTTCCCATCACAATGCCCAGCTAATTTTTATATTTTTAATAGAGACGGGATTTCACCATGTTGGCCAGGCTGATCTCCAACTCCTGACCTCAGGTGATCCGCCCACCTTGGCCTCCCAAAGTGCTGGGATTACAGGCATGAGCCACCGCGCCCGGCCCAAAATCAGTTATTATTGGGACTTTTCCTCTCCTTAATTGTATCTTACAAGAATCCAGGAGCTCACATGGTCCTGAAAAATTAAAGGCAAAGCAGCCTCTGGGAATCAGTGTGTACCCATCTCGGTTGACACTTCTGCCCAACTACTCTTAGGTTCTGGCCCTCTGCCATCTGTTGAGCACAGCTGTCCCGGTGGGCTACAAAGATGTCCTTTATGGTGATTATCTTCACTGACTGATGACTCAGCTGTTGAATAAGTTCTCTCTCTGTTATTGAATGGTTTGTGTGCTTCTTTGTCTGCTCCCTTAAAAGTTGAGCTCTTTGAGGAAAGAGACTGCTAATGTATTGCTGCATCCCCAGCATGCTTAGCATGATGTTTTATACATAGCAGGCACTCAAGGTGTTGAATGAACCAATGAATGAAGATCTGACTAGCATCTTAGCAGTCTAGCTAATTTTAAAACATCTGGACACCTTTAGTTTATTATTTGCTATATTAGGTGTTTGGGACCTCGCTAATATCTTTCTGTTTGTACTCTACCTTGTATTTAGATGTTATTCATTCAGTAAGTACACTATTCATTGTTGTGTTTAAGAAATCAGCATAATTATGTATTATTTTTCTGGTTTGTCAAGATCACATTGAATGATAAGCCCTTAAAAATACCAATTTTTCATGTCACCTGTGTGTCATTAAAAAATGCTATTTAGTGATACTCCAGTGTATAATTCTACAATTATCCTAATCAGAGGGACAAACTGTACCCTTTCCACTGACTGATATTTCCTGAGCAATCACTAGGTGAAAAATGTCCACTCAAACATTCATTAAGTTCACACTTTGAAACCAGCTAAGCAAGGCCACCTGGAGGATACAAAAAGATGTCTCATGTGGTCCTTGCCCTCAGTTTGCTCCCAGCTAATTGAGGGGAGAGCCCACAAATGAAAAATTCAATGGTAAATGTGAGGCTCGTACACATTGCATTTATCTTGATAGGTGAAGATAAGTTGTCCATTCTGATTGGTTGGCTTTTCATTCGGATTAGTGGGGCATCCATTCTCATTCTCATTGGTTGGGTGTTGATTTTGATGATTTGGGCATCCATTCTGATTGGCCAGGCTTCCAATCTGATTGGTCAAGTGTTCCTGCCAAACTGATTGTTACATATTATGCATATCACCACTGGATGCAAAAGTTAAATAAAAATGAGAGATGATAAGACCCCTACATTATGTACATTCTACAATAATGTAGAATCAGTGGGAGCCCCGAGCTTGTTTTCCTGCAACTAGATGGTCCCATCTAGGGGTGATGCGAGACAATGACAGAACATCAAGCATTAGATTCTTTTTTTTTTTTCTTTTTGGGACAGAGTCTCACTCTGTCACCCAGGCTGGAGTGCAGTGGCACGATCTAGGCTCCCTGGAACCTCCCCTCCCCAGGTTCAAGCGATTTTCCTGCCTCAGCCTCCTGAGTAGCTGGGATTACAGGCACACACCACCACACCCGGCTAGTTTTTGTTTTTAGTAGAGATGGGGTTTCACCGTGTTGGCCAAGCTGGTCTCAAACTCCTGACCTCAGGTGATCCTCCTGTCTTGGGCTCCCAAAGAGCTGGGATTACAGGTGTGAGCCACCGCACCAGGCCTAGGCATTAGATTCTCATAAGGAGTGGGCAACCTAGATCCCTCACACACGCAGTTCACAATGGGGTTCGTGCTCCTCTGAGAATCTAGTGCCACCTCAGTTCTGACAGGAGGTGGAGCACAGGTGGTAATGCTTGCTCACCTGCTGCTCACCTCCTGGTGTGTAGCCCAGTTCCTAACAGGCCACTGACCACAACTGGCCCACTGCCTCGGGGGTTGAGGACTCCTGCACCAAAGGGTGGTTTGGAAGGAATTCATTCTAATACCTCTTATATTATTTCTTTCTCTGGTAATAAAGTTGCTGACAATAAAATATTAGCAAAATTCATTCATTTCATTAAGCTAGGCATTGCTATTTTGTGGGATTTTGTGTAAAGTAAGACGTGCAATAAGGACTATGCATTTTGGGTAGAGCTTTTTGGGTAGAGCTTCTTGTAAACTTGAGGTTTTTTGTTTGTTTTTTTTGGTTTTTTTTTTAAGTCTTTTGGGGCCAACTTTAAAATGGACTCTTATCCAATAGCAAAGTCAAGATGTGCTGAAACTCACAATCAGCATCAGAACAGGTATTGGGATTCTTATGGTAGTAAATAACAGAATACTAAATGACCTAAATAAAAATACTGATTTAAACCATAAATATATTTAACCCTAAACTAGAATTATCAGATATAAGCCTAGTGACAGGTGAGACTTAATCTAGTAGCTCAAATTACATGCCCAGTTCTTGGCTTCTCTTTGTCAGCATCTTAGCAACACGTCTTCAAGATAGCACTTATTTCAATAGGCTAGCCCCATGTGGTTGCAAAATGTCTTCCTGAAACTCCTAGGGCTCCTTGCTTCCAGATTCAAACAGAGCAGAATGTAGAGAATCCTTTTCCCCAAAAGTTCAAATAAATACCCAGGAATTGAGTTCCATGGGCCTTGACTGCCCTTCCCTGAACCTATGCAGGGCCCAAGAGAGTGGCCTCTGTCAACTGATGTAAGCCACTGGGACTGGGTGTAGAGTCAGCCTCACCCTAAACACAGGGTTCTATTAGTGAAGACTGGAGAAGATAAGGCTGGGAAACAAATGAGCACCATCTGTGTTTACGTGTCAAATGCACATGGATATTTGTTTGCTTGTTTTTGAGACTGAGTCTCATTGTATTGTCCAGGCTGGAGTGTAATGGCACGATCTCGGCTCACTGCAACCTCTGCCTCCCGGGTTCAAGCAATTCTCATGCCTCAGCCTCCTGAGTAGCTAGGATTTCAGGCACATGCCACCACACCTGGCTAATTTTTGTGTGTTTAGTAGAGACAGAGTTTCACCGTATTCATCAGGCTGGTCTCGAACTCCTGACCTCTGGTGATCCGCCCACCTCGGCCACCCAAAGTGCTGGGATTACAGGTGTGAGCCACGATGCTTGGCCATCACATGGATATTTGTGTCAAGTACTACCAAGTGATTGATTACATTGGAGAAATCACAGAACTGAATCCAGAAAAAGTGTGATTTGTCATTCTCTAAACAGATGGGTTGATGCTTAACTGGGAAGAAGGAAATATGGCCTCCTTGAGGAGGGAATGGGTAACCCAAAGCCAGAATTAACCAAAGCACTTTGACACCTGGCCCCTTTTCTGCGCTACTTCAGGAATCAGCTGACGGTATAAAGCCCATTTTGGCAGCAAAGACTTTAAAATGGGCTTTATACCCTTAAATGGTTCCTGAAGCAAACTTTCTAATTATTCTATCAGGCTCTGACAAATCTGTCCTGGGACTTTGTTATTGTCAAAAGGACTGAACTTAGCATCAGATGACCTGAGTTCTGTTTCCCCTCTGCTACTAAATAGTTCTGTGACCTTAAACAAGCACAGCATTTCTGTGCCTCAGTTTCCTTAACTGTAAAATGGGAGGAACTGAATGAAATCATCCATTCCCATCTGTAAAATCCTTTGAGCTCTTGAATCCAGGCCCCGATAACAGATGTCCTGAGACCTGGAAGTTCTGATCTTTCACACAATAGTCTCCCAAGCCACCCAAACACCCTGGTGAATCAGGGGATTTATCAGCAACCTCAGAGGTCTTGTGAGTCCCATTGAGGCTATGTAGGGTGTGGAGCCGGGAAAGGAGCCCAAGATACTTAGTTCCTTGTTCTAAACAACATTCAATTCACCCTTATGACTCAGTTATCATTGCTTCTCTCTTTCCAAGGAGCACCAAGTTTCAGTCCTGAGATAGCAACAATGATTTGTTGGGTTGCCAAATTACTGGGTTAAGAGAAAAATGAAATTCTGCATTATTCTGAGCCAACTCCAATCAGATTTCTTCCTGCAATTCCTACTTAATATGAATAATCATAATCATTTCCCGAATAACCTTAAACATAGACATGTATATATATTTAGAGGCAGGGTCTCACAATGTTCCATAGGCTGGAGTGCATGGCTATTCACAGGCACGATCATAGCTCACTGTAACTTCAAACTCCGGAGCTCAAGTGATCCTCCTGCCTCGGCCTCCTGAGTAGCTAGGACTACAGGTGCACACTACTGCACCTGGCTCTGACTTTTTTTTTTTTCCTGGTTTAACAGCAGCAAGGGATTATAAACAGAGTTAATCAGGGAACATGTTGAATTGCTCCAGAACCTGTGATAAAACACCCTCTCCCTTTGTGAAATTCCTTGCTCTCACTGGTTCAGACAGAACTGAAGAGTTAATATGAAATCAAGCAGGATTCTTTGATTATTCACTTTTAAAATTACAAGCATAAATGATGATGATAACCTAATAGAATGCTGAATAAATAAGGCTGAATAGGTGATTCTTTTGGGCCAGGTTGAATATTCAGATTAAGAGAAACTGCGAATGAAATCCCAATCACATAGTAATTTCCCACCTATTGCTTTCTGAAACTCAAGTAGCTATATGGTCTAATTAGGCTGTTTGGGGGATTATCACATTTTATTTCTGCAATGAATGGCATCATTTGGGGTTTAATATTTATTGAGGCTTTTATGAAACAGAGAGGTTTCCATATGTCTCTAGAGCAAAACATTTGTGTTTGCCATCTGCTACTCAAGAGTAGTTTTGTAGAAAAAGAACGCAAATTGCTTGCTTCTTTAATTACTTTGGGGCTAGGCTATACTATAGTTGGGACTGTGGAAAAGCCAGTGGAATTAACTGCTGAGAGAATACCATTGTTTACTTAGCCACCAACTTAAATAATTTTTTGCAAGTAAACTGCATAAAAAGAGATTAAAGCCTAAAATTATTTTTGTTCTTTTAACTCAAGGCAAAGACCAAGTGAAGAGATGTGTGAGATTTTTTTCGAGCTGGCAAAAAGGAGACCCTATCCAGGAGACTAGGCTTTAAGGTCAGTATAGAAAGTATCAGATCTCTTTTTCAAGATCTGACGCCAACTGAATCTGTGACTTATACTTAGTACTTAAAAAAAAAAAAAAAAAATCAGAGGATCTCCTTGAGCCCAGTATCAAAAAAATTAATTTACTTTTCATCACCAGGAGCTAATTACTTGGGCTCTGGACTCCATACTGTTTGTTTCTGCTTTCCCTCTTCTCAGTGGCTTCTTGAATTGTGTATAAGTCTCTATTCAGTAACACCTCCACTAGCCTGTAGACAGTCATCATTAGAAAATATAGTATTTCTAATCACTTTTGCTTAATCAGGAGTCACTTCAACCAACAGGGCTCACCCAAAAGTGGAAACTCTGGGGCTTAGGAATTGTCTGTGGATTTCAATTGCTGATGCTTTTTCTAGCTTTCCTCACAGTAAAATTGTATCCATCAAGGTTATGAGAATACAAATGTAAGAAATTGACAGATGAAAGGGACCTAGTCTGCCCAGTGACTAACTGAGATCCTTGACAGGCTACCTAACCTCAATGGACCTCTGACTTCTAAGACTACTTCTTGCTTTAAGAGGCCATAAAAACCTGCCGGGCGCTGTAGCTCACGCCTGTAATCCCAGTACTTTGGGAGGCCAAGGCAGGCGGATCACGAGGTCAGGAGATTGAGACCATCCAGGCCAACATGGTGAAACTCCGTCTCTACTAAAAATACAAAAATTAGCTGGGCGTGATGGTGCGTGCCTGTAATCCCGGCTACTCGGGAGGCTGAGGCAGGAGAATCGCTTGAACCAGGGAGTTGGAAGTTGCAGTGAGCTGATATCACGCCACAGCACTCCAGCCTGGCAACAGAGCGAGACTCCGTCTCAAAAAAAGAGGCCATAAAAACCAATGTCTAGGCCGGGTGCGGTGGCTCACACCTGTAATCCCAGCACTTCGGGAGGCTGAGGTGGGCAGATCACGAGGTCAGGAGTTCGACACCAGCCTGGCCAACGGGGAGAAACCCCGTCTCTACTAAAAATACAAAAATTAGCCGGGCGTGGTGGCGGGTGCCTGTAATCCCAGCTAGTCAGGAGGCTGAGGCAGCAGAATTGCTTGAACCCAGAGGCAGAGGTTGCAGTGAGCCGAGATTGCGCCACTGCACTCCAGCCTGGTGACAGGGCGAAACTCCATCTCGAGAAAAAACAAAACAAAAATCCAATGACTATAGAGATGTATTCCAGGGTTTCTCAAAATGTGTACCTCAGAACGCTAAGTGAGTCAGCAGATGCTAGCAGGTGATACAAGAAGAAAAGATTTCAGGGCTAAGCTTTTTGAGAAATGCTGCTATCAGTTGTTTAGATGGTGCGGCTTCTCTGACGTCAGTATGCAGAGGCGCAGCTGTGAGTCTCCACCGCAAGGTGTGGCACACGGCTTTTCCCACACTCCATTCTGATGGCGCATCTTATGGGGCTTGTGTCCTCAGACTGTATGTTAGGAAACTCATTTAATCCAAACCCTTTTTTTTGCTTGTTTGTTCGTTTTTTGTTTTTGTTTTTTTGAGACAGAGTCTCACTCTATCGCCCAGGCTGGAGTGCAGTGGCGCCATCTCGGCTCACTGCAGCCTCTGCCTCCTGGGTTCCGGCGATTCTCCTGCCTGAGCCTCCCGAGTAGCTGGGACTACAGGCGCCCGCCACCACACCTGGCTAATTTTTTGTATTTTTAGTAGAGATGGGTTTCACCATATTGGCCAGGCTGGTCTTGAACTCCTGACTTCAGGTGATCCACCCGCCTTGGCCTCCCAAAGTGCTGGTATTACAGGCGTGAGAGCCACCGCACTCGGCCCTTATTTTTATTTTTATTTTTTTTAAATTTATTTATTTTGAGACAGGGTCTCTCTCTGTCACCCAGCTTGGAGTGCAGTGGCATGATCTTGGCTCACTGCAACCTCTACCTCCCAGGCTCAAGGTATCCTCTCACCTCGGCTCAAGGTATCCTCTCACCTGGGCTCAAGGTATCCTCTCACGTCGGCTCAAGGTATCCTCTCACCTCGGCTCAAGGTATCCTTCCACCTCAGCTGGGACCACAGGCCCGCACCACCACGCCCAGCTAATTTTTATATTTTTTTGGTAGAGATGGGGTTTCACCATGTTGCCTCGGCTGGTCTCAGACTCCTTGCCTGAAGTGATCTACCTGCCTCGGGCTCACAAAGTGCTGAGATTAGAGGCTAAGCCACCCCTCGAAACCTAACCCCTTAGTTTTAGATATGAAAACACTAAATAGCAAAGTCCTACTATCAAGTTGAAAATCAGCATGTTTACAGGAAGCTGTGAGGAAAGACGGCAGCATCCATTCCCAGAATTCCTGACAGACTGGACTGAGAACACCCGTCCCTGCTCCCAGGCTTCTCCTGAGTCCCAGGGCAGGGCTCCCTGCTGCCGCCTCTGTCACTGTCAGATCCACAGAAAGATCAGAGAAGAGGGTGGGGCGCTGTGATGGCTCTCTCTCCTCCACACCTGGGGAAGCTGCTTCACCCTCAAGCTCTGGGGGACTGGCAGATGTTGTACTAACCTGAAATTAAAATCATCTGTGCAGAAGCATATTTACCCAGAATTCTGAATGAACATTCTGTATATTGTGTTTTTGAGAAAAAGACTAATGTCAAGTAATTAAACTAACTGGCATTTTTTGCTTTGTATTGTTCTGTATTTTGAATGAATTATAGGCTAGGTTAGAGGGTCATATCACACCCAGGCTAATTTCCCACATTGACATTTAAAGTGCTGTAAAAATGATCTGCACAATGAAGTGTTTTTACAGAGAAATTATTTGAATTTCTTGAGGGCATGAATTATATTTACATTGTATCCCTAATGACTGACTAACACAGGCTTGGCATATATTAGCCACATAGTGACAAATATGTTTGCATTAATTAGTAAATTACAATCTAATGAGCAGGTTTTAATAAAATTAAATAATGGTAATAATTCACTCACAGCACTAATGGAATCCTACCTTTTCAGATTAATTGACTTATCATGGTCAAGGACCATGAATTCTGGTTAAGGCTTATTAACAGAGGCTATTTGACAGTTTTCACTTGTAATCTCTTGGTTTCATAAACATGTTTCATTCAGGTGATAATAAATGAGATCATTTCTATATTTGACTCTTCAATACATACACACAGAATTGGAATGAGCTGGTAGTTATCAAGTCCTATCTTCCAGGCACTGCAGAATTCCCCTTTCAACCACTTGGTCTGTGTTTAAACATCCCCATAGATAACACACATAATAACAACCTTGAAGAAATGTGTGATCCTGGAGGGCCTTCTGAGTCATCACAGGATTAAGTCATGTTAGTAAATGATAGTTTGTGTTCTATAGTTTCATTCAACAAAAGCTCTTTTAGCACCTACAATATATAAAGCAACTTACTAGATACCATAAGAGGAATAAAGATGAACTGACACAGACCACTCCGTAAGAAGCACATGGCCTTCATGGGAGGTGGGACCCACACTTAAATAGTTAAAATACTAGGTAGAATTATGATATACTGGTAATGTACTGTGGTGCTAGTTTATAGTTCTTTTTTTTTTTTTTTGACAGAGTCTCACTCTGTCGCCCAGGCTGGAGTGCAGTGGTGCAATCTCCGCTCACTCCAACTTCTGCCTCCCAGGTTCAAGCAATTCTCCTGCCTCAACCTCCCAAGTAGCTGGGATTACAGGAGCGCGCCACCACGCCTGGCTAATTTTTTTATTATTTTGTGGAAATGGGGTTTCACCATGTTGACCAGGCTGGTCTTGAACTCCTGACCTCAAGTGATCCACCCGTCTCGGCCTCCCAAAGTGCTGGGATTACAGGCATAAACCACTGCGCGCAGCCTTATAGTTATTTCAAAACTAGTTTATATTTATTTAGACACTGGTAGTCTATAATTAAGTGGATTACCCAGTGTATTAGAACACCTAATTCCCTAACTATTGTTGATACATGGAAGGTTACCACACTCAGTATCAATGACATTGGGTTTTACTAGCAATCAACAGCATCACCTAAGAGCAATGCTCTTGGGTGAACCATCCCAGCAAGGTCTTGCTGACCAGCGTTGAGTCACCTACTTTAGACCCACAATTCACCTTAAATGGATGAGCAAGGAGGATGAATCAAGATGACATGGGAACCTGAACTGCATTGAGCGAGGTTTCAGGGATGCCTTCGGGAAGCTGGATGCTTGTACAGGCTGCAATATAGACCAAGTTGCCAAGTGACAACCAAAAATGGGATTAGTCAGGGAATAAAAATTGTCCCTAGCTTTCCAGAATGGCTCTATCTGAACAGATAGTGGATCTGTTGGGGAGAAGGTGAAGGGGGTAGGAAAAGAACCTGCCTGTTTACACCCCAGAAGTGACCACCACCTACTAGTCTGAACCAACTTTTAAATTCTGATTTGGGCTCTGTTTCTACCTCCATATGAAAAGCGAAAAAATTTAAAGGAAGCCGGGTGTGGTGGCTCATGCCTGTAATCCCAGCACTTTGGGAGGCCAAGGCTCTTGGATCACCTGAGGTCAGGAGTTCGTGACTAGCCTGGCCAACCTGTCTCTATTAAAAATACAAAAATTAGCTGGGCATGGGCGCCTGTAATCCCAGCTACTTGGGAGGCTAAGGCAGGAGAATCACTTGAACCCCCTGGGAGGCGGAGGTTGCGGTGAGCCAAGATCGTGCCATTGCACTCCAGCCTGGGCGACAGAGCGAGACTCCGTCTCAAAAACAGAATAAAACAAAACAAAAACTTTAAGGAAATTAAATTATATAACCAACCTCCAAAGATCATTAAGGAATGTATCCTTCATATATTATGAACAGTATTGTTGGAGAAAGTTGAACTAACCCTCGCCTGAGCCGAGAATCCAGAATTCAATGCTGTTAACGTTTGAACACACAACAACGAATTTGCATCCAAATAAACATTGTACACATTTCCTTACATCTTTTGCCTTGAGAATTTGGTGATGAAAATACTTTTTACATGTGGACATATTTCCCTTAATATTAAATGTTGTAAATTATTATGCAAAACTGAGATATGGGGGAACAATAAGGAAGCTCATAATTTTAGCTTCTTTGCATCTCAAAGCCAGGACTGTGATCATGACCCTGATTCTGAAGGAAATGATGTGGACAGAAGCTGTTTTGTCTGACAGCTCCTCACAACCTTGACTGACCCAAGCAACCCCCACAAAAAGCAATGCCCAGCAGTCCAGGGAATCAAGCTTCTCTTCCACCCCCTTGGTCCATTCTGGGGAGGCAGCAGCAGTGGCACTGACCTTAGGATCATCCTCTAGAGTTTTGATGTCTGGTTTTGTATGGGAGTGCAACCTTAGCAGTAAAATATTTACTTATGGAGCTCATTCATTTGTTCTCTGGCCCTTATACCTACTGGAGATAATGCCTACTGCCCAGAATAAGTAAGTTATTTATTGGAGGTAGCAGATAAAATATTGAAACAGCTCATGCCTTTGTGTTGTATAGTTGAGGTAGAAATAATGGTACCCAGATTTGTGCAGACTCTATTAACTCACATCTTTGGCTTATTTATTATTTGGCCAGATATGATTTGCTCTTAGGTCTTGGCAAGAGGGGCCTCTTCCCCTGGGGCCCACTGTGTAGAGAGCCCTATGCTACCCTTGTTCTCTTCTGGTCAGTCCTCTCCACTGGGCAAGGAGTTTACAGGCTAAGTGGATTTACTCACCCAGAGCCATGCCATCTTTTTAGGCTACATTCCAGGTACCCAGAACTCAGGATTCCCTGCCAATGGCCCTGCTTCCAGGATTGGTATGGGCCTCTTCTCCTGATCGATCTTTCTTTCTTTCTTTTTCTTCTTTTTTTATTTTTTGGAGACGGAGTCTCGCTCTGTCACCCAGGCTGGAGTACAGTGGTGTGATCTCAGCTCACTGCAACCTCCACCTCCGGGGTTCAAGCAATTCTCCTGCCTCAACCTCCCAAGTAGCTTGGATTACAGGCACACATGGCCACGCCCGGCTAATTTTTTGTATTTTAATAGAGACAGGGTTTCACCGTGTTGCCCAGGCTGGTCTTGAACTCCTGAGCTGAGGCAATCCACTCATCTCGGCCTCCCGAAGTGCTAGGATTACAGGCATGAGCCACCGTGCTCGGCCTTTTTTATTTATTTTTTATTTGAAACTGAATCTTGCTCTGTTGCTCAGGCTGGAGTGCAGTGGCGCAATCTCAGCTCACTGCAAGCTCCACCTCCAGGGTTCAAGTGATTCTCCTGCCTCAGCCTCTCGAGTAGTTGGGATTATAGGCACCTACTACCATGCCCAGCTAATTTTTGTATTTTTAGTAAAGACGGGTTTTCACCATGTTGGCCAGGCTGGTCTCAAACTCCTGACCTCAAGTGAGCCTCCCAAAGTACTGGGACTACAGGTGTGAGCCACTGCACCCAGCCCTGATCTATCCTTCTGAGGGTGGACTGTACAATTGGGCCATAGCCCCAAGTGGCCACCAAAAGGGGGTGATGATATGGCCAGCGCTTGGACATATGGGCTGGAATCCACATCGTGTGTGTGTGAGGCCCTTCATGATGTGGGCCCAATTTGAGGGGTGAAGGAAGGGCACTGTTCTGGGCCAGGGCTGCTCTCCTGGGCCACCACGTTTTGGTATGGACCTCTAAGGAGCTGAAATATTCTAAATTCAAACCAATTATCTGCATCATTGTAAAGGTATATCTGTCAAGGTAGGAAACCCAAGTTTGTTAGCTTTGGCTAGAATTTTTAAATATTTAGACATATGATATGTTGGTTTTCATTTTCATTCTTGCTCCATGCCCCACAAAATGGGGCCTGTCCTTGGAATGTGTTTGATTTTGAGTGTGTTTAAAATTCTAATATAAAGGCTCTGGTAAGTGGTTGGAGTGTGGGTAATGGGTGGGCCACTTTGCCACCAGGTCAAACAGAGCATTGCTGCCAACCAGCGCTCCAACTACGTTCCAACATCCTTCTGCTCCCTGACCCAACAAGGGAAACTGTGTGTGTGTGTGTGTGTGTATGTGTGTGTGCGTGTGCGCATGTGTGTGTGTGTGCTTGCGCGCGCATGTGTGTAATATCCACTGAGAATCAGGAAAACATGACCTGGCTGTGCTCACATCATCCAAACCTCACACTGATGTTCTGTTCTAGATCGCCACGGCTGCTCTGCCAAGCTTCTCTTCCCACTTGGCTTCCTTTAGCTGCTCAGAGTTAGGAGCTAGGCATTTTGAAGTCCTCCTCCAGGAGAAGAAGAATGAACTAGAAAGGGAATCATGCCAGGCTTCCTTGATTGAACCCCACTTCACTTCAGCAAATCCTTAAGCCTTTCTGTCTGTTTTGTCAGCTGTAAAATAAGCAGACTAATTCAGCTCTACCTCAGAGGGCAATGAGTGGCAGGTTTAATTAATGCTGATTGTGATGGGCTTTGTAATGTAAAGTTGTATATAAATGAAAAAGAGCTTTAGAGCCATTTTATCCAAAGTCAGCTAAGTTTGGAGTGCATCCTGCTTTCCACTGCTATGGTTAAGCCTCTGAGTCCTGATCACAGACTGCTGCAGACAACAGAGGAGCAGGAAGGCACAGTTGGCTCACATTGCCTGAACAGAAAGCAGGGCTTAGCAATGGCAGTGGGGGGGCAGAGCATGTAATCAACGCACATCTCAGATGTCTGCATGGCAGGCAGCTCCAAAATTCACTGGGTCCAGCTGGTGGCAGATGATGGGCTGGTTTTTGCAATCAAAGTACAAAGAACAAGGTGTATCCGTTTATTCCTGGGACTGTTCTGGAGAGATCCTTGAGATCTAAAGTGTCACACTGAGGGAAAAGCTCTTTCCAAAGATCTCCTCTGCAGGTCTTCCTATCATCCCTGCCTGGGTTTGCTGGCTGACAGCTCATGATAGGAGTCTTTTCTTCAGGGACAGTGCTTACTGAGAACACGCTACGAGGCTCAGGCCTATCTAGGATCCATTCCTTCCTTTAAAGTCTTGTGTCTTTCCTACTTCACTTAAAGACATGGTGATATGGTTTGGATTTGTGTCCCTGCCGAAATCTCATGTGTGAATTGTAATCCCCAGTGTTGGAGGAGAGGCCTGGTGGGAGATGATTGGATCATGGGGGCGGCCTTCCCCCTTGCTGTTCTCGTGATAGTGAGTTCTTATGACATCTGGTTGTTTAAAAGTCTGTAACACCTCTCCCTTAGCTCTCTTCCCCCTGCTTCGGCCATGTAACACGTGCCAGGCCGAGAGCAGTGGCTCATGCCTGTAATCCTAGCACTTTGGAAGGCCGAGGCGGGCAGATCACGACGTCAGGAGATCGAGACCATCCTGGCTAACGCAGTGAAACCCCATCTCTACTAAAAATACAAAAAATTAGCTGGGCGTGGTGGCGCATGCCTGTAGTCCCAGCTACTTGGGAGGCTGAGGCAGGAGAATCGCTTGAACCTGGGAGGCTGAGGTTGCTGTGAGCCAAGATTGTGCCACTGCACTCCAGCCTGGGCAACAGTGGGAGACTCCATCTCAAAAACAAAAACAAACAAACAAAGACAATGTGCCTGCTTTCTCTTCGCCTTCCACCATGATTGTAAGTTTCCTGAGGCCTCCCCAGCCATGCCTCCTGTACAGCGTGTGGAATTGTGAGTCAAACCTCTTTTTATAAATAAATTACCCAGTCTCAGGTAGTTCTTTATACCAATGTGAGAACAGACTAATATACATGGCTACCTAACTTACCAGAAGTCATAGTGGTCCCACTGAGGATCACACCTGGGCACTGTTGGTTACTTTGGCTAACATGGGATTTCTGTCTCTTTCACACAATTCATCTAGCAACATTCACATGCAGCAAATCATAACTTGTATATGCTTAGTGGACATGACCACTCCTTCCCTTAATCTCTTAGAGCCCTGTGTTTCCAGGATGACAGATCATATTCAGTATTATGTTATAATTATGCTTATACAGGCTCTTCCTAATATTAGATGACCTTGAGCTCCTCAAAAACCCCAAGAGGGTCTTAATCATTTTTATATTGCCCTTGACCTCGGTACTTCTTTATAGAAAATATAAAAGATACTTGTTCAAATGCACTGGAAATAAAGACATAATGAGTGATGAAAACGATAGGAAGGCCTAATGTCCATTAGGGAGTTTTGTTTTCAAAATTTAAAAAAAATCTTGTTGGAAGATCTAGATATATTATATTCATAAGGATGAAAGGTCTTCAGCTTCAGCCAGACTTAGGTTTATAGCTTGGTTCTGCAAGTTACCATTTCTGAGAACTTAGGAATGGTACTTAACTATCTCTGTGCCTCAGTTTCCTCATGTGTAAAATGGGGATAATATTACTATCTACCTCATAGGGATGTTGGAAAGATCAAATTAGATAATCCATGTGAAGAGTGCCTAGCACGGTGCCTGGCACAAAATCAGTGCTCAGGTGATATCATCATCATCATCATCACCACCACCACCACTATCAGAGATTATGGGGGAAGGAGTCTTAGTTGCTCTCCAAGGCTCACAGTATAGCCTTTGGATTTAACAACGTGCCCCATAGTTCCCTTAATGGCACCTTATAAGTCAGAAGCAGGACCCACTTAGGTCAGAACCTCTAGATTTTCTGCTTCTCACCCCTTATTTCAGATTTTCTTCTTTGGCCACTTGAAGAAGTGTGAATAAGATAGTTCTCATTTAGACATAATGTGAGGGCTGTTTAGAAAGGCATTTTGCAAATAAATTACTTGTATATTATGCATAGTAATTTTGTTGGTTGTAAAATATACTGTTAGACACATGTAGATCCTTGTAAACTGACTCAGTTCCAATGTACTTGGTATGTCTTTAGTTTAAATGGTTTCTCCCCTCAACATGTGGTCCTCGGATTTGATTGTTCCACAGGAAAAAATGTTTTTGTTGTAGACATTCACCACCAGTTTGCCGAAGTTTGTGGAGAAAATGTTTTCAGTTAACAAACAATGTCCCATTAATGCTAGGGGTTTGAGGGAGAAGGCAGGCAGCCTGGAGGGGGTAGCGCAGAGCCACCAGCTGTGGTGCCAAAGGCAGCAAAGACGCCTGGAGGGAGTGGGCACCTTTAGGGTCTTCTGTTCAGTCTGTGCCTCCTTTCCTCAAAGTTGCCCCTAGCCTTCTTCCACAGGGGTGGCCCCAGCAGTCACTGTCTCCTCAAGTGGCCCTGAGGCTCTACCACAGATGACCAGGGTAGACACTCCTGACCCAAGCTGAGACAACCAGATTCTCTCTCCAGGGCACCTGGAATTAGGACACAGGCCTCTGGTCAGTCACAGTTGGCCCTGGAACTAGGACAGCTTATACTGGGGGGCTGGCCTGGCCATTTTCACTGTGTACCATAGAAGGAAAACTGGGCTGTGGAGAAAGGAGACTGACACAGTGTCAGGGAGAAAGAGATGAGAAACCAGGTCACCCCAAGAGAAAAAGGGAGGTGGCAAGAGCATGGCTGTCTCCATTCACAGTGGCCTCTCAGGGCTTTGTTCCCACCCCATGTGGCCCAGCTGCCCTTCCTGCCCTGGCGGGTGCCCAGCACACTCTCCATTTTAGCTCAGGCAAGTGTGAGATGCCTCTGTTACTGGAAACCCAAGGAGACTTGGCTAAGTCCGTGGGCTGGCAGGGAGAGAGGCTTAGCCAGAGATTCTGGTTGCACAGAAAGTGTCTGCCTGTTCACACCTACCCTGCTAGTCCCATCACACTCAACTGGCCTGTCTAAATCAGACATGCACAGATAATTTTTACTGATCACAATATTAAATGCAACAGATTCACACTTATCCCTAAAATAATGTTTTCTCCTAGTCACTTCCTGATATACCTTCTTGTGTCATAGGGAAGTGGATGGATGGCATTATAGATGGCATACCCAGAACAAAACAGGATTGGCACTGGTCTTGCCAATTCCCCTGACAATCGGTCAGTCCCATTGCTGGGGCATTTGATACTCATCTGTAGCTTTGGCCCTGCCCCGGGTTCACATGCAAATCCTCTGTCTAGATGGAAGGCTTTAAGAAGCCCTGTCTCAGTAGTTCAGGAGACACAGTTAGTTTACTCTGTGACTTGTCCTGCTTTTTTTTTTTTTTTGAGACAGAGTCTCGCTTTGTCACCCAGGCTGGAGTGTAGTGGCATGATCTTGGCTCACTGCAACCTCGGCCTCCTGGGTTCAAGCAATTCTCATGCCTCAGCCTTCTATGCGTGCCACCATGCCTGGCTAATTTTTGTATTTTTAGTAGAGACGGGGTTTTGCCATGTTGGTCAGGCTGGTCTTGAACTCCTGACCTCGTGATCCACCTGCCTCAGCCTCCCAAAGTGCTGGGATTACAGGCGTGAGCCACCACACCCAGCAGGACAAGTTACTTAATTTTTCTAGAACCCAAAGGGATTGTTGAAAAGATCATATGAGCTAATGTGCCTGGCAAAATGTAGCAGGTATTTGATAAAATAAAACTGTCTTTCTTTCCTGTACTTAGATTTTTTTAACAGGTTTATTGAGATATAATTTACATACCATACAGTTCGCCAATTAAAATATACAATTCATTAGTTTTTAGGGTGGGGCACGGTGGCTCACGCCTGTAATCCCAGCACTTTGGGAGGCAGAGGCAGTTGGATCACAAGGTCAAGAGATCGAGACCATCTCGGCCAACATAGTGAAATCCCCTCTCTACTAAAAATACAAAAATTAGCTGGGTGTGGTGGCATGCACCTGTAGTCCCAGGTACTCGGGAGGCTGAGGCAGGAGAATCGCTGGAACCCAGGAGGCGGAGGTTGCAATGAGCCGAGATCGCATCACTGCACTCCAGCCTGGTGAAACAGCGAGACTCCGTCTCAAAAATAAATAAATAAATAAACGAATAAAAAATAAAAAAATTAAAAAACATTTTTAGTATATTCACTGTATTTAGATTTCTTAAAATGCAATTATAGCATAAGGAATGTGAGGTTTAATAGTTTTAAAAGACAGGATTTTAGTCAGCTATAAGTTTATGTAAATCAACAGTGTGATACCACTGCATTGACAAAAAAACCTTTGTGATATTGGGATGTATTGATACACTTACGATAATCCGAACAGGACAAGTAATAATTCCCTGTTATTCTCAGCTGGCAGTGTGTTCAGTCATTGGGCCTATTTTAAGAGAGAAATGGGCAAATTGGAGCATGACTAGAGAAATGTGATAAGGGTGATGGGAAACTGTTTATAGGAGCCAATGATACTCATCCTGGAGAAATAAAGCCTTAGAGGAGATGAAATATCATCCTTAATTAGCTCTAGAGTTTATTTTTATTTTTTTAGAGACAGAATCTCACTCTGTCGCCCAGGCTGGAGTGCAGTGGTGAGATCACAGCTCACTCATAATCTCAAACTCCTGGGTTCAAGTGATCCTCCCTCCTCAGTCTCTTGAGTAGCTGGTACTATAGGCATGTGCTACCATGCCCAGCTAATTTTCTTTTTTTGGTAGAGATAGGGTCTCCCTATGTTGCTCAGGGTGGTCGTGAACTCCTGGCCTCAAGTGATCCTCCCACCTTGACCTCCCAAAGTGCTGGGATGGTAAGTGTGAGCCACTGTGACCAGCCTAGACTTGTTTGTAAAATGAATGATATGTATTTCTATGTTCCCTCCCTAGACAGAACTTCAATAGGTGAATTCAAATTAAAAAGCAAGCAGATTTTGATACAACATAAGGAATAAGTAGAGCTGTCTAAAATTGGAGTGGATTATCCCTAATGTGGAATGAATTTTTTTCTTTTTTTTTTTTCAGTAGAGATGGTTTCTCACTATGTTGCCCAGCCTGGTCTCAAACTTCTGAGCTCAAGTGATACTCCTGCCTTGGCCTCCCAAACTGCTAGGATTACAGGCGTGAGCCACCACACCTGGCCTCTAATCTGAAATTCTATCTTTAATATTTAACCACATTATTTACAAGTCAGAAAGCAATGTCCCATAGAGCCCTTACTCTGTGCAATGTATTATGCCCAGGCAGGTAAAATTATTAAGAAGGTCAACTCTTCTTTATTCAAGGCCAATTTTCCAGTCTGTGGATTAGTCTAACAGATCATCCTTTCTTTCATTTTTCATTTCTGCTCCCTGCTTTTTGATCAGAGGATAGAGGAAAAGAATCCCAAAATGATCAATACAGATATTTTATTAGCAGTTCTGATGATAATGGAAATACTCCAAGAAGACTTAGGTATTACCGATCAGAAGGTTGTGCTCATCTCTTCCCAACTCTCTGTAAATTGACTTCACCTTAGTAGACTGAAAGTGGTCATAGTGGGAATATTTTCACCATGGAAATTAGCAAACACTACTGATCAGCACACCTACCCCTTCCTCCCCACCTCCAAGCTCGCTGACCAATGCCCTACTGTTTGAGAGTCTATGCTACCTAATGACTACTGGCCTGGCACGACTAAATGACAATAGCCCTTCTAGTAGATTGTTCAATTATGTGTCTCTATAAAAATACATTTAAAGCCAATGCTATTTCATGTTTTTTTGTTTGTTTGGAGATGGAGTTTCACTCTGTCACCCAGCCTGGAGTACAGTGGCACTATCTCAGCTCACCGCAACCTCCTCCTCCCGGGTTCAAGTGATTCTCCTGCCTCAGCCTCCCGAGTAGCTAGGATTACAGGTGCCCGCCACCACACCCAGCTAATTTCTGTATTATTAGTAGAGACGGGGGTGGGGGTGGGGGGGGGGCACAGCTCACCATATTGGTCAGGCTGGTCTCGAACTCATGACCTCAAGTGATCCGCCTGCCTCAGCCTCCCAAAGTGCCGGGATTACAGGCGTGAGCCACCTGCTGCTATTTCACTTTTGTGTGAGGGCAATTGGAATTTAAGTGGTTTCCTTTAGTTAATGAGTTTCAGATGAGTGAAATATTGGGGAAATACTTAGGGAAGACTAGCTTTACTCTCACCTGCCCTGTAGGCCATATATTCTGTCTTTAGGGAAACCCAAAATAACTATGTTCTGTATATTGAAGGGGGCTATTATGCATAGCTACTTATGGAATGGCTGTGTAACATGAGTAGGAAGACATCTCCAAGGTGAAGGCCCCCTGGAAACAGGAAGTTAAAGTTCTCTGCTGGCCAGCACTTGTCCTGTATAAGTGGCTCCTTGTGCCACCTATTGGATCTTGAAATAATAGTCTCTGAGCTTTTGATTCAGAGACTCCAGTAAGTATTTTTTGCAGATAGAACATATTCTCATCATCTTCCTTAAGGCACAACTGTTGTAATGACATTGCATTTTACAAGTTGTTATGAGGGAAATGCCATCAGTCCAAGATTCCCAGAGCCAACTGATTTCTTTTGCAAACGCTAAGCACCCGGGAGAACTTATACAGCAGTGGTTCTCAACCCTAGCTGCTGATGGAATTACCTGGGGAGTTTACAAAAACACTGCCAGCTGGGTTCTACCCCCAAGTACTCTAATTTAATCGACTTCAGCTGCTCCTTTGGTGATTCTAATGTACAACAAATTTGGGTTTTATTGACTTAGAGGGTTCCTAGAAGTGGTAAGAGAGAATGAGATTTGCTAGAATGAACGGGGGAAGAGAGGTGCTTTCCTGCTCCAATGTGGAGAAAAATCCTTTATTTGTTACCCTGGAGTAGTAGGAATCTGGGTTCTAGCTTCCTGACAACCACTAGGAATTACAGTTGGCATTTATTGAACACTTGCGGTATACTATGCCTCATCTCATTTTTTCTTCATATAACCTTATGAAATAGGTATAAATATTTTCATTTTATAGATAGAGACACAACTTAGAGGTTAAACGGCTATTAAAGTTTCTGTGCTCCCTGGAAATAGGGTTTCCAAATTGCTTACTGTTTTGTATATAGCAGACATTCCATAAATAGTTGAATAAGTTTTTCAGTGTGAATAAGTAGAACACCATTCTTCTTTGTACTTTGAGCCCTTTAACCCATTAGCCTTTTAGTCAGCTTTTATCTAATGGAAAAACAGAATGCTTTTCACTTATTTTGCTTGTACCCACTTCCCAAGGGAAGAAGCAGCAGAGGTTACTACAGTGTCGTCGCATTAACTCTGCAGTGACTTTGAATCACTTTCCTAATTTTATCTTATTTGTTTGTTTGTTTTTGGAGACAGGGTCTCAATGTCACCCAGGCTGGAGTGTAGTGGTGCAATCATGGCTCTTTGCAGCCTCACCCTCCCGGGCTCAAGCGATCCTCCCACCTCAGCCTCCTGAGTAGCTGGGACCACAGGCACATGCCATCATGCTCACCTAATGTTCTTTTTTCTTTTTTTGTAGAAATGAGATCTGGCTGTGTTACCCAGGCTGGTCTTGAACTTCTGGCCTTAAGCAATCCTTTCCCTTGGTCTCCCAAAGTGTAGGGATTACAGTTGTAAGCCACCGCACCTGAACTTTCCTAATTTTAGAAACAAGTTAACTGAGGCTTAGGCAGAATTCAGTGGTCTTTTGGTCTTTTCATAACACCAAGTTGAGACAGAGGAATGATCAAAGGAGTGCATCAAGAAGGATCAACTAAAACTATGATGAGAAGAAAGGGATTCTGGATAACTGGAATCATTATTAAAGAATGACCATCAAGTCAGCTCTATTGAGTATGGTACTCAGCATATTCCTGGAGTGCCCATTATGCACTGTGCTAGGCTTTTGGGGAGATGAGACCAAATTCTGATCTTCAAGAACCCTATGGGCCAGGCACAGTGGCTCACGCCTGTAATCCCCGCACTTTGGGAGGCCAAGGCAGGCAGATCACCTGAGGTCAGGAGTTTGAGACCAGCCTGGCCAACACAGTGAAACCCCCTCTCTACTAAACAGTGGCTCCTGCCTGTAATCCCAGCTACTCAGGAGGCTGAGGCAGGAGAATTGCTTGAACCTGGGAGGTGAAGGTTGCAGTGAGCTGAGATCGCGCCACTGCACTACAGCCTGGACGACAAGAGCGAGGCTCCATCTCAGAAAAAAAAAAAAAAAAAGCCTATGGACTTTTGGGGAAGAGAAGGCATGACACATGGAAAGTGAAATAGCATAGCAGTATAAGAGCATTTTTTAAAAAGTTCATATAAGACAGCAGTAGTTATTGACAAGTGGTTAAGGTAGGGATTAAGAGTTCAGAAAGGGGAGAGATTATATTTGCATAAATTTATGCTGGCCTCAGCACCCTCATAAAACACCTTGACAGTATGAACTGTGCGTTACAATGAAGTCTGAGAAAACACCGTGTCTCTCAGTAGCTTACCTTCCCCTCTGGAGTCTCGGGCGGATAGTGAGAAGGTTTGCAGGAAGCAATGGTAGGGGAAATGAAGAGACCTGATCATCAAGGCAAGCAGGACAAGTGCTAGGAGATCTCACCTGGCTGCCAAGCTTGGCTATTTTGAAATATTAATGATTTTTTTCTCCCTGTATTTTTCCCTCATTCTCCTTTTAAGCATTAGAAGCATATAGTACTTTCTGGGCTTTGCTTTTATAAATTCTAAGCCCTCCAGACAATTTATAGCAGGAAGTGCAATGCTGGCTGTTCATGGAATCACCTGGGGAGTTTTAAAAATACTGCCGCCTGGGTTCCACCCCTAAATACTCTAATTTAATTGACCTCAGCTGCTCCTTTGGTGATTCCAAAAAGCAAACAACTTTGGTATCACTGACTTAAAAGGTTCCTAGATATGGTAAGAGAGAATGAGATTTGCTGGAATGAATAGAGTATCTTGGAGAAGCAGTGAAAGAGGAGTGCTTTCCTGTTCCAATATAGAGAAAAATCCTTGATTTGTTACCCTGGAGTAGCAGAAACCTGGGTTCTGGCTTCCTGACGGCCCCAGCGGGGAGGTAGGAAGACTCCAGAGAGAATGGCAGTGTGATATATCTAGGCCAGTGCTTCTCACACAGGGATGTGCACAAGGATCACCATTGTTAAAATGCAGATTCTGACTCAGTAGTTCAGGGGTGGCGCCTGAGAGTCTCTATTTCCAAAAAGTTTGTAGGTGGCTGGTCCACAAAGTGGCAAGGATCTACATGGCTAGGACTACAGGCTGTCTCCTTTAAGATTCCCATATCCATTTCAAGCATAGAACAGGAGGAGCCGCAGCCTGTTAAAACTGAATGGTCCCACAGGCAGGGACAAAGGATGTTTCTGCGGTGATTTGGTTTGATTGATGACTGAGGAGCAGATGGACCCCAACTGCAACGCCTTCTAGGCTAAAAGAGGACCACATCCTGACAGGGGATCCTCGTGTCAGGGTCTTGGCAGATCACAGATGGCCACTCAGAAGGGATGACTGAAGAGAGTTTCATGAAGCATCCTCATGAATAACAGATAGATGGCAACTCTACAGTTGGCACTTTGGGGGCCATGGGTGTGGTCCTGTTGGAGAACTGGTAGGCAGAAAAGACACACACTTGCAGAAGTTGCTGCTGATTTCAGGAGTGTGTTGAGAATGAGCCACAAGCACTTTAATAACTGCCAATAGGTGGACAATGGAAGAGAAAAAAGAATGCAGTCTTGTTATAGTTTCCTGATGACACAGATTTCTCGAAGTGTCTCAGAAAAATACTTAGAAAGGGTATGAAAAGTTATCTTTAGGCCGGGCGCGGTGGCTCACGCCTGTAATCCCAACACTTTGGGAGGCCAAGGTGGGTGGACCACCTGAGGTCAGGCGTTCGAGACCAGCCTGGCCAACATGGTGAAACCCCGTCTCTACTAAAAATATAAAAATTAGCTTGGGCGTGGTGGCATATGCCCGTAGTCCCAGCTACTGGGGAGGCTGAGGCAGGAGAATTGCTTGAACCTGGGAGGTGGAGGTTGCAGTGAGCTGAGATCATGTCACTGCACTCCAGCCTGGGCGACGGAGTGAGACTCCATCTCAAAAAAAAAAAAAAAAAGAAAAGTTATCTTCAGTCTGGGCAACATGGCAAAACCCCGTCTCTACAAAATTTTTAAAAAATAAGTCAGGTGTGGTGGTACACATCTATGGTCCCAGCTACTCTGGAGGCTGATGAGATTGCTTGAGCCCAGGATGTGAAGGCGACAGTGAGCTGTTTCACACCACTGCACTCCAGTGTGGGCAACAGAGTGAGACCTTGACTCAGAAAAAGAAAAGTTATCTTTAGGACCTCCACCTCAAACTCTAAATTTTTTTTTTTTTTTTTTTTTTTGAGACGGAGTCTCATTCTGTTGCCCAGGCTGGAGTGCAGTGTCGCGATCTCAGCTCACTGAAACCTCCGCCTCCCGGGTTCAAATGATTCTTCTACCTCAGCCTCCTGAGTAGCTGGGATTACAGGCACACACCTTGATGTCTGGCTAATTTTTGTATTTTTAGTAAAGATGGGGTCTCACCATGTTGGCCAAGCTGGTCTTGAACTCCTGACCTCAAATCATCCATCCGCCTCGGCCTCCCAGAGTGCTGGGATTATAGGCATGAGCCACTGCGCCTGGCCTGAATTTCTTAAAAGCAAAACTAAACTAAACCCTTGATCATCTTTCTGGGAAAAGGGCATAGGCATTGAAAAACTTCAGTCCAGGGGAAAGCTGGGGATCTGATTTATTTAGAGCAGCACTTGGGGCCTGAAATTTAGCACTAGTTGGGTTCCCGGCTTAGCCTGTCCGAACACCTATGTGTTTTATCAGCACTAGAAGTTGGTAAAGGGAGGCTGGGCGCAGTGGCTCACACCTGTAATCCCAGCACTTTGGGAGGCCGAAGTGGGCGGATCACCTGAGGTCAGGAGTTTGAGACCAGCCTGGCCAACATGGTGAAACCTCGTCTCTACTAAAAGTACAAAAATTAGCTGGGCATGATGCGTGCACCTGTAGTCCCAGCTACTTGGGAGGCTGAGGCACAAGAATCACTTGAACCCAGGAGGCAGATGTTTCAGTGAGCCGAGATCGGGACCACTACACTCCAGCCTGGAATTCCATCTAAAAAAAAAAAGAATTTGGTAAAGGGAGATGGGAGTAGAGATGGCCCCCACACCCTTCTGAGGTGAAGGGAGCCAGTGCCAAATGGAAGGTTTCAGTGGCACCTACTTAGACCTGGCCAGCTAGAATGGATGGAAAGTTCTCAGGGCAGTAAATAGGATTTTGACTGGTGCTCTACAGTTCTTTGGAAAGCCAGGTGGGAGCTCCTTCTGCAGGATCCCTGAGAGCAGGGTGCCAAGTGTAAAGGGACTCCAGGGCCCTCCATCTGCCATCAGTGCAGGGGCCTGAAAACATTTTAGGAGAAACTGAGCTTTGGAGGAGGAGGCAGAGTTGTAATTAGAGTCCAGGTCTTCTTGACCTGGAAAATTTTATTTCTCAGGCTGCCTGTGAGTGTCTGAGAGGCTGGAGGATTTTGACACTACACCGGGCATTAGTTAACAAGAACTGAAGCCATAACTAGGCCTAATAATCAGAAATTGTTCTGAGACCTATGATACATGAAGTGCCAAAATAAATTCCAACTTAATTAAAAAGTTAAAGAATAAATATCACAAGAGAATTAGAAGAAAGCAACGGCAAATATTCAGTTAATCCTACAGTGACCAAGTCCTCTCTAAACACAATAGCAAAAGGGAAAAAAGCAATAAATTTGAAATATGTATGTGTGTGTGTGAATATATAACATTAAAAACTTCTGCATGATTAAAACAAATTATCAAAAAATAAAATTAGGCAGGGCACAGTGTGTCACAGTGTAATCCCAGCATTCTGAGAGGCAGAGGCAGGAGGATTGCTTGAGGCTGGGAGTTTGATGCTGCACTCCAGCCTGGGCAATAGAGCAAGACCCTGTTTCAAAAACACAAGAAAACAAAAGTAGAAAAATGCTAATGGCCAATAAGCATATGGAAAATATTAATTACAACAACAATGAAATATGACAAAGTATTAGTTCAAAACAATAGTTCTTCTGGATTGAGATAGGGAAAAACAAAATATCCAGTATTATCAAGGGTGCAAAGAAAGGGACATTCACATACATTTATATCTGGAAAATAAATTGGTTTCGCTTTTCTGGAGGGTAATTTGGCAGTTTATATTACAAACCTTAAAATGTGCATAACTTTTGACTCAGCAATTCCTCCTCCAGGAATTTATCCTAAGGGAATGAGGACAAACACAAAAACGTATCTATAAAAATGTTTATTGTAGCGTTAATAATGAAAAGTTGCTGGGAGGGAGTACTGAATGTTAAGCTTTGACAGAGCTAGGTAGTGGGTACATGGATCTTCATTTATTGCATTAATTTTCTATTGTTGCTGTAATCAATTACCATAAATGTAATGGCTTAAAACAACATAAATGTATTTATTTATTTATTTATTTATTTATTTATTTATTTATTGAGACAGAGTCTCGCTCTGTTGCCCAGGCTGGAGTGCATTGGCGCCATCTCCGCTCACTGCAACCTCTGCCTCCCAGGTTCAAGCAATTCCCCTGCCTCAGCCTCCCAAGTAGCTGGTGTCTACAGGTGTGTGCCACCACGCCCGGCTAATTTTTGTATTTTTAGTAGAGACGCAGTTTCACCATGTTGGCCAGGCTGATCTCGAACTCCTGACCCCAGATGATCTGCCCACCTTGGCCTCCCAAAGTGCTGAAATTACAGGCAACAAGACAAATTTATTATCTTACAGTTCTGGACAGAAGTCTGAGCCAGGTCTTATTGGGCTAAAGTTGAGATGTTGGCAGGGCTGTGTCCCTCTTTGGGAGATCCAGGAGGGAGTCCATTTCCTTGCCTTTTCCAGCTTCTAGACGCTGCCCACATTCCTTGGCTCATGGCCCTCTTCCATCTACAAGCCATCAACATAGCACCTCTCAGACCTTCCATTACCACATCTCCTTCTCGCTCTTCTGTCTTCCTCTTCCACTTTCAAGAACCCTTGTGATTCCACTGGGCCTACACAGATAATCCAGGATACTCCTTCTAGATTAAATCAGCTAATCAGCAACCTTTATTCCACTTGCCATGTAACTAAAGGTTCTGAGGATTAGGCCACTGATGTCTTTGGGGGCCACTATTCTGTGTATACAATTGTATTATTCTATATACTTATATACATTAAATATTTAATATTCACCAATTTTTATTAATTTTTAAGTATCAAATATTTAAAAACCCAAACCTAATGCCCAATTTAGTGTATGGCTGAAGTGAAAATATATATAGTCACAGGACAAATGCTATATGCCCATTAAGAAGCATAATGTAGAATATTCCAGCCTGGGCAACATGGCGAAACCCCATCTCTACAAACATTACAAAAATTAGCCAGGCGTGGTGGCTTGTACCTGCAGTCCCAACTACTCAGGAGGCTGAGGGGGGACAATTGCTTGAGCCCAGGAGGTCGAGGCTGCAGTGAGCCAAGATTGTGCCACTGCACTCCAGCCTGGGCAACACAGTGAGACCTTATTTAAAAAAAAAAAAGAATATGTAGTGACATGGAGTGATGCTCATTTTATAGTAAGTGGGAGGAAAATTCAAGTCTACAAAAGATTATGCACAAGATGATCCCAATTAGGTTAAGTCAAAACCCAAAATAAACCTATATCCAAGAGAGTAAAAAATATTGGGAAGGATATAGGTCAAAAGTTAAAAATGTTTATTTACAGATGGTAAATTTTCTTCTATTTTTCTGCATTTCCCAAAATGTATATTATACATGTATCCTTTTTGCAAAGACAAATAAGGTGATTAAGAACATCAAGTCAGGGCGGGACGCGGTGGCTCACGCCTGTAATCCCAACACTTTGGGAGGCCAAGGCGGGCAGATCACTTGAGGTCAGGAGTTCGAGACCAGCTTGGCCAACATAGTGAACCCCCCCCCCACCATCCCCCGTCTCTACTAAAAACACAAAAAGTAGCCGGACATGGTGATGGACACCTGTAATCTCAGGTACTTGGGAGGATTGAGGCAGGAGAATCGCGTGAACCCAGGAGGCGGAGGTTGCAGTGAGCCAAGATCGCGCCACTGTACTCCAGCCTGGGTGACAGAGCAAGACTCTGCCAAAAAAAAAAAAAAAAAAAAAAAAAATCCAGTTAGACCAATTTTCTGGTAAAGTGTCTTTCTGGTTTCTTGCCTTTTGGTCGCCCATGACACCCATTTTTCAAGCATAGAGTTTCCTCCTCAAAAATAGAGCATGCTGTCACGCGCCGGTAGTCCCAACTACTTGGGAGGCTGAGGTGGAAGGACTTCTTGAGCCTAGGAATTGGAGACAAGCCTGGGCAATATAGCAGGACCCTGTCTCCAAGGAAAAAAAAAAAAAAAAAAAGAATAATGGCGTGTTCCTGTGGTCCCAGCTACTCGGGAGGCTGAGGCGGGAGAATCGCTTGAGCCCAGGAGGTCGAGGCTGCAGTGAGCTGTGATGGCACCATTGCATTCCAGCCTGGGCAAAAAAGCGAGACCTTGTCTCAAATAATAATAATGATAAAGACTCATGTTCGGTCATCGGTGACATTCGCCTTTCTCAGGCCCCCTAGTTGTCCACTCTGCAAAGGACGAGTAATCCTCGGAAGGGGTGGGGCCTCTTAGTGAATGAGGCACAGCAGCGAATCCGTGCTGTTTTAAAAACTTTTTTTCAGAACAAAGCAAACCTAAGGCACAGCCATACCCCGCAGAAAACTTCGAAATCTGCGCCTTGAAAAGGGAAGCCAAAAGGATACGAGCCTCTTTCATAATCTCTCTGGCACGTATTAATGGTTAATAATACTGTATTTTTTAATACACAAAAGAAGAGAATAGTGGCATTGCCCCGTGTGCCCACCCCCAGAGCTAACCGAGAGCGGCCGGGCCAGGGGGCCGGGGGCTGAGCGGCCCGCCGGGTTCCGGGGTGGCGCCGGCCCCGGTGGCCGCGGGCGCTCCCTCGCCATGGCCTAAGCCCGAGGCCGCTCCCCAGCCAGATTCTGGCCTCAGGCACTGCAGAGCCCGCGGCGCTCGCCAACAAGCCCGTTAGACCCACGGGACTTGGCACCCTGGAACGCTCACCATCCCCGGGTCTTCCCTGCGCCCTGGACCCGAGTACCCTGCTGCGGCGTCCCCCTACCACCGAGAGGAGGGCCTAGAGCAGACAAGCCCGCCCCGCCGCTCCTCCCAGCAGCTTCTATCCCGGAAGTTGATGCCGAGCGCAGATCGCTTGCAGCTTGCTAGCTGTGTGGGCTGGGAGGTCTGGTAGGGCTGAGCTTGCAAGAGGATCAACATGCCTGTGAGTTGTTTACATCGGGCTCCGGGTTTGTTTTGGGCTTCTTTACCGAGAGTCATATGGGACGGATGAGTCCGGCTGCCTCTCGGGCCTGTAGTGTCCGAGAGTGGCGAGGCGGCTCAGGTTGCGCAGCGTCTTCGCGCGTGGCGGGCATGTAGTGACTTGCCCGGTCACCGCGGCGCGGCTGGCCCTGCAGGGGCGTGGGCTGCAATTCAGAGGCGGTGGCTGGGAGGGGAACAGTTCTCTGTGTAGCTTATGAGCGGTCTTGGTCTTTGAGGATGCCCCTGAGGTTGTGATCTTTGGGTCTTTTGGCTTTCCCAGTGATTGGTGTTTCTCGCCCCCTCTGCCTTCTTTCGGAAGCGATTTCCTACTTGTTTTCCTTTTTTAAAAACTGTCCTCGTTGTTGCCTTATATATTAATTCCGTCAAGGACGGTCGCTCAGCAAGAATTCCTGTCAGATCAGCTGTTGAGCCACAGGAGCAAAAATCACCCAGGCGCTGACGTTGTCTGGTCTACTTCAGCAGTTTCTACTCTAAGCGAGTCCACAGTCGGGGTCACTTTCTTTGCTTAGCACCTCGACTTCGCGCAGTTTTCATCGAAGACAGTTCATTACGCAGTTGAGTAAAGAAGGACAAAGTTTGCCTTACCATATGTTTCCTGATCGTGCGAAAGCCCTTTTCTAGGGACTTGGAGAACACAAGTATTATGAAAAGTACTGATGAAAGTTATTAACAGGTTTCGAAAAATAACTTTACTATCTGACGTGTTGCTTCTGCCGAGGATGACCGTTATTCCTGTTTTTGCATGTATATTTCACGTATGGTTAAATGTGCCAGCGTTGTGGTTTAAAACTAATAGTAATAATATGCTTCTTTGTTCAGTTGGCTAGAGATTTACTACATCCGTCCTTGGAAGAGGAAAAGAAAAAACATAAAAAGAAACGCCTAGTACAAAGTCCAAATTCTTACTTTATGGATGTAAAATGTCCAGGTAAAATTTGAAATCTTAATTCCTTTACTAAAGAAAATTTCTGTAGGGATTGCTAGTGTGGTGTGTATAGTTAAGATACATTAGAACCCTCTGTTGAGTAGAAGTGGGATTACAGAATTGGAAATGTCAGGGACATTTTCATAATAAATGTACTGAAACCATTGTAGAAACATTTCGGGGTAAGTGAAAACAGGCATTCAAAGGAGATATGCCATTTGACTTAGCAAGTCTTTAAGCTCTTCAGACGATGAGTTTTCTGTTTCATGATACAAAGAAAAGTCTGTTGATTCTTCAGTCTAAAGCTGTGCTGCCCAATACAATGGCCATTAGCTGAATGTGGCTACTGAGCACTTGTGGATAATCAAAATGTGGATACTCAAAATAGAGATGTTCTTTAATTGTAAAATACTCACTGGATTTTGACGATGTAGCACAGAAAAAAAATACATTGATTACATGTTGAAATGATATTTTGGAAATATTAAGTTTAATGAAATATATTATTGATTTTACCTGTTTTTAAAAAATTTTGTGTCGCTGCTAGAAAAGTTTATGTTACACATGTGGCTTGCTGTTTCATAGCACTGAAGTTACTGATTTTTTTACATATTACCAGAAATGTCGAACAGGTGCTGTTTTCCTCTGCTTTTCATTTTTAACATTGCCTTTTTTTTTTTTTAGGTTGCTACAAGATCACCACGGTTTTCAGCCATGCTCAGACAGTGGTTCTTTGTGTAGGTTGTTCAACAGTGTTGTGCCAGCCTACAGGAGGAAAGGCCAGACTCACAGAAGGTATATCATTTGGCATTCTCCAACCCAGTGATGAGATTGATGATTATAAATGTCTCTATCTTCACTGAAAAGTTTAAAGAAATCTTAATGATTACCAAAATAACTTATCTTTCATTGTGTGCTTTCAGTAAAGAATGGCCTGTTCAAATGGATATATTTATACTCTTGACCTTGCAGTGAACTCCATTGACTTATTTTTCTTAGTTTAGAACACATTTATTCACTTAGTTTGCTTAACTTGGAATAAATTAAGTCAGAATAGAAGCAAAAGAATAACTACATGTTATAGGACATGCAGATTTATTTATTTATTTATTTATTATTTTTTTTTTTTATTAGGAGTCTCGCTCTGTCACCCAGGCTGGAGTGCAGTGGCGCCATCTCAGCTCACTGCAACTTCTGCCTCCCCGGTTCAAGTGATTCTCTTGCCTCTGCCTCCCAAGTAGCTGGGACCACAGGCGCGTGCCACCATGCCTGGCTAATTTTTTGTATTTTTAGTAGAGGTGGGGTTTCACTGTGTTAGCCAGGATGGTCTTGATCTCCTGACCTCATGGTCTGCCCGCCTCGGCCTCCCAAAGTGCTGGGATTACAGGCATGAGCCACCTCGCCGGCCAGGACATACAGATTTTTAAAACCATATAGAATTTTAAAATTTCTTTTACAAAATTTTGTTCCATATATATTTAGTACATATAATAGTTTTTTTTTTATCATTGCCAGCTAAGCAACAGATAGCTAATATATAAGTTAAAATGCCAGAGATTTTACTTTTATGAGCAACTGCAATGATTAATATAAAAACCTAATTTTAATTCCTCTTTCACTTTAGTGCAATAAGAAAAAAAAATTATATATATAGTTTCCATAGTAATACTTGTAAATTTGTGATTCCATAATGATGTTATAAATTTGCTTGTGATATTTTGGGGAGCTGTAAGTTCCATGCTCTCACTGGAAGAGTTCAAGTGGATTGGCAGCAAATCTGAGATCTATTTGGTGTGACCTGGTGAGATCTAAATATGGAGTCAGCACATGATTTTTTTAAGAGTAATATTGCTAAGTAATATTGCTAAGTATACTTGGGAGATTTTTGAAACAAAGTATGTCATGTCATGATTTTGGAATTTAGTGCCCATATGCTGACAGATGGTTTAATGGGTCTATCTGTTCTAGAGTTTTCCTAATAGGTCTGAAAATACCTCTAATCAAAATTATTTACTTGAGAAAAGTATTCAGAATAGTTCCTAAAAATTAAGAGTATATCTTCTGACAGCTTGCTTGAAACAGTCTTCACTGTTGAATTCAGGCTCATGGTCTTAAGTAGACTTCATTATAGCATTTGAGAAACAGGAGTGACACTTATAGTCATACCAGAGTAAACTCAGATATGATAGATGTATTATAGCAAATTTCTGGTATAAAAGGATAAATAATCTGTATATGAGTATTAATCCAATATTCTTAAAACTTCAGTATTTTACTTAAAAGTACTTTTTGTCATTAAAATTATAGCAAAGGTAGAATGCACTTGTTTAATATACTCTCATGATTCTTTTGCAGGGTGTTCATTTAGAAGAAAGCAACACTAATGATTCAAACAGCTTCCTGAATTTTAATTTTGTGTTGTCTCACAGAAAGCCTTATCATAAATTCCATAATTCTAATTAATTTACCAAGATAATGTAATTACATTTGGTTTTGTAAGGTATACAGCAGTAATCTCCTATTTTGGTGTCAGTTTTTCAATAAAGTTTTGATTATGGGCAAATCCCCTCTTTTTCTTTTTTTAAAATATATTTGAGTATGCCATACATTTATATATATGGTGTATATGAATTTGGTTTAAACATTTTAAAATTTATTCTGATTAGTTTGTGTCTTTTTTTTTTTTTTTGAGAGAGAGAGTCCTGCTCTGTCACTCAAGCTGGAGTGCAGTGGTGCGATCTCGGCTCACTGCAACCTCCGCCTCCCAGGTCCAAGCAATTCTCTTGCCTTGTCCTCCCAAGTAGCTGGGATTATAGGCACACACCACCATGCCTGGCTAATTTGTGTCTCATTTTCAAGAGTAGAAACCCTAAATATTTTATTTTCATTCCTTTTCCAAATTGCTATGAATGGGATTAAAGGATTACAGATGTAAAGTCTATTATTTGTGAATTCTAAATGTAGTTCTGCTGTTGTACCTGTGGAAACATCTTAAAGAAGTACATATTTTGCACGTCCTGCACGTGTACCCCAGAACTTAAACTATAATTAAAAAGAATAGTTTCAAAAAAATACATATTGATCACAGTGTAATGCCTTGGATTTATGTGGCCTTGCTATACTACTATATAATTTAGGACAGTAACTGCTAGCTGGGGTGTGAGTTATTTATTGGAAGCTCCTTTTTAGGGTAGAAAATTTGAGGAGAAATCTGAAGTGGCATGATTTACCCGCAGAAGTCCTGGTTGGGGATAGTAGATGGTGTTGAATTCTCTGGCCCAGATAGGTGAGCACTCCTGACTACAGATGTGTGTTGAGTGGTTCTGGTGCCTGCCTCATTGTCATTTTCATAGTTTATGAAGTAATCCTGGGGAGCTGAGACGGGGAGTGTATCCACTCACTATACAACTCCTCATTGGACTAGGAAGATAGTCCAGTTTCTACTCTGCTTCTATTTGATTTGTTACCTTGTGGCAGGTATTTAAAACAGGCATTTCCTATCAACAGGTAGGCCTCTAATGTGAGCAACTGATCCTCTTACATACTGCTTAAATCAGAGAACTGTTGCACAAGAACTAAAGAATGATGGCAAGTTTGGGGTGTATATAGTTGTATAAGGAAGGCTGGGCGCAGTGGCTCACACCTGTAATCCCAGCACTTTGGGAGCCTGAGGCAGGTGGATCACCTGAGGTCGGGAGTTCAAGACCAGCCTGACCAACATGGAAAAACCCCGTCTCTACTAAAAATGCAAAATTAGCTGGGCGTGGTGGTGCATGCCTGTAATCTCAGCTAACTCGGGAGGCTGAGGCAGGAGAATTCGCTTGAACCTGGGAGGTGGAGGTTGTGGTGAGCCAAGATCGTGCCATTGCACTCTAGCCTGGGCAACAAGCACGAAACTCCGTCTCAAAAAAAAAAAGAAAAAAAAAATATATATATATACATATATATGTAGATGACCCAGAGATTCTCAGACTTTTAGTTTCTGACATCATTAGAATCTCAGTAATTTTTTTCAGGCCATTCCTTGGCCAAAAGAAATACCTAACAGTTACATTTATTAACTTATGTTCTAACAACTCTAGTAGCCATTTGAAAAAAACTATACACACACAAGAGCAAAAGTGATGTGATGATTTTTTTAAAAATAGAGACAGTGTCTTGGCTCTATTGCCCAGGTTGGAGGGTCATAGCTCATTGTGACCTCAAACTCCTGGGCTCAAGCAAGCCTCCCACCTCTGCCTCCTGAGTAGCGGAGACTTCAGGCACGTGCCACCACGCCCGCCTAATTTTTTTGTAGAGATGGGGCTCTGGCTGTGTTGCCCAGGCTGTAAGGAACTCCTGGCCTCAGGTGATCTGCCTTGGCCTACCAAAGTGCTGGGATTACAGGTGTGAGCCACTGTGCCCAGCCTGATGTGATAATTTTTATCTCATCCTTAAATCATCACAGTTACTAATGGAATGTGTGTGCCTTTTGGGCTCCATACAGTTTCTCAAAATTGAAATCAGATTGGACACCATTGTCCTTATTTCTTCCACATTGATTTTTGCATGGTGCTTTTTGTCATAGCAGTGGCTCCAAACCCAGCTTCACAAGGATAGGATGCCATCAAAGGGAATGTAGTGCCATATCATATTGAAACTGAACTTCCTGGAACTAGTAGTTTATACAAAAGATGCGTCAGTGTCAAGTGTTTTTCCTGAGGTACTCCAAGGCACTTCAGCTTGCACAGTTTAGGATACTTGGCTATAAGGAGAGACAGTGGGATGACAGCTTTTGATGAGAAGGAATCAAACCTATGATGAGGACTAATCTAACAAACCCTGAAAATTCCCTTGGAAGTATTTTTTAAAAAAGGATTATACTTTAAAGACCACATCTAAGGGCTGGGCGCGGTGGCTCACACCTATAATCCCAGCAGTTTGGGAGGCTGAGGCAGGCAGATCACTTGCAGTCAGGAGTTCGAGACCAGCCTGGCCAACACAGTGAAACCCCGTCTCTACTAAACATACAAAAATTAGCTGGGCGTGGTGGTGTACACCTGTAGTCCCAGCTACTTGGGAGGCTGAGGCACAAGAATTGCTTGAAACCAGGAGGCAGAGGTTGCAGTGAGCCAAAATCGCACCACTGCACTTCAGCCTGGGTGACAGCGTGAAGCTGTGTCTCAAAGAAAGAACACATCTAAGGATTTACATGGCATTGGGAAACGAATGGTGTATTAAGTTTTACTTTATTATTAATCTAGATGGTATTACTGGTTTTGAAAAGTGCTGAATAGGACACCAGGACTTTCCCAAACTTCAGGGTCAGCCACATACATTATTATATACTGAATGTTTTAAATATTATTTATATTGACTTCATATTTTAATGTAAATATATTTGTAAAGGAAACCTTCCATAAACTTAATATAAATTTATTTTTAGGGGAAGGCTTCCTAAATGGAAAAACCAGTTACATAAAGATAGCTAAAAATAGGCCGGGCGCAGTGGCTCACGCCTATAATCCCAGCACTTTGGGAGGCCGAGGCGGGTGGATCACGAGGTCAGGAGATCGAGACCACCCTGGCTAACACGGTGTAACCCCGTCTCTACTAAAAATACAAAAAATTAGCCGGGCATGGTGGTGGGCGCCTGTAGTCCCAGCTACTTGGGAGGCTGAGGCAGGAGAATGGCGTGAACCTGGGAGGCGGAGCTTGCAGTGAGCCAAGATCACGCCTCTGCACTCCAGCCTGGGTGACAGAGCAAGACTCCAGCTCAAGAAAAAAATAAATAAGCTAAAAATAAAATGAAATTCTTGGCTTCTGGCCTGATGAGATGACAAATGGTTTTGTGTCTGGTCGTTCCTGTAAGTCATCTGATAAAGCTCTAATTCCTTTCTGTTTTATTTTTCTGGAGATATGATTCAGATACTATAAAATCCAAACTTCTGTGATGTAAAAGTCAGTAGTTTTTACTATATTTACAAGGTTGTGCAACCATTACTACTGTCTAATCCCAGACCATTTTCATCACCTTAGAAAGAAACTTCATACCTATCAGCATTCACTCCCTATTCTTCCCTCCTCTCAGCCATTGGCAGCCACTAAGCTACTTTTGTCTCCATGGATTTGCTTCTTCTCAATATTTCATATAATGCTATTTCGTATAAATGGAATCACATGGTATGTAGCTTCTGTATGTTTCACTTAGCATAATGTTTTCAAGGGCTGTCCATGCTGTTGCATGTATCAATATTTCATTCCTTTTTTTGACAATATTCTGTGTAATAATATACAATGTTTATCCATTCATCAGTTGATAGATACTTAGAGTGTTTTCACTTTTTATTTATTTATTTTTGAGATGGAGTCTTGCTCTGTTCCCTAGGTGGAGTGCAGTGGCGTGATCTCAGCTCACTGCAACCTCCTCCACCTCCCAGGCTTGAGTGACCCTCTGGCCTCAGCCTCCCGAGTAGCTGGAACTACAGGCACGTGCCACCACACCCCGCTAATTTTTTGTATTTTTTGTAGAGATGGGGTTTCGCCATGTTGCCCAGGCTGGTCTTGAACTCCTTGCCTCAGGCCATCCGCCCACCTCAGCCTCCCAAAGTGCTGGCATTACAGGTGTGAGCCACTGCATCCGGCCAAATAAAGTATTCTTAATGACATCTGCAAAATCCATTTTGCTATGTAAGGTAACATATTCGTAGGTTCTGGGGATTAGGGTGTGGGAATCTTTAGAGGGCCATTATTCTGCTACCACAGAATATAAAGTTGTAAAATTCTACCCCATATTTGGAAACTGAGATTCTTAAATTATGTCTTTGTAATTCTCTTTTTTCTTTTTCTTTCTTTTTTTTTTTTTTTTTTGAGACGGAGTCTTGCTCCGTCGCCCAGGCTGAAGTGCAGTGGCGCAATCTCAGTTCACCGCAAGCTCCTCCTCCTGGGTTCACGCCATTCTCCTGCCTCAGCCTCCAGAGTACCTGAGACTACAGGCGTGTGCCACCACGCCGGGCTAATTTTTTTAAAGTATTTTTAGTAGAGATGGGGTTTCACCGTGTTAGCCAGGATGGTCTCGATCTGCTGACCTCGTGATCCGCCTGCCTCGGCCTCTCATGTCTTCGTAATTTTCCATGGAAAAAAACTTAAATCTTTGGAAGGAATAGAGTACATTATTGCATTTTACAAAGAAAAGGATAACTTTTATAGAATAATGACCTTGTATTCTTTTAGGATTTTACAGCTACTTTTTCACAACTATAGGCATAGAAAATGACATCAGGGGCCGGGCGCGGTGGCTCACGCCTGTAATCCCAACACTTTGGGAGGCCCAGGCGGCGGATCACGAGGTCGAGATTGAGACCATCCTGGCCAACATGATGAAACCGCGTCTCTGCTAAAAATACAAAAATTAGCTGGGCGTGGTGTCGGGCGCCTGTAGTCCCAGCTACTCGGGAGGCTGAGGCAGGAGAATTGCTTGAACCTGGGAGGCGGAGCTTGCAGTGAGCCCAGATCGTACCACTGCACTCCAGCCTGGGCGACAGAGCAAGACTGTCTCAGAAAAAAAAAAAAAAAAAAAAAAAAGAAATGACATCAGGTCATGGTGTTTGCTATTGATCGACACTTAAATAGCCTTTGAATTTTGTTTCAAAGGAGATGCCAGAATTGCAAATTTTCTCTGCTGATTTGTGTCCTACTGATTCTGGCTCGCTTTCCCCCTACACTACTAGGGCTACTCTCACTTTCACACCTAGCAAAACTTCACCTTTCAAAGAATTTAGGCAGAATAGTCCTAATTTAGTTAATAAGCTTTCATTTTAAATCTTAGGGAAGCAGTGTTAGTTTCAGTTATTCTATAGGAACAGAAATTGGAGCTGCCACAGCCTTTTGAACCAGAGCCCGGCAGACCCTCAGCTTCAGCCCTGCTCAGTGTTTTGTGTCTATGAAAGTCTTTTTAATTTTCTCATTACACATTTTATATATCATGCTATGTATTTAGAACAGAGGGGTTGTGTAAGATTATGACTCTATGTTCTTTATCTTGTCTTTGTATTAATTTGAAGTTGTGTTTTTTCTTTATTTGTAGCCAACTAATTAAAATACCAACATATTTATTTTTATTCATTTTTATGTGACAAACTTTTAAACTGAAGACTGCATCAATAAAATTGCATGCCATTAAATATGACTTTTATTGGATTGGTAAATTTTTAGAGATGCCTTTTTTTTTTTTTTAGACAGAGTCTTGCTTTGTTGCCCAAGCTAGAGAGTGCAGCGATGCGATCTCGCCTCACTGCAACCTCTGCCTCCTGGGCTCAAGTGATCCTCCCGCCTCATTCTCCCAAGTAGCTGGGACTACAGGCCCATGCCACCATACCTGGTTTATTTTTGTATTTTTTGTAGAGACAGGGTTTCACCATGTTGCCCAGGCTGGTCTCAACTTCTGGGCTCAAGTGGTCCGCCCATCTCAGCCTTCCAGAGCGTTGGGAATACAGGTGTGAGCTACTGCGTTGGCCTAGAGATGCTTTTTATGGGAAGTCACGATAATGGTTAAAACAGGCTTTAGAGTCAGATATGTGTGGGTTTGAAACAAGTGCTAGTTAATGGTTTGTGACCTTGTGAAAAAATAATAATATTTCTACTTAATAGAGTTATGTTGAAGGTATAATGAGATAGCATATACAAAGAGCTTAGCAAAATGCCTTCCCCACAGTAAGTGCTCTGTTAATAGTTTGTGTGGGCCAGGCGCGATGGCTCACGTCTGTAATCTCAGCATTTTGGGAGGTCAAGGCGGGTGGATCAACTGAGGTCAGGAGTTTGAGACCAGCCTGACCAATACGATGAAACCCCGTCTGTACTAAAAATACGAAAATTAGCCGGGCGTGGCATGTGCCGGTAGTTCCAGCTACTCAGGAGGCTGAAGCAGGAGAATCACTTGAACCTGGGAGGTGGAGGTTGCAGTGAGCCGAGAACGCGCCATTGTACTCCAGCTTGGGCAACAAGAGCGAAACTGTGTCTTAAAAAAAAAAAAATAGTTTGTGTGGTATTTTTTTTTAAGTGGAAAGCAGTCATGTCTATTCAACATCAAGTACTTTAATGTTCCATTTTTTCCCTAAAGTGATTTACCCACCTTACCACCACACTGGAGCATAGATATGTTAACTTTTGCTACAAAACAAGTCACCCCCAAATCTAATAGCTTAAAATGTTGACTTATTACTATTTCTCATGAGTATATGAGTTGGCTGCTTACTCTGTTGGTCTCATCTAGGTTCACTTACACAGCCACCTTCACCTGGAGGCTCAAATCATAGGTCTGGCAGCTGGTGCTAGCTGTCAGCTGGGGCATCTCTGTTCCCCTCCACATGGTCCCCCATCCTTCAGTAAGCTAGTCTGGCTTCTTTACATGGCAATCTTGGGGTAGTGTTCTTAGAAGGTGGCAGACAAAAGCTTGAAAGCCACTTAAAGCCTATGCAGTGGGACTTGTGCAACATTATTTCCACCACATTCAGTGGGTCAAAAAGCAAATCATAAAGCAAGACCAGATTCAAGAGAGTGGAGAAAGAGCTCCACCTTTGGATGGAAAAAGCAGCAAAATCACATTGCAAAGTTGCATGCACAATGGAATGAGAGGAAATCGTGGCCATCAAAGAATTGGTGGTCGGGCACGGTAGCTCATGCCTGTAATCCCAGCACTTTGAGAGGCTGAGGCAGGAGGATTGCTTGAGTCCAGGAGTTCAAGATCAGCCTGGACAATATTGTGAAACCCCTACTCTACAAAAAATTATCCAGGCATAGTGGAGTGCACCTGCATTTCTAGCTACTCAGGAAGCTGAGGTGGGAAGATCACCTGAGGCTGGAAGGTCAAGGCTGCAGTGAACCATGATTGTACCACTGCATTCCAGCCTGGGTGACAGAGTGAGACCCTATCTCTAAATAAATAAATAAATAAAAATAAAAGAAAATTCCAAATGGGGGCCCAGGCATGGTGGTTCATGCCTGTAATCCCAGCACTTTGGAAGGCCAAGGTGGGCGGATCACTTGAGCCCAGGTTACAGTGAGTTACGATCATGTCACTGCACTCTAGCCTGGGTGCCAGAGCAAGATTCTGTTTCTAAAAAATAAATAAATTCCAAATAACATAAAACACTAACATTAAAGAAACATTAAACATTTAATGTTAAAATAACATTAAAGAAAGGCATGACATTTTTATGTTTATCTAAGGGCACGGATTGAAAACTTGACAAACATGAATACAGGACCTAGAGATCAGAAGTCAGAAAGAAATAAGGAGATGAAATGGATCTGTTTTAGAGAGCTGCTCTCTTTCTACTTCAACCAACTCAGAGATATCCATCTATTTACTTGTATAAAGTGTTAAGGGAAGAAACAGATTTAGGGCTCAGAATTATAGAAAAGCCCTTCCTTTATTAGGGTGTATAAAAACTTTGATTTCTTTTTGAATTTTCCTGAGTTCAGTGGCACACTGGTAATCTCTAGTACACATGATCTGTGGCTGTTAGAACAAAATTCCCCAATACGTTAACACTGCAGCCTCCAAAATGGCTCCCAATGATCCCAACCTTCTGGTATCCACTCCTTTCTACAGTCCTCTCCCACACCAAATCAGGGTTGGTTTCTGTAACCAACAGAATTTGGCATAAGTGATGGCATATGGCTTCCAAGGCTGATTTATAAAAGACATTGAGGTGTTTCCCTGTTTCTTCAATCGCCTGCTCTAAAGGGAAGCCATAGCACAGACAAGCAGACCTATGGAGAGGGCCATGTGGTGAGAAACTGAAAACTCTTGCCCAAAGCCAGCAAGCCACAAAGACCTCTTGCCCATGGCCACGTGGGTGAATCATTTTGGAATCAGATTATCCAGCCCCAGTCAAGCCTTCCCTCAGATGCCTGAAGCCCCTGCTGACATCTTGTCTACAAACTCATGAGACCCTGAGCTAGAAACACCCAGCAAAGCTGCCCCCAAATTTCTGAAACACAAACTGTGAGACAATAAGCTTTGGGGTAATTTGTTATGCAGTAATAGATAACTAATACACATTATACTACAGGAAAAAGCTCAAGACACAGAAGGCCAGATATGGTGTGATTCCATTTATATGAAACATCCGTAACAGGCAAATCCAAAGAGATAGAAAGTAGATTGCTGGTTACCAGGGGCTGGAAGGACAGAGGAATGGGGAGCAAATGCTAATGGGTATGAGGTTTCTTCTTGGGGTGAAAATGAATTGGATAGTGGTAATGGGTACATAATCTCGTGACTATACTAAAAACCACTGAATTGTACACGTTAAAGAATTTTATGGCATATGGACTGTGAATTATATCTAAATTACGTGTGTGTGTGTATGTGTGTATGTATTTGGAACAGAGCAGCGGATGGAAGTTGGAAGGACTTTAAGGAAAGTGTTAATGAAAACCTGAAGAGCCTTGAAGAAATTGTTGAGAAGTATGGCCTTTGAAGAGGCTGCAGGTGTAGTCTTAAGGAAAGTAAGAGAAATCTTATTGGCAATTAGAGGAAGGGATTCTTGTTTAGTACTGACAGAAAATTTAGCAACACTGTCGCCAGGAGTAACTCAGAAAACAGAAAATGTGCCTAATGAATTGGGTGACTAGCTGATGGGATTTCCATATGCAGTGTTTTTTTTTTTTTGTTGTTGTTTTTTGTTTTTTTGTTTTGAGGCTGGGTAATTTATAAAAAGAGGTTTATTTGGCTCACGGTTCTGCAGGCTGGACAGGAAGCATGGTGCTGGCATGTGCTTCTGGTGAGGGCCTCAGGAAGCTTACAACCATGGCGGAAAGAGAAGGGGGAGCCCGGATGTCACAGGGCAAGAGAAGGAGCAGAGAGCCATACACAGTGTTGAATGTGCTTCCTTAATTCTTGTTGCTTATACTAACATGCAAGAGAAAGATAAGCTAATGGAAGAACTATTGGTAAAGAATTAATAATTGATGGTTTAAAAAATTCCCAGACTCTTCAGATTGCAAATGATGCCAAAATTAAGAAATGGCTTCAAGGCAAAGATAATAATTGAGGGCACTTCCAGGAAAACATAGTCTAAAGATGATATTGAGGGCATGACTATACAATCCTTTCTCAAGACTTCAAAATGAATCAACATGGTGCTTCAGAGAACTATTTAAACAATAGAGTTCATTAGATTATTAGCGTAATTAGTTCTTCCCATTATCTTGGCAGAGACAAGCCCCAAGTTAGAGAGGGGATATTCTGAAGGGACTTTGGGGTGGCTTTTGTCTACTGGCATAAACCCCAATAAAATTCACAGGATACTCTTAACATTTTAAAATATTATATTGTCAGTTAATAGGGTTGCTAAAAAAAATTCAAAAATTAGAGAAATAAAATATTATATTGGCAGAACCACTGTTAACTTAGATGGAAAGGAAAGAGAGTATAAAAAGGCCTTTGGGTCTCCAAACTTCTACAAGTGGAAAGCACACTGAGAAAACCACTCAGCTAGAAAGATACGCTACCTTTCATGAAAAAAAGGTATGGGGAAGCGGCCAGGCTTAGTGGCTCACGCCTGTAATCCCAGCACTTTGGGAGGCCGAGGGGGGCGGATCACCTGAGGTCAGGAGTTCGAGACCAGCCTGGCCAACATGGTGAAACGCTGTCTCTACTAAAAATACAAAAATTAGTCGGGAGTGGTGGCACGCACCTGTAATCCCAGCTACTCGAGAGGCTGAGGTGGGAGAATTGCTTGAACCCAGGAGGCTAAGGCTGCAGTGAGCCGAGATTGTGCCACTGTACTCCAGCCTGGGTGACAGAGGGAAACCCTGTCTCAAAAAAAAAAAAAAAAAAGTAAAAAAGAACAATTAAAAAAAGTATAACTCAGGGGCTGGGTGCGGTGGCTCATGCCTATAATCCCAGCACTTTGGGAGGCTGAGGTGGGTGGATCACTTGAGCCCAGTAGTTGAAGACCAGCCTGGGAAATATGGTGAACAGCTGTCTCTTAAAAAAAAGAAAAAGTATAACTCGTAAGGTAGAACTAAGAGCCCAGAGAACATAGCCAAGAACTAAGAATTATTCTGAAGCCTTGAATACTAATCAGAGTTGCCAACCTCTGTCTGACTGAATTTCAGAATTGCCAGTCTCCTGTATGTCTTCCACTTCCCTACTTTTTGAAGAGGACGGTATCTAGCAATTATCCTATATCTGCTGTGCTACGGTATGTTACACATATGGGGAGCAAATAACTACAGTTCACAGGTCTTAAGAGAAACTACTTGAGTTGCTGTACCTAAGGAACTCATCCCAAGGAGCCCTCATTCACACTTGCACCTGACCTGATTTAGATGATAAGATACTGGGCTTTGAGCTGATGCTATATTAAGGTGAAACTTCTGGAGGATTTGAAAGGAGGTAAGAGTATTTTGCATTGGGAAGGACATAAATCATTGGGGACCAGAGGTCAGACTGTGGTACCCAACTTCCAAGTTGACACCCAGTGATTCCTGCCTCCTAATATTCACAATGTATATAATCTCTTCAACATTTATTAGGCCCCATGTAACCCATGGAATTTGGCAAATGTGATGGTATGTGACTTGAGGCTAGTTTATAAAAGAGTGACTTCTGCCTGGCACTCTCTGTCTCATCACTTACTCTGCGGGAAGCCAACTACCATAAGATACTCAAGCAGCCCTACAGAGAGGTCCATGTGGTGACAAACTGAGTCCCCTTGCCACCCACCAGCCAGAGAACTGACTCTTGCCAGCAGTCATGCAAGTAAGCCATGTGGAAGCATTTCCTCCAGCCCTGGAGAATTCTTCAGATGATCATAACACCTTGTCTGCAACCTCATTAGAGACCGCGCCAGACCCACGTGACTATATTGCTCCTGATTTCCCGATTCCTTCTCTGAACGTTTCTTTTAAGCTGTAGTGGATAACTAATATACCATTTCTCATGCTTTTGTTTCTGCTCTCATATTAAAAGGATATTTGGGCTGGGCACAGTGTCTCACGCCTGTAATCCCCAGCACTTTGGCAGGCTGAGGCGGATGGATCACCTGAGATCAAGAGTTCGAGACCAGCCTGGCCAACATGGCGAAATGCTGTCTCTATTAAAAATTCAAAAAGTGGCTGGGCATGGTGGTGGGTGCCTGTAATCCCAGCTACTTGGGAGGCTGAGGCAGGAGAATCGCTTGAACTCAGGAAGCAGAGGTTGTGGTGAGCCAAGATCACACCACTGCACTCCAGGCTGGGTAACACAGCAAGAGTCCATTTCAAAAAAAAAAAAAAAAAAAAAAGAAAAGAAAAAAAACCTCGGATATTTGGAGGCTCCTGTTGAATGAGATTTTCTCTGTATTACACATGCAGAAAGTACATATTTTATCAGAATATTTTATTTCAAGAGTTAACACTTTTTTCAAAAAGTAAAAACAATATAATTACTTCCCTGAGTATAAAGAACCAATTCTACAATAAAAGACCATTACAAAATTAAGCAATTAGAGGTACATAATTCTCTGCATTCAGTTATACTCTATTTCAAATTTATTCTTAAAAATGTCATGTTTTGGAACTTTAATGTTTCAAAAAAACCTCAGAACAACTCATTTTGCACCTATGGTGTTAAGGTTATCAGTCTGATCTGTCTTTATCAAATTCAAGGGCAATCTTCAAAGCGGTGCTATTGAGGCCAACAGATTGCATGTTACATATGATAGAAACAATGATTCCTCTTGGGGGAACCTTGTTATTTATAGTCTCTGTATCCAGTTCTTCAGGAAGGACCAGCAGGACACTACTGGCACCCACTGCCCCTCCAGTATGTGAAGCATAATGCCGTTGCTTTCTACACGAACCATACGTTTGTTTCCTTTCCACAACACCCCACGCCATTGCATATTTACCCTCTTTATCCCAAGACATCTCTGTGTTAGGGACTGGGGTCCACATCATAACCATTGTTTCTGGTTTGAGGTATCCAGGTAAAAGATTTTCATTTGAGTTCTTAAACAGCCCAACTTGGTAACCATAAAGCATTGCATTCCCAAATTTCAGAAGGTCACCCACTGTAGACAGAAATCCACCACCAGCCCATTTATAGGAGTTATCCACGTAAGGTGTGTTGACAAGACGTTTCTTTTTATTGTAAACATAAAATCTAAAAGGAAATAAGAAATGATCATGAAAAATTTCATAGTCACTGGCTTCACACATGATGATAGAAAAATGTATACATGAGAGAGATTGTATTTCAATGTAATGATCATACATTCTCAGAAACTATAAACTAACCACTAATTTTCAGTATGATTCAGGTCCTAATGACACACAGATAACTAAGTAAGATAGTCTAATTACCTTTTGAATTAAAGCATAGAAAGTGGTTTTTTTCTATTGGTATGGCTTGTCCATGCTGAGTGTATCAAACCTTTAATACCTGCAAAAATGTATTGGTTAATATTACACATGACATATTTGCCCTGTGCATATGGAGAAAGTTATCATTTGGTAGATATTCCTTGTCCTTGGGGTTAATGTTGCATCGTGCCACAAATGAATTTTATAACCAAAACTGTAAACATCCAAAGCACTTTGGGATGTTTAGGAATAAGGTTATTTGTAAGATGACTAGATTTCTTGGATAAAAATACCATATAAGCTGGGTGCAGCAGCTGGTGCCTGTAATCCCAGCAACTCAGGAGGCTAAGGCAGGAGGATCACTTGAGCCCAGGAGTTTGAGTCCAGCCTGGGCAGCAAAGCAAGACCCTATCTAAAAAAAAATTCTAAACAAAATACCATATACATATCATATATAATGATGTGACATGGTAGTTTCTTGGTGCAGTGGGAAAGGCTGGAGTTAGCAAACCCTAGTTTGAATCCTTTCTTCTTTTTTCAAGATTCTTATACGTCCCCTAAAAGTACAAGTCATAATATTGAGTGAAGTAGGGTTGGCAGTTAGGAAATGAGTGGCCACAGGTATGTGTCTGAAGATTTTAAAAAAGAGGTGGTTTTCTCATTGTCTCAAAATCAACATGTCTGTCATGTTTCTCTCCATTAAAACCTTCATTATACAACTTTTAATGACTTTCTTGCCCTAAACTCTCACATCCAGTAAGATGCTAAATCCTATTTATTCAATCTCTGCTTTGTGTCTTACCCTTCTCCCTTCCTTCTATTCCTATGACAACTCTCAAATTTTAGGCCCTCATTACTTTGTGTCAACTCCTGATTATATTTGTAATTCCAGCCAACCAAATAAAATTAAATCTAAAAGTTACATAATAGAAACACATTTTTTCATTGAGAAATAAATTTCTACTTTTCTTTTGAGACAGAGTCTTGCACTATTGCCTAGGCTGGACTGCAGCGGTACAATCATGGCTAACTGTAGCCTCAACCTCCAGGGCTCAAGCAATCTTCCTGCCTCAGCCTCTTGAGCAGCTGGGACCACAGGTGTGTACCACCATACCTGGCTAAGATTTTTTTTTTTTTTTTTTTTTGGTAGAGATGAAGGTCTCACTGTTGTCCAGCCTGGTCTCGAACTCCTGGCCTCAAGCAATCCACTCGCCTCTGCCTCCCAAAGTGCTGGGATTACAGGCATGAGCCACTGTGCCCAGCCAATAATCAGCTTTCTGTAACTTCTTTTTTTTGAGACAGAGTCTTGCTCTGTTGACCAGGCTGCAGTTTGGTTCTCCTGCCTCAGCCTCCCCAGTAGCTGGGATTACACGTGCTGCCACCATGCCCAGCTAATTTTTTTCTGTATATTTACTTATTTATTTTTGAGACAGACTTTCACTCTTATCGCCTAGGCTGGAGTGCAATGGCGCGATCTTGGCTCACTGCAACCTCCACTTCCCGGGTTCAAGTGATTCTCCTGCCTCAGCCTCCCGAGTAGCTGGGATTACAGTTGTGCGCCACCACATCTGGCTAACTTTTATATTTTTAGTAGAGGTGGGGTTTTGCCATGTTGGCCAGGCTGGTCTCAAACTCCTGACCTCAGGTGATCCGCCCACCTTGGCCTCTCAAAGTGTTGGGATTATAGGCATGAGCCACCATGCCCGGCCTATTTATTGATTTTTGACACTGAGTCTTGCTCTGGTGCCCAGGCTGGAGTGCAGCAGCACAATCTCAGCTCACTGTTCCTGGGTTCAACTGATTCTCCTGCCTCAGCCTCCCCAGTAGCTGGGATTACAGGCATGCACCACTATGCCCAGCTAATTTTTTTTTTTTTTTTTTTTTTGGATTTTTAGTAGAGACGGGGCTTCATCATGTTGGCCAGGCTGGTTTTGAACTCCCGAACTCAGGTGATCTGCCTGCCTCGGCCTCCCAAAGTGCTGGGATTATAGGCGTGAGCCACTGTTCCTGGCCGATTTTTTTTTTTTTTTTTTTTTGAAACAGAGTCTTGCTCTTTCACCTAGGCTGGAGTGCAGTGGCACGATCTCGGCACACTGTGATCTCTGCCTCCCGGATTCAAGTGATTCTCCCTCAGCCTCCTGAGTAGCTGGGATTACAGGCGCCCACCACCACGCACAGCTAATATATATATATAGTATTTTTAGTAGAAACGGGGTTTCCCTATGTTGGCCAGGCTGGTCAGAAACTCCTGACCTCATGTAATCTGCCAGCCTTGGTTTCCCAAAGTGCTAGGATTACAGGTGTAAGCCACTGCGCCCAGCTCTGTAACTTCCTTTTAACAGTAAAGCATTTCAAACCACTTACATTAAGACTGGAAACTAGAACTCCTCAGTCATTCCTCCTTTAAATATAAAAATATGGAGACTTCTAGACTTTATAATTCTAGCTTTAATAAGCAAATTCTAGATTTTAATCTCTTAGTTCCTTTTCACATAGGACAAATTAGTACATTTTTATGAAAATAATTTTATTCAGCTGAAAGATAAACTTTACCATTTCAAATTCCTAGAACATTTCTGCTTAAAAGAATATAGACACAAGTTCTTGACTAGGTTACTGAGACATTTTTGTAACTAACTGATGGGATGACGCCAGATGACAAACAGCTTCTTCATACTTATTTATAAGAATCTCCAGATTCTGCACAAGAATGTTATATCACCACAGAAATCTACATCTACAAACTTAGAAACTAAAAATACTTTTTTTCAAGGGTGGGGGGACAGGGTCTCACTCTGTCACCCAGGCTGGAGTGCAGTGGTGTGATCCCAGGCTCAGGTAATCCCCCACCTCAGCCTCCTGAGTAGCTGGCACTACAGGCACACACAACCTTGCCTGGCTAATTTTTGTATTTTTTGTAGAGAGAGGGTTTTGCCATGTTGCTTAGGGTGGTCTCGAACTCCTGGGCTCAAGTGATCCACCTGCCTCCACCTCCCAAAGTGCTGTGATTACAGGCATGAGCCACTGCGCCCAGCCTTATTTTTAAAATGCTTCTTAAATGTCTTTAGAGACAATATTCATCACTTGGTATTTATTGTTATAAGAAGTTTGAAAACCAACATAATTTCAAATGCATGTTATAAAAACAATCCCACTTTAACATTTAGTATTAACATTTGAATTGAACTACCAGTAGAGAGTCTGTCAGCTAAAGGCATGAAAAAGAGCTTGATATGGAACAATTCTTAATTCTAGAAGACACTTTAGAAATAGAAGGTAAAGGCCATATTTATACTGTCAAAATACAGCCAAAGTTGAGAGAAGGTGGGGGATGGTTAACGGGTACAAAAGAAACATAAATAATCAATAAGATCCAGTATTTGAGAATACAACATGGTGATTATGGTCAATAAAAATTGTACATTTTAAAATAACTAAAAGAGTAGGATTGGATCATTTGTAACACAAAGGATAAATACTTGAGGGGATGGATAACTCATTTTACACGAGTGATTGTTTTGCAGTGCATGCCTGTATCAAAACATCTCACGTACCCCATAAATATATACAGCTGCTATGTACCCATAAAAATTGAAATTAAAAATTTTAAACATTAAAAAATGCAGCAAACACTCCAGAAAATATTCATTTTATTTGGTTTTCATCCCATCTAGTTATAAAATTAGAAATTTTTGTTGCAAACATTGTGCCAAACACATAAAAAATATGGCCAAGTTCTAATAATAAGCCGAGGCATTGACTGAGGATTCCCCTATCAACAAATTGAGTGTCTTTCAGTGGCAAGAACATTCACTGAGCTCCTTTGTGATGTTCACTTACTGGGTTATTTAGTGTACTTGCCTATACAGAGTATATTTGCTACACAGAATCAGTATAGTTATGTGCCTAAACAGAAACAGTGTCCCCACTGTTCCATTTAAGAAAATCCCAATTTTATTCAAGACAACAACATATCCAGTTAAAAACAATTCTCTTGCCTCCCTTACAGCTAAGTGTGATGTTGTGACTCAAATCTGAGCAAAAGAATTTAAGTGCTATTGTGAGGTGGGATTCTGGTGAGATACTTTTAAACAGGTGACAGACACCGTATGGTACTATTTTAAACACATGCATAAACACACAGAGAAGTGATAAAGAAGAGAAATATTTACTCCTGGAAACATAGTAACTCTAAAAAGCCTTAGTCAGGATATTATAAACAGGTTTATGGTTATACCCAACAAGTCAGTAGACTACATAACGAAGCTGGAAACATTTTTTTCCCCTCAAAATGGTACCATAAAACAAATGAATCCAAACATATATATTTATTAAGTTTTACTTCAAGGTTTTATTTTTGCCTGTATCTTTGAAGAGATTCCTTTTACTCCCTGAACTCCCCCAAAAAGCTGGTGCCTTTAAACTCCTTTAAAATAATTATTACAAAAAAGAATCAGAGTTGAGTTTTAGAGGCCCAAATAGATACTGTATCAAATAAAATAAATAAAGCAAACAGACAAAACATTTTCCTAGGTAACAATATTTCCTCTTTTAGTGCCCTATTTTATTTCAGCAGCCCATTTTATCTAACTAAAATGAATCAACTACCCTTTAGAACCATCGAGAACTACCAAAAATTAAAACAAGACAAAACAAAAAAACCAAACCAAAAGCATCTCAGAGCTGATAGGGACCCTTAACACTAGAGATAGAAACCCATCGCCTTTTTTCAAAGAATAGAAAATAAAATGAGCTAGGCTCACGCCTGTAATCCCAACACTTTGGGAGGCTGAGGAGGGAGGATCATTTGAGGTCAGGAGATCAGCCTGGGAAACACAGCAAGATCTCATCTCTACAAAAAAATTTAAAAATCAGCCAGGTGTGGTGGCACACATCTGTAGTTCCAGCTACTTGGAAGGCTGATACAGGAGGATCACTTGAGCCAGGGAGTTCAAGGCTGCAGTGAGGTATGATTGTGCCACTGCATTCCTGCCTAGGCAACAGAGTGAGATCTTGTCTCAAAAAAAAAAAAAAAAAGAAAAGAAAATGAAATTGACTCACCATCATATGGCATATTTTGATTTTTGCGCAAGTCACAAGTTAATTACTCATCAAGAAAACAGGAAATAATAGCTGCTCTGCAGTCTGCACATTCACAGAGACTTAATTTCTAGCTTAGAAAAGAGGCTCAATGAGTGGACATAACGTCCTTCTCCCCCTTATACACAGAGCTAGACGTCCATTTTCAAACTTTCAGATGTCTAGATCTAAATCATAGTAAGGTCATACATCCATGCCATCTTTACTAGAGAATCTTTTTTTAGATTCAACTGACAACTTCTGGTATTTGTCTTTTGTTTTTGAGACAGGGTCTCATTCCATCATCAGGTTAGAGTGCAGTGGCATGATCACAGCTCACTGCGGCATCAACTTCCTGGGCTCAGGTGATCCTCCCCGCTCAGCCTCCAAGTAGCTGGGACTACAGGCGCATGCCACCATGCCCGGCTGATTTTTTTTGTATTGTCTGACAGGGTTTCACCATGTTGCCCAGGCTGGTCTTGAACACCGAGGCTCAAGCAATCCACCCCTCTTGGCCTCCCAATGGTATTTATCATTTTTCTTGTGCTTTCCAGTAAAATATAATGCTAGATCCAAAAATAATAAACACAAAGAGTCTGAAGTAGTTGAGAACCACAGGCCATTTAAAAAATTAAAATTCATTGCTTGTTGCTAATCTAATTTATTTTGGGTCCCCAAGAAATCTCTTTTAGGCCACAAACTGATTTGCAATGCATATTTAATCCTTTTAAATAAGCTGATAATTGAACAATTATAATTTAAATACAACAGAAGATTGAACAAAACTAGTATGTAGATAAGAACACAAAGCTAAAAAATTTTCCAAAAAAAGCCACCATTTCATCTATTTCTTTATAAAGTACAATTAAACCATTTGTAAAGCATGTACTAATGGAAATATGCAAGGTAAAAGTAATAGTTGATTTGTTAAATGTGCTACCTTTCTAACAAATCAAATAATAAAATGGAAAATAAAATATAACTGTAAAATTCCTATCAGTAATTAACATTCAAAATTCTCTTCCAAAGCCCCTTTCACAAATTACTAGCAAAAATTATAATAAAATTTTAGTTTGACATAGTCCACTGAATGGCTTTCAAACTTTTTTTTTAACCTCAACCCACAGTGAGGAATATATTTCTCCTTTTGACTGAATGAAAACACACACACACACACACACACACACATCACACACACATCACACCCTTCTAAAACAGAAGTTTTATGGAGCAACACAGTGGCCAGTGGCATAGATGGCTGGTTGTTCACAAAATTGACTCTTCTTCATTAGTAATAAAGTAAAGCAAGGCACATGCCTGCTCAGCTACAAATTACATTTCTCAGCCTCCCTTGTCGCAAAGTGTGACCATACAGCTAAGTTTTTGCCAACAGAAGGTGGACAGAAATGAAGTGTGACACTTGCAAGTCTGGAGACCTTAAGGCCCTGAGTACATGCTCCATACCCTTTCTCTTTTCAGGAGGCTGGGGCACCTGCAGGGCTGTGATTGAGCTTCAGGTGTACAGACAGGGACACCACTGTGGAGAGAGGAGCAGTAAGATGGATGAATCTGGCCTCTTAAAGGCTTGTGGGGAACCAATCAGAACAGCTCACCTCAGGAATGCTGCAAGGGGGAATTAAACTTTTATTTTCCTCACGCCACTGCATTTTGGTGCCCCTTTAATGCAGCAGCCTAACCTTTATCCCAAAGCTTATATTTACCTTTACTACCTGCAATGTACTTTATCATATTCTATTCTATTTTTTTCCATTAAAAAAAAAGAAATCCTGGTACTCAACCCACTAAACTGATTTTCCAACTCAATAATTGGACATACAAACCTACAGTTTGAAAACCACTATGGTATGAAGAGAGAGGAGTAAACAGATAAAAATCAGTAAAGAATACAAATACTTAAAAAACTGAATTAATTCTGACCACAAATAATCAAGATATAACTCAACTGGCCATTTTATAAACTTCTGACTCACCCTCCTAACATTTGACACAACTGCCCTTTCATAAGTATTTTGTTCTTTCTGAATTAAAGTATTTTTGAAAAGTTACCAAGTATTTGCTTTCCAAATACTTTTTCCTCTAATAATAAAACCCCAAATTACTTTAAAAAGTCAAACAAATCTTTATCGCATTTGCTAATACTGTGTCTCAAATTTTTCTCTACAAAATAAGCTCAAATGTTTATAATTTTAAAATTCAATACTTCCATGTGTGTTTTTTGAAGTATACCAGTTCAGACAAGAAATCTGTATTTAGTTCACATTACTTTAATCCTGTCTCATCTCAGCTGAACATGGAAATTTTTTAGCACTTTCATATAGTCTTGTGCTTGTTTTATTTAATTAACTAAGTAATTAATTAACGTTTAGAGACAGGATCTTGCTTTGTCACCCAGGCTGGAGAGCAGGGTATAATCATAGCTCACTGCAGCCTGAAACTCCAGGGCTCAAGTGATCCTCTCCTCCTGATTAACTAGGACCGCAGGTGTGCGCTACTATGCCCGCCTAATTTTTTAAAGAATTTTTGTAGGGATGGGGTCTCACTCTGTTGCCAAGGCTGGTCTCAAACTCCTGGCCTCAAATGATCCTCCTGCCTTGGCCTCTCAAAGTGCTGGGATTACAGGCATGAGCCACACAGCACCTGGCCAGAGTTATTTTAGATTATGTAAATTAGTAGTTAAAACTCTAAGTCATAGAAAATGTCTCCATAAGAGAAAGCATAAATTAAAATATAAAATTTGTAAAGGCTAAAAAGCTGACTAAACCCTTTCCTATTATAGTGGTAAATGAATCAAATATGAAATTATATAAAATCATAGCATTTTTCACTCCTAAGGGTAAAAATTCTAGTTAACTTGTCAAAATCTGTTCTAAAGCCTCTCCATAAAATATTAAAGTCTGCTTAAGCAATTTGCCTAGAATTTTGTTTGAACACCCAATTCAAATTTACGTAAGTAACTTCAACTTGATAGTTTATATTTAAAAGCTGTAAAAGAAAATGGAGAGAAAATGTCGTTTAAATGTTTTAAATCTTAAAACTTATTAAAAAGTACCTAAGGATGCCTCACTGTAAAACAGTGTTTATACCCAGATAGTTTTTAAGTGTTCAATTATTTTAGATATTGCTTTGTATTTTTATAATATATCAAAAAAAAATTTTTTTTAAATGGGGTCTCGCTCTCTTGCCCAGGCTGGAGTGCAGTGGTGCAATCACAGCTCAGTGGAGCCTCAAGTTCCCAGGCTCAAGTGATCCTCCCAACTCAGCCTCCCAAGTAGTCAGGACTACAGGTACACACTACCATGCCTGGCTAATTTTTTTTGTACTTTTGGTAGAGATGGGGTGTTACCATATTACCCAGGCTGGTCTTGATCTCCTGAGCTCAGACAATCCACCTGCTTCAGCCTCCCAAAGTGCTGGGATTACAGGTGTGAGCCACCTTGCCCCGCCCCCAAAATCTTAATTACTCTTATTAATGGCATGTAGCAGAGGTCTGCATAATCCAAATAAGAAGAGCATTTTAATGTTTACTATCAACACACACAAAATAAAGCAGAAAATCATTCAATTAAATATCTACACATATACATAAAAAAGAACAAAATCATGTCCTTTGCAGCAACATAAATGTAGCTAGAGGCCATTATCCTAAGTGAATTAATGTAGAAACAGGAAATCAAATACCACATATTCTCACTTGTAAGTAGGGGCTAAACACTGGGTACACGTGAACATAAAGATGGAAACAAGAGACACCAAGGACTCAAAAAAGGGGGACGCAGGGAGGAGGGCAAGGGTTAAAAAACTACCTATTAGGTACTAAGCTCATTATTTGGGTGACAGGTTCAATTTAAGTCCAAACCTCAGCATTATATAATATCCATGTAACAAACCTGCACATGTACACCCTGAATCTAAAATAATAATTACAAAAAGAAATTAGGGGATTACCATGTTAGCTACATATCTAAAGGGCAGTGTGGCCCCACTGATAACTATGTTACATAATCATCATATTCTTTTTTTTTTTTGTTGGGGGCGGTGACAGAGTCTTGCTCTGTTACTCAGACTAGAGTGTAGTGGGGCGACCTCAGCTCACTACAACCTCCACCTTCTGGGATCAAACAATCCTCCCACCTCAGCCTCCCGAGTAACTAGGACTACAGGCACGCACCACCATGCCTGGCTAATTTTTGTATTTTTTGTGGAGACGGGGTCTCACTATGTTGCCCTAGCTAGTCTCAAACTCTTGGGCTCAAGCAATCCTCCTGCCTTGGCCTCCCAAAGTGCTGGGATTACAGGTGTGAACCACTGTGCCTAGTCATAACATGTATTCTTTTTGAAAGAAAATGTATGTACTTAATTGAATTATTTGCTAGATGTTGGTCTGTAAGCTCCTGGAGGGCAGGAGCTATGTCAGGTTAGCTCTATTATGTGGTATAGTATGTGGCATGTAGTATTTGCTTAATAAATATTTACAAATGTAAGGCAAAACAAAACAAAAAATACACATATAGGTAAGCAATCTAATAACCATTTACTGTTACAGTTTTATTATTTCATATACTATTTTAAAAGCAACATATTAAATAATGACAGTGACAGATTATAACTCATTGACTAAAATAAGAATCCATGAGTGCATACTGGTATGAATAAATAAATAAGAGAGAAGGGAAAGCACTTTTTTTTCTGAGATGGAGTCTCACTTTGTCGCCCAGGCTGGAGTGCAGTGGCATGATCTTGGCTCACTGCAACCTCTGCCTCCTGGGTTCAAGAGATTCTCCTGCCTCAGACTCCCGAGCAGCCGAGATTACAAGTGTATGCCACCATGCCCGGCTGATTTTTTGTATTTTCAGTAGAGATGGGGTTTCGCCATGTTGGCCAGGCTGGTCTCAAACTTGGTCTCATGTGATCCGCCCACCTCAGCCTCCCAAAGTGATGGGATTACAGGCGTGAGCCACCGCCCCGGCCCGCACCTTCTTATAATAGAATGCCAACTGATAAATACAGAATGGATGATGGAATTAGAAAATCACCATTTGACAACCATCACTGTAATAACTGATTCAGTCATGAATCACTGATAGATGCTAAAACTAGTAGAAAGTTTGATGAGAAAGAGGATTTTTACATCATCTCAAATTATCTCCTCCAAATATACTTGTTAATTATAAAGTAAAAATAGTAACTTTACAATAACCTGACAGGCACCACCTCAAAAAGTGATTAAAATACCATCAGCAATAATGGGACAAACTGATGTCAAGTGACTTCTGATAGATATGACAAGTAAATGCAATGTGAGATCATGGATTAGATCCTAGACCAGAAAAAAAAGTTTTTCTGCTCTTTTGCTATAAAGGACATTATTGGAACAACTGGCAAAATTTGAGTAAGGTCTGTAGATTTAATAAAAGCATTGTATCTATGTTAATTTCCCAAATGTCCTTTTTTTTTTTTTTTTTTTCCTTTTTTGACATGGAGTCTCACTCTTTCGCCCAGCCTGAAGTGCAGGGGCACGATCTTGGCTTACTGCAACTCCACCTCCTGGGTTCAAGCGATTCTCCTGCCTCAGCCTCCCGCGTGGCTGGGATTATAGGCACCCGCCACCACACCTGGCTAATTTTTGCATTTTTAGTAGAGAGAGGGTTGATTTCACCACATTGGCCAGGCTGGTCTTGAACTCCTGACCTCAGGTGATCCACCCACCTCGGCCTTCCAAAGTGTTGGGATTACAGGCGTGAGCCACTGCACCCGGCCCTGAATGTCCTTGTTTTTAGAAAATACACATGTAAATATTTATAGGTAAAGGGGTATCACGTCTACAACTTATTTCCAAATGGTTCAGAAACAAACACATATGTAGACAGAAAGGTAATGCAAATGCGGTAAACTAACATTAAGGGAATCTGAGTAAAGAGGATATGTGAATCCTTTGTACTACTCTTGCAACTTTTCTATAAGTATAAAATTATTTCAAAACAGTATGAAAACAATTAAAAACTAATAACACGTAAACAAAGTATTAGTTAAAACCTAAAAAAGGAATGGTTAAAGAGCAAATTACAGATGCTCATGGTGGGTGCAATTTTGGTTTAGTTATTCATGTTTGAATTATTAATATTATTGCTATCTTTCATCAAAGGGTCTTAGTGTACTTTATAAACATGTTTTACTTCCTTCACTTTACAGATGAGAAAACAGACATGTAGAAAAGCTCCCAAAATGTGGCAGGTTGATTTTGGAATGGAAACAAAGAAAATTTGACTTTTAATTAATAAAATAGTGTTAAGATGCGATATAGCTAGACACAGCAGAAGGTATTCATTTACCTTGCTCTATTGTAAATCACTGGCTCGTTTTCTTCCTGCACAGTCGTCAGCATATCCAAGTCATGGAATATTTTCTGCATATAGTCCAAATATTTACATCCTGAAGCTCTCTCTACTATGGCTGCCAGTAGGGTATAGCCAAAAGTTGAATACAAAAACTGACTACCTTGAGACATCATTGCGAGGAGGAAAAAAATAAAATACTTGATTATTATTCAAAAACATATAAAATATATTCCCACTGAAAATTGGCATACTTTTAAAACTGGAATATTTTACTTCAGCATTCAGAAAAAGAACACAGGCAATACATCAACAAATTGAGTTAACTTTGCAACTGTCCTTATTCCAAGTCCTTAACACAAGAATAAAATTATGATCAGCATACTTAACATTTCACATAAATCTGCTCCTTTCTCTGATAATAAAGTAAGCAAATAAATCCTACCTCAAAACAAAACAAAAATATTTCAAAGTGACAACAAAACAGGAACAGAAAGAAAAGAAAAGCAAATTTGATTTCTTGAGTCAACTTTGTTCTTAATATACCTCTACTCATTGTTTAGGGCATAAATGGGCAAACACGTTCTTATTTTAATAAAATATATGGGTCAGGAGCGGTGGCTCACTCCTGTGTCCTAGCACTTTGGGAGGCCAAGGGGGGAGGATCACCTGAGGTCAGGAGTTCGAGACCAGCCTGGCCAACATGGTGAAACCCTGTCTCTACTAAAATACAAAAATTAGCCAGGTGTGGTGGCGGGCACCCATAATCCCAGCTACTCAGGGGGCTGAAGAAGGAAAATCGCTTAAACCCAGGAGGCAGAGTTTGCAGTGAGCTGAGATCCCGCCACTGTACTCCAGCCTGGGTGACAGGGCCAGACTCCATCTCAAAATAAATAAATAAATAAAATAAAATAAAATAAATGTAGGCACACAAACTTTGTTTCAAATACATATTTGAATTTAAATATATATTCAAATATACATAGTATTTCAAATAAATAACTTTATATCATTTTGGGTTCTGGACAAACTCAAACTGGTTTGAGACAGGGTCTTGCTCTTGCTGTTGCCCAAGCTAGAGTAAAGTGGTATGATCACAACCCACTACAACTTTGAACTCCTGGGCTCAGGGATCCTCCCGCCTCAGCCTCCTGAGTAGCTAGGACTACTTACACACACAGGCCACTGAACCTGGCTAATTTAAAATTTTTTTTGGAGAAACAGGGCCTTGCTTTGTTGCCCAGACTAGTCTTAAACTCCTGGGCTCAAGCGATCCTCCCACTTTTCCCTCTGTAAGTGCTGGGATTATAGGCGTGAGCCAACTGTGCCCAGCATGGAACTTTATTTTTAAGATAAAATCCATAATTATATCTTATTTGCTCTTATTAGTCATATCTATAAAATATCTATTCAACTAAAAGCTTTTAAAATGAAAAATGAATATAAGTATATCAAACTATGGTAAATTTAGATATTAAGTAGCTTCAATAGGCACCAAATCAAAAAATAAAACAAAGATAATTATTTGTATAGAGCAGATTTTTGGCAAAAAATTAGTGATGAACACTCATTTCTTTAAGAAATAAAGGCACAAAATAAGTTGAGCAATTTAAATTCTAACTAAATACTAAAATATCAGCAATACCTTATCATGTCTACTTTGGTCCAGGTTGTATTTAGAGAACTATTATTCCAACATTTCTCCATAAGTTTGCATGAACATCTTGATACTGAGAATCCTCTAAATGACTGGGTAGTCTCCAATGAGGCAAAATTTAAACAAGCTGCCTGGATGCTAGGCTTTGTTAGAAACTACAGACAAAAACGCAAGCACCAGACTAGTCCGTATCACAATCATCAACCTCAATGAATGCACTCCGGATGGTATCATTTTGGATTTCCTGAAAATTAACATTTCAGTAATGATGATTTTGTTAAGAGAAGGGATTAACACTCACCAGGTTTGAAGAACAAAGGATCATTTTTAAATAATCTTAGGGATTCAATTGAATTTTCAAACTTTTCTCTCAAATATAATTCGCCTTGTTCAAAATCATTCTTTTTCTTGCCAGGTTTTGAATTCCGGCATTTGGCTTCATTCTCCTGCTCTGTTTTAAATTTAGTAAAATCATTCTTTTCATTACTTTTGCCTTCTTTTTCTTGCTCAAATGCAACATTCTCTTTCATCATCTTCAAGGCTTTATAAGCTTTCTCTTCTTTCACCTTTTTTATGTCCTTTTCATAATGACGAATTCCACTTAAATGGGAAATCAGTAATCTTGTTGTGACAGAAACCTAATTGTAAAAACATGAAAATTCAATTACAATATTAACCTGAAAAATAGAAAGTTAGTTGCCTCGGAATAATGTCTCAGTAATATTTTCCACTTAGAACTGCTGCTGGGAAAATGTCATGTACAAATCCTTAGCCTCAAATTTCAGAAAAATACCTACCTGATTATCATCTGGATTAAGAAAAACTAATACATTAACAATAACTAAAAACAAGCCAAAGAATCCTATGAAACATTTTAAATATAAATTCCAGCATAAACCATTTAACATGCCATTAGTAAAATGAACTGTGAGTTTCAGTACCTTTTCACCTTCATATTCTTTTTCTGGGAATTCGGGAACATAATGTTGTACTGGAATATCAAGATCCAGTTTCCCTGCTTCCCACAATTTGGCAAGAGCAACCATGGTGAGACTTTTGCTGATGCTAGCAATTCGCATAACTGTCTCTGGTTTACATGGTACACGGTTCTCAACATCAGCATAACCTAAACCTTTGGGGGAAAAAAGCAAAAAGTCACTATTAACAGGCTTCATGGTCAAACAAGTTTTCAAACCCTGAAATAATACTATCTTTAAACATGCTGTGTTTATCTAAAAGAAAAGATACTCCACTTTTATAAGTTACTTAACACTGGACATGTAAAGGATTAAAATCTTAGTATATCGGTAAGCCTAACAATTTAACCTTATAACTAAAGTGAAATTGTACCCTGTTTGCAATAGCAATTTTCTATGACTTAGATACAAATTTTTCTTAGCTTATCTAAACAACTGAGTTATTCCACATTTTAAATAAAGTATTCTTTAAAGAAAACATCATTATTCTTCTTCAGATTATATTTATTTTTGACTTTTGAGTAAATTTCCACTGAATTCCTTGAAATAGCCACTCAATAAAAGTAAGTGTGGGCCGGGCATGGTGACTCATGCCTATAATCTGAGCACTTTGGGTGGCCAAGGTGAGCAGATCACCTGAGATTGGGAGTTCAAGACTAGCCTGGCCAACATGGTAAAACCCCGTCTCTACTAAAAATACAAAAATTGGCCAGTCATGGTGGCGTGTGCCTGTAATCCCAGCTACTCGGGAGGCTGAGGCAGGAGAATCGCTTGAACCTTGGAGGCAGAGGTTGCGGTGAGCTGAGAAAACGCCACTGCACTCCAGCCAGGGCGACAAAGTGAAACTGTCTCAAAAATGTGTGAAAAGATGTCCTGCAAACCAAATCTAGCTAACCATCAATTTAATTCGACTGCAAACCAGGAGGAAAATTATGTACTAACTTAAAGCTTTTTCTAGAAAAAATTTTAAATTTGGTTTCCATGTTCTCACAGGCTGAAAGTGCGTAAATCTAACTAAGAAAGAGAAAGTGCCTGCAATCCCAGCACTTTGGGAGGCGGAGACGGGTGGATTACTTGAGCTCAGGATTTCGAGACTAGCCTGAGCAACATGGCAGAAACCGCATCTCTACAAAATATACAAAAAAAAAAAAGAAAGAAAGAAAGAAAAAAGCCTGGCGTGGTGGAGTGCACCTGTAGTCTCAGCTAGTCAGGAGGCTGAGGTGGGAGAATCATCTGAGCCCAGGAGTTTGAGATTGCAGTGAGCCAAGATCACACCACTGCACGCCAGCCTGGGAGACACAGTAAGAGACCCTGTCCAAAAAATAAATAAATAAATAAATAAAAAGAGAACAGAGATCTGAAAAGAAAAGGAATACAATGACTATAAATTTGTATAATCTTAAATATCTAAAAAATATTTGCATAAAGTCCATAAAGCTGACATTTATATAATTTTTGATTACAAGACTTATCATAAATTAGGTATAATGATTAGATTATACTTATACTTGAAGGAAGAATCATTTTCCTTTTTTAAAAAATTTTAAGCTGGGCACGGTGGCTCACGCCTGTAATCCCAGCACTTTGGGATGCCGAGGCAGGCGCATCACCTGAGGTCGGGAGTTCGAGACCAGCCTGACCAACATGGAGAATCCCCGTCTCTACTTAAAATACAAAAATTAGCCAGGCGTGGTGGTGCATGCCTGTAATCCCAGCTAATCGGGAGGACGAGGCAGGAGAATCACTTGAACCTGGGAGGTGGAGGTTGTGGTGAGCTGAGATCGCACTATTGCACTCCAGCCTGGGCAACAAGAGTGAAACTCCAAAAAAAAAATAAATAAATAAAATTTTTTTTATAGAGACACAGGTGTCGCTATGGTGCCTAAGCTGGTCTCAAACTTCTGGTCTTCAGCCATCCTTCCTCCCTGGACTCCCTAAGCGCTGGGATTACAGGCGTGCGCCACCTCAACTGGCCCATTTTTCTTCAAATTCAAACCCCTACTGCGCCCATCAACTTACTGCCTTTAAATGGCATATGAAACATTTTTTTTTCTTTTTTTTTGAGACAGAGTCTCGCTGTTGCCCAGGCTGGAGTGCAGTGAACGATCTTGGCTCACTGCAAACCTCCGCCTCCCGAGTTCAAGCGATTCTCGTATCCTGGCCTCCCGAGTAGCTGAGATTACAGGCACGCACTAGCATGGCTGGCTAATTTTTTGTGTTTTTAGTAGAGATGGGGTTTTGCCACGTTGTCCAGGCTGGTCTCGAACTCCTAAGCTCAGGCAACCCACCTGCCTCTGCCTCTCAAAGTGCTAGGATTACAGGCGTGAGCCACTGCACCTGGCCTGAAACATCATTTTCTAAAAGTGGGACTCCTAGAAACCTAGGATGACCAATTAGATCAATTTCTGTGCAACAGAGAAGTTATGAAAAATAATGCCTTGATAAAAGTATCATAAAATGAATAGAAATCCCTCTCCCTAAGTTTTTTGCCTTCTGTTTGAAAAAAATAGATGACACCTCTACCTGGTTAAAAAGCCTAATAAAGTAGACTGAAAAGTCATTAAAGACAAGGAATAGTGTGTGGGCGGCAAGCCACCCAGGCGCTGAGGCAAGAGACCGAGGACACGAGCTGTTCCAGTATAATAAAATATAAAACAAGAATAGTTATACCAGATATAGATCTTAGATATGATTATATATATCATTAATCTTATTAGTTTGTAGCAATTAGTCTTTATTCCAATATTATAATAATCCTTGCTCTATAATCATAGCCAAGGAAAAACCAGGCCATACAGAGATAGGAGCTGAGGGGACACAGTGAGGAGTGACCAGAAGACAAGACTGCGAGCGTTCTGTTACGCCCAGACAGGGCCACCAGAAGGACTCCTTGGTCTAGCGGTAACGCCAGCATCTAGGAAGACGCCCGTTGCCAGCCGGACCGTGGTCTAGCGGTAGCGAAGAGCGTCAAGAAAAAACACCCGCTACTTAGTAGAACCAGAAAGGGAGTCTCCTTTTCTCCGGGGGAGTTTAGAGAAGACTCTGCTCCTCCACCTCTTGTGGAGGGCCTGACATCAGTCAGGCTTGCCCGCAGTTATCCGGAGGCCTAACCGTCTCCCTGTGATGCTGTGCTTCAGTGGTCACGCTCCTAGTCCGCCTTCATGTTCCATCCTGTACACCTGGCTCTGCCTTCTAGATAGCAGTAGTCAATTAGTGAAAGTACTAAAAGTCTCTGATATGCAGAAATAATGGCATAAGCTGTCTTTCCCTCTGTCTCCTCTCCCTCTCTGCCTCGGCTGCCAGGCAGGGAAGGGCCCCCTGTCCAGTGGACACGTGACCCACGTGACCTTACCTATCATTGGAGATGACCCACACTCTTTACCCTGCCCCTTTTGCTTTGTATCCAATAAATAACAGCGCAGCCAGACATTCGGGGCCACTACCGGTCTCCGCGCATTGGTGGTAGCGGTCCCCCGGGCCCAGCTGTCTTTTCTTTTATCTCTTTGTCTTGTGTCTTTATTTCTACACTCTCTCGTCGCCGCACACAGGGAGAGACCCACCGACCCTGTGGGGCTGGTCCCTACAATAGTGTATAACCCCAGTACTTAGCACTTTGCTTTTTACGGAAGAGAGGCCTCAAGAAATTGTTAACTTAATTAAAAAAGAAAACTTCACAAATTCTGAGTTTTATCTACCCATAAGTGTTACCTGCAAGTACTCAGTTAATGGATTGTTCTACACAGTAGTTACCCCTTATCTGTGGTTTCGCTTTCCTCAGTTTCAGTTATCCATGGTCCGAAAGTATTAAATGGAAAATTCCAGAAATAAACAATTCGTAAGCTTTAAATTGCATGCCACTCAGAGTATTGTTGTGATTGTTCTATTTTATTATTGTTGCTAATCTCTTACTATGCCTGATTTATAAACTTTATCATAGATATGTATATATAAGATAAAATATAGTATATACAGGGTTCAATATCATCCACTTTTTCAGGCATCCACTGAGGGTCTTGGAATATATCCCCAGGATAAGGAGGGACTACTGTATAAAACTTTCAGACTAATAAATCCAGTCCTAAGAGAAAAGTGGGAGTGGGTAGCCATCCTCATGACTCCAATTTATTAGTCACATTTTAAACCTTACCGTGATTTAAAAACACCTGACTCTTTATTATGTTAGATGTTTTCTCTACAATATGCATCGTTTTATGTAAATGCAATAGCATTTCATGGGATCCACTCTAACCAGTAAAACAATATTTTATTTACCAACTGGCACAGAACAAAACAACAATTTTCTGAACCCACCTTCTGACCAGACTTCTTTTCCATCTACAGAAACTCCAACCACTATGCCCGGTGCGCCCACCTCATCCTAAGACCGAAGGGGAAAGAACCGACAGTTACGGGCCTGCTGAAAAAGCCCAGCGCTCTCCTCGGGGACCTTCCAAGGCCCCGCCCCCTGAGCCTGGGCCCCGCCCCCTCCACCTGGGCCCCGCCCACCTCGTCCCAGGCCATGGTCACTCACTAACAGCAAGGGATGTGCCTGTCCGCCCCCTAGGGGGAAGGGGCGGTCCCCGAGACAGGCGGTGACCTCCACCCAGATTTGGGGAACCCCCAAGAGCGTCTGACCACGGCTCGGCGGTGGGGAAATGGGAAGTCTTTCTCGGAAGCCGATCGCGGGCACCCCGCCGCCCCGGGTGGGGTCCACTCAGCCCCCGACAGCACCGCCGACAGGGGTGGATCCCCGGCCCCCTACGCCCCCCGCTCCAGTGGCCGCACCTTGATCCTGTGCAGCAGGTCGCGGCTGCTCTCGATGGCTCTGGCGAAGCACCTGGAGCAGGGCGGCGCCGGGGTCTGCGGAGACCACGGGGCGAGGGACTGCTCCTGTGGCGGCTCGGCCAGAGGCGACGCCTCAGGGTCGGGGGCCGCGGGGGACTGCGCCGGGGCCGCGCCCCTCAGCCCACCTGCCAGCTTCACCCCGAGCGCCAGCCCCAGCCCCAGCCCGAGGCCCCCGACCCAGCCGTGGCCGAGAGGCGGCAGCCCGGCGCGCTGATGGACCCCGCGTCGTCCGCAGCTTGAGGCCAAGCCCCCGGGGGCGGCAGCCCGGGCAGTCACTGCTGACATGAGCCGGTACATGGCGTCTCTGCACAGCCGGCCGCCACCAAACTCACGCACACCCTGCCAGCCGCGGCGCGGGGCGGAGGGAAGGGCAGGGGGCGGGACGGGGGTGGGGACCGCGGTCAGACCCTAGCAGTCGACGCCTGACTACCCGAGCGCCGATCGCATCGAGCCCTTCTTCCTCTCCCTTTTCTTGTCTCTTCCTTGTTTTTCCTTTCTGTCTCTCTTTCCTTTTTTTCCTTTGCTTACCCTCAGATCAAGCGTCACCTCCCAGAAGCCTTCCTAGTTCCCGTCCCATGGGAGTTCTCGCCCTTACCATCTTGCCCCTCAGTGTGCACACTTCTTTAACAACAGTTAACACTTTGTATCATTTAACTACTTGTCAGATTCCTTACCAGAGTGGGACTTCTTTGGGGAGCCTAGACTTAGTTTTGGATCCTCAACTTCTGGAACAGCGCAGGGCACACAGTAGACGCTCAGCAGGCATCTCCTTTCCCTTTAGAGATGCCTTTCTCCTTTCCTTTCCCTTTCTCCTTTCCCCCTTTAGAACGCGCTTCTTTTCACTCTCTTGCCATCTCCCTTATGTCTCATTTCAATTCACCCATTTCCCTAAAGATGTTTTAAAATCTATTGCTTCTGGAATTCTAGCTCCACACCGTACCAAAGACATGAAGTTACATCCAGACCTTATATTACCTTTCTTTTGCTATAAAAGATAAAGTGTTTTTTAAAAATTTCGTGCTTGAAAAATTTTAATCCAAAAGTAACTATTATAATTTACAATTACCTATGATTTCTCAGCATCTGTAAATGATCAGACATTCTTGTGAAATAAGAAACCTAATCTCAAATTGCTACAAAATGTAAAATGTGTATAAAATCCTAGTTTAACGTGTAATGAAATTGATATGTTAATTTGAAGTTACTTAAACATTTATCAGTTTTGTAATTTTTATATTTTGGGATACATACATACACACACACACACACACACACACACACACAATCTTTGAAAGCTTGTAGGCTTTATACCTTCAGCACTGGGGCAATATGCCCCATATACAAAATGGCCCTGTCTTTTCTTGCAGGTGGAATAAAGAAGAGAGCTCACAGACTTGAACTGACAAGCCATCAGGACAAACATATTGAGGTAATAAACTTACTGAGTAAACATATACATACCTCAAAATAAATATATTGAGGTAATAATTATTTAATAGGAGGAAAAGGCAATAATGGTATCCATACCTAGCAAGAAAATAGTGGGGCTAAATAAGTAAAGCTTCTGGGGCTACTCACAAAACCCAAGACTCCAAGAGACCAGAATATCCTAGGACCCAGAGCGTTTGACACTGAAACTGCAGTTATAGTGGACAGATGTACTCTATTAAGATAGTACTGGAGGTTCCCACGGTGGGGGTCACCACTACTCCAAGAACATGAGAGAAAAAATATAAAGAGAAAAATGTAAAAGACGCAGTCAGTGGTGGTTATGAGTGCCCACTTTTATTTAAACTGTACATAATTTTTCTTTAAACTGTACATATGTTACTGAAACACCAAGGGTTTAGCCTAGATCCCATTGCTCGCCACACAGAAAGCCAGTCACCAAGACAATGAGTATCGCCGGGGGAAAACAAAGCTTTTTCAGGTGCTGCAGCCAGGGAAACGGGAGTTCAGTCTCAAGTCCATTTCCTCAGCTAACTAAAATTAGGGGTTTATATAGCAAGGAAGAAATGTAACTATGTGTGGGGAAACAGGAAATAGGGAGGGATAAGGAAGAAGAATTGTTCAACAGGAAGCAGGTGGTTGGTTAGGCCGGGGGTCCCAACCCCTGGGCCATGGACTAGTTAGGAACTGGGCCACACAGCAGGAGGTGAGTGGCAGGTGAGGGAGCATTATTGCCTGAGCTCCACCTCCTGTCAGATCAGTCATGACCTTAGATGCTCATAGGAGCTCGAACCCTATTGTGAACTGCGCATGTGAGGGATCTAGGTTGCTTGCTCCTTATGATAATCTAACTAATGCCTGATGATCTGAGGTGGAACAGTTTCATCCTGAAACCATACCCATCAGCCCCAACCCCACACCCCATGGAAAAACTTTCTTCCATGAAACCTGTCCCTGGTGCCAAAAAAGCTGGGAACCGCTGGGTTAGGCAATCATGACAGGTGAAGGATCTGGTGTCTCATTGTCCAAATGTGGTGATCTGGTAAGTTTCAGTTTCTTGATACTATCTGGGAGACCTGATGGTTGGTTTCCTCCAAAAGGAACTCAGATAAGACAAATGTAAGTTTCTCAAGTTTTAAGACTGGGCAGGTCAATTTTCTCTCTTTATTCAAAATAAACCATAAACATATTCTATTGGACAATTGGGCTGGTTTCACATATGTGTTTTTTGCACTCTTCTGTACCTCTCCTTGGATAAAAAATAAAAAAAGAAACAGAGCCCTGTGTTTGCCATGTACAGGGCAAAAGCCAATGTCCTGGTGGACTTCCAGTCTAGAAGCAGGTACAGAGAGGCCATTTGAAGTATGGCTTCTGGGAAGTGTTAACCTAAAAGGAAGAGGCTGAGGCACAAAATATAATTTAAAGACTTTACTTTAGCCAAAGTGAGGACAGCTGCCCTGAAGACTCAGACCCAAGGAAACTTGGAATGAGCTCCCCATTAAGGGGAGCTCCCCTGTCCTCCTTTGCCTTTAAAGGCAAAAAAAGGGGGACAGGGAATGGGCTGATACAAAGTTGTTTGTCAGGGATCCCCATTGGTTTACAGAAATAACAATGATTGGCTATATACATTGTTAAGCAACAGGGTATGGGTTCTAGCGTCTGGTGCCCCATTATTAGGTTAATTTATAACTACTCGTGGCAACAGCAAGCAGTTTCAAGAGATGAATACATAGCTTATTGTGGGGGTAGGACATGAATGCCATCTCTTTTTTTTTTTTTTTTTTTTTAAGATAAGGTCTCACTCTGTTGCCCTGGCTGGAGTGCAGTGGCGTGATCATGGCTCATTGCAGCCCCAACCTCCCAGGCTCAGGTGATCCTCCCACCTTAGCCTCTTGAGTAGCTAGGACCACAGGCATGCACCACCACACCTGGCTAATTTTTGTATTTTTTTTAGAGATGGGCTTTCGCCATGTTGCCCAGGTTGATCTCAAACACCTGGGCTTAAGCGATCCTCCCACCTCGACCTCCCAAAGTGCTGGGATTACAGGTGTGAGCCACAATACTCAGCCACCATCTCATTTTAATGTCTCCCTGGGCCTGATAATTTGAAAGGACTTGCATTCTTCACATAAAAGTTATTTTCTTTTCTCAGAAGGTAACAGAAAATAAATTGTTCTCCAGCAAGCTGAGTGCCCAGGAGGCAACCTGACCAAGCAGCCTGCAGACTTGTTGGCAGGATCTTTACTACAACTCTAGGGCAGGAGCCCAGAGCCCCAGCATTTGAGCTGGCTTTGGGGTGGGAGCCGCAGAGACCAGATAGAAGAAAGGTAAACAGGCCAGGCGCGGTGGCTCACTCCTGTAATCCCAGCACTTTTGGAGGCTGAGGCAGGTGGATCACGAGGTTAAGAGATCAAGACCAGCCTGGCCAACATGGTGAAACCCCGTCTCTACTAAAAATACAAAAATTAGCTGGGCATGGTGGCACATACTTGTAGTCCCAGCTACTCGGGAGGCCGAGGCAGGAGAATCACTGGAACCCGGGAGGCGGAGGTTGCAGTGAGCTGAAATCACGCCACTGCACTGCAGCCTAGATGACAGAGCGAGACTTTGTCTCAAAAAAAAAAATAAATAAAAAAGGTAAATGACTACACATGGAGAAGAATGGGAAGAGAGAAAAAAAGTGAGGAAAAGGGGAAGGAAAGAAACTTTCCACTAAAAATAAATCTGCAAACCAAGTTTCCAAAACATATTTTTAAAAGTTTTCTAAAAAACACTGACAATAAAATCAACCACCAAATTGTGAAATCACCCCAAACAAAATAAAATCAGTAGAAGGATATACAGGAAAAGAGGAAAAAGAGAGGCCTTTCCCTGGCTAAGAAAAAGATGGGTGATAGAAAATAAAACAAATATATATATTTTAAAACAAATATATATTTTTAAATATATATTTTTATATATTGAAATATATAAAACAAGTATATATAAAATATTTTTTATATATTTGTGTATTTATATATTTTATATATTTGTTGAAAATATATATAAAAGATAAATAAATGTATAATATCTACACAACAAAAAAGGAATTACAAAACAAAATAGGAATAAATGAAGCAAAACCATATAAATATGAAAATGCACTTATCAGAAATTGGGGAAATAAAAGATCATGAGAGAACTTTAATATCATCTCTTCTGAAGCTGGAGCTACAGTTTTGATGGACTGCTGTAACTGCGTCCAAAGCTTGTACTGCTCACCACACAACAGCCAATCAGTCAAGAGACAGGCGTTGGAGCAGGGAAGATGACTTTATTCTGTGGAGCCAGCAAACCAAGATGGCAGACTACTGTCCTAAAGAAGCATCTTAAGTAAATGTGAATGTTGGGCTCCTTTTATGTTAGGGGAGGGGGAAAACGGGAAGAGGCTTAGGTCAAAAGGTGACCAGTGACCACAGACATCTGGGTGGCAGCAAGGGTAAGCTTCTTTGTCTTTGTCAGGTCACAGTGCTCTTACAAATTTTTAACATAACATTGTTACTTATGTGTATACCCATCTTATCTCCTTGGGGGTTAGTTTTGGGGAGGGACTAATCATCCTTGCTTTAAAGTTAAACTATAGGCTGGGCACGGTGGCTCACACCCAGCAATCTAGGAGGCCAAGGTGGGAGGATTGCTTGAGCCCAGGAGTTTGAGACCAGCCCTGGCAACATAGTGAGACCCGTTCTCTACAGAAAATTTTAAAAAATTAGCCGGGCATGGTGGCCTGTGACTACCAGCTACTTGGGAGGCTGAGGTGGAAGGACTGCTGACCCTGGGAGGTCGAGGCTGCAGTGAGCTGTGATCATGCCTCTGAACTCCAGCCTGGGTGACAGAGCGAGACCCTGTCTCAGGAAAACAAAACAAAATACTGAGTGGGACTCAGACAGAAACCACTGGTACACCAATAGAAACTTCTGTCCAACAACTCAGAATAGACATAGTCCCAGCCCTCCTGGAACTTGCAGTCTATACGGTAATAGAGTCATGATAAACAGAACGGCAAGATTAAATGTAAAATCCTAGTTGTAATGAGTGCTGTGAAGGAGAGGTGCATACTGTGTTGAGAGGTTATAATGTGAGATGTTATCTGATCTGGGAGATGAAGGAAGACTTTCCTAATGAAATGAAATTACATCCAAGACTTTAAGGATAAACAGGAATTACCTTGGTTAAGTATGGGCAGAAAGAGAAGGGAAGTGTTCCATGCAAGGAATTAGCAAATGCTAAGGCCTTGTGGTGGGAAGAGGCGGTTTCATTCAAGGAATTAAAAGATAGTCATGGGCCAGGTGTGGTGGCTCATGCCTGTAATCCCAGCACTGTGGGAGGCCAAGGCAGGCAGATCACCTGAAGTCAGGAGTTCAAGACCAGCCTGGACAACATGGCGAAACCCCATCTCTACTAAAAATACAAAAATTAGCCAGGTGTGGTAGTGTGCACCTGTAATTCCAGCTACTAGGGAGGCTGAGGCAGGAGAATCACTTGGTCCTAGGAGGCAGAGGTTGCAATGAGCTGAGATTGTGCCACTGCACTCCAGCCTGGGCAACAGAGTGAGACCCCGTCTCAAAAAAAAAAAAAAAGATAGTCATGGTGGGTGGAGTAGAGAACTAAGGGGCGTGAGGTAAGAGATGAGGCTGAGGACTGACCATCCAGTACCTTATCTCCTTCTGCTGCTATTTCTTTAGAAGAAGGAATGCTCTTCTACAGCTGCTTCTAGCCACAAGTCCTGTCCTACTATATCTCAGTATAGTGTATACTATTAACCACATTAACAAGCTAAAAAAGAAAAATCACATGATCATATCAATTGATGCAGACATATCAATCATTAGGCAAAACACATTCATGACCGAAAAAACCCTTAGGAAAATAGGAATAGAGAAAAACTTCTTCAAATTGATAAAGAACATCTACAAAAAAATCTATTGCTAACATTATGTTTAGTGGGAAAGACATACGAAGCAAGTATGTCCACTCTAATCTTTCTTATTCAACAAGGTGCTAGAAATTATATCGAGTGCAATAAGGCAAGAAAGACAATTAAAAGCACACAGATCAAAAAGAAAGAGATAAAATTGTCCTTATTTGCAGAGGCCATGATTGCTTATGTAAACAATTTTAAAGGAGCTGGGCACAGTGGCTCATGCCTGTTAATCCCAGCACTTTGGGAGGCTGAGGCAGGCAGATTGCTTGAGGCCAGAAGTTTGAGACCAGCCTGGCCAACATGATGAAACCCTGTCTCTACTAAAAATACAAAAATTAGCTAGGCATGGTGGTGCCTGCCTGTAGTCCCAGCTACTCGGGAGGCTGAGGCACGAGAATCACTTGAACCCAGGAGGCAGAAGTTTCAGTGAGTCAAGATCACACCACTGCACTCCAGCCTGGGCAATAGGGCAAGATTCCATCTCAAAAAAAAAAAAAAAAAAAAAAAATGTTAAAGGGAAAACAAAAACCCATCACCTCCTAAAATTAGAATGTTTGTCCAGCAAGGTCGTAGGATACATGATAAGCATAAAATATCAATTATGTTTCTATGTACTCGCAATAAACTTATGGAAAAGTTTAATTAAAAAAATAAAGATGGCCAGGCGTGGTGGCTCATACCTGTAATCCTAGCACTTTGGGAGTCCAAGGCAGGCAGATTGCTTGAGCTCAGGAGTTCAAGATCAGCCTGCGTAACATGGTGAAACCCCGTCTCTACAAAAAATGCAAAAATTAGCTGGGTGTGGTGGTGTGTGCCTGTGGTCCCAGCTACTCGAGAGGCTGAAATGGGAGGATCACTTGAGCCCAGGAGGCTGAGGCTGCAATGAGACAATATTGCATCACTGCACTCCAGCCTGGGTGACAAAGTGAGACCCTGTCTCAAAAAAAAAAAAAAAAAGGTGGAATATGAACCAGGATGAATATTCTGAAACTCAAATATAACCATATCTAACTCCTGTTCAAAATGCTTTAAAGCTTAACCAATAAGAGAAAGTCCAGACTCCTATGGTTGGACATGTGGTAGGATAACCTACTGAGAAAAAAATGGGTTTTGTTTTTTCAGAATCAGGTTCACCACAAAGGAATGAACTTCATTTCCTCTTCTGCCAAGAAGGAGGCCAGGCCTCTGACCCTGGAAGGTCTGGGTTTTTCATACCCCCAAAAGGGCAGTTAACAACTGTAACTGGTTGTTTGAGAGGTCCCAATCCACCGAAGTATAAACAACGAAGGTTTTGTTTTTCCCAGTAATTGCTACCTGCTTTGCTTGGCCAAATCCCTCCCCACCAGGGTAGAGGGGAACTTTAGTGATAACTCCATCTGGTCCAACACCTTTTCCGTCACATGAAGCTATCAAAACAGTGTAATTTCAAGTGAATATTTGGTTGCTTCAGGTACTATTTCCCCTGCCAAGTCCAGTTCAATGGCCTCTCTCTAGGAGCTGACCAGGGTGCCATTTAAAGCCGCAGGGAGGTCCCGGCTGAAGCGGGTAGGTGGTGCCATCAGGAATTTACTTTCCTAGTCTGTCTCCCTTCGCTTGGCAGCAGGTGTGTGAAGCAGGCCTCACCAGTCAGAGGTGCACATTTTCAGAAGCTGGCAATGCCATTGACGGTGTTGGATGAGACATGCAGCTCTCTGGGCAGTAAGTGGCAGGGGTTCTCACAGTGTGGCAGGGCTGCCCCACTGTACCCACCACTGTATCAGGCGCAAGGCCGCTGTCAACAGCCCAGCTTCTAGGAGCACCCGAATCTTAAAAGACTCCATTCGTGTGTCCTTTACACTTGCAATCCTGGCATAATTAGAAATAACTCCACTTTCCCTCTCAAATGAGGAGATAAAATATGTAGCCATCCCACCCCATATGTTTTAATAAATTCATTTTCTATTTAACTGGCCAGAGTGGTCTTTGAATTTACAGCTAAGAACGTGCCTGATACAAAAGGCTTCTCAGAATCAGGCTCCTCCCTCCTACTCCATCTCTATCCCACCTGTGATTCGATCTCAGTTCTATTAAAATAGATGGCTGTTTAATGTCTCCAGGCCATTGGACGGGCTTTTCTTTCTTCCTGGAACGTTTTTTCCCCCAGCGTCCACCTGGAAAACACTGTCTTCCTCCCTCTTTGTGCCCTGCATTCCTCTATTGTCACACTTAGCCCCATGTTACAATTGTACTAGACTTTTTGGGTTTGTTCTTTTGAGATTTCTCTGCCAATGATTTGTGAGTTCCCTCAGATTAGAGACTTAGTTTCCTCCAGGGTTAGACCAATGCCAGTCACAGGAAAAGTTTCAACAAACATGTATTGAAAACTTTATATGAATCAGTGTAAAACTGCACTTTTTATAGAAAAATGGTGAAATCAATTGGTTATGATTACTGATTTAGAGAGTAGCTTTAGCAGTCTGCTAAGTTGAATTCTCTGATGGTTTTCATTTGTAGATCTTGAGTTTTAGCTGGAGAGAACCAACCCTATCAGGGGTCTGGAAAATGGAATTCAAGTCAGGAGTGGACCTTAAGTTGGACTAAGCCATGTCACACCAATAGGGAGACAAATGGTGACAGCTCACTATTATTATTAGACTGCTATGTCACTGCTATGTGCTGGCTGCCTTATATACCTTCTTTTTTTTTTTCTTTTTGTTTTGAGATGAAATCTTGCTGTGTCACCCAGGCTGGAGTGCAGTGAAACAATCTCGGCTCACTGCAACCTCCACCTCCCAGGTTCAAGCAATTCTCTGCCTCAGCCTCCTGAGTAGCTGGGATTACAGGCACCCACCAACCCGCCCCGCTAATTTTTGTATTTTTAATAAAGACAGGGTTTCACCACCTTGGCCAGGCTGGTCTTGAACTCCTGACCTCGTGATCCACCTGCCTTGGCCTCCAAAAGTGCTGGGATTACAGGCGTGAGCCACCGCGCCCGACCTAGTAACAGTTTAAAGGATAAAGCAGGCGAGCACTAGGGACAAGAGGCAAGGATTTCAGGCCCTGCTCTACCACCAATGAGGTGGGCTCACTTCAGGCTAATTATTTTCCTTCTGAATCTCAGAATCTGTATCTGTAAACCAGCATGCACTCTGAGGTCCCTTTCAGCCACATGGTACAAAAATTCTAAACCTCCCAGCAAGAGGTTCACTATAGAAGATGATACTGGATAAGACCAAAAAGAAAGAAAGAAAGAAAAAAAACTTTCCTAATAGTGGAAGTTGGAACAGGCTCAGCATTGTTTTTGGAAAGAGAAGTTATTTCTGGAAGTTTCTCAAGCGTCTCTCTGTTCTTGATGGAACTCAACACAAGCACTCTGCATCTAGTAGGCCCTCCATAACTATTTCTTACTAATGAACAGCATCTAGGGTGTCAGAGTTGGATCTTCAGGGCTGGGTACATCTAATAACCTCCTCTCCCAGCGTTTCACCCCGCCTGTGATAAACAAGTGTTTGATACGGTGACCCTCTTGTTTTCTAGACTCTTTTAGTTAGATTTCTCTGTGGGATGTTTTCAAACATTCTCAGGTAATAATAACAAGACCATAATGATAACCCAGAGGTGGTTGTAACTTTTATGTGGTTAGCTGGGAGAAAGAATTAGAGGTTTTAATGGTGATGAAAAATTTTTCTTGAACCTGATCAGCCTTTGACAAATGCAGACTGGAGCTTTAACAGTTGCAAAATGGAGATAGTGATGCAGGATGTTTAAAGATAGAGTAGAAGGCATAGACCAGAGAGAGCAGCTGTTAGTTTGCTGAGGAAATGGTCTCCCTTCTCGTCACAAACCATTTCATTATCTATGTGTATATCAAAGCATCATGTTATATGCCTTAAATATATATGATAAAATCTTTTTAAAAATTCATTTATCTGTTTGCAAATTGGAGGAGCTTGACACTAGGATGCAGTTAGGTCAGAACAATGCAATAGGTATGTTGAGCTCATGACTGGTCAAGGAATAGGCAAGGCCAGAGGGAAGCTGTGACCAGGGAGGCAGGTAGCCAAAGTGACACTCCTCAGATGTGGCAGCTGTCCCTCCCACTTCCCCATGTCAGCCCTTCCAGCTGCCAGTGCCTGCCTGAGGACTCTGGTGCTGGAGGCTGTCTTGCCCATGAGTGCAGCAGGCAGGAAGTGTTGGGGAGTAATTGCTGCCCCCTTCAAAAAAATAAAGACTGGTGGGAGTAGGTGTAAAATGCCTCAGCACTCTTGTCCTTCTGGGATAACTGTCTCTGAGTTCCCTGAGGGGATCAAGCTTCAGCCACATGGGTAACTTGCATGATCTCGCATCCTTCATTGTCTCCTTCCTTTCCCTGTCTCACATCTTCAGTGGTGTTTCCTAGGATCATCTCCCACAAACTACCTGAGCTGGAATCCTTGTCTCAGGTTCTACTTGTGGGGAGACCCCAACTAAGACAGCAGGCCACTAGGAATATGATGGGTAAAGTCACTGACTTGTAGCCAGGGGACTAACAGAACACAGGGCCGCCATGGGGCTTATAACACGGAAGAGGAAGTAGCTGAAGTGTCCAGTATACAAAGAGATGAGCACGGTGAGACTCATGGCTGTGCGCAGGAAGGGGCAAGCTTGATTGGAAGACTACCGTAGTCCTGACCCTGTGTTTGGGATTAGGTACATATTGTCTCTATCAATCCTTACAGAACTATACACTAGAGATGTCACCTCCATTTCACAGGTTGAAGGAAGTTAAATAACTCATTTATGATCACACGGCTCGTAGAGAGGGGATGTGAACCAGGCCTCCCTGGTACCAAAGTCTATGCTATATTCCCAAGAGCTCACCTAACAGCCCACACATCATGAGTGATCAGTGACCAGTCGGTGTGGTTTTCATGAGGAAGAGCCAGCAGTTCCTCAGGCCAGGCCAGGCTTCCCAGGGTGGAAGGACCTTAGAGAGGTTGAGGTCAGCCACATGGGGACTCAGCTTAGCAGATCCAGAAACTTGATTTGGCAACCCCCTAGCAGTAATCTGGCCTGGGGCACTGAATGACAGCCACCAGACTCTCCAGAGACTCATGAATGATCTGGGTACTGATCTGTTGATCAGATATTTATGTTTGTTAGTGTATTAGTTTTCTGTTGCTGATGTAACAAATGACCACAAACCTAGTAGCTTCAAACAATATACATTTATTATCTTACAGTTCTGGCAGTCAGAAGTCTAAAATCAGTTTCACTGGTCTAAAATGAAGGTGTGGGCAAGGCTGCATTCCTTCTGAAAGCTCTAGGGGAGAATCAATTTCATTGCCTTTTCCAGATTCTAGAGACCACCCTAATTCCTTGGCCCCTTCATCTGCCTTCAAAGCCAGCAGCATAGCGGCTTCCAGCCTGACTCTGACTCCTTCTTGTTACATTTGATGCATCTGGACGATCCCGGAGAATCTCCTCATTTCAAGGTTCTTAGTTTAATCACAGCCACAAAGTCCCTTTTGCCACATAAAGAAATGTATTCACAGGTTCCAGGGATGAAATATGGACATCTTGAGGGAGCCATTACTCAGCCTATCTCCTTCGGTCAGTTTTTTTATCTTCCCACAGCAGGATCATAGTTAAGCCAGCCTATGAGCAAAGGCTGCTGAGGAACCTGAAACCAGAGTACAGGGATGTGTACAATCTCCATGGACAGGTCATCAGCTGGCTGCAAATCAGCTGGGCCCCAGTCTGCCATCCAATCAACAAGGAGTGGAAACTTCTGACACTCAGGCTTCCCTTCTTGTAGACACTGTAGCCTTTTATCAGACGGACTCCAGTGCTGATTGTCAGGTCCTGCTCTACTTACTCCCAACTCTCCATCTCTGATACAATTACAAGTCATCTTTTATGGTTGCTTGATGGGACCTGTCCCATCCTGGGTTCCTGTTAATCATGCCCATCCATTAACGTCTCTGACAGATTGTGTTACAAACCAGTACCCAGTGACAGCATTTGATCCAGTGTTCTCCAGGACCTCACAGCTCCCTGCCCTTCTCTCCCTACCTCTCTGACTTTTGGCCGCACATCCCAGGTTCCAAAGTCTGCTCTGCCCTTCCCCTGTCTTTTTGATAACTTGTTAGGACTTTCCTTTCTGGATTCTGTGCAGAAATAATCTCATCCATTATGTACTGAGCTTTATTAGTAACCTTGTCTCAAAATTTGGGGAATACCTCCTTCATGGTGACTTTTTTTTTTTTTTAAAAACTGATTCTCAATTTTCTGTGTTAGTCAATTTCTACGTTTCTGAAAATCATTCTATAAACATTCTGCAAGAAACTGTTTATGTGCCAGGCTTTGGGTAAGGCTCAGAGAGCCTAGAGGCCAGTGGAGAAAATGAATTTTTTTTAATCAAATCATCACATTCACGTATATGTAATTATAAATGAAGATTAATTGCTCTTAAGGACAGAAACATGGTTAATGAAAATTTAACACAGACCTGCCCCAGATTGGGGGTCCTCAAGGGAAACTTCCCTATAGAAGTGCCATTTGAACTGTGATCATCGGATAGGTGACAGGGAGAAGTCAGGGAGCTGGGAGGTGACTGTGGCTGCAGGCAGAGACAGACAGATGGGGAGGAAAGGTCAAGGGGGATTGTATAGGCAGGCAGGGGGCAAGGCGGGGGTTTTGAGTTTTAGCCTAAGAGCAAAGATTTTCAGCAAGGAGAGAGTGGGGATGGCATCACGTGTGCTGAAACCATCTTCCTGATTGTAGCGTGGTGAACAGCTTTTATGGGGAAGGAGGAGAGGACAGGAGGGCAGTTAGGAGCTCCTTTTGGTAACAGAGGTGAGACATGAAGGCGACCTGGCTGGGGTAGTAGCAATGGAGAAGCAGCAGAGTGGTTGGTTTCTCAGAGTAGTTTGGCAGTAAAAATCTAACAGGAGATGGTGACAGTTTGAATATGAGGCAAGAGGTGGAAAGTTTCGAAGATGGAACCAAACTTCACAGCATATATAAGTTACTATTAACTAGTCTGATTTTTTTTTTTTTTTTGGGACAGTGTCTCTCTCCGTCGCCCAGGCTGGAGTGCAGTGGTGTGATCTCAGCTCACTGCAACCTCTGCCTCCCGGTTCAAGCAATTCTCATGCCTCAGCCTCCCAAGTAGCTGGGACTACAGGCATGGACCACCATGCCCAGCTAATTTTTGTATTTTTAGTAGAGACGGAGTTTCGCCATGTTTGCCAGGCTGGTCTTGAACTCCTGACCTCAAGTGATCCACCCTCCTGGCCTCCTAAATTGCTGGGATTACAGGCGTGAGCCACCGTGCCTGGTCTGCAATGAAACATTATTAAAAGGAGGAAATGATAGCTCTTGTGTATTTTGTGACAGGCCTAATGAAAATAGCTGCCTTCAGTGTGAGGGGGTTGCTCCATCCTTGTGAACCGCAGACATGACTATGTTGGTGGCTTCTGGGAGAAGTTTACATATCTAAGTTCAAGTTCGTAGGTGGCCAACATGGTTGATGCTTTTATCGTCAGAATTCCCCTAACATTCTTTGCGGTGGGGAGAGGGACTATCTCTAAAACCAAACCACCATCCTGAGGGAGCCTTAGACTGAGAGGCTTACTTATGGACACTCACATTTGGAGAATTCTGGGAATCCAACCCCAAGAATGCTGGCCCCTTTCCCCACTTGTGACGGACGGTCTTTTGAACCTCAGGATTTGGCAGTCTGTCAAACCAAATAACTCTGGGTGCAAAAGTCAATGCAGTCCAGAACAATATCTGCCTCGTTGCTACAGGCTGGATGTCTCTAACAGGCATGTCTTGGAATCCTTGCCCTTTTTCCCTTTTCACTTAGAACAGATGCACTGGTATAAGAACCTGCATGAACACTTTTTTCCCCAACATTATTTTTTTATATTTTATTTCATTTTATTTTGAGACGGAGTCTCACTCTCTCACCCAGGCTGGAGTTCAGTGGCACGATCTGGGCTCACTGCAACCTCTGCCTCCCGGGTTCAAGCGATTCTCATGCCTCAGCCTCCTAAATAGCTGGGATCACAGGCATGCACCACCACGCTCAGCTAATTTTTATATTTTTAGTAGAGACGGGGTTTCACCATGTTGGCCAGGTTGGTCTCGAACTCCTGACCTCAAGTGATACTGCCGCCGCCTTGGCCTCCTAAAGTGCTGGGATTACAGGTCTGAACCACCGCGCCTGGCCACAATGTGATTTTTTTTTTTTTTTTAATAACAAGACACTTGGTTGCTTTGTTGAGACAGAATTTCCAGGATTTCACATTTGAGTCTCTGGACCTAAGTATCCTGGTGGCACCACTTGGATATCTTAAAGTCACCTGTGGCTGCAGGTAGTGGCTCAAGCCTGTAATCCCAGCACTTTGGGAGGCCAAGGTAGGTGGCTCACTTGAGGGCAGGAGTTCGAGACCAGCCTGGCCAACATGGCAAAACCCCATCTTAGCCGGGCGTGATGACACATGCCTGTAATCCCAGCAACTTGGTGGCTGGGGCATGAGAATTGCTTGAACCCGGGCGGCAGATATTATAGTGAGCTGAGATTGTGTTACTGCACTCCAGCCTGGGCAATAGAGCAAGACCCTGTCTCAAAAAAAAAAAAAAAAAAAGTCATTTGTTAAAGTGAGTGGACCCCTTTGGAACATTCAGTCAGATTCTGCTACCCAAAGGCTAGAAACCCGGCCTCCCAGCACACAGTGGGGGAGAGGAGTGTGTACCTTAGGATGAGGCTGAAGGATCTTGGACAGGGAGCCTGGCCAGAGTGCTCCAACCTCGCCATTACTTTTGTTCAATTACACATTATGAGAAGTGGAAGAAATGAGAAAAGCAAATTAATGCTTAATCACTGTTAATACCCAACGCACTTCTAAGGAAGGCCCCTGTGCCTCATTGTGGAGATCTACATACGCCTGCACAGTGACCCCAACCACACCTCCGACTTCATCATTAACATCTAGTATTCTCCACTTTGGCTGCACTTTGCATGATGGAGGGGGGTTGAGGGGGTGGGAGTGTTAAAAAACAAAAATCCAGCACTTTGGGAGGCCAAGGCAGGCGGATCGCCTGAGGTCGGGAGTTCGATACCAGCCTGGCCAACATGGTGAAACCCCCATCTCTACTAAAAATACAAAAATCCAGCCGGGCGTGGTGGCATGCACCTGTAATCCCAGCTACTCGGGAAGCTGAGGCATGAGAATCACTTGAATCTGGGAGGCGGAGGTTGCAGTGAGCCAAGATCGTGCCACTGCATGCCAACCTGGGCGACAGAGCAAGACTGTCTCAAAAAAAAAAAAAGACAATGCCATGGTAATGATTTTGTTCATTACCATAAGATACATGGGTCACCCCAATCTTACCTGCTGGCCTAAAGGCAAGCGACGGCCACTTCAGTTCCACTTTGTCACATGCCCCACTTGCCCAGCACACACCTTCCTTCCTCCCCGGTTAAGACGCTGGCTGGTGTTTCCAGTGGAGCTGGTCCTCATGCCCTGTCTTAACACTGGACTGTGCTGTTGAAGAATATGGATACTCACTCACCTTCTGGCTCTCTCCTCTCTGGCTTCCCCGGATTCCAGCCTCCAGGAACCAGATCCTGACCATGGCTTGCTTGGTTGGCTCCTGTACCTCCCATTGGGGGTTGTGGGCAGATATTTAGATTCTCATCTGCAATCTGGGAAGCATAAACTAACACTACCCCCATTTTATAGTCAATGATATGAATGCCCAGAAAGGTTAACTGATTCAGGCCGGGAGCGGTGGCTCAGGCCTGTAATCTGAGCACTTTGGGAGGCCGAGGTGGGAGGATCACTTGAGCCCAGGAGTTTAAAACCAGCCAGGGCAGCATAGCAGACCCCATCTCTATTTTAAGGAAAAAAGAAAGAAAGGTTAAGTGATTCATATATGACCACCCAGCTCTGAACTTTACTGCTTTTGATTCTATTGAGAGGTGAAGCCGGCTGGGCTTTTGGGTCGGGTGGGGACTTGGAGAACTTTTCTGTCTAGCTAAAGGATTGTAAATGCGCCAATCAGTGCTCTGTGTCTAGCTAAAGGTCTGTAAACACACCAATCAGCACTTGGTAAAAACGGACCAATCAGCACTTGGTAAAAACGGACCAATCAGCACTCTGTAAAACGGACCAATCAGCTCTCTGTAAAGTGGACCAATCAGCAGGATGTGGGTGGGGCCAAATAAGGGAATAAAAGCAGGCCACGCAACCTAGCTGCGGCAACTGATTGGGGTTTCTTTCTGTTGTAAGTGCTTACCATAGAGTTTGTTGCTGTTTACTTTTTGGGTCTGCACTATGTTTATGAGCTGCAACACTCACGGCAAAGATGTGCAGCTTCACTCCTGAAGCCACCAGGCCATGAACCTCCCAGGAGAAACAAACAATTGTCGACACGCTACTTTTAAGAGGTGTAACACTCACTCGGAAGGTCTGTGGCTTTACTCCTGAAATCAGCGAGACCATGAAACCACCAGAAGGAAGAAATTTCAGACACATCTGAACATCTGAAGCAACAAACTCCGGACACACCATCTTTAAGAACTGTAACACTCACCGCAATGGTCTGAGGCTTCATTGTTAAAGTCAGCGAGACCAAGAATATCGGAAGGAACCAATTCCGGGCACGCTATCATCCAAATAGTCCATTACTTGAATTTTAGCTGTAAAATAGCAAAAATTATCACCCACTGGGGTGAGGGGAGGATTTATGTGGTGAGGATTAAAGGGATATGGAGGCAAGGTTAGTCAGTATAGCGTAAATAATGGTTGGTCTTTGGAAGCCAACTGAGTACCAAGTGTGGACATTAAAGATTGCTCCAGTGTTAGGTTTTCATCATCGTGGTCTGCCATTGCAAAATACCACAGACTTGGCGTGGCTTAAAGAATAGAAATTTATCTTCTCACGGTTCTGGAGGCTTGAAGTCTGGGATAAGAGTGCCAGTGTAGTCAACTAATATGAGCGCTCTCTTTCCAGGCTTGTGGACAGCCACCACCTTGCTGTATCCTTTGGCAGAGAGAGGGAGTGGAGGAGAAAAAAAAGCGGGGAGAGGATTTTCTGGGCAAACCAGAGTGTTCCTTGTGTCTCTTCTTATAAGAACTCTAATCCTATCATATCAGGCCGCCACCCTGAGGAACTCATTTAACCTTGTCTCATACTAAAGTAGTCACCCTGAGAATTACGCATTTTAACACAGGAATTTGGGAGGACATAATTAAGTCCATAGCATGTTTCCAGAGAAACCATTATTTCTCAAAGTTGGAAAAGAACACAAAGATCATTTTATACATTTATACTTTTTTTTTGTGGTAGAGACAGGGTCTTGCTATATTGCTCAGGCTGGCCTCGAACGCCTAGGCTCAAGTGATCCTCCCACCTCAGCCTCCTGAGTAAAGAGCATCTTTTTATTTGCTCGTTATTTCTTGGTAACTCATTTCTCTGCTCAGCTTCCTTTCCTTGGGGCAGGCGTTGAGGGGAGGCTTTCTGCTAGAGTCTGCCTTGGGGCTCTGAGAACGGTTATCCCAACAGACTTTAATTATTCTTTTCTAAGGGCTTTCCTGCCCTTGAGTTGGTTATTTACAAAAATGCCTCAGGGATTCCCAGAGGAAGGCCCCCCGAATTCTAATGTGCTGGCTTTCACTCTGGACTAAATGCTCTGTTCTATAGCTCACTCAGCTCATCTTTCCATCTTCAGGAGAGGGAGAAGCTACATTGTGGGGCAGCTTTACTTATTCGCAGAGCCATTTTACCCTTTAGGTGAAGAGACAATCCCAAATGCCGGTATAAAGACTCATCCTAGTGATGGTGATGGCCTCCAAAAGCATCCTCCATGGTATGAGGCCAAAGGTTTAGCTTCTTGGTGAAAGATTGTAACTTCCCGTTTTTGTCCTAAGAGGCTTTTTCTTATTAAATTGTCAGAAGTGGGCTCTCTGAGAAAATCTTAAGAGGCCCTTACTGTAAGACTTTCATGAAGTTTAAAGTGTGGCTGTCTCCGCAGGGCATTACTGTGAAGGGGAAGTTAGATTTTAGTATGTCAGAGTCTTGAATCAAAGTTAGGAAAATCAGAGTTGGGAACTTTCTAGAACAGGCTGGGCAGTCTCTCAGAGGCTTGCACCATCTGGATGGGGTGACAGCATGAGAACCCATAGGAAGGAAGCCTGTGGTCCCCTCCACTTCATCGCATTCACTTTGGCTACCACAGGCCGACCCCAGGGTGGACCCCATGTCTGTTGCTAACCACTTTGTTGCCAAGTTACCCTTCTGGAGGCTCATTTTCCTCAGCATGGCTCTGAGAGGGAGTGCCTCCTTAATTTGTATATCTTTCTCTCTCTCTGTGTATGTAACTCCTCAATTTTGTACCCTGGGCCTCTTCTCTCACCCTAGTCCTGCCCTAGATACTAGTATCTTCCTCAGGGGGATTTGTGTAGATTAAATTACAGAATGTGGGATGGGTGTGGTGGGGTCTGTAATCCCAGCACTTTGAGAGGCTGTGGCTGGTGGATATCTGTATCTATCTATCTACCTATCTACCCATCCATCCATCCATCCATCTATCCTATCATCTATATTATAGATATATGGATAGAGATCTATAATATACATATGTATAATATATCTCTTTCTATATATATATGTGTATATGTTTTTGAGACGGAGTCTGACTCTGTCGCCCAGGCTGGAGTGCAGTGGCGTGATCTCGGCTCACTGCCCACCTCTGCCTCCTGGGTTCATGTCATTCTCCTGCCTCAGCCTCCCGAGTAGCTGGGACCACAGGTGTGTGCCACTACGCCTGGCTAATTTTTTTTTTCGTATATTTTTAGTAGAGACGGAGGTTTCACCATGTTGGCCAGGATGGTCTCGATCTCCTGACCTCGTGACCCGCCCGCCTCGGCCTCCCAAAGTGCTGGGATTACAGGCATGAGCCACTGCGCCTGGCCAAATTAGCTGCTTTTTAAATGGAACCCTAGAGCCCTCAGACATAACGCCGCATATCTACAACTCTCTGATCTTTGACAAACCTGAGAAAAACAAGCAATGGGGAAAGGATTCCCTATTTAATAAATGGTGCTGGGAAAACTGGCTAGCCATATGTAGAAAGCTGAAACTGGATCCCTTCCTTACACCTTATACAAAAATCAATTCAAGATGGATTAGACTTAAATGTTAGACCTAAAACCATAAAAACCCTAGAAGGAAACCTAGGCATTACCATTCAGGACATAGGCATGGGCAAGGACTTCATGTCTAAAACACCAAAAGCAATGGCAACAAAAGCCAAAATTGACAAATGGGATTTAATTAAACTAAAGAGCTTCTGCACAGCAAAAGAAACTACCATCAGAGTGAACAGGCAACCTACAAATGGGAGAAAATTTTCGCAACCTACTCATCTGACAAAGGACTAATATCCAGAATCTACAATGAACTCAAACAAATTTACAAGAAAAAAACAAACAACCCCATCAAAAAGTGGGCGAAGGACATGAACAGACACTTCTCAAAAGAAGACATTTATGCAGCCAAAAAACACATGAAAAAATGCTCACCATCACTGGGCATCAGAGAAATGCAAATCAAAACCACAATGAGATACCATCTCACACCAGTTAGAATGGCAATCATTAAAAAGTCAGGAAACAACAGGTGCTGGAGAGGATGTGGAGAAATAGGAACACTTTTACACTGTTGGTGGGACGGTAAACTAGTTCAACTGTTGTGGAAGTCAGTGTGGCGATTCCTCAGGGATCTAGAACTAGAAATACCATTTGACCCAGCCATCCCATTACTGGGTATATAACCAAAGGACTATAAATCATGCTGCTATAAAGACACATGCACACGTGTGTTTATTGCAGCATTATTCAAAATAGCAAAGACTTGGAACCAACCCAAATGTCCAACAATGATAGACTGGATTAAGAAAATGTGGCACATATACACCATGGAATACTATGCAGCCATAAAAAATGATGAGTTCATGTCCTTTGTAGGGACATGGATGAAATTGGAAGTCATCATTCTCCATAAACTATCGCAAGAACAAAAAACCAAACACCGCATATTCTCACTCATAGGTGGGAATTGAACAATGAGATCACATGGACACAGGAAGGGGAACATCTCACTCTGGGAACTGTTGTGGGGTGAGGGGAGGGGGGAGGGATAGCATTGGGAGATATACCTAATGCTAGATGACGAGTTAGTGGGTGCAGCACACCAGCATGGCACATGTATACATATGTAACTAACCTGCACAATGTGCACATGTACCCTAAAAGTATAATAATAAAAAAATAAATTAATTAAAAAAAAATGGAACCCTATTTTTACTTAAAGGGATGGCTGACAGACAAACTATTATTCTTTTGACTTGGGAATTTGGCGGATATTTTCTGAAAATGAATAAAGTATCCTGTCACTTCAAGGAAATCATACGACAGTATTTGTTGCCACATGGTAAACTGAATTTTCAAGTGAAAATTAGGATTTGGGGAAGCCTGTATCTGCTACCATAAGCTTGACAGCTTTTTAGTTTTTTAGTTTTTGTTTTTTTTAAATTGAGATAGGGTCTTGCTGTGTTGCCCAGGCTGGAGTGCAGTGGCACAAACACGGCTCATTGCAGCCTTGGCCTCCTGAGTTGTAGTGATCCTCCCATCTTATCTGAGCTGGGACCACAGGTGTGTGCCACCATATCAGGCTAATTTTTAAAATTTTTGTAGACACGCATTCCCACTGTGTTACCCAGGCTGGCCTCGAACACCTAGGCTCAAGTGATCTGCCCCCCTTGGTCTTCCAAAGTGCTGAAATTACAGGCATGGGCCGCTGCGCCCAGCCATCTAGTGTTAAAATACTTTTCTTATGAAATTTGTGGTGATAGTAATAAATGTAGTTTTCGATACTATATAATGAACTATGTCAACATTTGGAAGTCTACAACTCATTGAATCAATATTTTCAAAATGGCCAAAGCACAAAAATCCTGCATAAAAAAAGAACCATTTAAAATGCAAGATGAGACTGGTTGTAGTGGCTCACACCTGTAATCCCAGCACTTTGAGAGGTCGAGGCAGGTGGATTGCTTGAGGCCAGGAGTTGGAGACCAGCCTGACCAACGTGGTAAAACACCATCTCTACAAAAAATACAAAAATTAGCTGGGTGTGGTGGCTTGTGCCTGTAGTCCCAGCTACTCAGGAGGCTGAGGTGGGAGGATCGCTTGAACCTGGGGGGTTGAGGTTGCAGTGAGCTGTAATCGTGCCACTGCACTCTAGCCTGGGCGACAGAGTGAGACCCTGTCTGAAAATAAAATAAAATATATTAAAAAGTAAAATAAAACGCAAGATGAACCAGTGAATTTTAGTATGACTGAATACGAAAAGTTCAGTGATACGGTTCCAGATTATACCTTGCAATTAATGTTTAAGGAACTACCATTTGGCTGGGGGTGTTGGCTCATGCCTGTAATCCCAGCTCTTTGGGAGGCTGAGGTGGGCAAATGACCTGAGGTCAGGAGTTTGAGACGAGTTTGGCCAACATGGTGAAACCCTGTCTCTACTAAAAATAAACAATTAGCCAGACATGGTGGTGCACGCCTGTAATCCCAGCTACTTGGGAGGCTGAGGCAGGAGAATTGCTTGAACCTGGGAGGCAGAGGGTGCAGTGTGCTGAGATCATGCCATTGCACTCTAGCCTGGGCGATAAAAGCGAAACTCCGTCTCAAAAAAAAAAATGCCATTTGTTGAATTATAGTGCAGTATCAAAGAAGCACATCCAGAATTATCTGAAAAGTCTAATGACATACTCTTCCCTTTTCCATCTATACATGTATGTGAGGTCATATTTTCTTCATATATGCAAACTATGTCAAAATAAGTGGACTATATAAGCAGATAAAAGAAAGCAGCTATCTTCCGTTTAATGCAAACATTAAATGGATTTGGAAAAATGTAAAAGAATTTCACTCTTTTTTTTTTATTGATCATTCTTGGGTGTTTCTCGCAGAGGGGGAGTTGGCAGGGTCATAGGACAATAGTGGATGGAAGGTCAGCAGATAAACAAGTGAACAAAGGTCTCTGGTTTTCCTAGGCAGAGGAACCTGCGGCCTTCCGCAGTGTTTGTGTCCCTGGGTACTTGAGATTAGGGAGTGGTGATGACTCTTAACGAGCATGCTGCCTTCAAGCATCTGTTTAACAAAGCACATCTTGCACCGCCCTTAATCCATTTAACCGTGAGTGGACACAGCACATGTTTGAGAGAGCACAGGGTTGGGGGTAAGGTCATAGATCAACAGGATCCCAAGAAAGAAGAATTTTTCTTGGTACAGAACAAAATGAAAAGTCTCCCATGTCTGCTTCTTTCTACACAGACACAGCAACCATCCGATTTCTCAATCTTTTCCCCACCTTTCCCCCCTTTCTATTCCACAAAACCGCCATTGTCATCATGGCCCGTTCTCAATGAGCTGTTGGGTACACGTTCCAGACGGGGTGGTGGCCGGGCAGAGGGGCTCCTCACTTCCCAGTAGGGGCGGCCAGGCAGAGGTGCCCCTCACCTCCCTCCCAGACGAGGCGGCTGGCCGGGCGGGGCGCTGACTCCCCACCTCCCTCCCGGACGGGGCGGCTGGCCGGGCGGGGGGCTGACCCCCCACCTCCCTCCCGGACAGGGTGGCTGCCAGGCGGGGACGCTCCTCACTTCCCAGACGGGGCGGCTGCCGGGCGGAGGGTCTCCTCACTTCTCAGACGGGGCGGCCGGGCAGAGACGCTCCTCACCTCCCAGACGGGGTCACGGCAGGGCAGAGGCGCTCCTCACATCCCAGACGGGGCGGCGGGGCAGAGGCGCTCCCCACATCTCAGACGATGGGCGGCCGGGCAGAGACACTCCTCACTTCCTAGATGGGATGGCGGCCGGAAAGAGGCGCTCCTCACTTCCTAGATGGGATGGCGGGCGGGCAGAGACGCTCCTCACTTTCCAGACTGGGCAGCCAGGCAGAGGGGCTCCTCACATCCCAGACGATGGGCGGCCAGGCAGAGACGCTCCTCACTTCCCAGACGGGGTGGCGGCCAGGCAGAGGCTGCAATCTCGGCACTTTGGGAGGCCAAGGCAGGCGGCTGGGAGGTGGAGGTTGTAGCGAGTCGAGATCACGCCACTGCACTCCAGCCTGGGCACCATTGAGCACTGAGTGAACCAGACTCCGTCTGCAATCCCGGCACCTCGGGAGGCCGAGGCTGGCGGATCACTCGCGGTTAGGAGCTGGAGACCGGCCCGGCCAACACAGCGAAACTTCGTCTCCACCAAACAAATGTGAAAACCAGTCAGGCGTGGCGGCACGCGCCTGCAATCGCAGGCACTCGGCAGGCTGAGGCAGGAGAATCAGGCAGGGAGGTTGCAGTGAGCCGAGATGGCAGCAGTACAGTCCAGCTTCGGCTCGGCATCAGAGGGAGACCGTGGAAAGAGAGGGAGAGGGAGACCGTGGGGAGAGGGAGAGGGAGAGGGACGAATTTCACTCTTTTCACTAAAGTTTTCCATCTTAGAAAACATTTTTACTAAAAGTGTTATTTATTTTAATAATGGGTTTATTATTGTCGTTTAGAAATGAATTGGTAAATAAATTTCCCATTTTTAATTTCTAATATATAAACATTGATAGCTATAACCCATATAAACAAAAGCTCTTTGGGGTTCTCAGTAATTTGTAAGAGTAGAAAGGGATTCTGAGACCAAAAAAGTCATTCTCGGGCAGAGGGCCGTGCTGCCCTTTTTTTTTTTTTTTTTCCTTGAGAGTGTTCTATGCCTGTACCCCATGGACTGTGTGTTAACTCTGCATATCCATCAGTTTCCCATTTGAGTGACTAGGAAAACATTTTGCATACAATGCTTTGTGATGTCCTTTGGCCTCTACTTGTTTACATAGTAAGTCCATCTCTATTCTTTTTCTCTTTAGCCTGTGACAATTCAAATAGAATTATTTGGCTCCAATCCCATCTAAACACAGTGCCAGTGTAGATTGTGAAGCCATGTTATGGTACTCAGTGGATGGCCAGAGGACCCAGAACCTGCAACCATGAATCTAATTTTAAATAGTAATCAAATGGAAAGACAGAATTTGAAATTCCATAGGCGTCTGGGGGTGAGTCTGCAGATCCAGCATGAGAAGCCCGACCTTGCTGGCTCAAGCATAGGCGCCCAGAGCCATGGCAGGAACCACAGGGAGGCTGGGAATATGACTGTTGTTATCAATGTGTGGTTACTTAGTTCTTTCTTAGAAACCATCTCAAGAGTTACTCCCTTTATTTCTATGCCCCAGTCTAAGTTTGAAAGATTTTCCTCTGAGCAATCTTGATCACTGAGGGACCAAAGATCTAAGGCTAGGTCCACCCTTAGTTCTTCCTGCCGAAGTCTCCATCAGGCACTGCATACCCCCCGCCTCCCTCTCATAGATGCCTCCTGTTTGTGGGTACTGAGGTCCTGAGTCATCTTCCTGCAATTGTACCACACTGTGGCCTCACCACGTTGCTATCAGGCTCTCCAACAGATCATTGCGTGGACCTCCCCAGGCACACTAACCATTCATACCTCACAAAACATTCCTTTCTGGGCCGGTCACGGTGGCTCATGCCTGTAATCCCAGCACTTTGGGAGGCTGAGGCGGGCAGATCACCTGAGGTCGGGAGTTTGAGACCAGCCTGACCAACATGGAGAAACCCCGTCTCTACTAAAAATACAAAATTAGCTGGATGTGGTGGCCCATGCCTGTATTCCCAGCTACTCGGGAGGCTGAGGCAGGAGAATCACTTGAACCCGGGAGGCAGAAGTTGTGGTGAGCTGAGATCGCGCCATTGTACTCCAGCCTGGGCAACAAACGAGAACTCTGTCTTTAAAAAAAAAAAAAATTCCTTTCTGCGCTTAAAAAGTCAATCAGTAGTTTCACCATAATCCATGTAGCTCAGAGTTAATATGCTACATGCCTCGGCCTCCCAAAGTGCTGGGATTACAGGCATGAGCCACCGCGCCCGGCCAGTCACTTAGTTTTCTAAGCCTCAGTGTCCCCATGTGTAAAATACTACATGCCCTGCCTGCTGTACAGAGTTGGGAAACTCAAACTTGATAAAAGATGTGAAAATATTTTAAAAATTATAGGCCGGGCACGGTGGCTTTTGCCTGTAATCCCATCACTTTGGGAGGCCAAGGTGGGTGGATCACTTGAGGTCAGGAATTCGAGACCAGCCTGGCCAACGTGGCGAAACCTTGTCTCTGCTAAATTTACAAAAATTCTCTGGGCATGGTGGCAGGTGCCTGTGATCCCAGCTACTTGGGAGACTGGAGCATGAGAATTGCTTGAGCTTGGGAAGCGGATGTCACAGTAAGCTGAGATTGCATCACTGCACTCCATCCTGGGTGACAGAGTGAGACTGTCTCTAAATAAATAAATAAATACAATTATAAAGTGCTAGTCAAATGCAAGTTGGTAGTGAAACAGGCCTTGACATATTTCATAGTCACTTTATAATTCTTCCATCAAGGCTGGACAAGTGTCACCTTAGCACAGATCAACCCAGATCAACATACTGAAGATTTAGGAGCACAAGATTCTTTAATAGAGGATATTTTTCTGCCCTGCTTCTTCCAATTGCAGTATATCATATTTGATCATTGTAGTGCTTGATGAATTTATTTTGCAACTTACTACGATAGAATGAGAAATCACTGGCTTTTCCAAATAGATCATGGCTGTCTCCCCATTGGAGAAAGAGGTACTCTGTAGAGTAACTAGGTTAACTCAGAATATCTACACCCTGAAAGGCCAGTTTTCTTTTTATAATGTAAACACATTAAGGGAATTTGGAAATAAAGAGAAATCATCCAGAATTCTACCATCTTAACACAGCTCTGTGTTTTTGCCCATTACAGCCTAGTTGGCATCCATAAGCACTTAAGAGGGCTGTAGTTACAATGTACATATCATTTTGGTTTTCTGCCCCTTTTTCACTTATGCATTTCTCCACATTTCCTTTTTCTTCTTTTTGTGATTATACTTTGATAGGCATCTACATTTCTACCTAGCCTCCGTGTTTATCATTTTAATGGTGAAATAATATTCCATCAACTGAATTAATCATGATTCCTTTTGGGTGAAGATATAGGTTGTCGCCAGGTTTTTCTTTTTCTACTATTAATAATGCTACAACAAACGGGCCAGGCACGGTGGCTCACACCTGTAATCCCGGCACTTTGGGAGGCCGAGGTGGGCGGAACACCTGAGATCAGGAGTTGGAGACCAGCCTGACCAATATAGTGAAACCCCATCTCTACTAAAAATACAAAATTAGCCGGGCCTGGTGTCACACACCTGTAATCCCAGCTACTTGGGAGGCTGAGGCAGGAGAATTGTTTGAACCTGGGAGGTGGAGGTTGCAGTATGCCGAGATTGCACCATTGCACTCCAGCCTGGGCAACGAGCAAAACGCTGTTTCAAAAAATAAAAATAATGCTACGACAAGTGGCTTCTTAAATATAGCTTTTTGCCTTTGTTGAAAACCAAAGTCTCCAGGATAGAATTATTAGCTCAAAGCTTAAAAACTCTTTAGAGTTCTTGCAAATATATTTCTATTGCTTTCCAAAAGGATCCCACAAATTTTAATGCCATTAACATATTTGATCTCATTGCTAACATTCCAGCATTGAGCAATTTATTATAAAATTTTACCAATTTAATAGGTATCAAATGCTGTCTCTTTTAAAATGCTATTTTTATTTCCACAAAGGAAAGACAGTTTTCAAGGGCTACTTTTTTAGAGGGAAAAGTTTTGTCACCAGAAAGATAAATCCAGGTAGCTGATAGTATCTTCATTTACTCTTTTGTCCATACCAAGGACGTAGGAGAGTGATTTGGCACTCAGCCTCCCCTTTAGAGGTTGAGAGCAGCTAGATCTGCCCCTTTAAACCATGACATCCAGGTCTATGGTATGCAGCAGAGTGGATACTACTGAAATAGTTTACACATTCTTGCTGGAACTTACTAATACAGTTTCAGTTTTACTGAACTTCTAAACCAGCAACATAAGTTAAGGATCCAGGAATATTAGATTGGCAACATGCAAATTGACTATCATCTAACAACTGGCATCTAGACTCAGTCAGAAGGAGTTTTCAGGCAAACAGAATCTGGTGTGATGTTTATAGCTGTGTAGCGGGAGCCAGGCCTCTTAGCTTTGCTATTTGTGTCAGTTCCCAAGGGAACTTAAGTGGCAAAAGCCCACTTCAATTTTCTCAGTTTTAGGTTGCCCATTTGCCTGAAAGAAGTGATGTGAAACTTGTGAACCAGAATCTTGGGAATATTCTGAGAATCTCAGATGGAAGGGACCATTTTAATTATGAAATCTTTTTTCATTAAAAAAAAAAATCAGGTAACCCTTTCCCCATTTCACATTTCTGGTTCAGGTACTCAATAAAATGCAAATAGAATGACAGAATTTACTTTGATGAGCTCAAAATCAGTAGCAAAATATAAATCAAGATGCCTTATTAATAAAAAAGTTAAAGATTTGTTAAAAACAATAATGTAAACAGAGATGATTGTAGGTATTTAGGATGTTTAATTGTGTCCCATCCTGCCTTGCCCTTTACATATTTAGCATTTTTTTCTGATAGGAAAGTAAATTGTAGATTGGAAAAAAATCTTATTTTAAAAACAATTGCATGAAGCACATATTATTATGGTGTCTTCATTTTACAAATGAGGAAACAGACTTAAAGAGGCTGAGGGCCCCGAGGTCACACTGCTCAGGAGTGTGTCTCAGCTCCCTTATTCAAACTCTTCTGTTTCTAAGGGTTTACTCTTCTTGCATTTGAAATTGAGCAAAAGTTTAAATTCTTTTACCCAGGCTGCAGAATGGGTCTGGGAAAGACGGTAATGCTGTTGAGAGGCTCACGCATGCAGGTGCTGGGGAGAAGCCATTGGGTGGAGAATATGTGAACAGCAGGTGGCAGCAGTGTCTTTGGAGTGCGTGGTTGTCCCAGGCAGTCCCCGGAAAGCAAGGTCCATGCAATACCATGGAGCCCTGAACCTAATGCCTGACCTTTCATCTCTGACCTCCTGCTGAGCCAGGTGTACTACCTGCCACCTAGTAAGGTACAGTGTATCCCTGGGGAAGGAATTGGGGAGAATATTGGGAAACAGGTGACTTGGGAGTCATTTATAATTGAAAGGCTCCCATCTGGGTAACTGGTATAATGTGTGGTGGTGTGACTCTGGCGTGTTACTTAGCTTCTCTGTTCTTCAATATCCTTTCTGTAAAATGGGGATAATGGCCATCTGCCTCTCAGGATCACTGAGATGATTAAGGGAATGTGATATCTACAAAGCCCTTGGAACAGCCCAGTACTGGGCGCACACTATGTGTACGTTACCTATTATTAATATTCTTTGTTGAAGGCTTTATCGTTTGCAGTGGACTTTCATACCTATCATTTCATTCCATCCTCCCACCATATTTTAAGATGCAAATATTACACCCATTTAATATAATAGAGGCGGACACCGGTTGAGCCAGAGAAAGTACAAATTAGCACGAGCTTTGAAGTCAGACAGATTGGAAGTCAGGCTCATTAGAGTTGTGGGATTTGTGCAAGTTACTTAATGCTTTGGAGCCTCAGTTTCTTTCTAAATGAGTGATAATATTACCTATCTTGTGGGTTTATGACAACATACATGAAGTTTAAAACAACATACATGGTTTAAAACAATATATATGAAGCCATCTGGTGTGGTTCCTCTTCCATAGTGAACACTTAAAATTATTCAAGGGATGTTTTAAAACATCAAAAAGTATTTAGACAGGCACGGTGGCTCATGCCGGTAATCCCAGCACTTTGGGAGGCCGAGGCAGGCGGATCGCCTGAGGTCAGGAGTTCGAGACCAGCCTGGCCAACATGGTGAAACCCCATCTCTACTAAAAATACAAAAATTAGCCAGGTGTGGTGGCGCATGCCTGTAATCCCAGCTACTCGGGAGGCTGAGGCAGGAAAATCGCTTGAACCCGCGAGGTGGAGGTTGCAGCGAGCTGAGATCGCGCCACTGCACTCCAGCCTGGCGACAAAGCGAGACTCCATCTCAAAATAAATAAATAAATACAAAGTATTTAAAAAGGCAAGTAAATTTACTTACAATCCACCACCTAGAAATAACCTTGTTATTACTATGATGTGTTTTTTTCCCCTAGTATTTGTAAGTGATATGGCCGAGCTCCCATCACATATGTGTAAGTCACTCGACCAAGGTGCCAAAGCTAAGACAGGGGCAGAGCTGGGCTCACACACCAGGCAGGGCTGCCTCCAGGGCCAGGTTCTTCTGTGTAGCTACTTCTCCACACTTCCTCAATCAAGTTAAGGATTAAATGTCTTTTGAGAAACTGATGAAAAAATATTTCAAGTGTTTCAAGTTTGAAAATATACACTTACATTCAAAAGCATGTAAAGAAACCAGAGGTACCTAAGACAATCTTATCATATAGTTCAAGGCTGGAATTCTGCCCAGAAGGTAGGGTTTCACTTGCAAAACATGAATTTCTACAGATTTTTGTTTGGCCAACATTTTCACTGTTAAAACATTACTGTTCAAGCTGTTACAACTACAACAAGTAAATTTGGAAAAATCAGTGAACTAATCATTTGACAAATGGATTAAATTGAGTGAATTAATGATTCAGCAGATTGGGTCTTTGGGTGCACTGATTTTTTGGCAAATTGGCTCGCATCTATTAACATGGAGTAGTGCTCAATGTATGTGCTTGTTGAATTAATTAACACATGAATGAATGAGTGCATTGAATCTTGCCATAAATAAAATGATCTTTCCCCCCGAAGGTCAATGACTTTACATGATGTCAGCATTTTAAGAGCCCCAAAAGCTTCTTGAGACAGATATTCTGATTCTAGGGTCACGGCTACTCACCATGTGTGCATCCCAACTCCAAATCCACACTCATTGCCTGGTTGGCTCCTCAGTGAGAGCTGGTGCTTCCCTGTTGGTTCTTAGGGTTGAAGCCCGCTCACTATGGGTCTTGGAGTCAGAAGACCCAGGTTTGAATGTCACTGGGCTTGTCCACATCTTAGCCACGGAACACTGGCCAAGCCAGTGCACCCTGGAACCGTGTTGTCACTGATTACATGGGGACAGTGCTGATGTCTGTCCTGCTTTGTTCCCAGCATCACTGTCACTATCAAATAAAATGGAAATGCTCTCTGGGAGCCGGAAAGTGCTAGGTGAATTTTAGTTCTTTATGAGTTCATTATTATGAAAACCACAGTGGCCATGTGTGTGCTCTGTCATGGAGGGAGTAGGAAGGCTGGGGACGGGTCTCAGGGAAGGAGGGCCATGCCTGCTCGCTGGTAGAGGGTCACTACTCACCTTTGCTCTTTGGTCTCTGCCTTTCTGGTCACTGACACGCATGATAGAAGGGCACACACACCTATTAAACTGCTTCCCCCAGGTCATCTGCCAGTGAGGAGCTGGCAAACCCCAGTGGCCCTACAAACGCCTCCTCACTGGCTGCTTCAGGCTGAGGTCATTTGCCCGGAGCCCCTGGGGTGGGGTGAGAGGGAAGCCGGGGTCCTCCCAGTCACCTTGGGCCCTGTGCGGCCAGGCTGGGTGGCATCCTCCTCCGTCTGGCCTCTCTGCTCCCAGCTCTGAACGCAGCCTGAGAGAGGGCAGAAGGGGTGTCTGCTGGGCACCTTTGCTGCCTCACAGCCAAAGAAACCTGGCTGGGGAGGGCCGGGCAGGGAGGGCACACAGCTGGGCATGACAGGGAGGGCGTGTAATGGCGTAAGCTTGGGAACAGGATCAAAGACAAAGAACGAGGGGGCAAGAGGTGTCTGGAGAACGCAATTTTTTCCTCCTCCCTTTTCTCAAGTGTAAGAGTAAAATCATTAAAGAAAATAATGCGCCCTTCAAAGGCGAATTGGCAATCAGTGTTGAATTTTAGTGCTGGAGTGGGTGACAGCACATCCCAGCTGCAGTCAGGAGACCTACCGCTGCTGAGTGACGCTGCACCAGCCACCCGCCATCAGCCACCAGCCCCCAGCCAAGCGGTCATTTACCACCCACTTGGTCTGGCTCACTTTCTGTTTCCTGAGTTATATTAGCTCTAGTGGAGACCTACCATAACAGTTCATCACGCTTGAAAGGTGCTTCTTCCTCCCAGAGAACTTCACGTCCACCCTCTAAAAGCTCATCTGTCTGAACAGCCCTTCAGGGTTAAAAGCACCTGTGCTCAGATGGACTCTGAATTGGAAGGTTCTGAGGTTCCATCTAATCCTGTTATTACCCAGACTTCAGCTGGGCTCTCATTTCACCTCTCAGAGATTTGGTTCAATTTAGCCTGGACCCCAATTCCAGGGCCAGTTTAAGACCATTACAGGCCCCAGGGTCTTTTAATTATGGAGTCCGCATTCCACATAATATCAAACACATTAGAATATACCCATATTTCACATTGAGTATCACATTTTTGCTGTAGAAAGGATCAAAAGGACTTTATTAATCTTGCTTTTGAAATTATAGCTGCTCATTGACTACATGTCTGGCTATGTTCTCCAGGCTGGCATTGTGCATGCACAGTACATTTTATGGAGGGAGAAAATAAAACCTTAGCGTTATTTTCAAACAGAGAATCCAGAAACACTAAATTTAAACATGAATGAATTGACGTTGTTTGTTTTATAGACATTTAATTAAAATGTATTCCTTTCAATTTCATACTTTTCCTTTTATATTTTAGATTCAATAATTTTTTTTTTTTGGCATGTCACGTATTTTCACAGGCCTTTGAAAAAAGCTCATTGGCCAGAGGCCCTGTCCCCGGGGCCCTGCAGACCAGATGGCTCTGCTGGTGTTTGCTGAGAGCCCTTCCCAAGATTTTGCCCCACCCCTCACCTCATTCCCAGCATCTTTCTGATCCCCTGCTCCCTGTTCCTGTGTGTCTATCTGCCTGTGTTTCAGTTTCCACTGGTATCAAAACTGACCGCAAAGCCCAGCTCCTTCACTGTTACATGGACATTTCATGAGGTTGGTACCTGGACACATTCTGAGGACCATGGAGAACTGTCACTTACATACCTTGTAAGCTCCTGCCATCTGCTTGGCTCCACCCTTTCCCTCCCAGTGCCCACCCTCTCTCACTCCACATCCTGCCAAGGGCAGCTCTCCAGGGAGCCTGCATCACATCAACCACTTCCCTTGTCTGGCCGCTTCTCTTTCAAACAGCCAGGAATGCCTGCAGTCCCTATCCCCCTTGAATCTGCAGAGCAACATTGCTCCATCTCTACACAAGCATTATCCGATGACTTCATCCCTTCCAGAGCTTCCTGGGCAGGAGCTGCTGCTGGACACTTCCCAGGATGAGGATCTCACCGTCTCTCAGGACAAGGCTTTTGCTTGCTTTTGGCCTGTTCTCACCATTAAAAAGGAATAAGATGAGGCCAGATGTGTGGCTCCTGCCTGTAATCTCAGCACCTTGGAAGGCCAAGGTGGGAGGGTTGCTCCAGCTCAGCAGTTTGAGACCAGCCTGGGCAACACAGGGAGACCCCATCTTTACAAATACTACTACTACCAGCACTACTACTATTACTACTACTACTTGTAAAATTAGTTGGGCGTAGTGGTGCATACTTGTAGTCCCAGCTACTCAGCCATCTGGATCGCTTGAGCCTGGGAGACTTGAGGCTGCAGTGAGCCATGACTGTGCCACTGCACTGCGGCCTGGGCAATAGAGAGATACCTTGTCTCAAAAAAAAAAAAAAAAAAAGAAGTAATAAGATGAATGTGAATTCTGGCTTTATTTCAGCTGCTCCTGATCCTGCCTCTGGGCTCCTTTGACCTTCAGCCTTCCCCCTGAGAGACAGAGCTGTGTCTCCATGGGACAACTGAGGAGCCCTGTAGTAAAGCCCCAGCTGAGATCCAGCCTCTTGACTTGCAGTCCTGGGCTTTCTCAAGGTCCTATTTTCTCCCTGACTGCCTTTTATTATTCGGCTTTCTTCAGGGAAGAAATGCACTGCACTGTGAATTTCCTTCAGCAAACAGAAGCTCTCTGCTTGTTGAAGTAAACAGAGCTGTGGAGGGTGGGGGGCGGGGAGGGGCCGGGGTGGGAACAGGGCCAGCTTCCCCACTAGCCACAGGAGGCACAGTGCCCAAGGCCCACAATAGGACCCATGGAAATGATGCGATTTCTTTTACAATCGGGAGAAAAAAATAACTTTTAGGTCAAATAAAATGTTTTAACATGTAATACAAATATATTTGTCTTCTTACCAATGCAGATGTAAAGTATGATTTTTAATTTTTTTTTCATAAAGTGGCCCATGAAGGCAACAGTACGCAGGGTCCAGGTCCACACAGTGATAATATGGCCCTGGTGGGCAAGGGTCTCTGGACTGAAATTTATGTGTGACAGTCCATTTAATGGCACAGTTGTGCTACTGAGGGGACAGAGACCTGGCACCTCCTGGTCTATGAGCTACCATCACCCCCCCAACACACACACACCCAGATGAACCAGTGAAAGAATGACAAGGCTGGTTCTGTTGGCGTGGTCAGCGTGTGTTGGGTCCAAATGCCCAATCCTTTTGGGGGATTTTTCTTTTTTTTTCTTTCCTTTTCTTTTTTTTTTGAGACAGAGTCTCGCTCTGTCACCCAGGCTGGAATGCTGTGGCGAGATCTCAGCTCACTGTAACCTCTGTCTCCTAGGTTCAAGTGATTCTCCTGCCTCAGCCTCCTGATTAGCTGGGATTACAGGCATGTGCCACCACGCCTGGCTAATTTTTGTATTTTTAGTAGAGACGGGGTTTCACTATGTTGGCCAGGCTGGTCTCAAACTTCTGACCTCAGGTGATCCACCCACCTTGGCCTCCTAAAATGCTGGGATTACAGGCGTGAGCCACCGTGTCTGGCCTTTTTTGGGGGATTTTTCTTAAGAGGTGACACCATGCAGAGTATGTAGTAGTTGTTTTTCTTCCTGAAAAAGGAAACAGCATAAAACTTAGCCCTGGTTTAGGATACGATCCACTGTCGTTCTTTTTTTTTTTTTTTTTGGAGACGGAGTCTTGCTCTGTCGCCCAGGCTGGAGTGCAGTGGTGCTATCTTGGCTCACTGCAAGCTCTGCCTCCCGGGTTCACGCCATTCTCCTGCCTCAGCCTCCCAAGTAGCTGGGACTACAGGCGCCCGCCACCACGCCCGGCTAATTTTTATAAACATCAATACATATAAACATCAGTAGTGTGTATCAGAGATAGAGGTGGCAGCCATCAGTGCTTACGCCCTCTGGCATATAGGAGCTCCTCTCTCTTCTTTTGGATGAGCTGGTCCCATCTACCAAGAATCTGTCTTTGTAGTTCTGCCCCCACTTCCCACCCCTATCAGCCATGGGGAGACTGTAGCATAAGGGGAAATGCTCTGGGTGTGGTGTCAGGGACCCTGGCGTGTAACGTGAACCCTGCTGCCCCTCAGCTGCAGACCTCGGGTAACCTGCTTCACCAAGTGCAGTCTGGGCTTCAGTTCTACATCTGGAAAATGAGGTCTCCCTTTCCATTCTAGCATCTCTGATTTTATGACTCTGGGAAAATTCAAAGTTTCTTCACATCAGGAAAAGATTAGGGATTCTTTGTTTAAAGGTATTTCATAACATACACTCCATTAAGCTATGAAAACAGGGAGTTTGAAAGCTTCACTATCGACTGAGGTGGGCAGGCAGAGTAAAATCCTGTCGCCTTCCATGAACTCCCCTCATTTCACATCCTGTCCATTGAATGGACTTTAAAATTGCTCTCAGCAATGCAGAGTGCAGCTAGAAGGCTCACATGCTGCTATTGACCCGGGAATTCTTAGGCATTACCCTGCTGCGACACTCAAGGCTCATATTGGTGAGACCAACAAAATCTCTCTGGCAAATCCGGGAAAATCTAGAATTCCATAGAACCAGGGGAATCACATTGGATCAGATTTCACCAGCTTTCTCTACTTGAAAATTCTTAGGCTGGCAACCCAGCCCAAGTGTACTTTGCTTGAAGTTGATCAGCTACAAAACCGTAAGTTTGGCGAGAGAGTACATGTGGGGATATGAGGTGCAGGGGGCAAAATGACAATCACACATTTACCAATAAACTTGGGGGTTGGGGAGAATGGGAGAAAAATCACTTCTGGAATTCCCATCCTTGCCTGTTTACTCCTCCTACTCATTGCAGTATGGAAACCATTTAGCTGCAGACAAATGATTTCCTGGCATATTCTTGGGACTATTCCAGTAAATCATGTCCTTCTCTACCCCTGGGAAAAGTCTCTCCCTTGCTTGGGTCATAACTCAAAACTACATCTTCGAGATACTTGCTTTCAGTCTGCCTCCAGCAAGCTGAGTCTCTGAGATTAAGTATGGCATGCACCAGTGCCGATAGGCCTGAGCCCAAAGAACGACCCATAGTAAAAGACAAACTAGGCCAGGCACTGTGGCTGATGCCTGTAATCCCAGCACTTTGGGAGGCCAAGGCAGGAGGATCACTTGAGATCAGGAGTTCAAGACTAGCCTGGGCAACATGGAGAAACCCTGTTTCTACAAAAAATACAAAAATTTATCTAGGCATGGTGGCATGCACCTGTAGTCCCAGCTACTCAGGAGGCTGAGGTGGGGGAATCACTTAAGCCCAGGAGGTCCAGGTTGCAGTGAGTTATGATGGCACCACTGCACTCCAGCCTGGGCAACAGAGCAAGAGCCTGTCTCAAAACAAAACGAAACAAAACAAAAAACAAAAACAAAATCAAAAGACAAGATAAAAAGGAGATTTCTCTAGGGTAACACAGTCCCTGCTTCTGACAAACCTGTCCTCCAAAACCAGAAGAGACAACATTTTCATTTGTCTAACCTAAAATATTTTAAACAGAAATACTAAAAATAGGATTTTATTAATAAGACTTCTATTTATACATAAACTCTTTGGGAATCTATTTATCTCTCTAAGCGATGGTTTCTATTAAAATGAGATTATATCTAGTGATTTTGTAAAAAAATTACCAAAACAAGTTGATGGGATAAATACAGGAGTACAGATAGCTCCCCCTCAGAGTCAACAAACTTTTTCGGTAAAGGGCCAGATAGCAAATATCTTAAACTTTGTGGGCCATGAGGTCTCTGTCACAACTTCTTAACTCTGTTATCATAGCACCAAAGCAGCCACAGACACTGCTTAAGTGAATAAATGCGGCTATGTTCCAATAAAACTTTATTTGTAAACACTGAAATTTGAATTTCATATAATCTTCACATATCATAAACGATTATTCCTCTTTTGAGTTTTTTTTTTCAACCACTAAAAAAATTAAAAAGCCATTCTTAGCTCTCAGGTTGTACAAAAACAGGTGATGGGCTGAATTTTGCCCATAGACCATAGTTTGCCAAATTCCGATTTAGAGGTTTCCCAGGGCAAAAACGCAAAGAAGTTAAAGTTTGTTTTTTGGTTAATGTAACCTTTCCCTACTGGCACTGGCATTTTAAAATAAGACAAGTGGGTAAGGAAAATGAAAGTCAAAGGAATAAGTTATTAATAGAGGAATTTCAAAAGAGTTGAAAATATTTTGGAGATGGTCCCTCATCTGACACCTTCTAAACAACTACTAACTTTACCTTCAGGTGAAATGAGTTTCACCTCCATCAAGTTCAGTAGACTTCTATTGACCTCTGTTATATTCCAGGAACACACTAAGTGCAAAGATGATGCAAAAATAGCCTCTGCCCTCTGAGAGGGACAACTGTTGTCAAACAATGAAAGATCCTTTCCATTTAGTGGTGGGATTGATTAATTCATTGAACAAACATTGATTGAGCATGCCAGGCCCTGGGTCTGGTGCTACCCATTTCAAGGTAAATAAGTTCTGAAGATGTTTATGGTAAGCATCGTCCTTCCTCACTATTACCTTGTTCTTTTTTGCTTGAGGGAAAAGAAGAGGCCCAGAGGTGTCTTGCCCAGGTGGAAGAGTAAAGAGGAGACCAAAGTGTGACTACTCTTCCTTAGCAGGGCTGGAGTCAGGTGAAGTGACTAGCTTGCAAAATTTAAGAAGGGGCTGGGTGCGGTGGCCAACACCTGTAATCTTAGCAGTTTGGGAGGCTGAGGCAGAAAGATCACTTGAGGCCAGGAGTTTGAGACCAGCCTGGGCAACATAGTGAGACCCTGTTTCTACGAAAAATAAATTAAAATTAGCTGGGTGTGGTGGCACCTGCCTGTAGTCCCAGCTACTCAGGAGGCTGAGGCGGGAGGGAGGATTGCTTGGGTCTAGGAGTTGGAGGCTGCAGTGAGCTACAATCATATTACTGCACTGTCCCCTGGGTGACAGAGCAAGATCCCATCTCTTAAAAAGTAAAATAAAAAATAAAAAAATTTGGCTGGGCATGGTGGCTCACGCCTGTAATCCCAGCACTTTGGGAGGCCAAGGCAGGCAGATCACGAGGTCAGGAGATCGAGACCCCGTGGCTAACACGGTGAAACCCCGTCTCTACTAAAAATACAAAAAAATTAGCCGGGCATGGTGGCAGGTGCCTGTAGTCCCAGCTACTCAGGAGGCTGAGGCAGGAGAATGGCGTGAACCCGGAAGGCGGAGCTTGCAGTGAGCGAAGATCGCACCACCGCACTCCAGCCTGGGCAACATAGCAAGATTCCGTCTCAAAAAAAAAAAAAAAAAATTTAAGGAGGCATTCATATGCAAGTACTTTTATGACTTGAGAGTAAGCACCTCCTTAAATTTTGTACCCTAGCATGCCCCACTTGTCACCTCCTAGTCCGGCCTGTGCGTTGGCTCCCGCTAAGAACGCTGTGGTCCCGGGAGGACTTGGGCCTCCAGTTTCATTGTAGAGCCCACAGACTCCTTCCTCCCTCCTCTCTCCCTCCCCAGCAGCCCTGCTATGCACACCCCTCCTTCTTTCAGCCAGAGAGAGAGATGACCTCAAATAGGAGGCGCTGTCTCAGACTCATCAGGGCCTCCAGATCTCACTCTCCGCCCACTCACCTGGCTCCAAGGAATCCCTGCTGGAGTGGGCATTTGTGGGTTTTGGACACCTAGTGCTCATGTCCCCTTCCTAAGATGCCCCGATTTTCGAATGCAGAATTGAGGAATGACCTCTTTTTCACTGTACACAGTCTTATGGAACTTCTCCCGGGGCCTTACCGTCCCAGGGCTGAGGCTGGAGTGAAGCCCGGTGCCTGGCCATTGGTGCTCCCTTCCAGGGCTGGGAATCCTGAGCTGAATGAACTGGTTTCTTTTTCTTGCCACCAACCACCGTGACACCTACAGTCCCTCTGAATAATGCCCATGTTACACACCACATCATATCTCAGAGCCCTGCTACTCAAAGTGTGGCCCACAGGCCAGCAGCACCGGCATCACCCAGAGCTGGCAAGAAACGCAGAGGCTGGAGCCAGCCCCCACCACAACAGAATCTGCATCTGGACAAGATCACTGACGGGCTCCTGCGCTCATTAAAGTGTGGGGAGTGCCTCTCTACACCTTTCCTCACCCTCCCACACCGTTTCGCAGCAACAGGGGCCTGGGGAAGGGGCCTGTCTTCACGTGCATGAGTTGCTGAAACCGAGGGAGGCTTGCGTTTCCAGATGACCTCATTCCCCGAGGACTCCTCAGCTATAGGCTTCTCAGACGCACTCACCTGATGCATAGTGGATGGCTGACTGTAAAATAGGAAAAATTGGGCAATGATTTCAGAAAATAATGACATTTAAACAAACCTCTCTCCAGAGAAGCCCCTCCCCTTCCAAGGTGTGGGGCAATGGAGGCCGGAGACTCCCGAGGTTGGTTCATAGGGTAAAGCTTCGCTACAAGTCCCTCAAGCTGAGATGGTGGTGGTTGTGGTTCCTTTTCCCTAGAGAAGGGACCTACTCTATCTTCTTTTTAGGCGGATCAGGAGTGAAGAAAGGGCATGAATAACTCTAATATTTATAGGTAATCTGCCTTGTAGCAGGCCTCAGACATGTTTTACCTTTTATTCTTTTTTATTTATTTGTTTGTTTATTTACTTATTTAAATAGAGACAGGGTCTCATTCCATCACCCAGGCTGGAATGCAGTGGTGCAATCGTGGCTCACTGCACCCTTGACCTCCTGGGCTCAGGCAATCCTCCCGCCTCAGCTTCCCAAGTAGCTGGCACTACAGGTACATGCCACCATGCCTGGTTATTTATTTATTTTTGTAGAGATGAGGTCTCACTACGTTGCCCAGGCTTGTCTTCAACTCCTGGGTTCAGTGATCTTCCTGCCTCGATCTCCCTGTGCTGGGATTATAGATGTGAGTCATCACACCTGGCCTTTTTTCTTTCTTTCTTTTTCTTTTTTTTTTTTTTTAGAGAGTTGCTCTGGGGATCAGAGCAACTGTCACCCAGGCTGGAATGCAGTGGCGAGATCATAGCTCATTGTAGTCTCCAACTCCTGGGCTCAAGTGATCTTTCCACCTCAGGCTCCAAGTAGCTAGGACTACAGGGATGTACAACCACACCTGGCTAATTAAAACAACTTTTTTTTTTTTTTTTTTTTTTTGTAGAGACAGGGTCTTGCTTATGGCCCAGGCTGGTCTTGAACTCCTGGCCTCAAGCACTCCTCCCATGTCGGCCTTCCAAGTATCTGGGATAGCTTTTGTTCTTTAACACAACTATAAGGCGCAGGCTCTTACAGAGGAGGAAACTGACATTCAGAGAGGCTGAGTAAACTGCAATTCAGAAAGGCTGAGTAACTTGCTTCAAATCCCCCAGTTGTTAACTGGGAAGAACTAAGGATTGAACTTGGGTTTTTCTCAGTGTTGCAGATTCACAAAAGTACCTGCAACAAAGCACATGCAGTATAAAAGTGGTCTGCATGTCTTCATACGATCAATGGTGGTGGTGATGCTGATGGCTCTGAGTGTGGGGAAAGGTGGGGTGGTGGCCTTGGGAGAGTCAAGGACACAGACCAGGGGCTTGTGGAGGGCTCACCTCTCTGTGGTGGTGAGCTATAAGACCGACGAGATGTGCAGCTAGCATAAGACATCATCCTTTGCACCAAAGGGATTTGTAACTCAAGATAAAACATCACTAAACTATGAAACAAATGGAAATAAGACTACATACATTCAGATTTTTCCAATAATGACTTTGTCAATGCCTTTTCTTTTTTGAGACAGGGTCTCGCTCTGTTGCCCGCCCAGGTTGGAGTGCAGCGGTGTGATCACGGCTCACCGCAGCCTCGACTTCCTAGGTTCAATTGATCCTAGGCTCATTTCAGCCTCCAAAGTAGCTGGGACCACAGGCGTGTGCCACCACACCCAGCTAATTTTTTATATTTTTTTTGTAGAGATGGGGTTTTGCCATGTTGCCCAGGCTGATGTTAAACTCCTTGGCTCAAGTGATCCTCCTGCCTCGGCCTCCCTAAGTGCTGGGATTACAGGCATGAGCCACTATACTTAGCCAATGCCTTTTTTTGAAATATAAAATAACAAAATTCCGTCGCTGTGTCTCATTCTTTTGGGTGCTATGCTTTTGTCTATGCACGCAGTACAAACCCTCGTAGGATAATCCAGCTCTAATGAGTGGGGAGCTGACCTCCTGATTCCTTTTAATCCCAGATCTGAGGCCAAGGGATGTTTGCTCAGCTAGTGGAGGTGGCAGTGACTCCTCCACCTGGAGCAGCAATGGTGTGCACCATTGTTAGGGAGGCGAGTAGGCTAAAAACTCACGTAGTCACTTCTCTAAGGTTAATTTCTGGAGTGCCCGCTATCCTCATTCCTGGGCTCTCAGTCAAGAATGTAATTGAAGCCCCAGGACAATGGAGTGTGAAAGGAAAGATGTTCCCTGGTGTCAGATGCCCTGGCCAGCCAGAACCAAAAGCATGGAGTAGACGCTTGGCTTTTATTCCTGGTGTTGGCTGGGTCCCTGTGTCCTGCCCTATTCCTGAAATCCTCTTTAGGCAAAAGCCAAAGCTAACTAGGAAGCTCCAGCTTGGGCCTCCTCTGGCATCGCCAGGACCAGCTGTGACAGAACAGCTTGCTTCCTTCTGCCAACCCCCTTGTTTAAAGGTTAAACATACAAAGGCAGGAGCCGCAAGCCCAACAGAGGGTACTGCAAAGCAGCCCCTCAGATGCTAACGATTTCACCAGACGACCAGGATATTATTATTGTCTGAACTCAACTTCTAAGTGCCCTAGGAAACCTTTTAGTGGCTGAGAGTACGATCACCAAGGAGGTGAGCTAGGTTTTCACAGTGTCATTGAGAAGTCCCCAGGAAACCTAACCCCAGTGGCAAACCCCAGTGTGCCCTGGGGAGACACAGGACCTGGGCACCTCTTCTGGATGCCACTGGGCAGGCACTTCCTGGAGAGCTGATGAGGGTCAGTCATTGGGGTCTACTCGAGGCCCCTCCTCCCACACTGGAGAGGGGCTGTTCTTACTGCTCACCAATGCCGGACTTTAGTCCTGACGGGCGGTGAAGTGTGCTTCCATCAGATTTCAGGGGAAGATCCAGCTGGGCTATCAGGCTAACTCGCCACTGGCCCTGACCCATCCCGATGAATCATCCTGGTGAAATGAACATCAGAGGCAGCCTTGAAGGAGAAAATGACAGCACACTAAGGCAGCCTGATAGGTGAGTAGGGAAGAGGTGAGGGGCGGCCTTGTCTTTGAATCCTGGGGAGCGTGACTTCTACGGGCTGATTGCCGGGATCTAAGACTATTTAAAGAACAGGGCAATAGAAGTTGTCTATCACTGAGAGTTTGCTATGCCAGGCACCATACTAAAACTTTTCATGCAGTATCTTAGTTATTCATGCCCTGAACGTTATGATGTTGGGTACTATTATTATTATCCCCATTTTGCAGATGGGGAAATAATTGCAGAGAAGTTGAGCAGCTTACTTTAAGTCACACAACCAGTACATGGCAGAGGTGGCTGTTAAATTCTGGTCTAATTTCGAAGGCTGGGATTGTACATACTATCTAGGCTGCCTCTTTAGCAGGGCAGTTAAGTTTTCTATATGGCTGCTTCCTTCTTCTGTCACTGTTCATCATCCAGTAATTAAGGGTCTTCCCAGAACTGAGGCCCGAGGCAGTGCCTCTAAGCCCACACACCCATCATTCACTTTTATCAACTCAGGTCTAGACAAGGGGTACAAGAAAGAGCCGGGTGGCTGCGGTGAAGGCATGTCTTAAAGCTCAAGTTTGTGTGTTTTTGTTGGGGGAGCAGCACAGATGAGGGAGCGGGAAAGGGATAACGTGTGGAACTAGATTTCTTTTCCTTTCTTCTTTTTTTTTTTTTGAGGTGGAGTTTCGCTCTTGTTGCCCAGGCTGGAGTGCAGTGTCTCGATCTCGGCTCACTGCAACCTCTGCCTCCCAGGTTCAAGCGATTCTCCTGACTCAGCCTCCTGATTAGCTGGGATTACAGGCATGTGCCACCACGCCCGGCTAATTTTGTATTTTTAGTAGAGAAGGGGCTTCTCCATGTTGGTCAGGCCGACAGGCCAACCTCAGGTGATCCACCTGCCTTGGCCTCCCAAAGTGCTGGGATTACAGGCGTGAGCCACTGCACCCGGCCGGAACTAGATTTCTTAAAGGCTTTACCACACCAGTTTGGGAAAAGTTGTTTTGCTTCTCTTTTAAGAACCTGAGGCCTGGAAATCAAAAAAGGGCTCTCCAGGCTGGAGTCCAGGCCGGAGCAGGAATCACCACATAGTTAAGAAACAACTTAACACTATATTTAGGGTATGTCTGTGCTTAAATGAAATAGTTTTTTTTAAGTGTATGTTTTCATTTCTTACATGTCAGAAAATATCTGTATTACAAAAAAATCTCCCATCAGTCCTAGTTGTGAGAACAAAAAATTAGAAAAACCCAGTGATCAAAAAGAGGAGAACAAATTATGGCACATTAACCAGAAGACTAGGTGAAGCAACACAGGAAGATGTTTATGCAAAGTTTTTTGAATAAAAACCAAAATTTTGAATAAAAAGCCTTCCATAAACACACAGGCAAAACATATGGAAAATAAGTTTTTTTTTTTCCCAGTGGTGACCTTTTTTTTCCTTCATAGTTTTTCTCTATTGTTTTTATAATGCTTTGTGACAAATAAAAAATGTACACAATTATATGATGGCATGTACCTCATGTGTACATTTTGCTTATTTCCCTTGCAACCCAGTATCCAAATGTGCCAAATAGCTTTTCATTTGAACTTGCAAATTGCTGCATGAAATTTAAATATTCCTTTAAATACACAACCCACATCAATTGCTGTTATACAAATTGGAATGAACTCTTCAGGTTCAAGTAGTTTTTATCCAAATTTAATTATCCATGTTTATCAGTAATACTTTATGTTTCTGGGGTAGGAACCAAAACAAGGAGAGCAAAAGGGGAGCTCCCAGCCCCCAGCAGTTTACATTAAAACAGCACTGAAACCCAATTCTCTCTCGCCCACTGCCCCACTACTCCTCTTTCTTGGAAGGCTGGAAAATGGGTTATCTGGAGACACCCAGGGCTCCTAGCCCATTAGGATTAGGGAGGCTCTGAACCTGGCTGAGGCTTCTGAAGTCTGGCAGCCTGAGCAGATCAGGTCGCTGTCTGCACTAGCGACTATAGCAATCAGCCTGGGGAGGCTTCTCGTGGGAGAAGTGAATGTTAGCGGCGATCCTCATCCATTTGCTTTACCAGAAACCAAAGGCTCCTTCAGACCTCCCTGGTGGAGTAGGAAGCTGATTTTATAGGCTCTAAGAGTATATGTGTGCATTCATTTATGCTCTTTCCTTTAAAGCTTAACAGATGCTCTAGGATTAAAGCAAAGGTATGGTAAGACCAAAAGTTTAAAAACAAACAAACAAACAAACAAACAAACAGAACACAACTACATGGCCTACAGCAAGGAATGAGAGGTGGGTAAGAGGGGAGGATTTTAAAATGAGAATTTGGTAGAAAAAAGCTACAATTATGAACAAAAAATTTCGTAGCCAGAGTAAGTAGTAAAACCAAAGCATTTTTAAACTAGCAGAGCTCTTGTTTCTAAGATTTGAGAGGCCGGGGTGAGTGGTGATTTGCCTGTGGCTGGAGTACCCCTGAGAAAATTATAGAGCATGCCCAGGAGAGCCTTTTCTACTGGTTTTAGATGGTTAGAAATCTACCAGGAAGGGGGCATGACATCTGTTTCCATGCAGTCTTGTATCATTTACTGTCTATTTGCCATGTAATCATATCCTGTTTTATTATTTTTTAGTGCGTTTGTGCACATATTCAGTTGCTTCCATAGACTCCTTGAGGGCAAGACGTCTATTATACTTTGTCTGTATTGTCCTATAACCCCCAACCTTGAAAACAGACCAGGATTTGCCATCATGATGTTTGCTGGCTTCTCAGCCCCCAGCCCCACAGAGCATCTGCCAAGAGGAGCTGACTCTTCTACTCCTCCGGCCCATCTGAGCCCAAAATACAGTCCCCAAAATACTGTAAAACATTCTTAAATGGAAATACAATTTGTCTTGTAGGCAAAATTATGAATCTTAACTTTCATAATTTTAGTTACTAGAAGACAATATGGAAGCTCTGTGTCTGAGAGAAAGTGAGCAGAACAAGAGATTAGAGTAACAAAAAATTGTAGCCAGAAGGGAAGAACGAAAGCCAGAAAAAGGAGGCATGGCGGATAGGAAGTTTTCAAGTAGAGGGTTAACAACTGAAGAGAGATGAACAGTTTGGCCAGGATTTGAGCCTAGCAACTCTTTGTTGAGGCACATTTTCTTGACATTCCTATTCTTAGGCAAATTATTCTGCCTTTGCTCTTTTTAATTTCTCCGGAAGGTGCTAGGCAGACAGTCCCGGAGTGTTCTGGAAAGGAGTGCTTTGTGTGAAGATAGCAGGAAAACAAATCATGGGAATGACAGGCTTCGAGCTGAGTAACCCAGGGGTTAATCACTTCCCGCTGGCTCAGGCTTCTGAGATGCAGGTATGCTTTGGCCATTCCTAGGAAGCCAGCATCCCCTTCAAAAACAAAAGCCCCTACTGCCTGGGTGTGGGTTCCCATTTCTAATATTTACATCACTGGGCTTTGGGCAACTATACTTAATCCTTTTGGGAATAGTGATGGGGCTCACTTCAGATAAAGGCGTCCTTGACCACAGCACGATTCAAGCAGTTCCTTGGCAAGTGTTTCATTGTGAAGGGTGGTTTTCATAGAGGAAGTGGACTTTGGGGTGAGGTGGGGGAGTGGAGGTGCAGGATGTGGGCAGCCCATCGAATCCCAGCTCACCAGAAGGCCGAAGGGCTATATTATACCAGTGCAGGCATCTGGGAGTTTAACACTGGAGTCATGAGTCTAACCAAGAGTCCCACTGGAAAGGCAGCATTCCAAATCCTTTCTGAGTGTCTCTGGAGTTGAAAACAGACCAGGACTTACCATCATGATGTGTGCTGTCCCCTCTGACCCCATCCCCATGCAGCATCCGCCAAGAGGAGCCAACTCTTCTGCTCCTCCGGCCCCCCTGTGCCCAGCCGGCCCCTCCGGAGACACAACAACTGCTTCCCTGCCACAGACAAAGCATCTTTCACCTTCCCGGTCATTAGCTTCCCTCTGGAGACAGTGGATTCCACGGCTCCACAGGATCTGCCTCGTGGCTTCTCTAGAATAAATAAGGGCTGAACTGCCTTCATTTACATCCGATGCCAGGCCTAAGAGCAGTGTTCTGTTGGCTTCCATGAAGCAACAAATCCAAATGCAGTTTGAGAATGGAGTAACAGAAACTTACAACAGAGCCAGCCTTTAGCTTCCATGTGAGATTTGAATCTACTACTTTGAAACATTCTTTGCCTCCTGTGCGCAGGTGATTAACAACTCAAAAACAAACTTCGAAACTGTGACTTGAGCTTTCTTTCCGGGCCACTTGTGGGGTACCATGGCCTTGCAGTGAATATCCTCCCGGGCAGTGGTACTGGGGATTTTCATTTCAAAAGGAAAAAGTTACTTTCAGTTTCCCTAAGGACCTAATGCAGGTGAAAAAAAAAAGGATTGGGGCTAAGGAACAGAAGAGGGACTCTACACACATTGCCCCATTCGGTTCTCAGCCCTGAGGAAGTGAGTGGGCACGTGGAGAGGGGCAGTGAAACCACCTCCTTCAGGGATGGAGAAATCAACGCCCAGATGGCAACATTAACCTGGGCCGGTCTGTGAGCAGGGAGCGGATGCAAAACCAGTGCCTCTGGTTTCCAGGCCCCACGCTGCACTGCCCGCCTTGACGGGGGCTGGATGACTCGGAGCAAACCACTAAATCTTTCTAGGTCTCGTTTTTCTCTGTCCTCGATGATCTTAAGGCTCCTTCCAGTTCTGAATCAGCGTTTTCAGTTTAGGGCAACAGCCTTGGCAGGTCCTGATATGGCCTTGACTCGACCCTTGGTTCTCCATGGCTTTGGTAACAAATGGAAAGAAAACTCTCACAGGCAGCAGAAAGCAGCCTTTTCCTCAGGGTTGATGCCCATTTGTCAAAAATTTGGCAAAAGTTACATTCATATTAGTGAACTCTCAACATAGTTTCATTCATTGTTTGACACACAAAATTTATGACATCTGTTGGAGGAATGTAGCTCTGAAAACCCTCAATGTCAAAAAGTATATATAATGGAAGGAACACTTCTTGTACTGCCCAACATTTCTATTTTCTTTCCAAACCTTTGTCTCCAATTCTGGAAATGATGGCTCCCTGAACGCCCTAGTGCTTTTTGTTTTGATTGGAGAATTCGGATTTTTTTTCTCCCTGTATATATATCTGACTGTAGATTTAAAAAAAAAACCAGCTACAAATAGTGTTGACAAGTTGAAAAAATGGTTCACACACATTCAAATACTTGAGTAAGACAGATATCTATATCTATATCTATATAATTTTTTTTTCCTGGAGAAAAATCAGGCCCAAAGTATTGAACTCTGGAGGACACAAACCAGCATATGCAAAAATTAGATTTTGTTTCTGTTAACGACATCTCTAGGAACAATAAGGAGGGGAATTGTTCTTTTCAATGTCAGTCTCAAAAAGTTCTGAATGTATCCACAAAGCGCTTTTCTTTTTTCTCTTAAGAACTGATTGTAGGCCGGCACAGTGGCTCATGCCTGTAATCCCAGCACTTTGGGAGGCCGAGGTGGGCAGATCACTTGAGGTCAGGAGCTCGAGATCAGCCTGGGCAACATGGTGAAACCTCGTCTCTACTTTTTAGAGTACTTTCTTACTCTATTTTTATACAAAAATTAGCCAGGCGTGGTGGCATGCACCTGTAATCCCAGCTACTCGGGAGGCTGGGGCATGAGAATTGCTTGAACCCAGAAGGTGGAGGTTTCAGTGAGCTGAGATCATGCCACTGCACTCCAGCCTGGGCAACAGAGTGAGACTCTGTCTCAAAAAAAAACCAAAAAAGCAACAACAACAACAACAAAACAAACTGTAGAACTCTCATCATTATTTTTTGAAGATGCTTATGTTTTTACCTGTGTCCTTTCTCTGTGGAGTTCCACAATGTTTTACTCTGAACAGGGCAACTGTTCAGCTGTTCATTCTGAAATCTGGGACTGCTAAGTTTCAGCAATGGAATTTAGAACATGAATCTTGAATTCTCTCTCTACACCTCATGGTTCTCCAAATGGTGACCATCTCAGCTTCCAGCCTTGGCCTTTCCATATTCAAGAGTCCTAATCTCTGTACCTTGACCTCACAGAGTGGCATGTTCAGAGGTTATCACACCCAGTCATACCCCAGGCGTGTACCATGTAGAGACAGAGCCGTTCTCCTTTTTTATATTAATCTGAAAGATTAGGTAATCATTCTTCGAATTGGCATGATGCTTCATAATTAACTGATCTTGTCTGATCCCTGGAACCCAGAGGGGAAGTCAGGTGTTAAACCACTCCCACACGGTCGTGTCAGCTGCTAAATGGTTGACTCCACCTCCATCTTCCCAGCCTCCTCCTCTCCTAATTATACCTGCGGCTTCATCTGTTTTCATCTATTATCTAGAAACTGTTTTTCTTCTGCTGTAAAGCGTTTGAAACAAGGGGAAGGAGATTCCAGACAGGGCTCAGGAGTCACACAGGGCCAGAGTTTGAAGCCCAACCCCACTACTTGGGAGCTACTGAACTGAGTATCTAAGCCTCAGTGACGTGAGGCTTAAGTGAAATAACCCTTGTGAGTACAAGTTCTTTAGCACACATAAATGGGATCCGAAAGTGTTAAAAACCATCATAATTTGGGGTAAGGTTAGTCCCCCCTTAGCTTCACAAGGATGGGTACTATCTTCTGTGGTGGTCTTTGGAGCACAAATGGCAAGTTGAGGACCACAGCAGTTAACTTTTTTTTTGAGATGGAGCCTCACTCTGTCATCCAGGCTGGAGTGCAGTTGTGTGATCTTGGCTTACCGCAACCTCCACCTCCCGGGTTCAAGCGATTCTCCTGCCTCAGCCTCCTGAGTAGCTGGTATTATAAGTGCACACCACCATGCCTGGCTGATTTTTGTAACTTTAGTAAAGACGGGGTTTTGCTGTGTTGGCCACGCTGGTCTCATTCAAACTCCTGACCTCAAGCGATCCACCTGCCTTAGCCTCCCAAAGTGGTGGGATTACAGGCGTGAGCCACCATGCCTGGCCGAGCGGTTAACTTATGGAACAAGACCTAGGCGCCTGGTACTGTGCCGTGTACTTGAAGTGGTTATAGATTAGACTCCCACAGTTATAAACTATGAGCTAGGTGCTAATCTCATCTCCATGTTAAAGATGGAGCAGCTCAGATTTAGGGACTTGACAGGTTAGGCAGTCTCATAAAGGTGGAGTCTGGATCTGAAGCCAGATCTGGCTCCCCGAGTGAAAGAGGACCAGGTTTAGGAAAGGCTTCCATGACTAGAGTGATGCAGAGAGGGTTTTTTCCTAGCTGAGGATTGGCAGAGGTGAGGCGAGGGGTCCTGAAACTGTAGGAAGGTTGAGACCTGTGCATTTATTTGCCGTGAGCAAGGGGACAGCTTTTTGGAAGGAGACCTAAAACCAGGCTCCGGGACCCTGCTTGGATTCTTTGCCTTACAGCCTTTGTCTTTCTGTGGAGAAGAGATTCCTGATTAAGAGACATGGAAGTACAGTTACAGAGATATTTAATACTTTTGAATGAAAATATATCTGCATCCAAATGAGTTTTCATTTGTTTCCATTCTGTTTGCTTTTGGTGAGAACATCCTTTTTTCTCCCTGCAGCACAGCTGAAGCCAGTATTGTCTGTAATCTATTTTTGTTTGCTTAGAGTCTTCAAGAGCTAGGGAAATGACTGATGACATTTTTAGTTTCCAAGTCTGAGAAAATGGAGACGTATTGGAATTGAGAACTCATGAGTTGGGAAGCAGAAAGTCATAAAGACTCGCTAAAGCAGTAGTTTGAGTCAAATCATATCGCTGGGGGACAACAGCAGATTTGGCACATTAACCCATCATTTGTTCTTGTGTGGCTATGCCACTGCTAGAGGCTTAGCTAATATGTCAGGAAGAAAAATCCCCAAACCAGTAAAGCCACTGCCAAAGTCCTACATGTATGTGCAGGCATACACCAATAACATTGAAAACAACATTTGGAAAGGGTCTCTCCTGCTTGGTTATAACTTTAACAGACCAAAATAATGCTGCCTTTAGTGTTTCTGAGAAGGTAACACATGAAACCCAGTTTCCCCTGGACTGTGGGATATTGTTTTGAGAACCTATTTGTGGGGGAAGGCAGGTCAGTCACACGTTCAAAAGTTCACAAATTAAGAACATACAAATGACAGGACCACCAAATTTAGAAAATGTCCTACAATGTGCATTTTATTCCATATCATTATACAATGTTTACATATAGTTAAAACTCTCAAGAAAACGTCCTTTACCAGTTGTATGTGGTGTCTAAATCTTTAACATGAAGGACTGAAAAGAGTGGAAATCCACACTGATTGTTATCCTACAGATTGTCATGAGCTGCACGTGTGCCAATCAGAAAGGAATGGAAGTCTCGGAAGAGCAGCGTGGCTTACAGACCCTTGGCTTTAGTGAATTCAGGCATGCGGGATCCATAGTCTCATCTTGTAGTAAAACTCAAGACAAAATAAATTAGTGTTGGACAGAGTTCTACATTGTACAATGTTGAACAAAAGACCACAGGGGGACCTTTTGTTCAAAGTAGCACCAATCCACACCTGATTGTGTTTCCAACATTAACCTTCCTGTTGACTCTATCATTGGCACTTTGAATGGAACTTCTTCTGCTTTAGTGAGGATTCCTACGCTGACTAAGCACACTGTGTTGCTAAACTCTCTACAAAGTGTGGCAGCATCAACCCGGGAAATGGCACATTTGAACCAGGATCGCCCTGACATGGGCTTGCCTTTTTGTATGTGTTTTCCCCACCCCCTGACCTAGCTGGTATCTTGTGGATGTTTCTGTGACAGTGGTAAAAGTAAATAAATTGCATTTAAGGGGTAAGCAGGTGTTTAAAAACAAAACAAAACAAAACGAAAGAATGTGGTCGCAGCTAAGGAGGTTTTCACATGTTGTTTAACTCCAGTAAAGTCTGATCCAGCATCTGATGCATACTAAGGTTTTCTTCTTTGGCATGAGCCACTTTCTCTGTGGTGAGATTAGAAAATTAAGTCATGAATAGCTGTGCTTTGGACACAATGGTGGTTTGTACATTTAGGCAGGCAAACATCAATCACAAACACAGGATGAGATGATTAGAACTAGGCATGCTTGTAAGACATTACTCATTTCTAGACAAGAACCTAAGACGGAGGGGAGGGCATCTTTGACCCAAAGGAGCCATGGCACGGATTCTCACAGAGCAGTCAGGTGCACCTCCACCAACAATTCACTGAGGATAAAATGCACGTGGGGTTTGGTGAAGGTTCACTGACGGTGTGCCGTGGGAACAGGGAGAGGTAAAAACCAAATACAGCTGCAGCACTGTTATACAAACTGAAGAAGTTACGAACAGCAGACATTTCCAAGGTACAGGCAGTTAAAAGTCTGGGAGTTGTGCGGTAACACAAACTCACAAAAGCAAAGATGACATAAATAGGTTTTCTGAGAACTTTTAAAATGATTTATTTCTGTTGCTCATAAAAAATTGTCAACATGTTTCATGCACACTTCATTAGGACATTCTCTTAATATTTTTATAGTGTTCTATTTATTAGCATGACATTCTCCCCAGACTCCAACAGCACCATTAGACTGAGTAAAGCATACCTTTCAGACAACCAGGGGCTTCTGGCATGAGTTCCTGTTTTCAAAAGCTATTTTGCCCAAGCATAGGTACATTTAATCATATTTCAAACACTATACCAGATATTTAGAAGTTAGGAATATGAGTATCTGATAGGAATATATACACACACACACACACACACATATATATATATATATACATACTTAAAGTAGGACTCATGGCTGTCAGGAAATAGAAAACATTTTTTGGGGGGGCTCCTCATTATTTATCAGTTCAAACAAGAGGACCTGCTATTTCAAGGAGCAGTGCTGAATTGATATAAGTATTCTACCATAAAAGCTGTTTTGTGATTAAAGAGAACGTAATTATTCCAGCCATATAGAGAAACAAGCAGGCAAGGCCAGCCTTTCAGCCAATTCCTTGCATTTGCATTTCTGCAGAAAGCAACTGTTTTCAACTCTATTAGTTGAAGGTAGGACAGTCTTAGATTTTCTGCACATGGGCTCCACGCCTAGAATTCAGCCCAAGTTTTTTCACTCTTAAGTTTAATCCTCATTCAGGGCCAGCTTTAGTTCATTAGTGAGGCGGCGATTTTGCTCAAGTTGCTGGTAGAGTTGATCTGTACAGGTCAGCAAGCAGGTTAGCAGAAAAGAGGCAGAAGGAAGACAGGTTAGCAGACTTGGTGAGAGGCAGTTAATAGAGAACACAAAGAGACCTCAAGCAGGACAGCAACTGGTCACTTGCTGAGCAGTTTACTCTTACCCCATAGTCACCTGTCCTGTATCCAGGAAGGGTAGACCCTAAAAAGCTTGGTAGACTTAGGAAGTGTCAGAATTTCTCTCTTGGTGAGGAAAGGAGGGGAGGAGGAGCAACAGGATAAGAGGAGGAAGAAGAGTGAATGTTCCTCTTATACCTCACTAAACCACTTTGTGAGCTGAGCCATACATGGTTTCTGGCAATAGATTTGGGAATGCAGGCCTGGCTGGAGGCGAGCCCAGCGTGACATCCACCCCTTGCTAGGGCTCAGTGTTGAACTTAAGTGAAACATCAACCTGCCCAGTGCTGCCCACCTCTTCCAGAACCCCTTTCCTCTCCGTTCACAGGGCAGGCTTTCCCCTCAGGTAGGACCAACTGGGGGTTACTGCTTTTGCTGCACTGAAATTTTTTGAAATTTGGAATTAAGTCTCTGTCCTTCCCCCAGTCACCACAATACAGGGTACACATTCTGACTCCTGTCTAGCTTTGATAGTGTTATCCATTCAAACAGCAAAAGAACAAGCACTTGTCACCACTCAACACTGATTTAGAATTTATCTGCTTGCTTTTTTTGTTTTTTGAGACTTAGTCTCGCTCTGTCCCCCAGCGTGGAGTGCAGTGGCGTGATCTCAGCTCACTGCAAGCTCCACCTCCCGGGTTCATGCCAATCTCCTGCCTCAGCCTCCCTAGTAGCTGGGACTACAGGCGCCCGCCACCACGCCTGGCTAATTTTTTTTGTATTTTTTTTAGTAGAGATGGGGTTTCACCGTGTTAGCCAGAATGGTCTCAATCTCCTGACCTCATGATCCGCCCGCCTCAGCCTCCCGAAGTGCTGGGATTACAGGCATGAGCCACCGCGCCCAGCCCTATCTGCTTACTTCTTGAAGAGGATGGCATTCATGTGTGGTGCTAATGGATGTGTATAAAATGAACGAAACTTGCAACACCTACATGAAGACCAGCGTGATATACATTTTACACACTGACACGTGATCTGCTTACGGGGGAAAACAAGTGCAGGAGTCAGTCTGTATCTGATGATCCAGGGGACATCCAAGCTATGACAAGCAAGAGCCCGGTATGCACTGGGAACAGCTGGAGGATGCACGGTGGCTTTGAATGCTGGTGACAACTTGGACCTAAAAATACTTCATGATCTTGAAAAGCTAACAGACCTACCCCTAGGGAAAATGTGCCTGCAGCCCCCGGGTCTGTCAGGAGACTGAGCAGTTCTCACATTAACATTCTCTTATAAATGGTAGGACATGGGAGGATGCTATGCTCGTTATGTTTTCTCGCTTGGAATATCTGCTGCTCTGTCCTCTTTGCTCATCCACATTTTTTGAATATGCCAAACCCCAGTCAAACGTCCGCTACCTCCTCCAGGGAGCTCCCAGTCAGAATGGTTCTCTCTTCCTTGTTGCCTCCAAATACACATGCCTATTAGTTCGGACTCGCTTCACTCCTCTATCTCCCCATCAGATGCCCAGCTTATTGAGGACAAAGAGCCTTTCCAGCCCATCTCTTTACCACACCCCCACTGCTTCCCACGGTGTTTTGCACGTGACATATGCTTGGGGGTTCCAAGACATATATCCCATTACTACATTCACACTATGGACATAGGAAGTGTCGCCATGGGTGGGGAGCTTGTCTCAGTTTGCTGAGCCCAAATGTTTGGCCAGGCTAGAATGGAAGAACTTTGGAGAAAATCTGGAGAATCCAGAGGGTCAGTATGAATTCAGCAGGAAGGACAGTGGTCCCTCCGACAGCCTCCTCTGGATCTGCTCTGCTTCAGCTGCTGTGGAGCTGGTGTGCATGGGTGGCCCAAAGGCAGGGACAAGACATGCTCATATCCTTGGAAGTGTTTTCCCTTCCGGTTCTATGGAGACTCCCAGCTGTCTGAAACTTCAAGTGCCCAAACTCAGTGATGCTTTTGGTTTGGCCCACCAGAGCAGCTGTAGCTATGGCCTGGCCCTTTGAACCAGAAGCCTGGTTCAAATCAACAGTTGAACAAGAAATCAACAATTTCTTGATAAACTTGAGTTTATCAAGTTTTCCTCTTGCACATGCATACCTTGGGCTACTCCTGACCTGCCCTCCCAGTCCATTAGTGCCCCACTTCCCCTTGTAGAGTGTACTTATAGAAAGTGCGAAAGTCTCTGGAAGGATTTCCAAAACACAGATGTGCCTCCAGAATTACATGAACATCTGCTCAGCAGAACTTTCAGACTTGGCATTTTGTCTACATCAGGAAGCAGGATTTACTCAGAGAAGGGTACACTTCTCTTATTCTGAATTTAAAAAAGAATGAGGAAGGAATCATAGTCAGAAGCAGGCCCAAGGAGCCTTAAGAAAAGAAAAGCATGAAATCATGGAAGTCTTTATAAACTCAAGGGAGAGACATTGTCCAGATTCTAAAATTCCACCATACTATGACTAAAATACTTTAATTCACAGCTTTCTTTAAAAAAAAGTATTTCCTCTATGCTTTGAAGTCTCTGTAGAGTGAGAATGACACTATCTTCTGAGTTTGTCCAAATTTATTTGAGTATGGTGGTATATCAGCCCTCTCGGGCTAAAAAAACTATATACAAAACATGCAGATCATCCATGTTAAAAAAAAAACAGGAGAAATATATAGCTAGATTGTTGAGGAAGGAGAAATGTTGGGAATTATAACACTAAAGTCCATATTAGTTAAAGTTCTATTTTTTGCAATGTATTTTTTTAAAAAAATCACTTAATTGCTGTTTGTGAAATAAAACAGAAGCCCAAATGAAATACAATTGTCTTCTGAACAATTTCCACCAACTATCTTTTTGGGAAAAAAAAAAAGAAACTTTCATTGCTATATTTTAAAAATGTCCACAAATGAAAACACAGCCATTGAACACAAAGATTATGTACAATCCCTCCCAAAGAGTATGTGCTAAAAAGCACAAAACAAATCACGACTAAACAGAGTAATCATATTTAGAAAACCTAAGATGTCATTTTCATGATCAAAATAAAGGTGGCTGAGTCATGAATATACTTCAAAAAAGCTTGAACTTTTCTTTGTGCTATAAAAGGATGATCGACAATAACCAAAACTTACATTGTTTGAATCCAAGTTCTTTTTCACCCTTCTCAATGTATAACTTCCTAGTAATATGGGACAGCTACAGAACCATTCATCATGAGCCTTTCATTAGTTAGCCAGGTCCTCCCAAGTAAGGCCACCGAAATAATCAACACAGAGGGGTCACTACATCCCGAGCTAAACCTCCAGCAAAGGAAGACACTGATCAAGCCAGACCTTTCAACTCTCAACAAGCAATGTCCCCTGTGTGACCCAGACTGCAAAGCAGAGCCATCACAATTCCCCCAAAACCCCCCCAGATGTCCAGACCTCATTCTAACCTTTGAAAATCAGAACTCTGAGAGGGAATGCAGGCCTGGGTATTTTTTTGAAGTTCAACAAGGAACTACTGCTTTAGAAACTCCTGATATAATTCTGTATAGTGTTCAGTATTTAAAAAGAAAAAGCAGCAGCCAAACACTAACCCTCATATGTGTGAAGCAGCTTTGTAGTTTTATTCAATGTTGAAACTAAAATGTCAATAAATAAGAAGTAAAAAGAATAGCAAACAGAAATAGCTTACACAGTGTTTATTTGACACTGAAACGAAGAGCTTCTGTACAATAGAAAGCACAGTGTGTGCCTGGCTCTAAGGCAGGATGCTAAGAGAGAGAACCAGGGTCAGCTGGAGAATAGACAAATGCAGAGCTCAGAGAGGTGGGACATCCAGCTCGACGAGGGAGTCTTGGGAGAAGTGAAGCAAAGAAACTTATCTGCGTGAAGATAAAAAGGTGGGAGGAAAAAAAAAGTGGCACAATGAGAAAAAAAAAAAAAAGAAAGGAAACCAAACCAATAGATGAGAGCACTTGAAACACAGACAAGAAGCAGTCATGCAAACCCCACTGCCAGCCACACCCTTGGAAGGACATCCATCTTCCCACCTGAGGCCGTCACAGGCCGCCTTTCGGCAAGGGTCCATTTTAAGAAGACCCATGAACAGAATTTAAAAACAAAAAAAATTTTAAGCTACACTCGTCTTTCAGAATATTTAATCATACTTGATGCAAAAAGTTTTTCCCAAAGAATCACCACATTTTAGCACTGAAAAAGACCTTAGAGACAGATGATCTGCTCCACCCCCTCATTTACAAATGAGGGATGAGAAGACACATTTTCTCTGGTTTCCATGGCAACAGTCATGTCTCTAGAGGCTTTTTTGTTGACTGTGGGGATTCTATAACCTCTAAGGCAGCAGGCACATGCCACTCTCTTCAAGTTACCATTTTTTCTGCATGGGTAAATGAATGACAGGTGGGCTTGGAAAATGACATTTCCAGCTTCAATGGAATTCAGGGTGATATTAGAATGAAGAACTCTGAAACATTCCAGGTTAGAATTTAAAGTAGTAGAAAAAGTTTAATGTTTAAGTTTGGTTAGTAATATGTAAATTAGTTGTATCTGTTCAAGGTTCTTCTCATGATAACAAGACTACCTACTCCAACTCTTACTGCCTAACAGTAAAATCTGGGCCATTAACTCCCAAGCTCACATTGTACAATCTGTGTTTAATTTCCCATTTATTTGACACAGGTTGTGGTAAATATTTATCGTGGGTATTTTAATTCCTTTCATAAAAACACAAAATTAAAGGCTTGGTTACTCAGCAGAGGGTTCTTTTTACTCTACCATTCTTTTTTTTCTTGAGACAGAGTCTCGCTCTGTCGTCCAGGCTGGAGTGCGGTGGTGCGATCTCGGCTGACTGCAAGCTCCACCTCCCGGGTTCATGCCATTCTCCTGCCTCAGCCTCCTGAGTAGCTGGGACTACAGGCATCCACCACCACGCCCGGCTAATTTTTTTTGTATTTTTAGTAGAGACAGGGTTTCACCGTGTTAGCCAGGATGGTCTCAATCTCCTGACCTCGTGATCCGCCCGCCTCGGCCTCCCAAAGTGCTGGGATTACAGGCGTGAGCCACTGTGCCCGGCCTACTCTAGAATTCTTAAAAGTAAAAGAGATGATCTTTTGTAGTACCACTGTTAAAGCTGTATTGGATCATGCCAATTTCCTTATCCTCAGATTCTCAATAACCTGACACTTTAAGGGTTCCTTCAAATTATATTTAACGAAAATGATTATGTTGTACTTAGTTGAATTTCAGGAAACAAATTTTGATATTTTTTGAGAAGTTCCTGTACAACAAACGGCATGGCCTTCTAGTTTTACTTGAGTTTAGCTTAATTTCCCAAAAGGACAGTGCTCAAGGTCACTCATTCTAGTTCACTGCTCTAGTTCAGCGTTTACAAAATAAACGGATTCTGAAAAGAAAATGGTTTGTATAGACAGACTTAATCTAATTGGCCTTTATATTAGCAGAAAGTGAAAAAACAATGACTATTCTAGGTTATGACAAAAAGGGTGAACACAAGAGTGCAAAGATGGAGATTAGGGAGCAAGGAAGGCATGGTGGTGAGTTTATTACATTAGCATGAGGGCAGGGTGTAAGCAGGCAGAGTGGATGAACGTTTACATGGAAGTCATATCGTTGAGAGCGTGGTCCAGCTCCTCGCTGATGGCTTTGTACTTCAGTTTCTGAGCGTACAGCTCGTCTATGACCAGGAAGTGGAAGGCAGAGGTGCAAGAACATGGAGAGTGATCAAGAAATGGAGGGTGAGTGAGGGTGGTGCGCGCACCATCCCAACACAGCAGCAAGAAAAGGGCAATGCATGAAGGGGTTGGTGCCGCAGCAGGTGGCCAATGCAGGAGGCGTGCGTTTTGTTTTAAGTAAATTGAAACAAAAACAAAGAGAACAAAACCCATTAGAAAATAAAATGAAAAAGACTCAATATGAAAATCCTAACAAATATGGTAGGTATATCAGTAAACCATGTTAAATTGTAAACGAAACCACAGAAGGCTGTCTCCTGGTGAGGGGAGGCAGGGGCTAATGGAACATCTTTCTTTTGCAGAGCTATATTTTAATTACACTGGAGTAGTCAGGCATCTGCAGCTATAAACAATGGGAAAAAAATGCAAGGGCAGTGTTTTGGAAGAACAATTTGTGACTACAGCCTGTAGTCCTTATCTGGTTCCACCTTCAAACCACTGACTTCCTGACCACACTAGACCACTGGGATAGCGATTTCTTAGTGCCATTTAAGCTACTCCTGTGGTCTTCCCACTCAAGCTGCCTATTACTGGTCCAGGAGGCTTGAAAAGCAATGGGCGCCACACTTTATATGGCAAGTCTGCAACTTAGTTTTTGTAATGCTGCAGGTTTCATACTTTGCTGCACTTTGGCAGATCATTTTGCAACCATTTGTCATTCTCTCTTCTCCACTATTTTGGTTATTATCTGCACCAAACACTAGTTCCTTCTCTAATCCCTTCTGTGATGTAGATATTTGTCTTTTTTCTTTCTTGTTCACAGCTAATCCTTCACAAGCTTCAAAGCTCAACATTTAGGATATCTGTGAGATAGAGTGGTTATTACTAAAATAAAACCTAAGTGCCTTAGGGAAGAAATGCTTAAGTATAATTTTTCCCTCCTCCTTCAGGATATAAAGTATTTTGTTAAGATAATATATGACTTAAAATAACCCCTAAATCCTTACTTTGAATTCATACTTGGAAGAAGATGGGTTCTTCTAAAAACAAGACCACAATCACCACATCATTCCCAATTTAATTAGGAAGTAACACTAAAGATATAAAATATACTAGAGTCATTCTCACCAATAAGCACCTCACTCACAGTGAAAAATAAACCTGCCACACTTGTAATGAGCATGAAGTCAAGCTGGATGGCATTTGCCACTATGGCTGGTGGCTAACTAGTCACCTCGTGAGCAGAAGACTTAGGTTCATGAGTTCAAGAGCCACAGAGAAAAACCCCAGAGGACACACAGGAAGAATGTGCAAGTGCAAAGGAGCGTATCAATGTGGATGCCCTTGAATTGGAAAATTGTTTTGCCAGGTTGGTATTCAACCATAAGGATTAAACTAAAAACACTACTTAAGATCTTACCTTCTAAGTCATCAATGCTTTTCTCCAATTTAGTTACTGACCTCTCCGCAAACTCAGCCCGAGTCTCAGCCTGTAATGATTTATTTGAGTTAAAGTTGGGAAGTTTTATGTTTCCTGTAGCTACAAACATAGGGAAAACTAGAGGATGAAAATGAAGCACATCACCTATAAAATGGATCAGAAACTACTTGTCAGTTTCAGTCACCTCTGTGAGAAATGGCAGTTAGCACAGTACATAAACTCCAAGGCGACCTTTGAATATTCCTGACTTGGATCATTGGAACTTTAAAATGAAAAGGCCCTGACCGGTTCCATGAAAACAAACTCATTTAAAATCCAGTTGGCTTCATCCACAACTCTCATATTACCTCCTTCAGCTTGTCGGAAAGGACCTTGATCTCTTCCTCATATCTGTCTTCCTTCTGCGAGTACTGTAATTAGAAAGAGCATTCCAGATGTCAGGCTGCAGCTCAATCTACTCATGGCTTCTCATGCAAAGAACTCGCCAGCTCAGCCAACAGATGTTAAGGATCTCTTAGGAGGTAATGGAACCTCTGATATCAAATGGCACACTGCAATACATTCTCTGCTTTCTTGCCTATTGTTTTACATGGGATAACAACAAGATAACTTATCCACTTGGCACTTGGTTTAAATTAAATTGATGCCTCATATCCCTAACATAAAATAAATTCTCTAGTTAAAAAAAAGAATTTGTTATCTAGTAACTCTCCAAAAATCACCTCACAATATTGCCATTTTACTAAAATGTCTACTGTAAGTGTTGCTTTCTGGCAGGGCCTCTTTTGAGCAGCTCTTAAAAGATGCCTTTCCCCCACACCATCCTCCTGGCCTACCTTCTCAGCCTGAGCCTCCAGTGACTTCAAGTTGTTCGTCACAGTTTTCAATTCTTCTTCAAGCTCGGCACATTTGCTAATGTTTTCGATCAGAGGCAGAAAGGGTGGGAGACAAGCCAAAGGAAGGAGGAGAGAAAAAGGAGAGGGATGGGAAAAAATGAAAACTGAGTCCTAGAGACGAAGGGCTGCCTTAAAGTAGCCAAATCATCAGGTATTAAAATGTTTAGGTTTTCCAGGAACACTGCCCCCCAACCTCGCAACAGCAGAAGGCAGGGTGACCAAATCCAACAACTTTGAAGTGCGATAATTTGGCTCCTTTTTTGGCTGCCCAAAGAGCATTTATGAAGGGAAAACAAAGGAGCATAAAGGACCAAGGGAAAGCACTTAAGGCAAGATATAAATAGCAGAGGGTGAAGTGAAGGTGCAGTCGTTATACCAAACGAACCAGGAGGCATTGGAAGCTGAAAGATGTCTGGGTTGCAGTTAAACCTAAAAACCACACGAGCCATCAGTACCTTATCCTCTGCAGCCATTAATGCTTTCAAGGTCTGATCCATTATTCTTAATTGTTCTTCCAGCTGTCGGACTTGGCTGTTAGTGGACACAGGAAATGCACAAGGCCATTCACAAAATCAGTGTGCAGGTAAGGCATGCAGTGATACACGCATTCATACATAAGACACCCCACACGAGTCCTCCATGTTCCATACTCGTGGCTCATCCACATCAAATGAGCACAAAAGGAGCCCGGAGCTGAAACAGGTAATGTGCAGCTGCCAGAAGGTCATGCTGTTTAGTCACTGCTCTGCAGCACCCCATTCGTGGCCTCCTGGCGCCGGGCCCGCTTACCCTTCTGAGAGCTCAGCCCGCTCCTCTGCACGTTCCAGGTCGCTCTCAATGATGACCAGCTTACGGGCCACCTGCAGCAGGAAGACACAACACACACACCATGGGTCTTGCAAGCTTTGTGTAACAGAAGGGCATGGGGGTAGAGATCAGATCCCATCAGGCCCTAAGGGTTTTGTCTACAAACAATATGATCCTCTTTCTGGTAGACCAGAGAGAAGCAACTCTCTATTAGGAGTGCCAGCAGAGAGGAGATCAGAGGCTTCTGCTTTGACTCAGAATGGTTAGCTGTGATTGGGCAGTCTCAATTGGAAGTCTGACCTAGGTGAACCGGCAGCCAGACCAAAATGTGGAAGGAGGGATAAAATACACATTCACAATCTCAAAAACAGCAGTAGGATGAGACATGTACTAAAAAGGTGGGGGCTGCCAGGAAAACAAAGTAAACCTAAGAACTCCATCAATTTGATGGCTGATCTGTGCATCTACCTCCTTACTGCAGTGGAAGAATACAAGAGACACTAACGTGAGACAAGTTGGTGAGATAACTGACAAAATCAAATTTGTATTTAGTGGAAGAACCAGAGAGAGGAAGGGAGCCTCTGAAGCAGATCAAAACTTGTGAGCATAGTGTAATCTGAAGGTAATAATGGTAATAAAAAGGAGGGGCAATGCTGTTTCAGGATAGCCACGATGTGATCCAATAAGGAAAAAACAGAAACCTTAATAATCAAGTTGCCTCTTATCACAGGAGGCTGTTTTCATGGGGACACGACCAGGAGCAAATTCTGCTGAAAACCTGCGTTGATAATAGTTTTCTACCACCCTTGAGGAGAGAGGCCTCTGTGAATCCACTGAGAAACTGTCTGTGGTCTCTAAGCTGCCCAATCTGGATGTGCCAGGTCACTCTGGGAAGAAATGACTTGCACCATGACAGCATGAGAGCCTCCTTTCACAAGACACAGGGCCCAACTCTCCCTTCCGGCCAAAGATCTTTTGTCCGGGTCTTTGTGGCTGGGGGAGAGGAGTTTTGGTCCTTCTTCGCAGTGCTACTGATTGGCTTCCTGATAAAGCCTGGGATCCCCTAGCAGGATTAAAATTAGAACCGTTTTCTGGACACAAAGGAACTCTGCTTCTCAAAACCACCCATTTCTGCCAACAAAGCAGATGGCCTCACTCGGGAATCAAGACTGTACATTGCTCCCTGGCTTCCTGAAGGCCACTGCTGGGTGTCCACAAGGCTTTGGGCCCCAGGATCTGACCTCTTCATATTTGCGGTCGGCATCTTCAGCAATGTGCTTGGCCTCTTTCAGTTGGATCTCCTGAATTTCCATTTTTTCTTCATCTTTTTGGGCTCGACTCTCAATGACTTTCATGCCTCTGAAAAGAAAGACAAGCAAGAAAACCCAAGATTTAGAGCTGAACTTCCCAAATGCACACTGCACTGCTGTGGCTTGTGAGGCTTAGTGTAAGTGGTAGACCAAAATAGAGCACAGAGCTACTTTTATTTTCCAAACCAGGAAACAACAATTTCCAGAGCTAAAGGTGGAAAAAAGAGACACATTTCTCTCTGTTCACTGTGAATGAACTCTCTCACTTTGAGTACTGATGAAACTATCAGGCATCTAACATTAATGATGACGAAAGGTACCACGTCAGGAATCTGTCTGAATCTTGGCAGTATGAAACCGGAAAAGCCAATATGCTTTACTATTAAAAAGATAATGAGATTTCTTGCCTTTCCTGTGGGAAGCCTCAGCTTGCACATGAACCAAAGCTAGAACAAAATCAAACTTATCTTTATATACCTCTTTCTACAAAGAATCTTCTTACCCTGCCACCCATAAACAAAAATATTAGACTTAATGTTAGATTTAATAAACTATTAAGTCCACAAAGAATGCTGATATTTGACCATTTCAGACAAGTAATAATGGCAATTTCTTATGGTTCAACTGAATGCATCAAATTAAGTTTTACCTATAATGGAACCCTTTCATGACAGCAATGCTGGGAGACAGGCCTGACACTGTCCTCTACACTGAGTGTATTAGGGTCCTATGGCATGGTGTATATTAGGGTCCTATAGCGTGGTGTAATGTTTCAGAAAAATACTAAATGACCTATGATATTTTACAGATATATGGAATAACAAGTCATGTAAAATGGAATTCATTTATCAAAATTTAAGTAGGCAGTATAAGTGAACCACTATTTTTTTATTTTTATTTTTTGAGACAGAGTCTCGCTCTGTCACCCAGGTTGGAGTGCGGTGGTGTGATCTTGGCTCACTGCAACCTCCACCTACTGGGTTCAAGCGATTCTTCTGCCTCAGCCTCCCGAGTAGCTGGGATTACAGGTGTGCACCACCACGCCTGGCTAAGTTTTCTATTTTTTAGTAGATTTAGGGGTTATGCCACGTTAGCCAGGCTGGTCTCGAATCCCTGGCCTCAAGTGATCTGCCCGCCTCGGCCCCCTAAAGTGCTGGGATTACAGGTGTGAGCCACCACATCTGGCCCACTATCTTTTGATGAAGCATTGGAATACAGTTGAGGAGATCTGGGTCGGAGTCTTGGCTTAGCCACAAATATGCTGTGAGCCTTGGTGCAAGTCACATCAGCCTCTGAGCCCTACTTTTCTCATTTGTAAAACTAAGGGACTAAATGATCCCCAAGTCCCCTTTACTCCGAAGTCTAACATTACCAGACTGCCTTTAAGGTACACTAACAAGTATATTTCAGAAAGAAGTCAGCCACAAAACTGCTCTTATGCGTACACTGTAAGATGCTTAGTCATCTTAAAGAAGTCCAAAATGCTTGGTTAGCGAAGAAACACTAAGCAGCGGTGAATAATGGCCTAAAAAGTTTAGCTAAAAATCTTCTTTAATCCTAAAGTCTGAAATCACTCTTTATACCTGGTACCTAGTGGTAGGGTCACTTCAAAGAGTAAGAAATGGACAAGATGACTGACTGCATTCACTTGCCCAGGTCACAGCACAGACAGATACACATTCAGTGCTCTGAGCCCCTTCATGCTATGCCATCCCTCAAGCGGCAGAACGCTCTCTCACCTCATGGAGTCTCTCTTGAAGTACTTCTATGCAATATGGCAAATCCTTACTTCCAACAGTTGAGCTTAAGGGAAAATGCCTTTTAGACCACACAAGGCTGTGCTGGTCTATACGAACCATGCTTTCCTTTACTACCACAAAGCTGAATCTGAGTAATAATTCAGCTACAGCCAGATTACAGTGGAGGTGGGCTCAGAACACACGAGCATCTGACTATTTGTGTGCATGTGTGTTGTGTATATTACTAAGACCAAGTCCAAAATATTTTACTTTTGCAGACCATGTTTCTGCTTTGTGTTTTTTCTTCCACCTATTTGTTAAGCTATTTTGACAACTGATAGTCCACAGTTCCTTTATTTACACCTAAGCCTCCTTGTATATTATAAAATAAAGTTACACTTTAAAAAATGCACAATTGCTCTGTGGTCAGTAGGAGTGAAAGGGCCAACTTGTATCCCTGACATTTCTCCTTTACATGTCTGTCTCCCTCATTAGATGGTGAGTTCTGTAAGGGCAGGAACAAGATCATCTTCTTCTTTGTAACCTTAGGGCTTAGGACAGTGCTTTGGACATAGTAGGTGTTTCACTAATGCTAAATGAACAAAACCAACCGAGTTATACCTGGGATCAATAGAGGAAATGATCCCACCACCAGGGGACTGAAAAATTCTTAAACCTCAAAGATCACAGGAGCCCTCCGGTTTATTCCACCAGGAAAGGCAGCTGCAAAAGATGGCTGATGAGGCATTCTCACCTCTCACTCTCATCTGCTGCCTTCTCAGCTTCCTCCAGCTTCTGCAAAGCTGTTGCCAGACGCTCCTGGGCACGATCCAACTCTTCCTCAACCAGCTGGATGCGTCTGTTCAGAGAAGCTACGTCGGCTTCAGCCTAGGTAGAGAGTGAAAAGCATTTCAGAGTTGGGGAGAAAGTGAGGGTGGTAGCTTCAGGAAATGGCTGGGACTGCAATGCTGATTTCAGATAGGAAGACTGTCTTGTGGTGAGCTACCTTTAAGTGCATTACAAGCCCTCATCAACTCTGGAGTTCTCGGACACATTTACACATTGATTTATACAGTGAACATCCATATTTGTGTATACACAAATCTATACACACAATTCTCATCAGACAGACAGATCATTAGCAAACGCTCTTTCACATGGTTCCTTTCTTCCGTAGATTTTTTTGTTTTGTTTTGTTTTGTTTTTGAGACAGGGTCTCGCTCTATCACCCAGGCTGGGGTGCAGTGGCACGATCTCAGCTCACTGCAAACTCCGCCTCCTGGATTCACGCCATTCTCCTGCCTCAGCCTCCCGAGTAGTTGGGACTACAGGCGCCCGCCACAACGCCCGGCTAATTTTTTTGTATTTTTAGTAGAGACGGGGTTTCACCGTGTTAGCCAGGATGGTCTCAATCTCCTGACCTCCTTATCCACCTGCCTTGGCCTCTCAAAGTGCTGGGATTACAGGCGTGAGCCACTGCGCCCGGCCCACTTCCGTAGAGTTCAACACCCTGGCTTTACTTGCCTGTTAAACAAGAGCGTCATCACGGCCACCTCACTCACTGGGGGCCTGAAGTGTGAACTGAGACAAGACTTACCCAGGCTCAGCCATGTAAGACAATAGCAGTACAGCCAGAAATCGGACTCAAGAGTTTCACTCAACTCTTTCCTTCAAGCCACTTTATCATAGGATCCTTACAAAGGAACTTAAATAGTTTAAAATTCAGTGGTTCTAAAATACACACCACATGAAGGCCCAACACAATCCAGTAACCCCTTTTAGAATAACTGGCCTCATTGGAACAGAGCCAAGACAAATTTCCCAAGTGTTTTTGATGTAAGCCTATGATTTTTCTTTGAAGTCAAGGTTAATACAAGAAAAGTATCAAACTCCTAAAAAGAAAAATAATACAAGTACTGTTTTTACTTGGTATCTGTCACTGAAATAAAATGTTGGTTTCTTTGAGAGGCAATGATTTTTTTCCTGTCATAAGAAATTGTTGCTATGAGCCTCAGAACACTTATAAGACTATGATGGTCCATTATACACACTTGCACTGGTGGCTGTTTAAATATTGTGCATGGAAGTGGGAGATGGAATTTACTAATCAGGTAAAATATCCTCATCCACTTTGAATGTATGTTCACTAAGGGGTGGTGGGGTTTTCAGAACACTTAGGAGTTTTCTAGAAATTACAATACACACTTAGGGACCCATGGTAATAGGATAACAAATTTCTCTACACACAGCCCTGTCTTTGTCATTGAACTGTAAGCTGCTCACATCCAGAGAACTCACAGTTCTCTGCACAGAGTATGGGCTCAGTAAGATGAGTAAAACCAACCTAATTTTAATAAAAGCAACGTTCTCAGCTTATGGATCCACAATACAGAGTTGGAAATGCAAATGTAGTTAGAAACTGTGGTCATAGTCTTTAATCAAAGGAATCTGAGAACCTTCAGCTCTTTGCTCACCTAGATTTGTAAGATTTTAAATGCCAAGTTTTATCTGGGAAGAGAGGTGAGTAGGGCATCTCCAACCACGGTGAAGGACTCTATAAAAACATGTAAATACACTTTTATCTTGACAAAAATGTAGTAATTGGTTGATGGAGGCAGGGAGCAGGGCAAATGTGAAATAAATCAGAGGAAGAGCATTTACAACTGTACTGCCTACAAAGTAAATCATTATCAGTGCACAGCTGGTAAATGGACCCAGCTAGGAATTACTGGCAGATGACTGTTGTTTCTGGTGTGTGTGTGTATTGAAGGGTGAGGGTAATAGGATAACAAATCTCTCAATTATAGGGAAGTGTCTTTTAAAAACCATTAGGCTTTTTTTTTTTATTACTATTACTGGAAGGATGTATATATTAAGGATATACTTTTGGGTCAGGTAAGATTTCTTCACTTTTCTATATTTTCATTTTCCAGTAAAATTCTATTCCTTTTGAGGGTGGGGGGGAGACTCAAAGCGGAAGCAAAAACAAAGGGCAAACAAAACAAAACAAAATTTAAAGCCACACAAAAAAACCAAGCACACAAACCAAAAGCCCTACAACAACAAAAAGCCTCCATAGAGTGTCTAGGTTATGTACTCAAAAGCACTGTACACTTTCTTTTCTTTCCCCCTTTCTTATCATTTTCAATATGATGGCAAATATCCTTGTTACAGAGGCTATGGCCTATTAGAGAAATGCCAGCAAGATTTTCAAAACTTTTTTGTAGCTACCAAGTTCCAAGTTCTCTGCTCTGCTTTAGATCTGGGCCTGAACCTCAAGGACTTTGTACTCACAGAAAGACGACTGTTTATGCTTTGGGGAAAGAACCCTCTGGGTGACAGGTCTCTATCCCCAGCTCCCCACACAGCCGAGTCACCAGAAAGGAAGGAAACAGCACCTCATGTTCATTCCAGCCTTGCACATGAGATCTTCCTACCCAAAGGGCCCCTACCAATCCATCCGTGTCTTCCCTCCGATCACCCCCACCCCCATTCTTTCCCTTAGCTCTTGGCACTGTGTTTACAGAATGCTGTTGTCTAAATGCCACTCTTGTTTCCCCAGGGGCATTCTGTAGAACCTCAGACTCCTGGACATCAGAGAATATGTCCTACAGGAATACCAGCCAGCAGGGCTTCATACAGGGTGCCCCAGCAACGACTGGGCATGGAGACCAGTTTCTAGGTGCCAGTTTGTGATATAGTGGGAGGAATGGTAGGGCACACACAGCAGACCTGAGAGTGGCTGCCCCTTCCTGAGGAGGCCCTGTAAATCCAAAAAATAGGGTCTCAATTTTTTAGCTAGAAGGATCCCTAGGCATTGTCCAGATCAGCAATTCCCACAAGTGGCTGAGTGTCAGAATCAACTCAGAGATGAGCATTAAAAAAAAAACTTTCAGCTGGGCGCTGTGGCTCACGCCTGTAATCCCAGCACTTTGGGAGGCCGAGGCGGGCAATCATGAGGTCAGGAGTTCGAGACCAGCCTGACCAACATGGTGAAACCCCGTCTCTACAAAAAACACAAAAATTAGCCAGGCATGGTGGCACATGCCTGTAATCCCAGCTACTCAGGAGGCTGAGGCAGGAGAATTGCTTGAACCCGGGAGGCAGAGACTGCAGTGAGCCGAGATCATGCCACTGCACTCCAGCCTGGGCGACAGAGCAAGACTCTTGTCTCAAAAACAAAAAAAAAAAAAAAAAAATCAAACTTCCAGGCCGTGTCCCTAGAGATTCTGATTCAGGAGGTCAAAGGGGGAGGGCAGGAATCTGTACTATAAATAAACAATCCCCTTTGCCACCACCCAAAGAAGCTGGCTATTCTTCTAGCTCTTGACTAGAAACAGGCGGCAGGAGGGAACTCTGACCCTGGGCACAGAAGTATGTGGAGGCCATACAGCCATCAGTGTGAGACAGGATTAAGATCCAAGTCACTAGGCTCCCAGCATGCCGGCTCTCCACTATGTCACTTCTCCTGGCTTCCCGGAACATCACGGAAACCTTGGAACTGGCAGTTCTCACTCCTGTGTCTTTATCTCTCCTGAGATCAGATTGAGATGTTCTCCGGCCCCCACCCCAACTCCCCACAAAAGGCCTCAGGCACAGATCCTAACCAGGACTGGGAGAACAGTTGCTGCAATGCAAATCATCTGCTAAAGTGATTATCACAATCTTTTTGAAATGAGGCAGGATATAAAATTGAAAACTTCATAAAACAATGCTAATGGGTAATAGGAAGCTCACATAAGGACACGGAACATTTACTCCCTAGCCCAGAAGTCAATGCCTACTGCCCCAGAGGTTTCAGAGCAGGACAGGCAGAGGGGCTTTGAGGTTAAAGCCAGGACCTAGGAGTAGTATCTGAGGTACACCTATCTTTATGGGAAAACCCTGAACCCATGACAGGCTCTGCAGGCCCTATTATACTGGCCTAGTAGAATTTTTGTTTGGCTCGTTAGAATTCAAGATATGCTTAATTTTATAATTTAATCAGGGCCACTTTTTTCTCTTTCTTATTTTTACTTTTTATTCTGATTTATTATGCTCTATGTTCCAAAAGCCCCACACCTCTCACCTTTACTAGCTTTTATTTCTGGTATTTTTTTTTTTAAGTTTTGAGCTTATTTCAATATTTTCTAAGGTTCTTTTCATCATGGCACCTGGGGAGTCTTAAGGACCTGCTGTTGCCTCTGCCGGTACAAGCCCATAGACACATGACCATCTGTTATCTAAAAGCAGAGATATAAATAACAAGGCATTTGGGGAGGGTCAAGACCCCAGACACAAATTATTTGCAGGCATGTAAATCACTCTTAGTGTACTGAGTTAGCTTTCTTCTTCTTCTTCTTTTTTCTTTGAGATGGAGTCTAGCTCTGTCTCCCAGGCTGGAGTGCAGTGGCATGACCTCGGCTCACTGCAACCTCCACCTCCCGGGTTCAAGCGATTCTCCTGCCTCAGCCTCCCCAGTAGCTAGGATTACAGGCACGTGACACCATGCTCGGCTAATTGCTGTATTTTTAGTAGAGATGGGATTTTGCCATGTTGGCTAGGCTAGTCTCGAACTGCTGACCTCAGGTGATCCACCCGTCTCGGCCGCCCAAAGTGTTGGGATTACAGGCATGAGCCACTGCACCCAGCCAAGTTAGCTTTCTTCTAACAGCAGCCCATGTGCTGACTGCCAGTGAAGTCTTTCAATCTGGGATGCTAGTTTCTTTTATTTCAAAAGTGCTATTGTGTTCTAACAATGAACTACTCAAAAAAGAGACTGCTGTATTAGTAAAGGCTACCAATGTCCTCCTGCAGATGTTTTTAAGTAACTTCCTGGTGCTCTGTACTTGAGGTGCCTTACAATGCATATGACCCTCCTCTAAGGGCATGCACCCCATTCCCCCACCCCAACATGGTACTATATAGAAATCAAGGGCATGCCCACCCCACCATAGTATAATATTATCCCAAATCAGATTTGAAAAAAAAAAAAAAAAACAACTTTTATGAGGCCTAGATTTTCATGAAATCCAGATGTTTTAGCCAATACAACAACAGAAAATTAAAAATGGCAGTGACTTTTACTTTTTAAAAAAGTATTCCAGTTAAGGTTATTAAGAAAAAATACTGGTGGGAGAATATTATAATCTAGAAATCAATCCTCTGGAATATGTTTCCAAAGTCCTGACTGAACTGGAGTGGAACTTGGGATGATCAAAGGTCAGGTCTTTTTATTTCATGCAAACTGTAGTTATACGAAGAAGGTTTCACCCAACTTGCTGTGTAAGGCCAAGTGACCACAGCCAAGCTAAACTTCTGCCCTTATATGGTAAGGAAAGGGGGGAAAAAAAAAAACACTGATGACATTAAGGGGCACTCCCATGGATAACAGATAAACACAACCTCCTGTGTGTGCCAAAGCCCATAATTTATGAAGCATATTTGTATAATGAGGGAGAACAGACATGAACAAGGCATTGTAGTGCCTCTGCCTTGCCTACATATGAAAGCGGAAATCGAGAGTATACATTCCAGTTAACAGCCACTCTGGGAGTGCCAATGCAAGCACAAAATGCACCCTCGGTTTTCCTATCCCGGAAATACTTACCAAGTGTAAAGAGGGAAAGTGCTGGGAATTTTTGTAAATTGGTTATTTCCCATGATTTAATCATGTTACTAATTAAGAACCTTCTGGCCACAACTCCCTGTCTCCTTGTTTGCTGGATACTACTCAGAAAGGAAGATTCATCCTGCCTTTTTCTTTAAATAATGAAAAAAAGCAAACATAACCCTAGTGGGTCACAAGATCTGGAATCAATCATGTCAAGCAAAGTAGCCTCATTCCAACATTTTGAAGGATCCACACACCTTGGAAACACAGACTAGGAGGAAGTAAGGGATGGCTGCTTTTTCCAAGGTAAGGGCTGGTTTAATAGGGCCTATTAATTACAGTCTGAGTATTTGAATTTAGGCCAACTCTCTGGTCAAATATTTTTTGCAGTGGCTCATGGTTTTGTCACTAAACCTTTATCTTTGCTGCCAAAAGAAACTGTTACTGCTAGCTTAACTCACAGCCCAAGCTACATCTAAATACCTAAGTCAGCTACATTTAAGTTCCAATTTCAGAAGTTAGGAACAACTTGCAGCCTGAAAGTCTCTCTTCAATGGTCTGATCCAGTCTTCAAGTTGCTGTCTTAAAAGGTTCTGTGTTCAATCAATCACCCAGGTAGATTGTTTGCAAAGATTACTTAAAAAAATTGAAACTACTTAAACTACTTTTGATATAAAGCCGTGAAAAGAACGAAAGTACTATCTTTAGCCAACTGGCACAGGAAGAGTTCTGTTATAAAAACGACGTGCAAAAGAGAAGGTAAGAATAAAAGTAATAATGTGCCCTTCATAAAATTTATCTTTTGTGTCTAACATCAATCACTAGGCCAGGAGCCAATACAAGGCTCTCCTGCATAGGGTCACACATACTCTTTCTTAGCAGGGTGAGGAGACCTCAGACTTCTACCACTGATACCACTTTAACCCATCAAACATGCCTACCAGCCCGCCCACTTCCTCTTCATTCAAGCCCCCCGCCCCAACAAATGTTGATTAAAAGCAGTAAATGAAGTGTTTTATGATGTCATGAAATGAGCAGGCCATCTTTAAGACCTCTTGCTGGGTGGGGAACTGAAGGTGAAGGAGCACTGGGCTGCCAGGGCTGTGCAGTTTTAATGACAGCGGGCACACAGCACTTACCCTTTTGCGCCAAGCATCAGTGTACTGTCTTTACATAGTAACTCCTTTAACCGACAGGTAGATGCTGTTACTATCCACACTTTACACACAGGGAACTGAAACACAGAGATTAAGTAACTTGCCCACTGCTAGTAAGTAGTGGAGACAGGATTCAAGTTCTGACAGTCTGGGTCCAAAGTTCTTGTTTTTATCCATCATATTCTATATAGTTCTAATGGTTCAAGGACAGCTACTAGCGAGTAAGGGAGTCGGAATTAGTTTACCACCCAGCCAAGTTCAGGGATATCCACAGGACTTTTGCTGACTCGTCCTATAAAGCAAATACTGAGAATTATCTTTTGCCTATTAATTTCCTTATTCCTGCTTGTATTTTATCTGAAACTTTCTCTAGTTGAGCTTTCCTCTGAAGAGGACCATTTCAGGTCTTGAAGTTTCTGTGGCCAGCCATACAGCCATTTACAAACACTTAACTAGAACGATTTACTCAACTCAGAACAACCCCGTATATTAAGCACAGCAGGACATCATACTATCAATTGTCATAAAACTCCCAAGGTGTTTGTTTCAGTATCTTCATTAAAAACACACACACACAAAATCGACAAATATCCAATACTAGACTACCTCTGAAATCCTGTTCGTGTTTGCTGGATACATTTGCCTTAGAAGAAAGGAAGGAAGCCAGGTATTACATTTAACAAGGGGGAGGGGAAGCCCGCAAGAGAATACACCCAATAACTGTTGACATTTCGCCAACTTTTTCCAAGACTTGGTAACAAAGCATTATCTATCTGTATGAGAGAAAAGGGGAGGAGGACTGCTGAAAAAAGGGACGGGTTAAGGGTTTTGCACTATAGTTTAGCTCTTCCAGCAGAACGCGGCGCTGTCAAGCTGTCAATGTCTGTCTACCGCCTCGGAGACACAGGCCGCCGGGAAACCACAGGGTCGACGGGAACGGCGGAGTGTAGCATCCCCGGGCCCCAAGTCCACAGTGCCTCTCCCACTTGACCTGTCGGCGCCCCTTCTCAAAGTACGGATCTCCAAGAGGAAGGACCTCCTCCCTCTCCACTCTCAGAGTAAAGCAAGCCAGCAGCGCAAAGTGCACCTCCCGGGGACGCACAGACACGACTGAAAGCCACCACCCCAGAAACAGACCCTTCCTGGGAAAATGCTCCTTCCAGAACCTTCTCAACACCACCCGTTTCCCCTGGGAGCGTTTACTTTGGATCAGCGAGATGGAAAACAAAGGCTCAGGAGAACAGGCCGGGCCCCTCCCCAGAGCCCGCCGCCAGCTGGCCCAGGTGCGCCAGGTGCGCCCTGGAGGCGTGGGGACGAGGGACCGGGGCCTGCGGGGGGGGAAGCAGGAGGGCCCTGCGGGGCTGCCCCGGGAGGATGCGCCTCTGGGGGCTGCGGGGTGATGGGTGTATCCCTTACGGTCTCCCTCAGCTTCCTCTCGTGGTCCAGCTCGCGCTGCAGGGTGCCCGCGCGCTCCTCAGCGGCGTCCGCCTGCTCCTGCAGGCTCCGGATCTTCCTGCGCACCGCCTCCAGCGAGCTACTCCCCGCCATCGCGCCGGACGGTAGGCGGGCGGGAGGGCTGCAGTGGGAGAGGCCGGCTGCTGCCCTGCGGACCCGGCTGCCGCGGCTGTCCTGGCTGCCCAGCGCCGGTCCGCCCCGCCCAGGCCTCTCTGTGCGATGGCGGCGCCCCCTGCGGCCAGGAGCAGTCCGGAAGTCGCAGCCTCCAGGGCTGCGCAGACAAACCGCAGGCGGGCGCGCGCGGCTGGGAGGGGCGCGCGCCGTGGATCCCGGGACTGGCTGGGGGCACTGCGCATGCTCGCGGCGGCGGGGAGAAAGGCGCTCCCGGCGCGCTGCGGGGGTACCTGGTGAGCTGGGCGCTCCGGGAGGCCACTGCACTAGGGCTCTGGCTTCCACTTCTAGGGCCCCTCCGCGGCGCGGTGGTGACCCGGGGTAACGGAGCTGGCTGCTAAGGGCAATAGCGACTCCTGCTGGCCGCGGGAGCGCTCCGCTCCCGAGTCCAGATTCCCATGCCCGGGAGCCAGAGAAGCTGAGCGGCGGGTCTGGAGCCGGAATATGCCCTAAAGGGCCTGATCCCAACCGCAAGATTATAACCCAAGCACTACCCCCATTCCCCAAAACTTCACGAAGTGAAAACCACCCGCGTGTAGAGCACAGTGGTTAGACCTCCTGTTCTAAATGCAGTTTTCCTAGGTTGACTCTGGCTCCTAGTTTCCTGCTGCGTGACTTCGGACACATTACCTGTCTTCTCTGGGCGTCATCTGTAAAAGTGGGAATAATAATAGTACTTTCCCCATGGGGCTGCTATGAGAATTATGAAGGACTGTAAAGCGCTTAGCACAATACCTTGTACATAGTTAAAAACTCAAATGATAGCTACGATTAAGAAATACACAAGCATTGTTTTAAGAGTCAGGCTGAGGCCCATAATCAGCTGTGTAATCTCAGGCCAGCCTCCCTGGGGCTCACTTTCCATGAAAACAGTCATCCAAATGGTCTCTTCTCTTTACAGCCTTCTTTGGTGTCAGACCAGCCTCTGAGATCTCCTGGAATCCAGTCAGTCCTGGGCTGGACTGGGATGCCTTTAAAAGGCACCCCAAGGAAAGCCACAGAACCCTATGAGAGAGCCTCTGGCTACAGGTGGAGAAAACCACCGCAGATACAGTCTCCACCGATTTCCCCCTTGAGCTGTATTCTTAAATGCCTTCTAAGTCTCAGGGCTTTTTCTCCTCAGGTTTGTCACAGAAAGCTCTTAAAGCCAGCTCCCTTATGTGTGGGAATAATAAAGAAAACATGCTTGACAACCCTCTCCTCCTCCAAGCCCTAACAAGGAACTTTTGCTTTCCTGCCTCATTTTCTGTGGAGTTCCTCACAGCCTCTGCTGAGACTCTCACAAATCCCAGCTTGGGTCCTTGCATCCTGTAGGTGGGAGCTTCTCGCTTTGTTTCCCCGCGGTTCATCTGGTCAGGTGGGGAGGTTACAGCTGGTCCCCTAAGTGCAGAGACTGTGGGCCTCCAACATTGAGAATGGGGGAACCGGGTGTCTGGCAACCTCCAGGAGCAGCCAGGAAACTGCTGGACACTGGCAAGTGCCATAAGCAGCCAACTAGTGACTTAATGTCCTGGGAAGGTCAGTTTCAGGTGAGTTCATTTTCATGCCGATGTCATTATACAAGAGTTTAGGAGAGTTTTCTCATCCTTGTCTGTAGGTTGGAATCACTTGGGTATTTTTTAAATGCTGCCGCCTGGGTTGCATCCCCAGGGATTCTGATTTAACTGGCTTTGGGTGCATCCTAACTTTGGGTTTTAAAAGCTCCCTAAGTGATTATGTTTAGAGAAGGTTGAGAATCCCTAAGTTAAGAAGTAAAGACCTACAAAGGGATAAAGACTCATATGCTATAAATATCAGATATATCACAGTTACTGGGGAAGAGATTGGGGGCCAGAAAAAAATGGAGTCTTCGATCCCCTTCAGCCTCACTTTTGACTTAGGTGGAAAGACAACACAAAATTCGAAACAAGACCATCAGGGATACTACTCCTGAATGACAATCTTCTAAGCTAGGTAGAGCCCACTTCCAGAATAGGATTTGTAAAGTAGTAGAAAAATGTTTTTAGTAATAATAGTAGAAAAATGTAAAAGTGTTTTACACTGGTGAATAATGACAATGAAATGTCCTAATCCCAAAGGTAATACGATTCCACCTCAGGAAGCTGACTTCTCCCTTACCGGACTTCTCCCTTTTTCTAGTGACATCTGTCTCTTCCTCCTCAAGTTTTGACTATTTTTTAGTAAATAAAAAACGAATACTCTCAATATGGTCATGCACTGCATAATGATGTTTTGGTCAATGAGGGGCTGCATATATGAGAGTAGCCTCATAAGATTACAATAGAACTAAAAAATTCCTATCGCCTGGTGATTTGTGTTACAATTGTTGACAGTATTCAGTACAGTAACACACTGTACAAGTTTGTAGCCTAGGTGTTTAGTAGGCTATACCCTCTAGGTTTGTGTAAGTACCATACACTCTATGGTGTTTGCACAATGAATAAATCACCTAACGACACATGTCTCAGACCTTATCCCCCTTCATTAATCAACAAATGACTGTATAGCATTTCTTCACTAACTTCTTCAATATTCCTACGGGCTCCAAACTCCAGACAACCTAAAGTGTCCTAAAAGGGAATGTGATCAATACACTATCAAAAAAGCCATATATGCCAGATTTAGGGGCAGTTTCCCGGTGGGAAAAATAACCAAAACAAGATTCAAGAAGCTCCCTCCCCTGCTGCTTCCCACACCAGCTGACTTTAAATAACTTCTTTCCCATTTCTGCCCCACCCCATTCCAGCGCTCCCTTCAACAAGACTTTTCAATAAAGACATGTTAGCACTACATAGTTACAATAATTATTATCCTATTTTTTTCCCTTAAGAATTGTAGTAACCTTTTTCTCCCTCTTTTGCCTTCAGTCTTACTGGGCTATTTTCAAATTCTCTGCATTCTTTTCCTTATAAGGAATATCTTTCCTTGATCTATTAGCAGCTCTTTTGAAAAAGCTAAATAAACGTCCTGCTGGAGAATTTGCGGGAGGCAGGCATCTTCCATTTAGCCATATATAGAGCAGGCATCTGATCTGCATTATACAAAGTAGGCTCAGAGTCATATATGGTTTTTGGCTCTTTTTCCAAAGCCAGGTAGTTTAGAATTTAAATGTTTTAGCGAAATCAGTGCTTCCCCCCAAATCCCCTTTCCAGGAAGCTTGATTTTCACTGAAAATTTCTTTTTGTCAGATCCTAAATGTCGTCTCTGGAGTTCTCATTTACAAAGCACACCTGGATATACATCTCAAGCCTTTCATGCTACAAAAGACTTCACTAATTTCAAGACCTGAGACCCTTCAGTTATTTGCATGTTACTTTCATATAAAAAAGTCTGCTGTTGCTCTCGGTGTTTCAACTGCTGGCATAGCTTTCCCTGGTGCTCACACATTCTTGGAATTGTTACCAACTTCCCAAGGAATTCTTTTCTAATTGGGCCTCTAGGCTTAATTAGCTTTTAGAATGGAATCCAACGGTGTGAAAAGAAGTTGGTCCTTTGGCTTGACTTTCCGAGGCAGAAGAGGCAAGCTATCAATTAAAAAGCTTCCAAAGGGCAGTGGACAAAGAGCTTAGGAGAGCCTTAGCTGTGTGCATCACCCCTGCAACTATGTGGTGGTTGTCAGAAGGCTGACAGGTGGGGGCGGGGCCAGCAGGAGGGGCAGGGGGCAGCTAGCTCACTATACCATATAAAGCACTGAGCTATATATAACTCACAGCTTACTTTCTGGATCTAGTGCCTTCAGACTGCAGACCCAAGCAAGTATCATCTTCCCAGGCAGATCTTAAGGGGTGGATTAAGGCTTACACTAATGAGAAAGGAAGCCTCAAAGTGTCTCTGTGCCCCACCATGAAGTGCAGCCATCTAAGTAAAGGTACCGCTGTGTCATTTCTTTCATTTAGAGGCCAGGTTCTCTGAACCCTGACTAGACCCACCACCAAACCCAGAACTTCCCACCCACTGGAAACGGCAAAAGGAAAGAAAGTGAAGAAAACCTGGCATTCTCTACACAAACCTTGGTGATGACACCTCAAGGGTTTTCTGCCACCAGGGAGGTGAAGTTCACCTCCAGAGTCCAATTTCAGCTGCTCTATTCTCCCAGCCTCTCATCCACCCACCTCCACCCCCAGGGAGGTAAAGGAAAGGAGAAGAAGAGAGGAGTGGATGAAATATAAATGAATGTGTGCAGTAGCAGTCAGAGGCGGCATCCAATGCTCTGGGCCATGGCAGGGCTGTGTGCAGGTGTCCAGCAGGAAAAGGTAAACTTCCTTCATTGCTCTCCAGCCCTGTGGTGACCCCGGAGTGGCCACGCAGGCAAGAGGTGAGGGAAGCAGTGTGAGCGTGCACTTACATCGGTGGCCTTTTTCTCTGCCAGCTCCAGCTTCTCCTGGGCATCTTTGAGAGCCTCAGAGTATTTGTCCAGTTCATCTTCGGTGCCCTTGAGTTTCTTTTGCAGTGACACCAGCTCATCTTCCAGCTGGGAGTTGGCCAGGGGGTACAGGGAGGGAGGGGGGTGCAGCAGGCAGCGTGATCCCGAAGGGGAGGGGTGTGGGTGCACAGAACCAGAAGGACAGGGACAGCGGGAGAGACAGAGGGAAAGACAGGGAGGGAGAGAGAGAAAGAGAAAGAGTTAGCCATTCGTGCGCCACGCCGTGCCGCGCGCCCCGGGTACCTTGGCGGCGGCCTCTTCGGCGGCCAGGAGGCTGTCCTCCGCCTTGTGCAGCTCCTCCAGCACCCGGTCCCGCTCGTCCTCCGACACCCGCAGCAACTTCTCCTTGGCCGCGATGTCCTCCTCGAGCTGGGGGCAGCGGCGGGCGGGCGCGGGCGGCCGGCACGGACCGGGTGTTAGACACACACAACACACGGGCGTCGGGTTGGCTGGGGCCCCTCGGGCTCGGGGCGCCGCCGAGTTGGAGTGCAAAGGACCCGAGGTAACTTCCTCTTTACCCGAGCTGGAACCGCTCCGCGGCTCACCCCGCACACCCACCTGCCCTGGGACGAGACTCCTGCCGAGGTCTCAGCGGGCTCAAGTCCACTACTTGGGGACACAGAAGAACGCCACTGCTGGCCTGGCTTTCGGGCTGTAGCCTCCATTCCGCCCCATCTTTGTTCTTAGGTAACAACTCCAGGACTCCCTTCTCCTCCCCAAGTTTAAGGTTCCTTTCTCCCCAGTCAAAAGTCAACGAACTTCTAACACTTGAGTTACTCGACCCCCTTTCTCCATCCCTCGCCCTTCCTTCAAACGTCCCCAGGAACCGGGTGTCCTCCTCCCTCCCCCAAACTGATTCCCAGTCCTGAGAATAAAGCGCCTCTAGGACTTGATTTCGCGGGCCATGGGAACCAGAGAAGGGAAATAAGCGTCCTCAGACCAGACTAAGTTAGACTAAGCCTGGCTCTTGCGTTTCCCTTCCTTCTTTCCAGACGCGCGCCCTGGCCGCCCTGGGTGGTGGTGGGGGTAGGGTGGTGGCTCCCCGAGTCCTCGGGGTGGGGATCCAGCCGGGGGTGCCAGGCTCGAGTCCCGGCGCTCTGGGCGCGGGCGCAGGGCCGGGGAGGCGCAGACCTGCTTGCTCCTGTCTTCCGCCGCCTTCTTGTCGGCCTCCGCCTGCTCAGCTCGATCCAAGGCGTTCTCCTTGTCGAGCTTCAGCATCTGCATCTTCTTCTTGATGGCGTCCATGGTGGCGGCGGCGAGGGGCCCTGGGGCTGCAGCAGGAGCGGCGGGGCGAGCGCGCGGTCGGGCGGAGGAGCGGGAGTGCGAGCGCGGAGCCGCCTGCTTCTCCCAGATATGTACTTTCCCAAGGGGGCGACCGCATTCCTCAAGACAGCCAATACTTTTTTGGAAAAGCTTTTTTCTCCTGCCCCCCTTCCTCCTCTCCTCCCTCCGCCCCGTGCCCCCTCCCCGCTCCTCCCGCGGGGGCCGCTCGCCCATTCGCTGCCGGCCGCCGGCCTCCCAGTTGACGGTGGATATGACTATATATGGGGACCCGAGCCGCCGAGGCGGCGGCCGGAGAGGCCGCCCTGTTTCTAAACCTGCGCGCCAGGGAGAGGGCGTTGGGGCCGAGCCGGGGCCGAGGCGCAACCCTCCGCCCTCCGCGTGCCCTTCTCCCAGGGCCGGCACCCAGCCATTAGGGTCCCCAACCGAGCCCGCCCTGAGCTGCCGGAGGCCGGGAGAGCGCGGACCAGGTGGTGGATGCGCGTCGCCCCCCTGTGCCGTCCCCCGGCGCGCTTAGCCAAAGGCCCGGGGGCTTCCCAGCCGTGCTGCACCCCGCGTCAGGGTCAGTGCGCTCTCGGCACCCGCCAGCGCCTCCCCGGCAGCTCTCAGCCAGCCAGGTGTCATCCTGCGCGCTCACGCTCTGGAAACTCAACTGCAGCAGAGAAAGGGAGAACGTGGGAGAAAGCCTGGGGCGGCTCTTGAGACTTTCTCTGCGGGCGCGGGTCAGAGAGGCAGGGGGCGGCACAGCGACAGCACACGGAGTCTTGTTTTCTGCCTGCCCTTTCCCCCAGCGGAGGGACAGTCAAATACTTTAGGGACACAGGACTCAGTGGCGTACTTCTGTGCTTGCTGTGCAGTGCCTCCAAAAAGGTGTGCATGTGTGCGTGTGTGTGCGGGTGGCAGTCTAAGGGGAAAGAACATTGAGTTTAGACTCAGGCAATTTGGTCTGTGGTCTCTACTCTGCCACCAGCAACTGTGAGACCTTGTTTGCTGCCCGCGGCTTCCTCAACTTTAAATCCAGCGGGTAGATAATCCCCGAGGTCCCTCCAGATATAACTTGTTATCATTTTTCTTGCACTGATTTTAGGGAGTCGGCCTTCCATGTTAGATGCTTAGGTGCCAGGTTTCGGAAAACATGGGATCGGCGTTAACCTGGCTAAGTCATTGCATCCGCAGCCGCAACTCTGAGGAGGCTCTGCCGTGTGAGCTGTGCTTGGAAGGAGGAGGATTTCCCCCAACACTTCTTATTTTTAACTACTCCTCCCATCTCCCAAGGGGGAAAGGCTGCTTTTTTTCAGAGCTTCAGTGGGAGGGGAGGAGAGGGGGCTGCCCCCAAGCCCTGAGATCAGCTGAGGCAGGGTTGGTGAGGGTCTTGTTAATAGTCCCCACAGAATAATTCACAGTCTGTACTGCATGGTTACCAAATATTCCCCGGACGGTATCTGAGCAGATTAGGCAGGCCAAACAACTTGTAAGTCCTTCAGAGAATGATCAAATTCCTCTCCAAGATTTTATCGGGTTTCTTCCACTAACCTAACTGCCCAGGAGGGAAAAGATACACTGACCTAATGGTCAGAACATTAGATCTGACCATTAGCATAGGGGCTGCGTGGCACAGAAATTGACCAGAGCCCTTTAATCACGGTGTGTCAACCCAGCCACCGGAACAGTGACAAAGTTCCAGGCATGTGGACGATATCCAGATGCGTGGACTCCAGGGAGCTGACTCCCCAGGTTGGAGCTCAGCAGAGGAGGCAAGAATAGGGAGTTAGGAGTCAGTTCCAGGGATCCAGACCTGGCCTGGTCACTTCCTTGCAGTGTGACCTTAGCCATGTTACAATCTCTCTAAGCCTTTTTTCTCACTTATAAAAAGAGGCAACTGAACTAGAGAAACTCCTTGCGGGACCACATGTTACTGACTTTTCTTTTCTTACTGTGCCATATGTAGCCGAGGGACTCATTAAAGTTTCCTTAAATGAAATCATGCTACAAGCAATTTATTAAACACACGGTTGTTGAGTACCTGCTATATACTAGGCAGGTACTAGGCTCTGGAATCCAAAGAATGAGTAGCACAGGTCTATGTCCTCCAGGTGTTTGGCATGAGAAAGGTGTTAAGAATTCACACGAGGAAGAAATAGAAATGACTAGGTCAGAGCAGATGGGAAAAAATTCTCTGAAAAGGTGATGGCTTTTAAACTGATTTTAAAGGAAGGGTAGCAGTTAGCTAGAGAGGAGGGCCGTTGTATGCGCCAAGGAAAGAAAAAGGAATGTTTGGTGGTGGTTGGACAGTAGGATTTTGGGGGTGAATGGGGGCATGAGACTGGAAAGGAAGCTTGGGGCTGTATGATAAAGGGCCTTGAATTCCAGATTCAGACATTCAGACCTTATTGTGTAGTTTAAAGCCATCGATGTCTCTTCTTTTCACCTCTTCCTCTCCCAGACTCCCTCACCTAGGGCCTATATTCAGAGGTCGAAGCCTATGGTGTCAAAGTATGGAAATGGAGCTATACAACGCTAACTTTTAAAATCCCTTAGTACCACATCATTGATCTCTAGACTGATGGGTTAACATAGCAGGTCCTGAATTCAATCATTTCTTTTAACCCATGTTGAGATTCTGCCATGTGTCAGGCCCAAGTCAGCTTCATGGGCTATACCACCCATGACCTTTTTGTCACCAAGGGCTAAGACAAAGCTAGGACAAGCAAAACGTCATGACTTAAATAACACATTCTTCTGTAGTGAACAGGTCTCCTGGTCCTCTCCAGAGGTAGGCTGGACAGTCACAGGCTGTATGTAGTGTGTATCCCTGTTCTCTGGCTGATTGGCCACAACTCAAGGATGGATCTAAATACTAACCAGGGACTTGGCGTTGTGGCTTGTCAGGCAATGATGAACTGGGCCACTCAGCTTCTTTCATTGCAGTTTGAATTAAGGAACGTGAAAAATGGGAATCACTAGCCGTGGCTGCTGAAACAAAAAGGGATTGCAGTGTCGGGCTGGAAATGCCACGTGTAAAAGTGATTAAGGTTATTCACAATTTTTTAGGTTTTCTCCCCAGTCAATGTCGTGGTAGCATTGTACATCCCACCCAATTAAGTTGGCTGTGGCCATTTGACTTGCTTTGGCCAAGGAAACGTGAGCAGAAATGACTTCTGGTGGATACTTAAAGAGCTCACGACTAACCATGTTCATTTTTCAAGACTGTGGCTGCTCTGTCATTGTGGGTTTTCAAGTGGCTCCCTCTTTCCCCCCAACTAACCCTTGGTGGACATGTAGTGAGAATAAGATATAAATCTTTGTTATTTTAGGCCACTGAGATTGGGGGTTGTTTGTTACTGAAGCATAACTAGCTTCTCCTGACTAATACAGCACAATAGGCATGCATCAGCTAAGTTATGAAAAAGCAGAGAAGTGATTATAGAGAAAGAATGAAGCAGGCATATCAAGATAAACAGAAGCACCATTTAGAGAAAGAGATTGGGAGAATATGACCAAATTTCAGTTCCAGGGGTCCTTATAATAACCCCCTGTATTTCTTGAGGTTACATAAGCGAGTCTATATTCCTTGAAAGTAAAAAGCTTACCAAATCATGGTGGCATGACAGCCTGCACAACATTCAACATTCTTGGCCTAGAGGCTCTACGTGATCACCACGAACATGCTTGGAATTTCCAGATTTCTCCAGTGCCTGGTATTCAGTCATTTCTCAATGAATGTTTGTTGAACAATTTTTTTTATGACTGACAAGTCCAGCTTTCTTACTGACTTACAAGAAAGTCTGGGAAGGTAAAGTAACAAATCTAGGTTCAAAAGATCTTGTTTCCATTCAAAATATGGGCTCTGTGTCTTATTTCATGAAGAATGAATATAAGTATTGTGATAGGGTAAGACAAATGTCTCCAAATATTTATTGGACACCTTTTGTGTGCAAGACATTTAGGGCTTATGGGATCCAGGGAAGCAGACAAAAGACATGGATCTTTTTCTGTAGGAAAAGTGTCTATGTATGATGCAGGGAGAACCCTCTCTTTGGGAGTCATTTAATATGTATTTCCCATGGCATGACCATCAGCTCAGTTGGTCACCTGGGGCCCTCTATAGTTATGAGGATCACATATCTCGGGTTTTCTAGGAAAGCTTTAATATTAAATATGCTGCCTTTTTCCTTCCATAAAACACTTGTATGTGTCATACTACATTTATCAATATTTGGTTACAAAGGAGAGTCAACATGAGCATCATTTCCCAATGTGACACCTTTAACAGGAATGCCCACTTGAATATGTACATCAGGGTTTGTTTGTTTGAAAAAACAAAATGAAAACCTCATTACCTGATAGTCACCCCTTGTTTAACAGCAATAGCCCTGCCGGTGTACTGTGACTCCCCCAGAGTCAACAGTGCTGACTGAAGCAATTAAGGGAAAGTGAAGAATCTATAATTAAATGGAGAGACGACTGCTTCTTCGTCTCTTTTGGAATGCAGCGTTTTATGCTCACGACTCAGTGTCCCTGGAACAAGATACGGCATGCTCTCCTCAAACACTGGGAGTTGTGTTTCCCAAGGGTTTGTGATGCTACCATCAAGGCCTCACAGAAAATATGCTATGCTTCCTGGGGGCGGGGGGTGGGGCTGGTTTGGATCTCTGAGAAAGGTCTTTAGGCCATTTTCAAGGCGTGCCTGCCTTTATTGTTTAGTAACACACAGCTGGTCCTGATTCTTTGGAGAGGCCCTTGAGCACGCTTATTACCTGGAATGTTTGCATGGGCAAAATGATTGTCCCAGTACAAAAAAAAAAAGGCATAGGAGTTTTCCTGCCTTACCTCTTATTGTCTGTCTCTCAACAGTAGCAACTCAGTGTAGATTTAATCAAGCTCCAAGTGTGGCAGATTTAGCTGTCTTAAGAAAGGCGATATTCCTTCATGTTTGTATAGTTTATAAAGCACTTTCAAGTTCATTACCTCCTCCTCCCAACCTCTTATGACAGCATCAGGATGAGTTCTCTGATTTTCACTCTGTACATGAGAAAACCAGGCCGAGCACAGTGGCTCATGCTTGTAATCCCAGCACTTTGGGAGGCCAAAGCAGGAGGATCACTTGAAGCCAGGAGGTCAAAACCAGCCTGGGCAAATTTGTAGAGCTTCCCCCCATCTCTCCAAAAAACTTTAAAAATTAGCGGGGCATGGTAATTCACACCTGCGGTCCCAGCTACTCGGCAGCCTGAGGCAGGAGGATCGCTTGAACCCAGGAGTTTGAGGTTGCAGTGAGTGTGCCACTGTACTCTAGCCTGGGTGACAGAATGAGATCCTGTCTTGAAAAGAAAAAAAACCTAAACCAAAACAAAACCACACACACCAAGGGCAGTAACTGGTTCAAGACCACTCAGCTGGGAGGTGGCAGTGCAGGAACAAAAATGCAGATATCTGAACTCTCAGTAACAATGCCCTTTTCATTCATTCATTCCCAGCCTGTTTTTAGGTTCAGTTTGATTTCATATTTATTTTATGTTATTTTTATTATTATTATTTTTGAGACGGCGTCTTGCTCTGTTGCCTAGGCGGGAGTGCAGTGGCACTATCTCCGCTCACTGCAACCTCCACCTCCCGGGTTCAAGCGATTCTCCTGCCTCAGCCTCCCGAGTAGCTGGGATTACAGGCATGCGCCGCCACACCCAGCTAATTTTTGTATTTTTAGTAGAGATGGGGTTTTACCATGTTGGCCAGGCTGGTCTCGAACTCCTCACCTCAGGTGATCTGCCCACCTGGGCCTCCCAAAGTGCTGGGATTACAGCCGTGAGCCACCGCGCCTGGCCTTATTTCATATTTAAAAGCAATACATTATAAGGGGAAGGGGGGGGTCGCTAAGGTCGTTTCTACACGCAGAACGTGGTTAAAACATGATACTAATGAGGCTAAGATTGAAGGGTTGCCCTGACCTGCATGGGCCAGCTCACAACAGAAGCCTGGGCTCCTAAACCCTCCCACCCACTCTCAGTGATGGGAGAACCTAGTGAGAAAATGTTGTTAAGCCACCAAAATCTTTTTCCACTCTTGTGTTTATGACCAAAGGAGGGATAATAAGGACATCTTGAAGATAGAAAGGTGAGTATGTTAATTTTATTCCCAGTAGCTTTAATGGAGATTTGGGGTAATCAATAGATATCTACACTTGATTCCCTTAAAACCCTTGGGTTTGCAAAGGAATGAGCCACCAGTTAACCCAGGCAGTATGTTTGGGGGGAAAATGAAGAGAAAATTTGGGGCAAAACAGCAACTAGTGCCTCCTTAAGACCCAGCCTGCGCAGAAACGAAAGCGTCTGTACAGACTTCGCAGTCCAGAGCCTTGAAGGCCACGTCGGAGCCTTGGACTGGTTTCAATCATGACTTCCCAGCAAACCCTGCATTCTTTTCCTATTGAATGCCACCTGCTCATTTTTATATTTTTATACTTGCTTCTCAAGTTTCTGCTGATGTCCTTAACAGGAACATATGTGGAGGTGACCTTTGCAACCTCCTGAATGGCAAGTAAAGCCCCACCCTTACTTTGCAGACCATGAAATTCGATGCAAAAAAAAAAAAGCCCATGGAGGCGGATGGCCCAGGTGCCTCTCCTCTACTTGAGGTCTCGCTACAACCCACTCAGGCTCTAGGAGGCAGCCGTGTTAGGTAAATTCAAGATTAGGATTTCTAAACTTTTGTTTCTGCACCTATGCCAGACCTAGTGCTAACAGCTTAATTCTCAGTGGAGGTTATTTGATTTAGAGGCCTATGGGTGGGCCTAGGTTATTAAAAGTAAGCAATGGGCTTTCTTTTGGTTTTGTAAAGACCCTTTCTTGGCAGACTAGCAAAACCCATTTCCCCAAGGTTTAATTGGTTAACATGTAGGTTTAATCAAGCTCTATATGTGGGGGAATTTAGCTGTCTGAAGAATGGTGATATTCTCTTATATATGTGTAGTTTAAAAAGCACTTACAAGTTCGTTACCTCCTCCTACTCACCTCTCATGACAGCATCAGGATGAGTGTGCTAAAAGCAAAACCTTGTACCCCAGGGTTTAGCACTTTCTTCTGGGACCCTGAGTTCTTAAGAGAACCTGTTTTCTTGCTTTGATAGAAATTGCTGTTCCTCAATAGAAATGCTTCTCTGAGTATTTTGTCCTGAGGACCATTCTACCTCAGGAACTTCAGTGGAGGAAGGAGCCAGACTTTTCTTACTGCTTAAGGCGGAGGAAACTGTTCTTTTGCTGAGGTACTGCTGCTTGAGGAGGGAGCTCCATCAGGGCTGCCGGCAGAGTTCCAGAAGAGGCCAGTATTTTTAGCATGGCCTTCTTCACTTCCCAGCACCTGCCGTGATCTGTAACCCAAGGGGCTACTTAAATGCCACTGAGATGACTGAGGACAAGGCAGCCTGAGCTAATGTCCTAAAATACCACCCAAGGGAGGTTTTTCTTTTGGGAGCCATTTCATTTCTACCTCTTCTTGTTCCTTCCTAAGCTGTGGGGCTATTATAGATCCTGGCTGAGAAGTGCGACATCTGCCCTGGGAGGAAGTTAGAATAAAACCACTGGATCTATCTACCTTGATGCCAGCCATCTACCCTTGGCTCACAGTTTCTTTTTCTGTTGTTTGTTTGCCTGTTTTATTTTATAGTTCTGTGGTTCCTTCTTCCCCAAGGCTTCCAGTTTCAATCTTTCTACTGTCCTTGCCAGATGGAAGCAACAAAAGCATGTCCACACATATTTTTCCCAAAGCAAAGTCCTCTTTTGATATCCCTGAAAATAGGTGAAGGTGAGAGACAAAGGCAGGTCAAATGTTTCAGATGAGATGACAGTAAAGGGAAGGCAAACCCCTCTCCTAGCAAATATAACTCATGGAGCCCATTAGTCCATAAAGATGGTACAAGCTGGAAATAGAAATATGTTATCAAGAAGCTTGATACATTTGTGGAGGACAGATGCACCGTGGGTCATGAAGGATAATGAGAATGTCTTAGGATGTCTCTAATCCTGGAGTTTGACATCAGCCCATCCATCCACAGCATTCCTTGGCATCACTGTCAGATGTACAATGCTGGGCTGCTAAATCCTAGGGCTGACCCAGTGTGGAAGTTCTTACGTGCCTCTGCTAATTTCTCTGGCAACTCTAAATTCTCCCAAACACTGTGGAAGGCCTGGTATGAAATCAAGAGTTTATTTTAAAAGGAAGGAAATCAGAACTTATATATTGAAATGGATTTTGTCACCATGATCAGTTTTGCTTTAGTTGGGCAAAAAATATAAGCAGTAAAATCAAACATATGGTAATATAACTTAGTTAAAAATGATATGTATTTTTTAAAATATTTTTTATTTTATTTATTTTTTGAGATGGAGTCTCATTCTATCTCCAGGCTGGAGTGCAGTGGTGCGATCTCAGCTCACTGCAACCTCCGCCTCCTGGGTTCAAGTGATTCTCCTGCCTCAGCCTCCCGAGTAGCTGGGACTACTGGCGTGCACCACCACGCCCAGCTGATTTTTGTATTTTTAGTAGAGATGGGGTTTCACCATGTTGGCCAGGTTGGTCTCGATCTTTTGACCTCATTATCTGCCTGCCTCGGCCTCCCAAAGTGCTGGGATTACAGGTGTGAGCCACTGCGCCCAGCCCGATATGTATTATATATATGCAATATATGTCATATATGCGTATGATTACACACACACACGCACAGACACACACACCCGATGTGGGAAGTTACTGTTAATTTGATAACTGAATTCACTTCCTTTGAAGAGGTAGGAGGGGTGCTAGGATCAGATATGGTCTTCAAAAAGGAGTATAGCTATATCTTTATGGTTTAATTTTTAAAGTAGAATATATTTGTGAATTATATAAAGTATTAATAATCTCCTATTTTCCCTTCGTTGTTATTTAAAAATATATTCTTGAGTGTATTACAGAAAATTTTGGAGGGTTTATAATTGCCTGAGTCTCTTAAAGGAAGAAGAATCCACTTTGGCGTGTACATAAGCCAAAGCCTCACAGCAAGTAAAAACTAATATAAAAATAAAGTAGTCAATTTCCTTTGGGACACCCAGCTGTTTTTCAGTGCCTACTATTTGTCAGGCATAAAACTTGGCACCAGAAATTTAAAAGTGAACAACCTGGAATTCTGGCCCTCTGTGGGATCCTTTATTTCTAGGTTATTGCCTGTGGCAAACCCAAATTTCAAACGACCTACTGGAACTGTTGTTAGTGGTCTTTTACAAGTCACCCAGTAAAATTAGTTTCATTGCTTTACCATCTTGTGTTTGGACCAAAAGCAACATGCCCCCAGCTTGATCTTTTATTAAGTTTGCCACACCTGGTTCCTGACGACTTACGGATGTTTCCAAAACTCCAACGTACCTTCAAAGGATAAAGAAGATTTGCTTCACCAGGCAAAGTCAAAAGAATGTGCTACGGGCTGGGCACAGTGGCTGATGCCTGTAATTCCAGCCCTTTGGGAGGCCGAGGCGGGTGAATCACGAGGTCAGGAGTTCGAGACCAGTCTGGCCAACATGACAAAACCCCATCTCTACTAAAAATATAAAATTAGCCAGGCATGGTGGTGCGTGCCTATAATCCCAGCTACTTGGGACGCTGAGGCAGGAGAATTGCCTGGACCCAGGAGGCGGAGGTTGCACTGAGCCGAGATCGTGCCACTGCACTCTAGTCCAGGCGACGTGAGACTCCATCTCAAAAAAACAAAAACAAAAAACAAAAAAAGAATGTGCTACAGAGTCTAAAGGAATAGCAGCTCCAAATGTGGAGCTAAAAAATGCTTTTGGAAACAAATCCAAATAAAAGAACAGACAGCAAAATGTTGACTGTCATTGTTTTGCATGATAGACTTGTTAGTAATTTCAGAAATTCTTTATTTTCCAATGTTTGAAAAATGAGCATGTTCTACTTTTATAATAATAATAATAATAAGTTAATAAGCTTGCCTAAAAGCTCCTTTAGCCATCCACAACAATGCTTTACATATAAATAAGAGGCCTCCCAAAGAGACAGTTTTGAAAGGAATAGTGCTTGTGACTCTGAATTACCTGTTAGGTTACATGCCAGATTCTACCTGTTCTGTCTTCACCATCACAGGTACTTGCGTACTTGTCCTAAAGCCTCTCCTAGAAGGCATGCTTCTCACCAGCACTCACCTTAGGACTTCCACTGAGTCATAACACAAGTAATCATAGCCGCAGACCCCCAATAGACGAGGCTTGGATGAGGCTAGGACTTAACTCTTCAGACAGGCAGCAGAGTCCACGTTCTTAACCAATAGACTGTGTCTCCCCTCCCGATGACTGATGGGAGTAGGCCCGCCACACATATTTACTGAGTGAACAATTGTTCCTAAGTGCGTTAAAAAAGTACAGTCACGATATCTTGTAGTTGTACATTGTTAACAGCAATAGGAAAGCCAGCAGCCAGGATCTTCTCAGCTTGAGAAGAGAGAAGGCAGGGGTCAGCGCGGCCTTACCTCTGCTCCCTCTCATCAGCCTTGAACTCTGAGTAAGGACGGTGAGCTCATGGCTGGAATGATGTACTTCTCATGTCCTTCTCCCTTCCGAGGTAGCTGGTTTGGCTTGTGACTTCTCGGTCTTCATTCAAATTTCTCCAAGGCACATGTGCTGATGGCTGTTCCCTGGGTTCCTGGGTTCCTCCATGACAGGGAGCCCAGGGTGGGTTTTCTCCTCGGTGTCATCATTTCTGGGCACCTGCTGAGCTGGTCGGCCTGAGCACCCTGGTATTGCCAGAGACAAACAGAAGCCCTGAGAGTGACAGCCCAGTCACTGAGCATGCCTGGCCTGGCACGAGGCCCCATCATACATGAGCCCTCCTGCCCAACCCAGTGACACAGTGGGGCCAGTTCAGAGGTTAACACAAGGATATAGATTGCCTTGTTTGGGAGTGAACATGCGTTCTTGGGCTTTGGAGTCACCCGGGCAAGGGTCTGATGAAGGCCCTTAATTGCATGCAGCCTCAGTTTCTCCTTCCGTAAACTTGAGATAAGAATATGTACCTCATCAAATTGTTAGGAGGGTTAAGTGTGCTAGCAGAACCGCCGTGTCTGCCGCTTCCTCTCCAAAATTCACATAGGCGAAAATGATCGGCAAATTGGCCGTCTCCTATTTACACCTTGAAACAAACAAACTCACTTGTCTTGCTGTTGGATGTGTTAGCCGTAGAAGCCATTGATGAATGAAATGGAACGTATTCTGTGTTATATTTCACACAGAGGCGCTGAGGTACCAATATCTGTGTCTGTATGTTTTTGGGGAGTTGGAAAGTGTTATTTTAAAAGCGTGGGTTTTGCAGTTAGACCAACCTAATTTACCCATTTATTACCAGGGTGACAGCCAAGTCACTACCTCTTTGAACCTTGATTTCTTCATCTGAAAAATGGGGATAATAATAGTACCCATTTCAGCAGGTGATTATCATGATTGAGCTATTTAATGAATGTAAAACACAGTGCCTACCATGTAGAAAAGTTAAATATTCTCTTCATAATGGTTATAAATTTATCAAAAGGTCCAAGGCATGTGTACACATGGACAAATATGTGTGTTTGTTTGTGGGTCTGTGTATAAAACATTAGCCCAAACACATTACTGTTAACGCATCATTTGGGATTGTCTTCTTGGCAACGAGTTCTTTTTCTACCCCCTGAATTCCTCTGAGCACACTGCTGCCCTTCTCTGACTTGGCTTTCTGATTCCTATTTTCTTCCAGGCCACTTTGGTTATTTATTTTAATCAGATATTGCTTGTATGAAAATGCTAGGGAGATGGAACCTTGAATTCCTGCCAGGACTGTATCAGGTGGGCTCTGGGTAAGTCAAGACCTGACTCCCGTTTGTTGTACCATTAAACTTTTTATTGACATATACCATATGTACAGAGATGTGCGTATGTCATACTCATATAGCTCACTGAATTTTCACAAGCCCAGCAGGCCCTTGTAACCAGCACCCAGAACAGGAATCAGAACGTTCCAGAAGCCCCTTGTGCCCCCTTCCACATATTATCCCCCCTACAGCTGACCACCATCCCGGCTAGTTTTTTCCTGCGTTTCAGCTTTATATAAACCTGGCCCCTGATTTTAAGGAGCTCAGAGGCTCTTTGTTTCTCCCTCAAATCTACACTGTGATTAGATCCCCACTTGTTTTTGATTATTAGTGAATGTCAATAAACTTGAATTTAGTAGCACCTATGTGTGCAAGGCACTCTGTTACTTCACTAAAGTGATGAGGCAAGAGAGGTTTGTGTCTTCAGTGAGTGTTTTTTTTTTTTTTTTGCGGTGTTCCTCATGCAGGGCTGCCTGCTTGAGCTGTTTCTCTTGGAATGAGGCATGCGTTTCCCATACTCCTCTCTCTTGTCTGGCTTCCAGTCTGTATTCCATCCATGAAAGTGAGTCTTCCTGGGTAAAGATCCCAATAGAAGCTGACCAGTGTCCAGTTTCCAATTCCAGAATTCCAGGAGAGAGAATTTGACTGGCCCAGCTTGGTCCGCTCTCAGTCACGTCAACTGTGGCTGGAGGGTGTAAGGACACGTGATGCTGAAAGGGTGTGGGACCCAGCCCTGAAAAGAAGAAGAGAAAGCGGGGAAGGGAGGGGCTTGGAAGTTTGCAGCAAAGATGTTGGTCTGAGCTGGTTCCTTCTAACTCTGATAGTTTATCATTTCCTTTTCTTCTCAGATGCAGATCCTTGACCCAATGTCTAACCTGATTTATTATTCACCTTCCCGCATCAACGTTGCAATTCAGTAACGTGGCTCATGGAGCACTAGGGCTGATGCTTCCCAAACTGCCTCTGTGGGGCATTTCTGGCTCCGATGCCGCAGCTGGCCACTCAGGAAGGCAGCTCTTCCATCTGGCTCTGAGGATTAGCTGTGGTTTTATAGACACACATGCTCTGCAGTCTCTACCTCTGAGGGAGGGGCATGTTCCCTCACAGCACAGACTTGGCCCCTAAAAACTGATTTCCTGGATGCAGGGACCACCAACTGTTTATGATGATGATTATTATTACAGAGCATTGGAATTCCTGCCCAGGTTCCAAAAGTCACCCCCATGAAAGAGTGTTTGCAGCAGCATCCTAAATCCTGTACAACATCGTGGTCAGAGTGAAAAATATAATGGGGTGTCTCCAGTCCAAGCTCTGCTATGACATGGACAGGGCCAGAGATGGAGGCGGGGGACTATGCTCACTTTGCCTTACATACACGACCTCATCGAATCCTCACGGCAAATCCAAGCGGGAGACATCACTACACGTGTTTTCATGGACGCGCCAACTGAGGCAGAGAGAGGTTAAGCATAACATGAGTAAAGCCCATTATTGTTTATGAAGTGCTTTCTCTTTGTTGTCTCATTTTATCCTCATGAAACCCCATTTTATAGATGACTTTCTTGTGGCTCAGTTTCCCAATTTTGCATGGGTCATAAGTGCCAGAGGTTGGACAGACTCAGAACTCTGACTCCTATCCCCTAAGACAAATCTGCAAATATGCTTCTGTAATAAGAAGCGGATAGAGATGAACACTTTTAGATGATCCACTTGTAATTTTATGGTGTTTCAGAGAAAGGCAAGCTCATATATGGATGGAGAAAATCAGGAAAGGATTGAAGGAGGAGGTGATATTTAGGCCTAGTTTTTGTAGTCTGAGCAGTAATTGGACAAGCATTACTTGAGAGAAGAGCACTCCAGGAGGAGGAAAGGACACGCTCCCAAGCCTGGGGAGGGGGTATGTTCAGGAAATAGTAGGAAGTCATTTGATCTACTGGGAAGACTGAAGGGCAGAGTGGGGGATGAGGCTGGAAAACCAGAGTGCCTCTCACATGGGCTGTGGCAATTGTCTCCTTGACAGGTTGGGGCAGAAGGGTTGAAGGGTCGACCACCCATGAATGGAGGTCTGTGACCTCAGAAGAATCCCCGGACTGAGTTTCCTCATGGGATTCTTGTTGCTCCCTTGTTGGCTGTTGGATAATTACCCACTGGGTGCCTATGATTAGGGACAGGGCAGAGATAGGGGCTGGAGCACACATTATTTACAAGTGCTAGGGAGATCCAGCAACTTTCTAAAAGAAGGAACAATAAAACTTTTATAGATCATTACAGAGTCAGATGTTCCAATAAGGTAGGGTTGGAGTATGTGTGTGTGTGTGTGTGTGTGTGTGTGTGTGTGTATACATGTGTGTTGTGAAGTTTGCGGGTCACAGAGGGTAGGGAGCAAGACAGCAGGGGGTAACAGCCGGGCATGACCCCCTCTGGCCCCAGGTTAGTTTCCCCCTCCAGAGGCAAGTCTTATGGGAGGATCATATATGCCTCAGTTTCCTCACCTACAAAATGGGAAATTGTAATACCTGTCACCCAGGATTGCTCCGAGAATCCAATGAGATGTGCCAATGTGTCTTGAGGTGTTACTTTCATTGTTATTTTGTACTATTATTAACTTTAGACCTTCCCATGGGTACTTACCTTCCCAACTAGAAAATAAAAGTCTTTAGGAGTAGTGGCCATGTCATCTATTTCTTTTAATCTTTGGTGGTGCCTAACAAGCACACAACAAATTGTTTCAACCATCAAAATAGACAAATTAGTAGTAAGGTACATTTGCCCATGGGATGAGCATGGCCACTGTTTTTGGGAGCCGTATTTTAGTTTCTGAAATGGTAATGAGCCAGATGTCAGATAGCTGAAAGAAACAAGGTGGGTTTCACCCAATCCATCAATACTTGTACAACAACCCTGCGCTGAGCTCTGTGAGGGTGGCAGAACTGGGGGTGGGATGGCTGCCTGAAAGCTTAAGGACCATGGCACCTGTGGAGTTGGCTTCTGTCCGTGGTTGAGCTTGGCATGCTGGTTGTGGACATATTTGTGGAGCAGCCTACCTTTGAATGGACCCCACAGCTTGGACCAGGGACTAACAGTGACCACAGTGGACCACAACTAGAGGTCTTGCCCCCATTTTCTCATGGGTCATAAAAGCCTTGAGGAGAGGGAAAGGAAGCCACAAAAATGGACCAACATGAGACATAACACTGAGCTTAGCTTGTGAGGAATTGAAACCCAGCTGATTTAATTCAGAAGCATTTCCAATAGAGACAATTCTCATAGCTCCAGTGAGGTGCAAAGATTCATGCCAGTTCTGCTCACAATGGTGAACATTATGTAGATAAATTGTTATCGAAAAATTGTCCCAGGACCTGAACACTGGGGTGATGAGGGTGTTCTGAGAGGCCAGAAGCTGACGTGGAAGAGCTCAGGACCAATCTGCATAATTTTTGGGTGATGTATGTCCTTTTTTTTTTTTTTGGAGAATTTACTTTTGGGATGAATGCTTGGAAAATTAGGGTCTTTGATATATTTGAAAAAACTAGGAGATGCTACAAAATCACAGGTAGTCTCTGAAAGTAATAGGATGGAGTTTGGATTTGAACCTGTCATCTCACATTGTGTTATACTTTTGTAGTTAGAAAGTACCTGCTTTTGGAGAAGGCAAAGGTATTTATGGAAAGTGAGGGCCTTATCTTGGTTACTCTGTATTTGATTTCCATCTTATTGTCCCCAGAACTCCTGTGTTGACTAAGTCCTCCTTTTGTCAATAAAGTTTCCTGCCTTGACTCCACATTGGAGTCTCACAGTCTAGTGTCATCACTGTCATTGTTATCACCTGTTTTGGAGATAGTATTTATTATCTCAGAAACCCAGAGACTACAAAAAGGAAAACTGTGAAGGTGTAGTTAAGGAGAGGCTGCTTCTCCTGAGATTTCAATATGAAGGACTGTGTTGCAGCCCCATCATCCCAAATCAAAGTGAATTCCAGACTTTAGAGCTGTACACCTTTAAGGCAAGTTTGTGGGGAGCTCCACAGCTGAGAGGGGTGCCCAGCTAGGAGGGTCCAGGTGCCAGGTGAGGGGGAATCAGTGTTACCTGTGGCAGCAGATGAAGGATGCCTTTCCAGATTGAGGATAGTCTCGTATAACTAAAAACTGGTATTTGTTGCCTGACAATCTTCATTTGGCTGGAAGAACTCCCATAGTACCAATCATAGAGTTGGTGTTCTATAAACACTTACTTGTTGGCTCTTGGATTCATGACTTTAGAACTGAGGAGCACAGCTATGGGGCTTGCAGCTGCAATTCTGCAGATGCTCCTTGAGTCAACCTGGGCCTCTGCAGCCTTGCTGCACCCTCAGCTCCACCTGGGCCTGAGCTCCAGGGATGGGCTTCTGACTTGCTTACCATTTCTACATTGACCTCCTAATCCTCCAATACTGGTCTCCTCTATCTTGTCCCCCACGCCCATCTTGGTCTGAAGTCTTGCTGTTGGGCCTCAGTACCCAAGTACTGTCTTTCCATGATAACCATTCTCCCTCCAATCCAGACTGTCCATCAGACCTGGATCTGCACGAATGCAGTGCTCTGACTGACCACCAGGATCCTGCCCCTCAGGCCATCGTGAGGGTCTTGTCTATCTGGATTCCTAGGATCACCTGTTCCTGAGACCATCCTCACCCACCCCTGGCCCTACCTGGGTGGATCTCTCTATGCCTTAGCCAACTTTTGTGTGACCTCATCCCTGTCCACCAAGCCATAGTTGTGCTCATCAGCTCCAGAATCATGAATCCAACAGCCAACAAGTAAGTATTATGGAGCACCAACTATATGATTGGTACCCATGGCAGTTCCTCAACCAAATGAAGATTGTCAGGCAACAAATATCAGTCTGTAGTGATATGAGACCAAAGGTGGAATTATCTTCCTTTACCCTTTTGGAAGAATTATGTAATGAAATATATTAGTTATATATTGCTGCATAGCAACTTACCTCAAAATGTAGTGGCTTATACACTTTATGTATAAGAATAAATATTTATTACCTCTTACATTTCTATGGGTCAGACACGAAGAAGTGATTTAGCTGGCAACTGAGGCTTGAGGTCTCTTATGACGTTGTATTCAAGACGTGAACTAGATTGCAGCCATCTGAAGGCTTGTCTGGTGCTGGAAGATTTACTTCTAAGGTAATACATGCCTGGCATTTTGGTGCTGGATGTTGACAGAACACTGCATTTCTCCTCGCCAGCCTCTTGGTGGCTTCTTGAGTGTCCACATGACATGGTGGCTGGCTTCCCCAGAGCGAGTAATCCAGGAGGCCAAGGATGAGGCAGCAGTGTCTTTTATGGCCCAGTCTTGGAAGTCATAGACTGTTGGTTCTACCATATTCTCGTGTGTAGGTCAGCCCCAATTCAGTATGGTGGGCACAACAATAGGAGGTGGGGTCCCTGGGGACCATCTTGGAGACTGACTACTGTCCCAAGGGCTATTCACCTTAAAGGCTAGGAGGAAAATACATTTTATCTCTTAAACAGATAGTCATATTTGTTTATTTCTCTATCTCCAATGCTGGAACAGTACCTAGCATATAGTCGGTGCTTAATAAATATTTAATGAATGCATGATTTTATGAACAAAAGACATTACTTTCAAGAAGTGCTTTCTAGTTTGTGAAGTAATTTTCCAGATGTTTTACAACTTGATTCCCATACCTGTGAAGTATAGAGGGCTAGTATTATGAATACTACTATAGAGAAGAGTGAACATATAGTCACGTATGAAAAGCATTGTCCTAATTCACCCAGCCCGGAATCTGATGCTCTTTCCTTCATGCTCTACTCATATCACATGATCATGTCATGACCCCAGTTCCCTGGGCTTCTTCCATGCTCACTGGCTGTGAGGTGGGTATCTTGAAGGGTAGGTAAAATGACCCCTGCGAGGCTGGGACAAACCATTTTAATGGTTTGCAGGGCAGGTCTACTGTGAAGCCAGGGACATTTAAGCATCAAAACTCGCACTCGCATGGACCCTTCCAGGACAATTCCTAACTTTTTTGCCAAGTGCGAGCCATCTATGTGTGACTACATTTGATAAACTGATACAAATTCTAGAAGATGGTAACCTGCTGTTTAGCAATATCCACAGTCATTAATGACAGTGCAGCTGTAAGCGTCCCTTAAAGGCATCAATAAGTTCTCAGAATAGATGCCATGAACATATAGATGATTTACTTAATCTCACAGGAGAAATGTTTTCAAGGATACCTGCAGTCATTGACAATTTCAGTATTTTCCAACAGTTATATTTTTTTCCTTTTTAATGTATTTTAGAGATGAGGTCTCGCTGTGTCACCCAGGCTGGAGTGCAGTGGCACGATCTTCGCTTACTGCAGTCTTGAACTCCTGGACTCAAGTGAACCTCCCACCTCAGCCTCCTGAGTAGCTGGGACTGCATGTGGATACCACCATGCCCGGCTAGTTATTTAATTTTTTTGTAGAGATTGGGTCTTTCTATGTTGCCCAGGCTTCATAGAAGAAATATTTTAAACATAGATACTAATTTGAGTTTTTCTTTAGCTAAAGAACTGAGAAAAATCAGATAAAAAAATTAGTAAGTTATGCAATTGATAAAATCAACCTAAGTTATTTTGATTTTAAGAAACAAGTTGTAGCAAAAGAACTCTTAGTGCCAAAGGCATTTATTCGTTAAGAAGAGGAGGCACATTTTGAAGATAAGTAATGAACAGGGTCTTGGACAGTTGATAGTCCCATCTCTAGGGAGGGCTCATCTGGGTATGCGGGGGATTCTGCAAGAAGGCACGTCTCCCTCTCAGCCCAGGCCCTGTGGGACACAGCTCCTAACAGGCTTGGCCAGACAGGGAGCTCCAGTGAGCTGGGGCTTCTCCTGTAGGCTCATGCCCACCCAGTTTCTCCTCTGACCCATGGGACCTGGCCTTTCTCTAAGGAGCCAATTAGGGGTTCTTAGGCATGAGCAAATAAAAAGAAACCCAGAAGAAACATTCTGTGGGGCTGGACATGGTGGCTCACACCTATAATCCCAGCACTTTGCAAGGATGAGGCAGGAGGACCACTTGAGCCCAGGAGTTTGAGGCTGCAGTGGTCCATAACTGCATGCCACTGCACTCCAGCCTGGACAACAAGTGAGACTCTGTCTCTAAAACAAAGCAAAGAAAGAAATATTCTGTGTTTATTTAAAAGAAATGTTTGCTCCCCTCCAATTCTATCCTTTTGCAATTTCAGAAGAAGCTTTGTCTCTGGATTAGTCAAGCTGAAGTTATTTTTCTTGCCATCCGTGTGGGGAATTTTTCCATTTTTTCCAACAAGAAAATAACCCTTGGGCCAAAGGAACTGTGAAAATGTTTAGTCTCCAGAAAGGCATGCAGTCTCTCAGGGCAGCGGAAGCCCTGCAACTCAACTTTGGAGCGTGCCATTGTGTCATTTATGAAACAACCTCCCTTGCTTTTCCTTTGCACACCCAGCATCCAACTTCTGCCCCCCACAATTCACAATAACTGCCCTATGGGATGTCATGTGGAGATTGATTAGGGTGGGGTGCTGCTGGAATGCCACACAATTATCTGGATACGTGGCATTTTGGAACCAGAGTGTGGATGTGGGCTTGGAGCTTGGAGACTGGCTCTAGTCTCAGTTCACTTGATGGGTGATCATGGGAAAGTCACTTCCCCTCCTTGTGTCTGAGTTTCTCCAGTTGTAAAAAGACAGTGTTTGAACTGGATGATTTCAGTGCTTAATGATTTTTATGAATTATCCTGAAGGGCAGAGGGTGAAGCTAGGATCAGGGTAGTTTCTACAATGATTTATGTGAAATGAGAGATGAAGAAGGCCATTCTCTGTATATTCTTGGGGAGTGGGTAAGGGAGGGGGGAGAGCTCTGATTTTTGAAGTATATATTCATATTACTTTATGTTCTTTAATACATTAATTTTTGGGGGTGTTGTGATATGTGATACCTGTTAAAGCATGGGCTCAGAGAAGGGGACCCTTTTGTCTGGGCCTTGCCTAGATGGTGGATGACTCATTTAGTAGATGCCAGTGTGGATGGTTGATGGCTAAAGATTACACAGTTAAAATAGAAAATAATTTGAATCATAGATAAAGTTCCATTTAATTAGTGTTTCTCTGGGAAGCCTTCCCTAATCTCCCTTCCTTATTGACAGAATTAATAACCACCCTTTGATTCATTCCTACACATAATTTTTATCATTACAAATATCACACTGTAATGTATAATTCAAAAACATGTTAATATTTATTTCCCTGTATCATTGCAGGCCAATGGATATCAGGAAATACTTCGTGGGGAGGAAGCAAGGGTTGTGCTGGTCAAAGCAAGGTTGACAAAGACCTGGCTCAAGAGATCAGTGACTGGAGCTATCCGTCAAAGCAGATCAGGAAGCCAGGTGAATAGGTAGGTACCAGGAGACAGTCAGAAGGCCCAAGTCAAAGCAAGACAGAGTGAGGCACTGAGCAGTATATGTAGTAGCAGTGAAAATAGCTTGCAACGGAGGCCCCTCCTGTCCTGGCCTGGGGGCCTTTTACATGCTTCCTGCTGAGCCAGGTGCTGTGGGTGAGGCTCCACACCTGGCCAATCTCCTGTTTGCTGGCCCAGAAGGGATCCTGAGGGAGATAAGTGAGTGAGGCTAAAGAGGGGAGCAAACCCATCTGTCTCAGTCAGTTTGGGTTGTATAACAAAGTACCATAGATTGCTGGCTTATCAACAATTTATTCCTCACTGTTCTGGAGGCTGGAAGTCTGAGATCACGGTGCCAGCCTGGTCGGTTTCTGGTGAGGGCCCTCTTCCAGGTTGCAGACTACTGACTTCTGGTTGCATCCTCATGAGGTGGAAAGAGAACTAGCCAGCTCTCTGGCATCTTCTTATGAGGACACTAATCCCATTCCTGAGGGTTCCACCTTCATGACCTAATTACCTCCCAAAGGTGCCACCTCCAAATATCATCACATTGGGATTAGAGTTTCAACATATGACTTTCGGCAAGCCATAACACTCAGTTCATTACACCATCTGATGTTTTTCTATGACTGAATATTTATGTAAATAAAATTTGCAAAACAATCTATTGAAATTAAAAGAAAATATAATTTATAATAAATTCATATCAACTTTAAAAATCAACATCACTTAGATTAAAATTACTTAATCTTTTGAAAATGTAATTAAATCTTTAAACATATTTTTATAAAATAAAACCTATTTATTAATACAATTCTAGCCTTTGAGGTCTGCCTGTGGCCAACATAAAGAATTAATATCATGCTTTTTGTATGTTATGGATAGGCCTGCAAATACACAAATTAAAAGTGTTAGGATTTGTTTAATATTGCAAACTATTTCCCAACCATCATGTGAAGCTGTTGTGAATACTGCCTTAATTTTTGACTGATTCCAGAATCACAGGCTGGAGCATTGAGAGAAGCAAGAAATAGACACTCAGCATTCCTAGGAAAGGATACTGCACTTTGCATGAGTCTGTGCATTCATGAAATCTGTGAGGAAGAATAAGGTAAGTTAACTAATTTGCCTAATTCTTATCTGAGTTCATATGGGGCTCACATCCTGCCCATCCTCCAAAGGGAGGTGTCCATCTCCAGCGCTGGCAGCGGCACAACCCACAAATCTTCATGGATGGCATTTGGACAAGGTTTCCCTTTGATTCACAGACACAGGACAAGAGACACGGAGAAGCGTTTCTCTGGGGCCTGAATGGTGTTACTCATCCGAGTGGTGTTTAGGGTTATTGGTTGTGCTGTGCCGATGCTGAGTTCTGAATCCTGAATGACAGAGATGCTCTCAAGTTCCTTAACACATTAATCTATTTTGGGTTTGTGATATGTAAGACCTATAAAGCATGGGCTCAGAGAAGGGGACCCTTTTGCCTGGGTCTTTCCCAGATGATGGATGACTCATTCAATAGATGCCAGTGTGGACGAATGATGGCTAAAGATCACACACTCAAAACAGAAAAGAAATTGAATCATAAAGTTTCATTTTTTGAATGTTCCTCTGTATGCCTTCCCTAATCTCTGTTCCTCCCTTATTGACTGAATTAATCATCATCCTTCCATTCCTACATATAATTTTTATTATTACAAATATCACACTGTAATATATAATTTAAAATTAAGCTAATGTTTGTTTCTCTGGCTAGGTTGGAATCTTGAGCAACAAGGTGGTACCTTAATTGTCCCTATGTCTCCAGCAGGCAGCACAGTGATTGATATTTCATAAATATGTGGGTAGAAGTGGACTGTGAGCATTAGGAGTCTGTGCTTAGAAGCCAAACGTTCCTGGGTTTGAATCATGGTCTTACCACTTCCCAGTTAGGTGACTTTGGAAGTTTCTTAACACCTCTAAGCCTCAGTTTGCTCATCTGAAACTGGGGATAGTGACATTCCCCCCTTCATATGGTTGTTCTGAGGCTTACTTTTTTGCAAAATGTTTAGTATAATGTTAGCCGTTGCAACGTTCCATTATTTATCACACAGTACATCTCCAAACCAAACAATCCCCATGTCCAGCCTCACAGTATTGACATGTGGGCAAACCAGGCAGTGCATACCAGGCCACTTGCAAGGACATTGCAAGGAGGCATTATTGTTAGGTCAATTTCTAAACTTAAAAGGGGTACCGAGTGTGTGGAAGATTTGCAACTCTTTGAGCCTATGGGTAGAGAAGAAGGATTAAGGAATTCATCTAAGCTAAAAGACTCCTGGAACAGATGAAATATAGACCTTCAGTTGTTATTCTCCTCCTGGAGGGTGACGCTCTCTGGCAAATATTTCCTTCACTAATGGGCTGGTGGTGATGTCCCTGTCCAGAAGCAGCTCCCATCAAAAGCTGAGAAGCTGAGGAGTTGGTGTAACCTGAGACCTCACTCCAGCAGGCCTAAAATCGCAGCTGAGCTTGCAGGAGCATTCTGAGCAGCAGCCTTGTGGGGGCTCTACCCCGTGTGTCGGGTGGCTGTGTCTTGTCTATCAGGAATGACCTGGCTGTGTCCTGCCAAACAGGTACAGGCTGTGTCCTGCCTCTCCAACCTGGACAAAAATGCACAGGCTATTGTGGGCTGGTGCGATCCTATCTCTCAGCCAATTTTCTTAATCATCTGCCGTGGCCCTGGGAGGCATCTCAGGTTTCCACGGCCCCATGGCCCACAATATTTGCTATTTTGGGCCAGGTAGTCAGGGTCTACAGCTGTATTCTGTGTCATCCATGGAGCAGCCATTCGACAAGTATTTCGTCAGCTCTGATTCATCTTCAGGCAAGGTGCCAGGTGCAGAGGACAGGGAAAGTGTAAGAAGGCTCTCACTCCAGGTGGCTTATACTCTTGCTAGGAAAAGATAGAGGCTACTACTCAGCTGCTAGTCTAACAAATATATGTCCTAAGCGGCAAATCAGTGCTTTGGAAGACGAATGAGGGGCCTGTAGGGTTAACTGGGTTGTTCAAAGAGGGAGTCTTAGAACAAGAGATGTTTCTTTCTGTGTTAGGATGATTTCCTGATCTTGCAGTTGCCCATTTATCTGTAGTGCCCACATAACCAGCATAGGTGCCACCTCACCCATTGCCATGATTTGGGGTGAAGGTGGGGGTCAGACTCTTTCCCAGACTGGTATGAGGGTATAATTCTTAGAGTAGCATGGAATGGGGTTTGCAAATTACTTCTCATGAACACCCTAGACTCTGGAACAACCCTTAGAAAAATGGAAACACTATGCAACAGCTCTGCCAGCTCAGAGATGGGATGGGAGAAACCAGGGCTCCTGCTGGAGCACAGTGTCTTAGAGTGTGGCTTGCCGTCCAGGATGTATCTCTAGTAGTTGTGAGGCTATGTCAGGCTGTGAGGCCAGGTCAAGGGTCTGGATGACCTGAAATCAGATTGCAAGGACCACAGTGGGGCTTGAAGTTGCATGCCCATCTTAGATGTTCTAGGATCTCAGGGCAGGCCAGAAAGAGCTCCATTTGCAAAGCATTGAATATAGGAGGGGTTGGGGGTGTGTCTCTGAATCATGCTCTGGACTAGTCCCCAGGGGACTTATAGCAAGTTCCTTATTGAAAGAGTTTATTCAACTCCATGAGTAAGACCAGCTTTGAGGGTTCTAAAGAGCAATTGGTACTGAGAGGACAGACCATTCAAGGTAGCTCCAGAGACCTGTCATCAAACGGGAGTAGCTTTGCCTCTGTAATAAACTCTGGATGGGGATCACATCAGGAGAAACTTCAGCACATGTCCATGGTCATCATCATCATCACCATCATATTTTATTATACAAGAGCAGTCACTAAGCACCTACTCTGTGCCAGGCACAATGCTATGTGCAGATCCTCATAGCAGTCTTTCAAGCTAAATATCACTTCCCTCATCCTGCAGGGGAAGCAACAGAAGTCCAGAGATGTTAAATAACGTGTAGAAAGTCACACTGCATTAAATTGGCAGGGCTGGGACTCAAACCTAGGTCTGTCTGACTCTGAAGTCTATGCTCAACTTCAGCAACTGTAGCCACAGCAGCAGCAGAGATGTAGTGGCTTTGGCACCAGGAGAACTTTGTCTGAAAGTAAGTGCTAGAGACTCAGAACCTGCTAGGATTCTAGGTTGCAAGCAACAGAAACTAATTTTCTTTCTTTCTTTTTTTTTTCTTTTTGAGATAGAGTCTTGCTCTGTCACTCAGGCTGGAGTGCAGTGGCACAATCTTGGCTCACTGCATCCTTGGCTCACTGCAACCTCCACCTCCCAGGTTCAAGCGATTCTCCTGCCTCAGCCTCCTGAGTAGCTGGGATTACAGGCACGTGCCACCATGCCTGACTAATTTTTGTATTTTTAGCAGAGAGGGTGTTTTAATGTGTTGACCAGGCTGGTCTCGAACTCCTGACCACGGGTGATCCGCCCGCCTTGGCCTCCCAAAGTGCTGGGATTACAGGTGTGACTGACTAGCTAATTTAAATAGCAAGAGGATTATTGGAGTGACATAGGGTCAGTCAAATACTGACAGAAAGACTGAAGAACTGGGCAGGGACCTGCCCTCACCAGGAGTCACACAGTGAGAAGTTCCTCTAGGCAAGTGTCAGATGCTGGGAAGTCAGAACAGAATGACAAACGTCCATTGCAGATTCCTAAGAATGGCAGAAGAACAAGGAAGATGGGATTGAAACCCCAGCAATCAAAACTTGTGGTCAAATGTAGCTAAAAACTATAGCCATCGGTACCTGAGTATCAACATCTCCTATGAACAATTCACCTATACAGATTTGAGCAGACAGGTGATAGAAGGCCAGGCACTGTGGCTCATGCCTGTAAGCCCCAGCACTTTGGGAGGCCAAGGCAAGCGGATCGCTTGAGCTCAAGAGTTTGAGACTAGCCTGGGCAACATGGTGAAACCTCGTCTCTACAAAAAAATACAAAAATTAGCCGGGCATGGTGGCGTGTGCCTATGGTCCCAGCTACTTGGGAGTCTGAGGTGGGAGGATCGCTTGAGCCCAGGAGGTCGAGGCTGCAATGAGCCCTGATCGTGCTACTGCACTGCAGCCTGGGCGACATGGCGAGACTTCATTTCAAACAAACAACAAACAAACAACAACAAAACAGGTGTTAGAGTCCTTCCTCACACAACTACCAAACTTAAGTGGGTGAACTTTTCTAGTGATCACTCCCATGGAGCACTAACCTCAGGACCCACTCATTCTACCCAGCCTCCACGATGGGGATCCTTGCCTGCTGGTATCCCTGTCTTTGCATAGTCCGCTCTCACACGGAATCAGGGCTGACCTGTGTGAACAATGGGACAGTAGATGTGATGACGCGTGACTTCCAGAGCTAGGTCGGAGAGGCATTGCGGCTTCTTCCTTGGTTTCCTGGATAGGTAGTTGCGGGGGAAGCCTGTCACCACACTGTGAGGACACCCAGGCAGCCTCATGGAGAAGTTTGTGTGGAGAGGAACCAACCTGCCAGCCATGTGAGTAAGTTATTGAGTTTCAGGGTTCATTTGTTACACAACAATAATTGCAGGTGAGAAAGAAAGGAGGTAATATGTGTGCAAGCAGTAACTACTGGAGCAGTGTCTGGACATTGTTGCACCCAGAGTTGAAAGAAACCTTCTAGCTGGTGTGGACATTTCCTTAGTAATATCCCTCACAGGTGCTCAGACTCTCAGCAAACCTGGAGCTCCCTTAGCTATCTTCATATGTGGTGGTTGTTTGCAAGAGATGATAAATATCTTGGCTTCCTGGGGCAGAGGTAGAGCAATGGTGGGGCCAAGGGTAGGGCAGTTTAGGAACAGCTTCCCCTCTATGGGAAGTGTCCTGTGGGCCCTTTAAGCCTGCCTGGCCACAGACCTTCATGGACTTAGTTTTTCCTTTCTCTAAACCAGGGATTAGCACAGTATGACCCTTGAATCAGCCACTTGATTTTGTAAATAAAGCTTTATTAGAATCAGCCATGCCCATTTGTTTATGTATTGTCTAATGCTATTTTGGCGCTTTAATGGCAGAGTTGAGTAGTTGCAACAGATACTGTATGTGGCCTGCAAAGCCTAAAATACTTACTACCAGACCTTCTAAGAAGAAGTTTGCTGGTAGAAATGGACAAGTATTGTTGGCCAGCACAGCTGAGAGCCAGAAAGGCAGCGTCAGTTGTCCACTCTGTCTCCAGCTCTATGGAGGACAGAGGGTCACTATGGCCTCTCTCTTTCCTTGTCTCATGACAAAGGACTTTCCAGCAGGACAGAGAGTAGAAATGTCAGAGGGAATGTCCTCAAATCCTGACACATGAGCCAATAGATGTTTACCCTCTATTAGTTATTTATTGCCGTGTCACAAATCATCTCAAAATATAATGACTTAACAAACAATGACTATTTCTCATGGTTTCTGTGAGTCTGAAATCTAGGAGTGGCTTAGCTTGTTGGTTCTGACTTGGGGTCTTTCATGAGGCTGCAGTCAAGATGTCTTTTGGGCAGAAGAAATGGACACTGTGCTTCGTCTCTGTGTGGTGGGGTGGAGAGAACTATGAGTAGGCAGTCAGGAGACTTGGATGTCAGCCCTTGCTCTGTGCCTGACCTCCTGAGTCTTTGATTGAGTCATATTTCCTGTTGGAGCTGTAGTTTTCTGATCTTTTGAACTTGGGTCAGTTTTTCTTAGGGGTCCAGGCCCCAATACTTAGCAAGTTCCTTCATCCCTGTGGACTTGTTTTCTCATCTACAAAATGAGGATAAAAACACCTTCCTCTTAGTGTATGAGGAATAAACAAGCTAGGCCATATAGTGTGCCTAGCACATAGAAAGTGTTCAATAAACTTTAGCTGTCATTATCAGCAACAGAAATAGCAATATTAAAAGATCTGATGCCACAGTTTGCTCTGAGCCCTGAGAACAAGGGCTTCTGCATCTTCCCTTCTCCTTCATCAGTTCAGCCTCTTGCTGATACCCTCCAAGGCTGGCTCTAGGTGGTTATGCTCAGGCCTCTGGCATAGGCCGGGGTGTCTGTTTCCTTTCTCAGCCTGTGGTGGTGAAGGCACATTTGTATACAGCTAGTTGAAATTACAGATTAAACAACCAGCATATCTCATAGTTGGGTCAACCTTTGGGACAGCTGTGAAGTATGTGATCACAGGTGGCAGTGATGGAATGGACTTCAGAGCTCATCTAGTCCCTGATCCAGCCACCCCTCTAGCCTGTGGTGTCATCATCCCTCCTCACAAGTCCTGTCTGAGCAGTTAACTGAAGCACCATCCACCATGCAGGGTTCCTGCAAGCAGCCCTTTGGTGCCTGCAGACCCGAGGCCTGCCAAAGCCATCGCAGCTGCCTGCGCAGACCCACTCTGTGGCCAAGCCACTGTGTGAAATCTTTAGCCCCAAGTCCTCACCCCACTGTAGAGACGCAGTGGATGAAACCCATTGGGCCCATTCCCATTCTTTTCGGTCTCAGCCAGCATCCCAGGCCTCTTCCTGCACCCATTGGCTCCCAGACTCTATCCCTACACTGCTCTGTTCTCTTCTCGGCTGCCCTGGCCCCCATCCCCCTTTCCCTGACCCCTTCACTGCTCCAAGCAGCGCATTCCTCTGTACCCTTAGCCTTTCCTGGAACATTCCCTTTTCTTTGCCCTCTGACCCTTCAGAGAGGGGCTGCTTATCCTCACATTCCCCTCTCAGGGTCAGCAGGACAGGCTGGAATCCTCCTGGCTCCCCAGACCACTCCTAAACTCCTCTTCACCTTGTGAAAGCTCAGTTCCTTTAGAGTAATGTCATTCAGTCCCCTCCCCATCCCTAGTGCTCATTTATAGTCAACCCCTTCGATGTACTGGCCACCTTGGCTCCAGGGTTCCTGGATCCTTTCCATCCCAGCTCCCTCATCACCGCGGGGCCCTTTATCATCTATGAGGATGACTTTTCCAGGATCCCAAACATGACCTCCTAATTGCCAAGAACAGTTTCAGACCTTAGCTATCCACTGCCTTCCCATTACCAAAATGACATTCCCTACAAAATCTCAAACCCAGATATCTCGCTCTCAAGATTATCTCTTGATCTCCCAGCTTGCTTCTTCTAGGCCCCTTACGACAATTTTCCAACCTCCTCATGAACCCAGACCTACTGAGCCCAGTTCTTTCTCACTGTCCGCCAGTCTTCTTCTGGCTTCATGTCCTTTTTCTTCTGTCTTAGATTCCATGGTTCTTCACTGGAGTCACTCTCTTGCAAACACCTCCAATTCCTTTGCTTTTCTTCCTCTCCTTCTCACTACCCTATTTATCATAAAGCTTGGCATTAGTACAAGGCTCTTGAGTTTGTAGAGCTTTTGAAAAGGCATGGCTTTGTTTTGATATTTTGGTGGTCACGTATGATGCAGGGCAGGTAACAGGGAAGGTATACCTATTTCTGGCTGACAGATAAGTTATTAAGTGGCTTTTCCAGGGTTGCCCAGAGCTGAGCTTCAAACCCATGTCTTCTGGCCTTCAGTTCACCTTGCCTCCAGAACAGGGTGGGCTTTGGATCCATACCTTCCTCACCAAGTATCCAAAGCCCAGCAGAGGGAAGAGTGTTCCCAAAGTGTGCCCAAATGATGATGGGGGCAGGAAAGGCGGCATCCAGGGGGAGTGTGACTCTTCACAGGCCATGGATTGCTGAGAAATCCTTTCCAAGAGGCCGGCCTCCTAAGGGACGCCGGCTGCCAAATGCAAAACCAGATGCCATTGGTAACACACACACCGTCTGAGACAGAATTCCTCCAGCTTCCCAGCTTTCTGCAAATCCCATTTTCTTTCCTTATTGGGGCTCAGGGGGCCGAGGGCCCCACATCACTCTGCACATCAAAGGCATCACCAGCTTTCCCAGCACAACTCCCAGAGGCTTTTACCCAGCCTTAGACAATAAAATCACTTTTAAATAAAAACCAAGACTCAATATTCGGCAGGAAAGGGATTAACAGGATCAGTCGAGAGATGACATCATGCTATTTTTGTTGGCATTTCCCCAACTTAAGTGTGAGGAGTCTGGGTGTGGAGAGAGAATATATATATTTTTTTCTTTTCAACTGCTTTGGCCACTCTAAATCTAGGTCTGGAAAATGCAAGGACAGGAGGCGGCTGGCACAGCTGGAGGTGGCCTCCAGCACAGTCAGGGCATCCACCAGCCTGAGGGGTGAGGACATGGGACCTGCATGGGAAGAGCAGGGACCGGGATGGGCTTTTTGCTGTCATTCTCCCTGGGCCTCAGGCAAGGGGAAAGGAAAGGCCCCTTTTGGTGATCAGTCCCAGAACTTGCAGAAAGGTGCCCTATACAGTGGGCAAGCATCCTGGTACAGCTCTCGGAGACAGAGTGGGCTAGAGCAGAGGTCCCCAACCTTTTTGGCACCAGGGACCAGTTGTGTGGAAGAGAATTTTTTCATGGACCAGTGTGGGTGGGAGGGATGGTTTTGGAATGATTCAAGTGCATTACTTTTATTGTGCATCTTATTTCTTTTATTATTCCATTTTAATAAATAATGAAGTAATTATACAACTCCACATAACATAGAATCAGTGGGAGCCCTGAGTTTGTTTTCCTGCAACTAGAGGGTACCATCTGGGGGTGATGGGAGACAGTGACAGATCATTAGTCATTAGATTTTCATAAAGAGTGCACAACCTAGATTCCTCGCGTGCGCAGATCACAATAGAGTTTGTCTTCCTGTGAGAATCAAATGCCACTGCTCATCTGACAGGAGGCGGAGCTCAGGTGGTAATGCAAGCAATGGGGAATGGCTGTAAATACAGATGAAGCTTCGCTGGCTCACCACCACTCACCTCCTGCTGTGTGGCTGGTTCCTAGCAGGCCATGGACCAGTACCGGTCTGTGGCCTGGGGGTTGGAGGTCCCTGGGCTAGAGAATCTGGGCCTGGCTTATCCATATACCAGCCTCTGGATGATGGCCACTAGGATAGAACAGTAAGGCCCTTTGAGGACACTTGCTCCAGTGGCTTCCAAATTTGTATTTTTTTAAGTTAAGGAACTCTTGCTTCAAATGAGATAATATACATACACTGCATACAGATGGCTGGAGGAAGTGGAACTACCACACTTGGAGCCTCCTGGCTGGGCCTCCCCAGTGCCTGAGGCTACCTTGAATTCTAACACCAAAAATACAAGTTGAAAATCTCTGACCATTAATTAATTTAGTGACCAGTCACCAAGTGTCTGCTCCATGCCTGGCACTTCTCCAGGTGAGCCAAGTCAGGCACAGTGCCCCTTGTCCTCTCGGGGCTTACAGTTTCATGCATGAGATAGACATCAATCAAATAAGGACACAAATAAATGTGAACGCCCCCTCCCCTCCCCTGACTTTTATATATAAGGAAAGTGAGTCGTGAAAATGTCAAATTCTTAGCCAGGCACTCAGGCTACCATTACTAAGCCTCAAGCAGCCTTTCCAACTTTGTTTCACATTACTTTCCCACCTGAACCCCCAGCACCATCCGGAGCCTCAACTGATGTGTGTTTCCCAGCTATAATTTACCTTTTCTCACCTCCAATTTCCCTGGCCTGCCCGGTGCTCCCTTCCATCTTTCTCGCTGCCAACCATCCCTAACCACCACTGGGAAGTCCACTGACAACCCCACGTGTCCAGAAGTCCCCTCAGTTGGAGATATTCTGCCCCTGGCCTCAGCCTCCCTCAGCACCTATGCCTGATCCAGAGAGGAGGGGAGCTGCTGGCATCCATTAAGGAGGAAGAAACCTTGGCAGCATCCTCATCCGGCTACCGAGACCTTAGATGAGTCTCCCAACCTCACAGGGGAGCCCGTGAGCTCACCCTTGGAATTAATGATTTGTGCATACTTCTACTCAGGAAATTCCCTGAGGGCCAAAATTGATTTTTCTCCTACTTTGTCCTCTCCCAGTACCAAGTCCAGTGGCTCACTGGAAGCCAAACATGGCCTTTGTTCCTTGACTGGGGTATCGTATTGGGTACTCCCTGGTGCAAAGTCTCTCAGTTTTTCGTGACTGCTTCAGGGCTGGCTCCACACAAGCTTCACTGAGTTTTCTTTTCATGGGAAGACTGAAGGCACATTTTATCAAGAGTCTAGGCCTTCAAGTTTCCATCCACCTCCCTTGGAAAACTCCTGCCCCTCCCCACCAAAATTTCTAACTCTCCAGATGCATCCTTTCCATGCCCTCCTTCCAATGCCCCGGCCCAGGGACATTAATTCTAGAATATTGCCCATTCAGCCCTTTGCTAAGCCATCCCTTCCTCTCCAATCTCTCTCTTGGCCACTCAAATCCTAGGGCCCAGCCAGAACCAAAGAGGGAGGAATTCCGAGTCCTGCAGTCCACAGCCAGTGGTGGTTGTGGATCCTTCTCATTGGATTTCTTCTCCACAGTCCCATCAGTGTGAGTTGCATGCATGCAGGTTCTATGATGTAATAGCACTATTAAATTATACATGCAATCTTCTCCCCAAACAGTAATTAACTTTGGGAACTAGTACTGTTTAAGACACACACAGAAATTCGGCTGTTCGGTAGTGTGCTGGAGATGGTCCGTGCTGGCTTGTAAGAGCTGTTTGATGGAAATTTTCAGGAATTTTGTTAGCCACTTGTTAAACATTGCCACCACTATTAAATTGTAAATTCCATAAACTTGTAATTAAATAAGTTATATTAAAAATTTTAATACATGCTAAAAATGCATTACTTCCTAATTATTTTGCTACACTTTACTATTATCTATTGTGTCTATAATGGTGGAATACACTGCTGCACATCACTACCCAACTCCAGGCCCGTTGAAGTCAGCCATTGTGGGAGTATTTACACTTGGAAATTGGCAAACACTACAAATCAGTGCTGTCCTCCCCACACCCAGGTCAATAAACCTTCACCAGCACTTCACTGGAGAAAGCCTACGTTTCCTCAATTTGCTCTGCACTCCTCCACCTTCCTCAGTTGGCCATGTCATTTTGCAGGGTAGCATTTGGTTTTTTGCCTCCTCTGCCTGGGGCCTGTTGACGCTAATAGTCCTGAATGGCAGCTGCCTTAATTAATCAAGGAAGGACAAGTCACTATCTTAGGGGATGAGAGAGTTGATGATCCTTTTGGAAATGAGAGGTATACTTCGGCTACTTGGTGAGCACAGGCTTTAGCCCTGCTTGGTGGGGTGGGGTAGGGAAGGCTTACCTAAAGAAGTGGCGCTTGAACTAAAGTAGATTTCACATTCCTGGAGAATGTGGGGCTTGTGCGATGGGGTAGGTGAAGTCATAGGATAAACCTGTGTTTATCATAGCCACCATAGGATAAATCTGGTGCCTCTCTTGAGAGCATTGGTTTGTTAAGATGGTAAGTAGTTAAAAACATTATTAAAAAAAATAAAACAAACATGACAGTATTATGTAAAGGAGTACAAACTTTGGATGAATTTTAAAATTAAAACAAGAGACTGCAAAGACATTTTTCCCACATGACAGACTCCTCACGCTATGGCCCCAAACCCCACGGGCACCTATTCGCTCTCCTCCAACATTCAAAGTCCTCTGGTGGAAAATTTTGAAGATCCCTGAGCTAAAGGTTTTTGAGATAGCAATAGCAACTAATTGAACAGAGAGTGGGGAGGAAGTAGCTAGGGCATTCCAGAAAGTGGAATTCAGTAGGAAAGAGCAAGGGCTTGGATTAGATTCCTCGGGTTTGAATTTCTGCTCTGCCACGTCTTGGCTGTGTGACCTTGAGTAGGTTACATAACTGTTCTGTGCTTGTTTCCTACAGATGTCAGCTGGGAATAGTAATAGTACCCATGTAACAGGTTGTTCCAAAGATGAAATTAGCAGCATGTGTAGCGCTTGAAACAATGTTAGGGCTTTTTGCTCTTTCCAGTTCTCCTAAGTAGAGGGACTAGCAATAGCAAAGACCTGGGCCTGGGCAGGCATGCTCAAGAAACAGACAGCTCTTCCACATGGTCGGGCATGGTGTGTGTGTGGAGAGAGGTGGTAGAGGCCGGGGAGCTTTCCAGCCTCATCTGCAAGGAGACCAACTGTGTAGCACACTCACCTGCCCCTGGCGACTCAGTTCCCCTGGCAGGGTCTTCCTGTGCAATGGGGGTGGGCTGGGGGCTTGCTCATCTCCAAAATCCCTTCTGGTACCCATAGCCTGCATTTTATTTCATCTTTTCTCCATCTCTTCTCTCTGAACACTTACACAGGATTTTCAGATCCCCATAGTTTAGAGACTAAATGCGGTTTTGTGTGGCTCACCAGTTACCCCGCGAATTTGTCTTTCCATTTCCAAACAACTAAATTATATACAAGTTATTTGATTTTTTAAAGGGGGGCGAAAGGGCATCAACACTTTTAGCTAAGGTGAATAGCTAATCCAGTTTTATAAAGTTATTTTTAAAAATAAATCTTGCCAATTTCATAGCAAGTTTATGGCATGATGCAAGTTTATCCTGCAGACTTTATGGTCTATGGAATCAGAGAGATTTGGTTGAAATCCTGGCCCACTGATTGCCACAACTGGGCAACCTGTTTCTTCTTTTAACTCAGTTTCCTCATCTCTAAAATGGGCTGGTGATAATTGTACCTACTTTATAGGATTATCGAGACAATTAAATGACACAAACCAGATCCAATCATGAGAGGATGGGATAACTGTCGTTTGCCCCTCTGACCTTGTAGTGGGGGACAGGGGTGAGTCCAGCACCTTCTCTTCTGGGCACTGTTCGCAGGCTGCGTCCCTTGACCCCATCTCAGCTCCTGTCACACTGCCCTCTCCACATACCTGTCTTTGTCTCCCACCTTTTATCCTTCAGCCCAGGAGGTAATGGCTGGCACTATCCACCCTGGGCTACCGCATGCGCCTATGGGGTTTCCCCACACTACCCACACCTTTGTAAATAGTTCCTTTATTCAACTCTCCTCAAATTACCTGATATGACTATTCAACTTGCTCCCTGACTGATATATACTTAGTATACTATATATACTTAGATACATACTATTACTATATGTACTTAGATATATACTATTACTAAGTATATGTCAGTCAGGGAGCAAGTTAAACACTCAGGTAATTTGAGGAGAGTTGAATAAAGGAACTGATATACACTAAGTATATCAGTTAGGGATATATGAGCATGTGATACATCAAACTGGTATACTGAGCATCTACTATGGGCCAAGTATTATACTAAGTATATAAGGGCCTGACTGATATACTTAGCATAATACTCGGCCCATAGTACATGCTCAATAAATGGAACTATTATTAATATGTAGAAGAGAAAACTCCATGCCTTTTTAAAGGAATGTCTGGGCATATTTATTGAACAACATTCATTGACTCAACAGATATTGAGTTCAAAGTCCCATTGAGTCAATATCAAAATCGTATGTTATTTATTAGGTTTTTTCCCATTTATTATGCAGCACCTTCATGTGGCATGAGCAACATGGAGATGAACCTCTTGCTATTGGTTTCAGCGGGGGAGGGAGCTCACTGGGGTTTCCTCTGTCATGACAGCTGACAAGCAAACTCATCAGTCACCTGTTGCCCGACTAATCAGTTAGAGCTCTTACCTAGAACTGAGCAGTCAGTCACGATCAGGAAAAGTGAATTCTACTCACCGGGTTCTCTCTGGGGAGGACACAGGCGCAGAGGGGTGAGCGGCCCTGTCAAAATCGGCCTTTTGTCTGGCTCTAATCTAGATGTGAAGTCCTATTCGATGTCACAGACTTGGAGGATTCTGTAAAGTGGGAGAAGAGCCCCGAATGAGGGCCGAGAAACTGGGTTCTAGCCCCTGTTTGGCTGATAGCTTTCTGTGGGTCGACGGCGACTGTCGTCTTTAGGACTTGCTTTCTTTCTCTGTGAATTGAGATGGTTGGTCTGTTAATTGCCTGTGGCCGCTGTAACAAATTACTACAAACTGAGTGGCTTAGAACGACAGGAACTTATTCTCTCCCGGTTCTGGAGGCCGGAAGTCAGACATCAAGGTGTCAGCAGGGCCATGCTCTCCACAGCTTCTAGGGAAGAATCTTTCCTTGCCTTTTATGGGTTCCAGTGGCTCGTGGCATTCCCTGGCTTATAATAGCATAACTCCAATGTCTGCTTCCATCTTCCTGTGGCCTTCCTCCCTCTGTGTGTCTCCATGAGTTCACTCCTCTTCTTATAAGGACACCAGCCATCGGACTTAGGGCCCACTCAAATTTGGTGGGATCTCATCTCAGTCCTTAACTAATTACGTTTGCAAAGAGTCTATTTCTGAATTAGGTTACATTCTGAGGTTCAGGGTGGACATGAGTTTGGGGGGACACTATGCAACCCAGTACAGTTGGATTCTGGGTTCTCGATAGTTCTTACCAGTCGCACTGGCTCTTGGAAGTTGATGGGTATGTGGCATTCCCTAGTCGGGCCTCTCTCTTTGCTGGACTACTTTGAAAGAGATTGGGTAGGGCAACATTACACTACCCCACACTATATCATGCCCCCTCTCTTTTCCCTCCCTCAGTGTTACCACTCGACATTACTACAGCTCTCCCCTCCCCTCCCCCTGACTCCTACTACTGGGATCTGTGGGAGCCTGTCTGTGTGCTAGGCACTGAATCCTTTCTCTTCCAGTGGTGCTATGAAATAAGTATTATTACCATCCCCACCAAAGGTGATGAAACTGAGGCTCACACAGCTGCAGAGTGGCAGAACCAGGACGTGAGCACAGGTCTAGCTGAGCCAAAGCTCAAGCTCTTGCCACATGCCTGGACGTTTGAACAACAGAGAAACAGGCCTGGCTTTTCTTCGACCATACTTGACTTTCAAGGCAAAATTGTGAAACTGGAAAAAGTAGTTTACACAATTTCCCTCTGAATTGCCTGTTCTTGTCTTTGCCTTTCTCCCATGCCCTAATCCCCCATGGCGGAGTCTAATACCCTAAGGCATGCTCTGGCCTCTCTGCTCCCTTAGACACCTCATTCTCACTAAGGCAACAATGCCTGATAATAGCATAGAACGCTGCCCTCACCTCACCCTCAACCCTGAAGGGCTGTGCATTAGCATGTGGCTGTGCGTGTATGTGTGTGTGTGTGTGTGTGTGTGTATGTGTGTGTGTGTGTGCATGTAAGCCAGTGTTTTTCACTCAGTTTTCCTTGCCTTGCCCTGTTCTTTCTAAGGGCAGGACTGTGCTTTGCCTGACAGACCAGGGCAGTTTCCTGCTCTATGTTTACAGCTTTTATCATAGTAGCGTACAGTTTGAACTCAACACACCTACAAAAAAAACCCTTAAACCCACACTTTAGCCAAGGCCTGATAATATTTAAAGAAACACGGATTTTGAGTGTTTCATAGTTTTTCTAATATATACTAAAAGTTTATTTATGCTCTGTTCTCACTCATAAGTGGGAGTTGAACAATGAGAACACACAGGCACAGGGAGAGAAACATCACACCCCAGGGCCTGTCAGTGGGTGGGGAGTAAGGGGAGGGAGAGTATTAGGACAAATACCTAATGCATGCAGGGCTTAAAACCTAGATGACGGGTTGATGGGTGCAGCAGACCCCCATGGCACATGTATACCTATGTAACAAACCTGCACGTTTTGCACATGTATCCCAGAACTTAAAGTAAAAAAAAAAAGTTTACTCGTGCTCTAATATCTCCTATACTACAGTGGCATGGGAGGGACCCACATTTTGGGAAGTGATGGCTTAATGTTCTGCCATCTACTTGAGACATTTTCTAAGGATGTTGAGTTTATTTATTTATTTATTTATTTGGTGAGAGTGGATATCTTTGAAGATCATGAGCAAATGTTTAGGGGTATATACATTGATATAACTCTTTAGGAAATTAGGTCGGTGATACATATTAGGGGCCTTATAACAGGTAACCTTATACTTATTATTCCGGGGAATAATTCCTGAGATAATAACCCTCAAAGCAGGCTGGGTGCGATGGCTCATGCCTGTAATCCCAGCACTTCAGGAGGCCGAGGCAGGTGGATCATTTGAGCCCAGGAGTTTGAGACTAGCCTGTGCAACATGATGAAACCCCGTCTCTACTAAAAATACAAAATATTAGCCAAGTGTGGTGGCAAGCACCTGTAGTCCTAGCTACTGGGGAGGTTGAGGTGGAAGGATCACCTGAGCCCAAGAGGTCAAGACTGCAGTGAGCCATGATAGTGCCACCGCACTCCAGTCTGGATGACAGAGTGAGACCCTGTCTCAAAAAAACCCCCAAACAAACAAATAAAACCAACCAACCAACCAACCAACAAGGAACTCAAAGTAGAAAAGGCTTGATTTGTTTCATAATGCCATTTACAATAGCAAATGTTTTGGCAGCAATCTGAGATTCCAATGATTGGGAGGTGGTTGCATAAATCATGGCGTATCCTTTCTTAGAGAATAACATGCAACTATTAAAATGATGCTCACTCTATAAAATTAGGTGAGAGAAGCAGGACACATAAATGAATATCAAACATCTAAGTTGATCATTATTATATAAAATGAAATATGCATAAAGGAGAGACTTGCAAGAGATATTGCTAAATGTTAGCCAAAGGTTGTTCGTAGATCATTTTCCCCCTGTAATTTCTACGTCTTTATTATCTCCAAGTTTTAAATAGTAAATTTCAGGGTGGAGGAATTAAACCATTGACAAGGTTATTCATGTATCTTTATGTTCATTTTCTGGACAGGGATATTGTGATGATGGCCCTGATTCATTTAGTTGGAGCCAAAGTTTCCAAAAAAGAAGTTGATGCTCTTGTTATTGATGTGTGTGTGTGTGTTTAGTGGGGTGTGATGTGAGGTGAGTGCCTCCTGAGGAACACTGAAGATTGACAGGGGGTCTCTAGGAAAGGGAGACCCAAATACAGTCCCCCAGGGTCCCATGCACAACCTGCTCATCACTGCCCTGGCAGTACTTGAAGACACATTGTCCTCTAAAAGAAACACCCAGCCTGACATCTCAGATTACTGCCCAGAGCCAGGGAAAGAGAGTGAAGAGATTCCCCAGGGGTGGGGTGCCTCCTCCTGGATGTCTTCAGGACAGTTCATTTGGCCATGGAGGTTTTGGAAGGCCCTAGCTGGAGCCCTGAGGTAGGCACTGAGTTGGGCCCTGCCGGAGCTAGGAAACAAGCCTGGAACAGAACAGCCTAGCAGCAGAGTAGCTGTTGACTGAGTGCCTATAATGCATGTGCATACGGTGAGCTAGTCCTTGAATTTTTCTAATTTAACACTCATAATCATCCTAGGAGAAAGGGTTCCAGCCCCCATTTTGTGGATAAGGAAACAGACCCAGAGAGGTTAAGTCACCTGTGCAGTCACACAGCGGGGATTCACACTCAGGTTCAGCTGACTCCAACACTCCCACACTTTCAGTGACGCTGCCATGAATCTCCATGGAAGGGAACTAACACTATTGGCCCCCTCCCCTGCTTGACCAGTTCTGTCAAGCACTGGGTAATTGGGGATGTAGTAATAAATCAAGCCATACTTCCCGGGGGATACAAATCACATTGCTGCTTCCACTTTTTAAAGTCAATTTCATCTTAGGCTTCTTGGGACTGCCACCAATGCCTAGCCACAGAGAGGGCCAGGGTCCATGGAAAGTGCTGAGATGCTGATGTGTACACATGTGCTCTATTGCGTCCTCATGGACCGTGCTCTACTTCATCCAACAGTCATGCTGATTACCTTCATATTAATGGGACAATGTATGGTTGGGCACCCCCCTTCCTCCCTGCTTCCTTCTCACTCATCGGCTTTCAGCCTGGAGCACATACCTGTGGTTAAATTATTAAACCTTACAACAGGATAGAAATGATGACAGCTGTAATCCCTACACACACACACACACACACACACACACACACACACACACTTTCACGCCACTAACAATTTGCTGAAAATGCTGACTTAATAGTATTAACCTAATGGCTGGGTTGAAATAATGATAATAATGATAATGATGATAGTAATAGTAAAAGAATTGCTCTCAAATCATTCTGACAGGTATTGCAGCTTCAGTTGCCACGCTCATTCCCTGAGAAAGAATTTGCATTTTAAGATTCAGTTCGTTTCAGGCAAACGGCTCCCCAGGAAGATAAATGAGCCTTTAATGAGGTTTTTCCTTGCCCAGAGTGAAATCTTACTCCTTTCTGCAAAAGCAGGTGAACACCAATTTCCAGACAGGATTCAGGCCAAACCTCTACATTTCCAGACTTCCAGGGGGCAGACTGGAAAATGACATCTATTAAAAATCCTGCGCTCATGCCTGTAATCCCAGCACTTTGGGAGGCCAAGGTGGGTGGATCGCCTGAGGTCAGGAGTTCAAGACCAGCCTGGCCAACATGGTGAAACCCCGTCTGTACTAAAAAATCCAAAAATTAGCCAGGCATGGTGGTGGGGGCCCGTAGTTCCAACTACTTGGGAGGCCGAGGCAGGAGAAGTGCTTGAATGCGGTAGGCAGAGGTTGCAGTGAGCCGAGATCGTACCATTGCACTCCAGCCTGGGTGACAGAGTGAGACTCTGTCTCAAAAATAAATAAATAAATAAATAAATAAATAAATAAATAAATAAATAAATCTTGGGCTCTGATTTAAAGTGGTCCCCAGTGGGGTGTCATTGCACTGTGGCGGTGTTTTGGATGGGGGCATGATGTGGCAGGAATGTGGCTTTCTGGCTCTCTCTGGCCCAGCAATGGTGGGAGCTTTTTTGGAACACCCCTAAAAACCAGGGTAAGTATCTTCCCTCTAGCCATAGCAGGCAGACCACGGTTTGAAATGCTCCAGCCAGTTAAAGAAGTAGCATTGGGGTGCAGACCCCAAAGGTGTCTCCACAAAGACTTGCTGAATGCCTACCGTATGTGGTTCTACACAGATGAAGATGACTAGGATATAGCTTGAACCCAGGAGGTGGAGGTTGCGGTGAGCCAAGCCCACGCCATTGCTCTCCAGCCTGGGCAACAAGAGAAAAACTCCGTTTCAAAAAAAAAAAAAATGCTATTTGAGAGATAGTCTTGTTCAGCCCTTCTAAAACTCTTCTGTTCACTTGCCCTAGTTTTAAGGGTTCCCATCTGGTATCTTAGTCTTGGGATGTCCCTGTGCTGTGGAGTTGTCTGTGGGACAGTAACCATATTTATGTTACTCTTTACTATTTTGCTATATAATATTCTATTGTTATTAAGTTATAGTTTATAATTTCCATGATTATTCTTCCTTTTACCCATTAATTATTTAGAGGGGCATTCAGAAATTTTCTTAACACATGGGTTGTGTGGAAATGTTTTGGTTACTGACGTTATAATTTTATTGCACTGAGGTTTGTGAATATGATCTGTATAATATCAATTCTTTGATGCCTTTTGGTATTTTCTTTGTGGCCTAGGGTACATGGTTAGTTCTTGTAAGTATGTACTTGAATAGCTGTTTATTCTTTATTTTTGAGGTGCAAGTTTTCATAAATAACTGTGGTTCGACTCTGCTGTATCCTTCACAATTTTTTGGTCTGATTCAATGCTTTCTGAGAGAAGTGATTAAAATCTACCACTTTGATTATTCATTGTCAATAATATCTTTTTGTCGGTTTTTGCTTTATATATTTCGAAGTTGTGTTGTAAGGTTACACAGGTTCAGGTTAACTATATTTTTTTTTTTGGTGAATTGTTCTTTATCAAGACCTTTTTATTGCCAAGTTTTTGTCTTAAGGCTTATTTTGTTTCAAATTAATATTGTCAAGATCAACTTCTTTTAGTTAGTATTACCTGGAATATTTTTTCTTAATCTTTTGGTTTTGATCCTTTCCTGTTTTTGGTTTTAAATGTGTCTTTTAGAATAGCTTTTAGCTGGATTGCAGTGCCTAGACCACTGCCTAGTATGCATAGTAGGTGCTTAATAATTATTTGTTGAATGAATGAATGAAAAAATTAAATCTAATCTGAAAATTTATCCTTTAACAGATGAGTTTAATCTGTTATAATTCTTGTGATTATTGATATTTGACCGACTTCTACCACTTTTTGTTTTCTAAATACATGTTTTATATTTCCTTCTCTTTTTATTTTCCTGCTTTATTGACTTCTACTGGATTAGTCGAATAGGTTTTATTTCATTTCCCCTTCTACTATATTGAAAGTGATTCCTTTTCTGTTGTTGAGAAGTGATTGAGTTCTCAATCACTTCCTATCTCTGTGCTACCAAGAAGAAAATAGAGAAAAGAAATAATAACAGCTATTTATTGTATATCTTGGTCAACATTTGGAATAAAGGACATTTGCTAACTATGCCCTTTGATCAGCACAATAACCCTGTAAATTCAATGTTAGAATGCCCATTTTACAGATAAGAACTTCGAGATTCAGATAGTTTAAGTGACCTGTCCAAGGCCCTACAGCCAGTGACCAGCAGATCTGGGGATGAAACTTGTTCTCTGTGATTTCACAGTATGCGTTTCCTGCTGCCAGCCACACTGCTGATGCAAAGGCCAACCCCAGATTGCTGTAGGACAGTTATCACAGTATTTCTTAGTTCCCACAGCCATATTCTGGTCACCAGACCTTGTTATCTCCGTGTCCTTGTGATAATTCAGAAATGGAAATGAATGAACACAGGCCTGGGGTACAAGTTCTGGGCACAAGAGAGCCATGAGCTGAGAAGTAAACAGAACCCTTAAAGCCCTCCAAAATTAAATTGGTCATAATCTGAATGAATTCTGTCAACTCTTTTTAATAACATCTCCAAATCAGCCACTTACTGTGTTGGGAATGCATTCTCTTCTCCCATTTGATACTTAGCTGGAGCCCGTTAATAAGCAGACAAAAAGAACTGTAATTCTTGCTACTATCTCTGCAAATTGATTTTCAGCTATTTGTTCTTTCTTCAAACAGCTTCCAATCTGCTTTGATTGTCTCCCTCTGGAAAGGGTCTGACGGCCCAGATTAGAGAGGGGGAGGAACATAGGGCCACATGGTCACTGGCTATAGGAGAGCAAGGACAGAAGCTTCTGAAGCTGTATTAATATTCAGTGTCAGTCGCAGGATGGATGGGAGAGGGAACAAGCTTCGGGAGCCTTTGATGAGGTCACCCACAGAGGAGGCAGGTGCTATGAATAAGATTACCCACAATCCCACAAGCTCCCGATGAATTCCCATTGCAGTAAACAATGTCCAGTGGAATGGTAATCCTGGGGTTGGATGTCCTGCTGATTTTGCAGGGGTACAGGTGCATCTTTGTCTGAAAGGGCGGTGTTCCTTTCTAGGATGAGAGTATGAAAGAATGTGACCAAATTTCTGAAATTCCATTCAGGGACTGCAGCCATGCCCAGTAACTGCACCCGCAAGCGTGTCTGCGAGGCGTGCAGCCCGGGCTGGCCAGAGGGCCTCACTGGGCCCTGTTCAGGATTTCATCTCTAGTGGAGGCACATGCGTCAACTCGCCCTTGAGAGGCACTTTTCAAAGTGGGTACCATCTGAATCCAAGCCAGTTGGTGGGGGTACAGGGTTGGTTGTGCCTGTTAAAATGTGGATCTGGGGCCCCACCCTAGACTTACTGAGTCAGAATCTAATAGGAGGATGCCAGGAATCTACATTTCCAATAAGTGGCTGGGGTGATTTTGGTACCAAGTCTAACTTGTTCTTCAGGGACTCTCTGCAGGTGCCGGCAGCCTCCTGTTGGGTGGCTGGGCTGGTGCGAGGGGGCACATACTGTTAGAGTAGATGAATAGTTAGACATAAACAAAAAAGAGAGCCCCTGGGGAGGAAGTTTTGGAAAATGTTATGTTCCAGAGACTACTTAAAACATGTATGTTAAATATAAACAGAGAGGAGGGAAAATGCCAATGCAGAAAAAGTGCCCCCAAACGCTCCTTAAGACGTCTTGTAATTTTGTAGTTAACCTGTCAAAATGTAGCTAGCTATGTATTAATAGAAAGGTAAAAAGGGCAAAGAAAATATTCCTAAGAAATCCACAGGCACAGTAAGTACAGTTGTAACCCCCCTGTGACCCTTCTGTGGTGGCGGTACATGAGCAAGGCCACCATTAGGTAAGGTTCGTATTGATTACCTGGCCCTGCACAAGTGTATCAATGACAGTGAGGGAAATTCCACAAACCTAGGTGAAAACTAGGAGGGAGCAAAAGTGGAGACTTAAAACAAAAGCAGAAAACTAAACAAAGAAAAAGGTGGAGTGTTAAGATGGAGGCAGGAGCTTAAAGAAACAGTCTGGCATAATAAAAACTGCAATACAAAAGTATCAGGGCTGCTCCCAGCCGGAAGAGCCCAGTCCTCTCTTGGAGTTTACTCTTATTTCCTTTTGCTTACTTTACTAATTGGTCTCTTAGCCAAATTCTTTCCTCCAGAAGGACTAAAAACCGAAGACTCCACACTTCCCAGTAACAATAGGAAGTGACAGAAGGGCCCTGGATGAGGAATCCTGACCCCAGCTTTCTCCTTAGCTTGCTCTGTGACTTTGAGCACGTCATGTTGTCACCGTGGGCCTCATTTTCTGGTCTGTTAAGTAAGTGCCACCCAGAGCTTCTTAGTAGAGGAACAGGACCAGAATTAATGGCCCAACTCTCTGTTTTGGACATAAGAGTCTGAGGTGGGAGTAGAACTTCTGACTGGAGGTAATAATTACAGCTCGTTTTCATCGCATGCTTACTGTGTGCCAGGCACTGCTGTAGAGATTTAGGCATGAGTATTTTTCTTTCATCACAGCCCCATGAGGTTGCACTTTCATATTATCAGTTTACAGATAAAGAACATGAGGCGAAGAATAGTTAAGGTCATAGCTAGTAAGAGGTGGAACAGGATTCCAAACGCAGACACTCAGACACCAGAACTTTCGCTGTTACAATAAAGATCTACTATATCTCTCCATCGTAAATGTCCTGCTGGCAATTGGAAATACCTGAAACAGCTAAGAGGCTTGCTCATCAGGCAGATGTGGCAGTCATCAAAATAGAGGTGACAGGTGGAAAGCCAGAGAGATATTTAAAGAGTGTGGAGTTGCAGCACCAGTAAATACCTGTTGACTTAACCAGCCCAGGGTAACAGCCCTTTGAACTTCTGTATGGTTGTAAAAATGTGACTTTGTTGAGGGGAGTTTAAAGCATGATTGCAGGTAGGTGTAGAAATCTTGGGTGAGGGGAAGGGGACATTTGCTAGCACCCTGCCCCCACCTGCCCAGCATGCTCTAGAGGTAATGGCCCTTTCCTTTATAGAGATTTAGGGCCGGAAATAGGTCCCTGCTCATTGTTTCAGAGCTCTGAAGACACGTTTGGGAAGTTACAAAGCAACCATGATGCCATACTTCCTTCACCGTAGAGACTTGTCCAGTAGATGACACTGGGTGTAATTTGGTCTCAGGCAGAACTGGGCCAGAATTTGATAGTGGGTAAAGCAGGTCCTTGCAGAAGGCTAAATTACAGGGGGTAATGCCTCCTTGCTAGTCCTCCTGGACTAGCAAGGGGCTGGATTTTCCATGGAAGGGAATGACCTTGTTGGTGGCAGATGCCATTCTATGGCCTTCTCATCTCTGTGTGCCCTCCTGGGGGTGGGGGTGGTCCCTTTTCTGCCCCAGCGTCAACTCTCACCTTCATGATAAGATTCCATAATCTTCGCCTCTAGCTTGGACCTCTCTCTGGCCTCAGGCTTTTATTTATATCCACCTCCTGGACCTCTGTATGTGGAGGCCCCGCTGGTAACTCACGCTCCATTTGTCCTGGTCTATTTCCCACAACTCCTGCCCTCTTTTGCTCTTCTCTTGTTAATAGAAGCTGTGTTCACCAAATTCTTCAGTGGTTTCCATCAGCTGCAGGGGAAAGCCCAGACTCCTGGGCTGGAACTCAGGGATATTCAGGTGCCAGACCCACCCACCTTTCCAGCCCCATGCCCAGCCCTTTGCATTCCAGCCACACTTGTGCCCTTTTACACCTTGGTGTCTTTGACTGATTTTTTATTAGGGTGCCTTTGCTTTCTGTAGCAGTCTGATTGCTCCTTTTTATCCTTCAAGACCTGGCATAACACCTTAGAGAAGCTTTGTAAGACTATAATCCTCTCCCTCCCCAGAAGAGGTCCTCCTTCCTTGGGGCTCCCTTGGCCTTTTTTTTTGGAGATACAACCTTGCTCTGTCGTCCAGTCTGGAGTGCAGTGGTGCAATCACAGTTCACTGTAGTCTTGACCTCCCGAGCTAAAGCAACCCTCCCACCTCAGCCTCCTGTGTAGCTGGGACCATAGGCACTTGCCAGCACACCAGGCTAATTTTTAAATTTTTTGTAAAGATGAGGTCTTGCTATGTTGCCCAGTCTGGGCTCAAACTCCTGGGCTCAAATGATCCACCCACCTCGGCCTCCCAAAGTGCTAGGATTATAGGTGTGAGCCACTGTGCCCGGCCTCCCTTGGCCCTTTCTGCATGCCACTAGTTCACGTTTTCCATGTTGCATTGCTAATATCTTTTCCCACGACCTTCCTGCTGGACACCAAGCTTCTCCATGGAGAGAAGCTTTCTGTCAAAGACTCTCACACTCAATTTTGTGTTCCCAGTCCCAGGAAAATGCTCAGGAGATGTGGTTTAAGAAATGAACCCATGGTTCAACAAATGGGTCAGAATTTCTGGGAGAATGGGCCTGTGGTTTACTGGGCCCCTCAGGATTTTATCCAAAGCATAATGGTGGTAAAGGGAAGGACAGATGCCTGGAGAGGCTTCCCAGATACCATGCCGCCCAGGACTCTGCATGTGTGAGGCCCTTGGGCCTCCCTGGCCCATCCTCCCTTCCTCCCCTGTTGTCTCAAATCTTGCAACAACTCACCACCTTCCTGTCTCAGCCCAGGACTCTCCCTTTGTTCCAGTCCTTTTAGAAGTCTCCTCACCTCTTCTAGGAAGCCTCTCTTCGTTAAATAGGATGGGGGAGAAAAGATGAGCTTTCCTAAAGCTCCTAAGTCAAGCATTTTCCCCCTCTCTGGCATTTCAGATTAATTGAGAGAGTGAGGAAGAGGAAGCAAAAAAGCACAGATTTTAGTCCTGTTAGGCTCTTGGTCCCATTAGAGAAGCAGTTAGTTCCCTAAACCCTTCATTAGGATCATGCAGGTATTTGTTCATCATACGGCTCCTGGGCTCCATTCTAGATCTGCTGGATGAGAATCTTCAGGGTGGGGGCCTGGAACCTCTATTTTTAACAAGCACCTTGGGTAATTTTTAAAAATCAGCAGACAAGTTTGGGAACTCTGTTTAGGTGCCAAATAAGCAAATTAAATAACTTTCTGTTGGGCTCATTATATGAGAGTGCTATGTATTAATCATTATCCTTGTAGCAAGAGTTTATTGAGCACTTACTATGTGCTTGTTCAATTTCTTTCTCTTTCTTTCTTTCTCTCTCTCTTTCTTTTCTTTCTTTCTTTCTTTCTCTTTCTTTTCTTTTTCTTTCTTTCTTTCTTTCTTTCTTTCTTTCTTCCTTCCTTCCTTCCTTCCTTTTTTCTTTGTCTCTTTTCTTTTATATAGAAATGGGTTCTTGCTATATTGTCTGGGTTGGCCTTGAACTCCTGGGCTCAAGTGATCCTTCTGTCTTAGCCTCCCAAGTAGCTGGGACAACAGGCATGCACCACTGCACCTGGCAATAATTTTGAGCCATTTATATGTATTAACTCATTTGTTCTCGATAACAACCTTTTGAGGTAGATACTATTATTACCTTCACTTAACAGATGAGGAAACTGAGGCACAGATTTAAGGTATCCAAGTTCACCCAGCTAGGAAGTGGAGAGATAGGATTAAAATCTAAGCAGTGTGGATTCTGAGACTTTGCTCTTTGCCTTTGACACACAAAAGAGGAACATTACCAGAGCAGGGCATGCTGCTCCATGCTGCAGACGATGAATAAATAAATGTTCACTGAAAGGAGAAATTGGAAACAGACATGATGGGAATGTTTGATTTAGTAGCCTGTTCTCTGCCATCAATAACTTATTCATGTTCACAGCATCCCAGGGGAGCAGTTCTGGGGGCAGTAGTATTCTCGGTTTTGTAGATGAGGAAATAAGGCCAGGAAGATGCAATAGTCAGACTTCAGCACAGACCCCACCTCCATTCAGTGGATGGCCAGGGAAATCTACAATCTAATACTCTGCATTCACAGGAAGGATTTCCTTTTACAGGTCCCTTTTCACATTACATCACTGTCTTAAGGCTACAGGGATCTAGTGCAATGAATCATTTCTGGAAATATGTACATTGGAAGATAGTAGTGATGACCAACCGATAAGCTGACAGCCCAAGGCTGGCTTCTGTTCCTGTAATACCACAATCTCAATGGCTTCATCAGGTGGCATCAGGTGAACTGGATTGCACTGCTCTGTGACCTTGGTTCCATGCCCTTGTCCACCTCCTCTCACACTCTCAGTGAATCCAGATGAATTCCAGAATATGTTCCAGTTGCTGTTGGCTGGAGGAAATCACCTCCTTCCTAGGAAAGCACCAAGGATGTGGTGTGGGGCAGAGCAGGCTGAACTCCACAAAGGGAAGGGAAACCCCTTAACACCATTTGCCCGGGTAGACTTTTGAAGGACTTCAGGCACTGCTGTTCCTTCCCTGAATTGCTGAGAAAATGCCTAAGACAGCAGGGTGAGTAGTCGGGGGGTGAATGAGCTCCCCAGTTAGGCTGGCGCCTGCCTGCTCCAGGCCCTGGTCTCCCTTGGGATTTGCATCTGGGGCTGACCCGGCCACGGGTAAAAAGCAGGATATGAGTCTCTCCTCACTCCCCTGACACCTCTGAGGCAGTGAGTGGGGAGAGAGTGGTCCCATCAGGGAGAGCTGGCCTACCTCTGTATACCAGGCCCAGCCTTACAGTTTAGCTGAGCAGACTGTGATGTGACTGAACAGAAATCCCTAATGGCCCATTGCATGTTGGCTCTCTTATGCCTGATTTTTCCACCAGTATTACCAGGAGCCATCCCCCAGAAGGCCCCTTTTGAATGTCACTTTGGGATCTGAGAGTTAGAAGTCAAGTCCTCGGTGGTGATGGTCCCGGGGGCACATCTTGGTCCCTGTGTTAGGTAGCTGGGATAGAGCAGATGTGGGCCCTCTGAGAACAGGATCAGGAGAGGGAGCTGCTGGGGTGCACATGGGGAGGCAAGGGGTGAAGGAATGACGAACCAGAATTAGAATATCCTAACTGTGTCCTGCACTGCCTCAACCTTTCCCTTAGAACACCGCTTTACAATGATGGCTTCACTGGAATCAGGTGGGCACTTTTAAAAAAGTACTGCCCACTCCCACCCAAACCACTTTCTGATGTTGGTAGTCTGGGTGGGCCTGGCACCAGTATTTTTATGATTCTCCAGTGCTTCAGATATAAGCTAGGGGTGAGCACCACCGCTTTGAGAGCGTCTGCAGGTCTCCCGCTCTGGCTGGGGGGATCATTTTTTTTTCCCATACTCAATGTGGGCACAGCTTCCGTCCATGGAAAAAGCAATGTCTTTAGCCCCTTCACTAATTGGTGAGCTAAGGACCTCTATGCAGGAAGAATTTGCAGGCCTACAGTTCTGTGAATTTAGCCTGCAAGTTCCATGAATGCAGGGACCACACCTACCTTGTTTTCCTGGGACCTCAGCACCTTGTAAAAATAAATGTTTGCCATCAGAGTGCTGAGACAGCTGCTCATGTTTCCTGGAATCTTTTTTTTTTTTTTTTTTTTGAGATGGAGTCTCACACTGTCGCCCAGGCTGGAGTGCAATGGCATGATCTCGGCTCACTGCAACCTCCACCTCCCGGGTTCAAGTGATTCTCCTGCTGCAGCCTCCCGAGTACTGGGATTACAGGCACCTGCCACCACACCTGGCTAATATTTTTGTATTTTTAGTAGAGACAGGGTTTCATTATGTTGGCCAGGCTGGTCTCAAACTCCTGACCTCCTGATCTGCCCGCCTTGGCCTCCCAAAGTGCTGGGATTCCCTGGAATCTTTTGATCTGGACATGCTCACTGCTGTAAGTGATCCTTAGCTTCCTCAACAGTAAAATGGGTTCAGCAACAATGACGTCTACCTCACAGTGCTGTGAGGATCAAGTGGGGTTGGTACGGAAAAGAGCATTAGAAAGTCTGATCCAGCTGTGACTTGTTGCATCGCCCCCTTGCTCTGCAGCATGAGCTCCTATTCAATCTTTAAAACCCAGTTCAAATGTCACTGATCTGCAAATTCTTCAGAAGATTAACCACACGCTTTACACAGAACTCCAGTATGGCACTTGTCATTCTACATTCAACGTGATTTTAGTCAATGGCTACTGAGCCTTTTCTCTCCCAGGCACTGGGTCAAAAGCTTTAATGCCGTGATTTGATACTTATTCATCTACCTCGAAAGAATTGGAACTCCTCAAGGGCAGAGGCCATAAGGTGAATCAATATATCCTCCACAATGCCTAGAGGGGTTTTACTTCTGGAAACGATTTTTGGTAACTAATAACATGTCTGTCAGTACTTGTGTTGATGAGTTTTGAGTAACTGTTGGGTATTTGTAGGAAAAATGAGATCTTGGAGTTGGAAGGACAGTGAGCAAAGGGGATAGTGATTTGGAGCAGATGGCTTTAGAATGCAGGGCAAGGGATGGTGTAAATGTCACCTGGGCCCCACAGGGCACTTTGAGTTGATGAGACAGGCTGTTTTGGAAGGAAGACTTTGCAGGTGGATGGCCAAGGCCATATAGCCCGGTGAACTGGGGGAAGCTTGAGCAAGATCCACTCAACTATAGTGGGAATGTTAAATAAAGACTATTCCAAACTCGATCCATCTGAAGGTTCAGAGTTTTTCTGCATGCTTGAGATTCCAAAGGGACCCAGTGGAGTGAGACAATATCTCAGAACCATAAAAGTGAAAGGCATAAGCTTAGGTTGGAAGATGACTACAGAAAACAATAAATGTCTTATGGTGTAGGGTAGCAGCAATGGAGTTTAATGGATTTATAAGCCTCTTATTAGAAGTTCAGACAAGGGAGAGCCTTTCTAGTGAAAATGGTGTAATTCTGATAATAAAACTGACAAAGACACTTTCCAAAAGGCATGCCTCAGACATGAGTTCTGCAGGGTGTTAAGAGGAATTATGTGAAATGGGGGCTCTGTGATCGATCGTGTTGGGAAATGCTGGATTATACAAATTTAAGCACAGCATGTTCCCTTGCTCTTAACTCTAGCAGATCTTAGAATCTTTAAAATGAGAATGTACCTAGTGAATCTCCTGGAAGGATATATAGTATTTCCCAAACCTTGCAATGCCAGACGTTTCCTTTCCTTTTCTTTTCTTTCCTCTCTCCCCCTTTTAATGTCTTTTCTTTTCTTTCCATTTCTAGTGGCACAACTCATAGCAACAGTGTTCTGTAGAACACACTTTGGGACATGCTGCTGTAAAGTCATCTCACTTGTATGTATAGCAGTTGTGAAATCCTAAATATAACATAAATGAATCAAATTCAATAGTGCATTTTAAAATTTCACCAGAGGGGCCAGGTGTGGTGGCTCATGCCTGTAATCCCAGTGCTTTGGGAAGATTGCTTGAGGCCTGGAGCTGGAAACTAGCCTGGGCGACATAGCAAGACCCGTCATCTCTACAAAATGTTTTTCAAAAAAATTAGTCAAGTGTGATAGCACATGCCTGTTCTCCCAGCTACTCAGGAGGCTGAGGCAGGAGGACTGCATGAGCCCAGGAGTTCAAAGCTGCAGTGAGCTATGATTGCACCACTGTACTCCAGCCTGGCCAACAGAGTGAGATCCTGTCTCTAAAAAAAAAAAAAATTCACCGAAAAAGAAGAGTTTTGATTCCAGAAATATAAAGATATTTTAGTGTTAGAAAATTATGAGGTAATTCTTAACATCAACATGTAAAATAAGAAAAATACAATAATCTCAACAGATAATGAACATGTATGTGATAAATTTCAATACCAATTCTTGATTTAAAAGTCTAAGAACTAGGATTAGAAAAATAGATCCTTAATGATATAAAAATAATCCATGGTAAATTAAGATAAGATCACCGATATTATTACTATTAACATGATTCTTGAAGTTGTACAGTAACTCATGAAAAAGTATTACAATTATTCAGAGAGTAAGATAATAGCTAGATGCAGAATATTTTTTCCAAACCATAGTTCAAATTAGAAATATTTAGAGGAAAAAGATCCCAATTCCCAATGGCCCAACAAAAAATAAAAAATTTATAAAAACCTCAACAAGAATGTTTAGGACCCACTTGAAAGAAAACTTTGAACTTTATTGAAAGATATTAAAGAAGGTTTGACTAAATAGATAGCCATATATTATTTTTTTGAGTAGAAAATCCGAATACTGTAAGATGCCAATTTTACCCAATAAATTTATAAATTTAATGAACTTGCAATCCATAATGGGCTTATCACAATAAGTCTAAAATTAGTTGTTTATCACAATAAGTCTAAAATTCATCAGGAAAAAGAAGTAGTTGAGAATAATTTTTAAAATCTTGAAAAAAGGGTGATGGAGGATTTGGCCCACTAGGAATTAAAGTCTATTATAACACAACAAGAGTGTAAACATTATGGTATGCGGGCAGGAACTGGCAGGTGCAGCAATGAAACAATGTCACCTGGAAACATATTCTAGACTACGTGTATATAGTAGTGTGTATATGAGTTTTAGACTACATATGTATGTGTTTATATATGTAGTCTATATATACATACATATGTAGTCTAGAACACATATACACACTAAGACGCAGAACTGAACACATACACGCTAAGATACATTCGCACACACATACACACTCTGACAAAGAACGGGAAGGAAATACGGTAAAGAGTTAATGGAGGGTTTATGAGTGGTGGGATTATGGGTTCTGACTCTCTTCTTGGTCTTTTTTGTACTTTTCAAATTTTCTATGATGGACACATTTTAGCCAGCTAATGAGAAAAACAGTAAATGTTGTGCGTAAGTGTGTATGTGTGTGCATGTGCAAACGCTTAAAGAATGTGCTCCATTAAATAGGAAGGCCCCCTGGGAAAGAATACCCTGCTGGGCACGGTGGCTTACGCCTGTAATCCCAGGATTTTGGGAGGCCAAGATGGGTGGATCACCTGAGGTCGTGAGTTCGAGACCAGCCTGACCAACATGGAGAAACCCTGTCTCTGCTAAAAATACAAAATTAGCCAGGTGTGGTGGTTCATGCCTGTAATCCCAGCTATTCGGGAGGCTGAGGCAGGAGAATCGCTTGAATCCGGGAGGCAGAGGTTGCAGTGAGCTGAGATTATTGCACCCCAGCCTGGGCAACGGGAGCAAAACTCCGTCTCAGAAAAAAAAAAAAAAAAAAAAAAAAAGACTACCCTTAATGCCGACACACTGATCTCTTCCTTCCCGGTGTGGGCTGCTGTGAGTGTGGAAGGGGTGGTAACGAGGGCCCAGGCTGTAGGGGTGAGAGGGCCCAGGCGGTAGGGGTGACAGGGCCCTGAAGGGAGAGAGGGGTGTAGAGGAGAGAGGCTTCAGGGTGGTAAGGAGGAACGTTGCCCTTTTGCCCTGAGCTGGGAATTATGAATCCAAGAAAATGACAAAGTCGTAAGCTGTTTTCCTTGGCAAAGGAGCTGTGTTCTGAGGTTATAACATTGCCTCGAGGATTAAATGATGGTGAGTGGAGGAAGAGGGGGAGATGATTAGTCTTGATCTGTAAAGTTCACCCCCTATGACTTCAATAAAATGCCCAACTGGCAAGCGAGATTGAGGGAGTATTTGTAGAAGTTGGCCCTAAATGTGGGGTGTGAGCAGCAATTGTTGGCACACATCCTGGGGGCTGCTGTGGCTCTCTGTTGGAGGACTTGTGCCCAGAGCAGGCAGAGTGGGCATGGAGTGATCTTTCCAGTGCTGGCTCCTGCCGGTCTCAGAGCCTCAGTGTGTGCCTGGGCAGTGTGTGCCTGGGCAGTGTGTGCTGTGCTGAGGCGTGTGGGCTGTGGAGGCAGAGGGCTCTGGATTCCCTCCTGACTTTTCCACTTGCCAAGTGGCCTTGTGCAAGTTATATACTTACCTTCGCTAGCTGTAATGTCTGGAATGGAGATGGTAACTCCTGTTTTCCTTTAGAAACTCCACTTGCCCCTTAATTGAGATTTTCTAAAACACTCGTGGGGGATTCAAGTTTGGGTCAGAGAAAAAGGAGGAAGAAAAAGGGAAAACATAAATAGCCTTAGAGCAATAATTTGCCCTGTCAGACCCAAAGAGACTTTGTTAAATTCTATAATTTCTGGAATGGCAGTCCTAGAGGTGGTGGCCAGGCCAGTCATTTGAGAGTTGGGGGCCGGTGAAAAGGAGACACCTAGGATCCTGCTTCAGGCTCCAAGGACACTGGGCTATGTTGATCTTTGGTTAGAGAATCACAGACTTCTAGAACTGGAAGAGGTCTCAATTTAACAGGGAGAGACAAGGCACTAAATAATTGGCACACAAGGCTGGGCGCAGTGGCTCACACCTGTAATCCCAGCACTTTGGGAGGGCCAGGTGGGAGGATCGCACCACTGCACTCTAGCGTTGGGTGACAGAGTGAGCTCTTTTCTCAAACAAAAACAAAAACAAAAACAAAACACCCTCGGCACTGAAGATCGTGTGGCGAATTAACAGTGGATTCCTAAGCGAGGACCCAGTATAGTCCCTCTTTCTCTCAGTGTGGCTTCCTGCTTTTTTCTCCTGGTTACTTGGCTATTAATTTAAGTGCCAAATGAAACATGTGTGAAAACTTTGTATCTTCCTTGGTTTTAATTTTCTTTTAAAACACAATTTCACATAAATATCTAAGTCAAGATGATTTAGTAGAACGATCCTTTCAGGACTTCCTTTTCTCCAAACGCTGGGTAAAGAAAGACTAAAAATAAGAGAAACAACAACAACAAAAAAAAAAAACACAAGGAGAGTCAAATGCTAGATAAACAGCTCAGTGTTCATTCAACAGCACAAGGCGCAGACCCTTGGGTGAGGGTGAATGAGGCTAGGGCTGGGTGGTTCTGGGTCTTGACGAAGGCAGCAAGACTGGCCTTCTTGGCTTTTCTTGACTTAAAGGGGAGTGAAAGCACCCCATGTCAGGTGGGAACCAGAGCCAGGCCCACTCTGTGAGGTTGGGGTGGGACAGGCCTCCTTTGCCCATGAAGGGAGATTGGAGGAAAGCAGTGACTGTTGCCTGGCCCACCACTTCCTAAAGCTGCCTCCCCAGGCCTATGGAAGGGAGCAGACACAGCCATGTAGCCAGGTCCTGGGCAATGCCTGCCTCCAGCTCCGTCAGATCGCTGGAGTCAGCCCCAGGCAGAGCCTTGAGCCTCCAGTATTAGACTTGGTTGTGAACTGGGGTTCCTGGATCAGAAAGGACGCAACGGGGATACTGCCTTAGAGGGAGGAAGGGATGACACAGAGGGAGGAAAAATGCAAAACGAAACACAGTAAGCTGCAGCTCCAGAGGCCCCTGCAAGCCCAAATTCCAAAATGCAAGAGGAGAAGGGAGGCTAAGAGAGGTGGTCAACAGAACCAACAGGCGGGAGAACCCACTTCAAAGAGGTACAAGGAGAAATTGACTTGGGGGCAGAAGTCCCAGGAATCTGTAAAGCAAACATTAGGCAGCTGTGAAGCAAGATCAGATGGATATGATGAAGAAACAACAAATCCTGGAAATAAAAAATTATTAGTTAAAATGTTAAATTATCTGTAAATGACTAAAAGTTATGAGTTATTGAATAAACTCAATAATCAGGATAAAGTTTAGTTGGGTAGAGTTGAAGAAAGAGAGTAAAATGAAGAAGAGTATTGAGGACTTCACCCAGAGTACACACAAAAAGTTTTTAAAATGCGAGAGAGAACTTATGAGAAAATTAAGCTTGACGGAGAGACTCCCATATGTATCTCATTGAATAGGAGGCCAGAAGGCGAGCGTAGAGGGAATGGTGGAGAACCACTTGAGATAATGGCCGAGACTTCTCCAGACTTGAAGTAAACACAGATTGGGCCAAGTGGCGCTTTCCAGGTGGATGTGTTGGGGAGCTGGCCTTTTCTGTCAGTGCCAGACACACAGCGGGTTGCTGTTACATGTGCTATCTCATGCGATGGCCACAACCGCCTTGCGGGATAGGTGTGATCATCCTTGTTTTCAGATGAGGAATATAAGAAACCTGTGGGTGGAGAGGCTGGCCCCATGTCACACAGTCATAAGTGGTAGAGCTGAGCTTCCATCTCAGGCAGAAGTCTCCAAGTCAAGATACAATGGCCAACTTGTCCCTGTTTGCCTGGGACTTTCCCGGTTTTACCGCTGAAAGTCCCATGTCTTGAGCAACACTTCAGTCGCTGGGAAACCGGGATAGTTGACCACCCTAGGTGAAGGGCATGAACTTTGGAGCTTGCCAGATCTCAGATCTCATTTCTATACTTACTGTGTGTGCCTTAATTTTCTCATTTGCAAAATGGTAATAACAGAGGCAACAGTCAGATGAAATGGCAATTCATTTAAAGCGCTTAGCCTGACACCTGACATCTGCCATGCACTCAATAAATGTTAGATGCTGTTATTTATTTATATCATTACTACACAATTTGTGTGCTTCCCACTATGGTGCTCCACTTGTAGAGAGCAGGGCCTGCTTCTGGAGGCCTTGAATGCCAAGGCTAAGGGTACAGATGTCATCCTTTAGGACAGTAGTTTCAAAACCCGACTGCACATCAAAATCAGCTGGGAGCTTTGATTAAAACCTAGATTCTCTAGTGGCTCACACCTGTAATCCCAGCACTTTGAGAAGCCAAGGTGGGAAGATCACCTGAGGTCCGGAGTTCAAGACCAGCCTGGCCAACATGCTAAAATCCCATCTCTACTAAAAATACAAAAAATTAGCTGGGCATGGTGGTATGCACCTGCAGTCCCAGCTACTTGGGAGGCTGAGGCACAAGAATTGCTTGAACCCGGGAGGAGGAGGCTGCAGTGAGCCGATGTCCCACCACTGCACTCCAGCCTGGGTGACAGAGCGAGACTCCATCTCAGAAAAACAACAACAACAACAACAAAACAAAACAAACCTAGATTCTCAAAACACATTGTCTAAAAGTCTGATTCGGCATGTCTGGGGCAGGATCTGCTGGTCTGCAATAATTGGTCTTTGAAAATTGTTTAAATGCCATTGAAATTTTAGAAAACATTCTAATCAGTGTGTTGGGCAGTTTTGCTATGTATGGATATTTTGAGTTGCGGCAAGCCTTAACTGTGGGCACATCCACCAAGTTAATGCAAGGTTAGGGCCTCTCCTAGCCAGGAGAGGAAAAAAGCCTATTGTTTGCATTTTTTCTAGGACTTGAGCCTGCAGGAGAGTGAAACTACCAAGCAACCTGTTGAGATCCCAGATGGTTTCTAACCCACAGAATTTCTCATCCTCTTTCCATCCGTCTGTCTCAGGGACTGTGCCTCCCCTACCATGCTCCTGGCCGCCTTCCCAGGCTCCCATCTCCGCTGAGGAAGGCATTCCCTCCTCATGACCTCATCAGAAATGGTCCCTTCCCCAGGGCAGGACTTCCCACCATAAATTCTCCATCAGCAGAGGCCCCTCCGGCCAACTGAGAGCGAGCAGCGAGTTCCAGGCAGTGTTCTGTAGTTCAGCATGAGTCAACATGGAGACCCTGCCTCAGTGCATCAGTCAGCCCTGGAAGCAGTCTGGCTTAGAATGCATTTCTTACATGTTTAGAGATTGCAGAACAGCCATCAGTTTTATCCAGAACACCTGTAAATAGTTTTTTGAAACAAATTATCAGAGCCAAAAAACAAAATAATTCTTGCATCTACTCCTCTTCCTTTTTGAATTGACATATCTAAACAAAAACCAAAAGGAACACGTAAATCAGGCTTTACTGCGATGAAGAGATAGTGTCCTATCTCATTTTACTAAGAGGACATATGTAAATGCTGAGTTATTTCTTCTCTCACGACACATCTGTGTATTGTTCAGGGGACCAGCATTCTGCCAAAAACAAGTTAGGAACACTAGATAAATGAGAAGACTTTGAACTAGAGACAGAGAGATCTGGGATGTTGATGTGGCTTTGTTACAAATGGGTCCAACGGCCTCTGGGAAAGACCATCTCTCTAAGAGTCTGCGTTCCTCCTTTGTGAAGGGTAATGAGGTGGGGTGGGAGGTGCCTGGGGGTGGGGGTGGGTGGGATTAATTTAGAGTTGTTTTCCGATGAGGTAGCCACTAGCCACACGTGGCTATTTAAATTTAAATGCAAAATAATTAAAATTAAATAGAATTGAAAATTCAAATTTTCAGCTGCACCAGCTGCATTAAAAGTGCTCGAAAACTACGTGCGGCTAATGGCTACCATATTGGACAGCACAGATGAAACATTTCCATCATTGTAGCAAGTTTTATTTGCAGTACCTGCCTAGATTGGAAATCATAGTGTAGGATTCTATTCTACCTCTCCTCTGCATATTGCCCCTGTGACAGACATTGCTAATCGATCACAGCATTCTTGTCTACTATACCTTGATGTGTCTTCACCATCTTCCTCGGAGATCCATTTGTGCTCAATTGACCTGGAATATGCATGTGAGACAAACCATGTGCTTCTAGGGACCAGATCTGAGTTCTTAACCATTTTTGTGCTGTGACCCCTTTGGCAGTCTGATGAAACTTATGAAGTCCCCTCCCAGAAAAAAAAATGTTTTTAAATGCAAAAAACACAATATGAATTACCAAAGAAACCAATTACAGTGAGATATAGCTATCAAAATGTTAAAAGAATAAATGTTTGACATAATAATAGATATGCTTTTTTATTATTGCACCAAATAATAAGATCTGATGGCAGGTGATTTTTTTTTTACTTATAATTTTATAATTTTAATGTAATTTTGAAGTGGTGCTGAAAGCAAATGATATTTTAAGTATTTTGTCAAAGCTACCATGGGATATAAAAATAACTTTGATGTCTTCGATGAAACAAAGTCACAGATATTGCCAACACTATTGTGTGATGCTTCCATTCATAACTGAAGAAAATGCTAAATTTCAGTTAGTAGTTACTAAAAATAAAGATGCATTTTTCCCATTGTTAAAATAAAAACTTCAGCTGAATTAAATGTAATGGAGTTTAATTGAGCAGTGAATAATTAGCGAATCGGACAGCCCCCAGAATCATAGCAGATTCAGAGAGACTCCCGGGAAGCCTGCTGGTCAGAACAAATTTATAGACAAAAAAAGGGAAGTGACATACAGAAATCAGAAGTGAGGTACAGGAACAGCTGGATTGGTTACAGCTCGGCGTTTGCCTTATTTGAACACAGTTTGAACACTCAACAGTGTATGAATGGTTGAAGTATGGCGGCTGGGATTGGCCAAGACTCAGCCACTGTTACAGGCGCATACTCCTAAGTTCAGTTTTCAATCTTGTCTACCCACTAAGTTAGGTTGCAGTTCATTCTCTGGGCTCAAATATAGAAGTACGGAGTCCTTCTCAAGACATATTTAGTGTGCTTTAACACCATCCAAATTCATGGACTCATTAAGTTCTACTGACAGATTTCTTAGGGTTCCATGGACCTTTGCAAGGAATCCCTGAAGTAGGTGATATGTGAAGTTCCTTCTGGATTTGCCATTTTGTGGCCACATAAAAAAATTTCTCCAAATTGTTCATGCATGTATGGAATATTAGTGTGCCAAGGCTGATGTCCCTAACCATAATCCCCCTTCTTCAAGAGCATCTCATGCAGTTGAGGAGATGTGGTTGGGAGTGGTGGAGAGGGGAGCACAGAATGAAGAAAGGGGTCAGAAGAAGGCTAGAGAAATCTGCCACCTCTGTCACTTTCTGTGGGGCAGATAGGGAGGGGAGGGGCTCACTGTCACTGCTGACCGCAGCCGACCACAAAGGGCATTCCTTCCACAGTGAACTCAAAATTAGTGCCATGAACTCCACGGACGAAGCGAGAAAACCAAATGGTCAGCATCTGAAAATGACACCCCCTTCTTTGAGCACTCCCTAAAGACCTTTTATGTTGTGGCCTTCAGTGCCTTTGGAACAGTTTTACGCCTTTGTCAAAACAAATAGAATGCCCACTAGTGAAAAAGGATTTGCTACAAATACCAGTGACAGTGCAGAAATAAATATTTATAGCCTGGGCTCTGAGACCTACATATTCTCATTTCTTATAGAGCCTGGAGCCAGGCCTATGCCAGTGAAAATTGATTTACACAATAATTGTTTTTCCATTTATAAGAAACATATGCCTGCCACTACTTTATTCTGGGGATCTTGACAGATCACAAACTCAGTCAAACGTACAATAATCAGCTGGCTGTAGCAGCAATACCCAAATCAAACTTGATTTCCCATTAATCGACATTTCACGATCTCAAGCCCAGTAGCACATAGCCCCGCCACAGTCTCCCCCAGCAGAATGCCCTCCCCTGCCAGCCAGGGAAAGGCACTCGGTTTCTTTGGCACTGCCTCTCTTGTGTAGTCAGAATGCATCATTTTATTCTTTGACTTCTTTGTCATTTACTTATGCATCATTCACTCATTCATTTTGCAAATAATTACTTTGTAGTTACTGTACCCTCAGGTCAGGAATAGATATTGGAGGAATGGGAACTAACATTTATTGGGTACCTTCTCTGTGCTAGGCACAGCACAATGCACTTTCTCATTCCTTACTACAAGTACTCGCACAACCACCCCGTGATTCTGGAATTATTATCCCCCAGTCTTAGCTATACAGAGCTCAAGGCTCAGATAAGTAATTAACTACTTATCTAATTTTCTAGAAAGAGAAAAATGAATAATATGATTCTGATTCTCCAGAAGTTTACAGTCGAGAGGGGGAGACAGTATTGATATAGCTGAGGAACTACAGATACGAGAAAGAATTAAATAACAAAGCAAGATAAGGTGATTACATTTTGAAATGAGAGAAGAGATAAGAAAGGCACAAGCAAGTCATGCCTGTAATCCCAGCACTTTGGGAGGCTGAGGCAGGCAGATCACGAGGTCAAGAGATGGAGACCATCCTGGCCAACATGGTGAAACCCCGTCTCTATTAAAAATACAAAATTAGCTGGGCATGGTGGCACGCACCTGTAGTCCCAGCTACTCAGGAAGCTGAGGCAGGAGAATTGCTTGAACCCGGGAGGCAGAGGTTGCAGTGAGCTGAGATCATGCCACTGCACTCCAGCCTGGCGACAGAGCAAGACTTCGACTCAAAAAAGAAAAGAAAAGAAAAAGAAAGGCACAGGGATCACTGTGGACCGGGATAGTCAGTGAAGGTGGGCTTACATCCAAAGATGAAGACTTGGTCACTGGGAAGGGGGTGAAAGAGGACATTCCAGGAAGCAGGGTGGTGTTGAGCAAATGCCTAGACTCAGAAGTTAAATGTAATTTGGGAGGTGGGGTGGAGCATGCCATGAAGGTACAGACATGTGGAGTGAGAGTATTCCTTAGCACAATGCCTTATGTGAAGGAATGATCAGATGCATCAGAGAATGAAAGAGTAAGTGGCGGATACTGCTATGTAGGTGGGAATGAAGTTGGATAGATGTGGTTGGATTGGGTTGTGGAGGGCTTCAATTGGCAGGTTGAGGAATGACAACCTCTAGAATCTAGAACACCTAGCTGGAGATTTCGTCTCTATAGAAGGGAATCGGATAATTATTTGTGATTCTTTATTGGTAAAGCCTACCCTAGAGTCAAATATATGAATATCATGAAATCCAAATCCAAGCAAAAAAAGAACACAAGTAGCCAGACATTTTTTTAAAAAGTATAATCATGTACAAACCCCCTAAACATCCCATGATACAAGAGTGGTTAAGCAAATTGTGGGGTAAGACTGGAGAAAGGGAGGTCAGTTCAGAGGTTGTCGAGGCTATGATAGTGAATAGTACCAGAGAACTGAGAGTAGGAATGGAGAGAGGTGGATGGATCCCAGAGATACATCAGAGGTAGAATCTACAGGACACGGTAACTGATGGAGTGAGAGACAAAGGAGAGGGAGGAGTCAAGGATAATTTATGCCTGGGTTTCTGGCTTGAGCAACTGAGTAGATGAAGGTGCCATTTCCTGAGGTAGGAGAAGATAAAGAAGCCAGTGTGTCAGGGGAAATGATCAATCTGGCTTTCAACAGTTTGAGTTTGGCATCTGACTAAAGGCATTTGCCAAATAGCCGGCTGTGTGGGTCTGAAGCTCAAGAGAGTGACCTGAGCTAGACACATAGATTTACAAAGCACCAGCTTCTAGCTGATAAAGGAAGGTGTGGGATGGACAACACTGCTGGCAACACGAGTAGGGTGGGAAATGGAGCTAGGATGAGGCTGGAGGAACCCTAGCATTTAAGTGGGGGGAAGAATTGGAGCCCAGAATGGAGACCAGGAAGGAGTAATCAGAAAAGCAAAAAAAAATGCCAGGGAAGGAAGATTGTGGTCAGCACCCTCAGATGGTGCTAAGAGGTCAGGTAAAAAGTGGAAATCACGGCGTCTATTGGGTGGAGCAACTAGAAGGCCTTTGATGACTGTGGCAAGGACAATTTCCATGGTATAGTGAGGACCGAAGCCAGATCCAGTGGCTTGAGGAGCAAGTGGGAGGTGAGTCTAGCCACATCATTTCAGAAGTTAGGCTGTGAAGGACATAAAAGAAATACGACAACAGCTGAAGGAGAACAGAGGATAAGGAAAGACTTAAGATGGGCCAGAATGGGAAGGACAGAAACATCTTTAAATGCTTCAGGTGGAGGCAGTGGAAAGGACGTAGAAAAAACCTGGAAGGCCATATGCCTACATGGTAACAGCGGTAACCTGTGGGTAGTGTAGTCCAGAGGTTCCTGAATGTTCAAAAACAGGCTGAATGATGTTTGTTGGAGTTTTGGTATTGTCTGTTTTATTGCTACAAAATTCTTTAAAATATGTCCATTTACATGTAACATCACACAAGTATGCAGAGATTTGATAAATGGAAGCATTCCTCTGCCTGCCTACATTGGACGGCAGGGAGGTTTGCCCGAAGCATCGTGGTGATGAATACCAGTGGTGCCCAGCATCCAAGATGGCCCCAGTGAGCCACAGCTCCTGGCTTTCAAGGCTTTGTATGAAAGCCCTCGCCACATTGAATCAAGGATGTCTGTGTGACCAACAGAGTATGATAGAAGTGACAATTAGGACCAAGGCTAGGTCGTAAAGGGCATTGCCATTTCAGCCTCAGTCTCCTGCATTGCTCACTCTGGAGAAAGCCAGTACCATACCATAAAGACACTCAAGAAGCCCTGTAGAAAGACTCATACGGAGAGAAACGGAGGCCTCTGGCCAACAGTCAGCACCCACTTGCCATTCCTGTGAGTGAGCCATCTCAGAGTGGAGCCTCTAATCCCAGCAAGCACTTACATGCAGCCCCAGCAGACCCTTGACAGCACTTCAGGAGGGACCCTGAGCCAGCACCTCCAGCTGAGCCTCTCTAAATCCCTGCCCCACAGAAATCAGGAGAAATTTCCAATGATTAGTATGGAAGCTGCTACGTTTTGGGGTGATTTGTTATGCAACAATTAACTGTTGTGGGCACCCTACATGTGTTGTGGGGCCCATGGGAGCGTCATCCACTAGACAACGGTCTGGCTATAACAGCATTTAAAAATAGAGGTACCAATTGTGTGTTCGATTTAAACAAGAAGTCATGTGCTCCGGCATCCTTCTGTGTGAGGAGCACAACCACTCCTACCACATCACACACACTCAAATTGATAACGCTACCTGTTTTGTAGATAATATTTAGTATGTGAGTGTTGTGTACGACTCAAGTATGAGTCAAGCATATGTGGAGGTTTTCAGATGCTATAGTTTTAGGATTTAATTTTGGAGGAAGTGAACTTGAACAGTTTCAAACTGCATAATTAATGACATTCCATTTTCATGACAACTACTAATTAATCTTGCCTGTTATCATAAACTTTTAGCCTGTGGGAGTTTGGGTCTTCCTAGCTCACATGGGAGAACAAATTGTGTTAGACTTTCATTTTGTTTTTTTAATTGTGAAATGACTGGGGTTGAGATAAAGTGGTGGGAAGGGGTGGAGTGGGTGTGCTCCCTGGGAACCATTGGACCATTCATTTAGCACCTGGGTTTATCAAACCCCCTAAAGTCAGGGGTTAGCTCTTTCACATCTGCCCCATGGCCAGCACAGTGCCTGGCACATAATGCTGGTTCAGTAAGTATTTGTTGAATAAATACTAATTCTGCTCCTTTCCTTGTTCTTTCATTCTACTCGTAGAGTTTAATAAAAACCCTGTGGAAGGTTTGGTATGTTTCACCTCTACAGAGAAGGAATGAGAAAAAGTGTTTCACATTTCTCTGGGGTCAGTATGACAGGACAGTGCTATCTCCCTTCCCTTCTCCCCTCCTCATGCCCTGGAGCAGTGGACCTGGAGGATAAGAGCGGGGTTCCTCTCCTGGACCCCTTCCCGCTCTGTGAGCACCAGTTGAGGAGTGTGTCAACAACAGCAATAGTGGCAGAGACTTGGGGGTGTCTGGAATATCCAAGGAATGGTCTTGTGTGTAGAAGTGAAGTGGCTTCACGAGTGAGACCCATTCTCATTCAATGGGGCCCTTTTGGTTTCATTGTGTGGCCTAGGGTTAGAACATGGCAGCTGGGAGACACTTTGATTTCCCAAGCAAGCTTGGCCAAGTCTCCCTCTGTCCTCTGAAGAGGAGGCAAATCTCCCTTCAGGGCAGTCAGTGGATTTGCGCCTGGCCCTGGCGAATGTGGTCATTTCCGGAAGGAAACAAGAATAATTTTCCACTCCCACATTCTGGCCACTGCAGGGCAGGGAAACCACTTGCCAAGTCAGGCAAAGACATTCCTGGCTCATCCTGGGGCATTGTTTGAGCTCATCATCTGAACCTGATGACAAGAGACAGGAATTGTTTTTGTGAGACTCGTGGGTCAGGGAGCTTTGCTGGTTCAGAGAGAGGATTGAGGTCATGCGACCAGGCAGGCTACCATGGCCACCAGCAGCTCTTTAACTTCCATGATGACTCGTAGATAAGCCTGGAGAGATGGATGGCTGCAGACTGGCAGGAACACTTGTCCTGGATTTGGGTAGGCCAGGGACACCAGGTTGCTGTTGCTGGAATACTTGGAACAAAAGCACTTGTTTCTGAAACCAGATATCTTATCATAACCAGCTCTTGCCTCTCCATTTATAAAGGATGGGGTCAGCTAGACTTGGGAGAGGACAACATGACACAGACATTAAAACAATTGTGTGTCCAGACCTGCCCAAAGGCTGTGGGCGAGTTGGCAAAGTGTGTTTCTGGTGCCCTCAGGTGCCCCTCTGTGGAGCTCATTTTGAGCCCACAGATGCCCCGTGCTTACTCCCTCCTCTGCTCCATCAGAATTTGTTTCAGTAAAGGATTTGATATCAGTCATGCACACTATAGTGGAATTAAAGCCATTTAAGCCTTTTCTCAGAGTGTGGCTCTCATGGCTTAAAAGGCAATCTACTATGATTAATCAAAGGCCACAGTACAAACCTTACTTAATTCAAAGAAATTCTAGTTTTTTGCTACTTTAGAAAAAATGAATTAAACAGTTTTTACTTAAAAAAAAACTTACAAGGGATGTTAATTAACTTTTTAATCTTGTAACTTTGGGAAGTAAGTTGGACAATTATTATTATTATTTTTAGAGATAGGATCTCAGTCTGTCACCAATGCTGGAGCGCAGTGGTACGATCATAGCTCCCTGTAACCTCAAACTCCTGACTCAAGCGATTCTTCTGCTTCAGCCTCCTAAGTAACTAGGTCTACAGCCATATACCACCATGTGGAGCTACATTTTTTTTTTTTCGTAGGAACGAAGTCTTGCTATTTTGCCAGGCTGGTCTCAAACTCCAAGCCTCAAATGATCCTCTCGCCTTGGCCTCCCAAAGTACTGGAATCACAGGTGTGAGCCATCATGCCTGGCATGGACAACTATTTTTGCCCCTATGTTGCAGGGAGGAAACTAAGGCAGAGAGCACAAATGATGTGCACAAGCTCCACAATGAATTAATGAGCTGGCATTAGCATGAAGGCCTCTGACTCAGGCACCAACGTCTTTCCAGGGACCCTATAGTCCCATGTAGGCCAAAGAAAGCTCCATACACCTCCCCCCTGCAGGTGACAAGTGCTCCACGCCTAAGTATCATTTAGCCCACGTAACAGTCCTAGGAGCTAGGGACAGTGCCTGCACTCACAGATATAGGCATGGGGGCTCAGAGAATTTTTTAAATTTTTAAATTTTTTGTGGGTACATAGTAGGTGTATATGTTTATGGGGTAATGAGAGATTTTGATATGCAATGCATAATAATCACATCAGGATAAATGGTAAGCAACTTGTCCAATTGCTTACAACCAGAAAGAGGCAGCATGAGAATTTAGTCCAGGTCTCTTGAGCTCCCAACAGGGCTCTTTGCTTGTAGCGGGTCGTTTAGAGAGTCCCCAGACCCCTCTCAGCATCTGAGCAGAGAGGGGTAGGAATGACGCACGAGGCCATAGCTTCCAGGCCTTTAGCTCTGGGGGAATAGTTGGTAAGGGGCTCCTGGGACTTTTCCAAGTCTCCAAGGCACTGGGAGTTCCCACGATGTGAAGATCTGCTGAGTTGGCTGAAAAATGTAAATAATGCACTTTTGGCTTTTTGAAGCCACATTCCATTTTAGTGATTTATCATCTTATAAAGGCAGAGAAGGGCAAAAACAAAATATGGGAATAAGTGATTTCCTATAGGGAGGAGGAGACTAGTCCCTGCTATGTTGTGTATTTATATTGAGTGTCAGATGCAATTCTTCTCCTGAATGTTCAGGAGAGGGGGTCTGATTCTCTGAATTCTTCCTCTGTGCTGTCATGAGACAAGGTGTCTGGTACAATTAAGAAAGGGCTTCAGTGTCTACTGCTGACTCCCCAGCCCCCAACCCTCTCCCCACCTCCATGAGCCTGTTAATTAGAAAGGAAAGGTCACAGCCTCTCCAGCAAAGCTGCCAGCAATTCATTGAAATACTCAAAGAATTTCTCCCAGTTCATCTACTGTCGTACACTCATTCATAAAACATTCACCAAGCATCTGTTTGTATGAGATGTCATGTTACATACACGTGTAGATTTATATATACACACATGTATATAATATATATAATGTATACATCTTATATGTATACATGTAATATATATGTAATATAATATGATAATATGAATATATGACATATTAAATATGAATTTATATATGAATATGTTATGTGCATATTCATATTATAAATATGTAGTATATAAATATATTCCATATACTTATATATGTTATATGTATGCTATATATACATATATGTATATACATAGGATTACATATGTATGTATTCATATAAATATGTATATATATTATATACACATAGTAATAAGCTAATATTTGGTGACACTTTCTGTGTCCCCAGGCACCATTCCAAGAAATTTACCTTATAACTCACCTCAGCCTAATACTTGACCCCATGAGGTAGGTATTTTATAATCCTTCATTTACAGATTAGAAAAACGAGGCACAGAGAGAGATAAAATAGCTTGGCCAAGATGTCATAGAGGGTTGAACGCAGTCTGCCTGAGTTCTCTCACTGAGTCTGCCTGTAGTGCTCTCACCCATCACAGAATGCCATCTCCAGGAAGACGAGGCAGTCGTACAGAGGTAGGAACAAAGGCCTAGGGAGTGCGGAGAAGGGCGGGGCCGTCTGCCAGGGAGAGGCCTGTGGTGAGAGGAGTTTTCACTGAGGAGATGGCTTGTGAACTGAGAGCTCATCTCAGCCTTGAAAATAATTGCCGGTGAGGTGCAGTGGCTCATGGCTGTCAAATAACACTTTGGGAGGTCTAAGTGAGAGGACTGCTTGAATCCAGGAGTTTGAGACCAGCCTGGGTAACATAGTGAGACCTTGTCTCTACAAACAAACACACAAAGAAAATAATTGCTTTTCTACCAGTATAATCAATAGTTGCTCCTTCATCTCTGCATGGGAATAGATTGACAACAATGATTGTAGCAGTAATAGTAGTAGTAGCAGCCGCAGCCATATTAGTATTAATCATGATGCCATGCTTGATTTGCCCAGCACTGTGACAGAGATCCAGGGCTTTAGATCTGCACGTTTCCCTGATAACTGAGGCCTATGCTTTCAAGACCAACATCTGTGCTGGCTCCAGTCTATGTTGTGTCTTTTTTTTTTTTTTTTTTTTTTTTTTGATAAAGTCTCGCTTTGTCGCCCAGGCTGGAGTGCAGTGGCGCAATCTTGGCTTACTGCAACCTCCGTCTCCCGGGTTCAAGCAACTCTCATGCCTCAGACTCCAAGTAGCTGGGATTACAGGTGTGTACCACCATGCCTGGCTAATTTTTGTATTTCTAGTAGAGACAGGGTTTCGCCATGTTGCCCAAGCTGGTCTCGAACTCCTGGCCTCAAGTGATCCTCCTGCCTCGGCCTCCCAAAGTGCTGGGATTACAGGCGTGAGCCACTGTGCCTGGCCTGTTATGTCTTTTAAGCCACTCAACAATTCTGTGAGGCAGCTCTTATTATTCCCATTGTCACATAAGAAAATGGAGGCTCCAAGGTGTTAGGTAACCTGTGTGCCTCAAGGGCCAGGTCAGGTTGGAGCTGGATTTGAATCCAGGTCTGCATGACCTTCCCACTTTACTTTGCTACCATTTTTAATTGATATCTTTCTAAAACATGCCTCACCTATACCTTCTTTAGTAAAACACAGCACAATGCAATGTAACCTTTTCTTTGTTGACTCAAGGCCACCCTTGTGAACACACTTGTGAAGCCATTGTCTGTGGTGTGCGTTTGAGCACTAAAAAAGGACCTAGCAGCCACCTGAGCCATCATTGACTTGGCCGAAACCGCTCTGCTGTTCTTTACCTGCCCAGAGATACTTTTAGGGATTATTAAATTGTATGGGGTGATGGAGTTCTATAGCACTATAAATAGCTCGGTCTGTTCTGTCCTTAGAGTTGTTGTTTTTTCAGATTCCCTCGCTGTGACCTTCTTTGTTCTCTGTCATCACTTCTTTAAGCCAGGTGCCTGTGCATCTATTTCCATGACCTCCACACTTCCAAACCAGCATTTTCCCACTCTCAGTTTGGAATTTAGGGTGAAACTGAATAAAGGTTGTCCAAGGAAACCAAGGATTGTGTTTGAAATGAAATCCAATATGATCAGTGCCCAAGAAAGAATGAAATGGATGAGCTCCGAGACAGCGGTTTAGATGGGACTTCCCAGATAGCTTCTTCGTTGATTCCTCCCAACAAGACTGTGTCATGGGTAGAGACAGTGATATTTCCACAGTTTTACTTGCTTAGGGTCATGCAAACTCATGAACTGGAATTGGAAATCAGGTCTTTTTTATTGCCTAGTTTCCTGACATTCCCCCTGGGTCAGTTTGCAGCAAATGGTCAGACACTTCTGGCCATCCACCTGTGGCTTCAGTGGGACCTATCAGGTAAGATAGGGTTGAAAAGGTCCTTGGAATTTGGCTCCATAAATTTTAAGGGCCCCCAAAATGACTGCCTCAGCTCAAAAGCATCTCTCTCAGGAACCCTGAGGCCACTCTGTAAGGCATTGATGGTAGTTGAAAATGGTTTTGGGGACACTAAACTACTATAACCCATTAACATCTTAAGAGTAATTAATTTATCATTCATTCTTGCATTCATTTGTATGCCAGGTGTCAAGTTCTTTGGCCATTAAGATACAAATGAAATAGCCTCAACTCCATCCCATATATGGTGGGAACCGCTTTCTCTCCTTCCCTTCATTGCTAATTTTCCCAGGGATTTGGATCAGGAAATGGGCTTGAGTTTTTCTTTGTCACCTGGGCTCTGAGCACCAGCTTCTACTGAATTAGTTCCATGGATGGATCAATTCCCCATCCCTATTCTCTCTGGCTTCATTCCAGATGTACAACACAGCTGCATTTCTTTGACTTCCCACAGAAAACATCACCCATACAGGGTACCCGAAGGTGTGGCAGACTTCACTGAAAGTTGAGCATAACAGTGAGAAGTGGTTCCGTTGTACCCTATAAACTGCAGATTCAAATATTAACCCCTCTTCCTCTCATTCTTAAAAAGTCCCTTGGCTGTTTGTACTTACACAGGTTCCTATTGTGTTTATTAGCTCTCTTCTTTTCTCTTTTGTCTTCTGCCTTCCAGAATTTTACTCCATTTCTTTTGCTAATCAGTTTTGTTCTCTCCAGCTCCCACCTCTCTAGATAACATTTTCTCCTTCCATTACACATTCATTCGTTCATTCAACAAGGATTAAGCAATATCTATTCTAACATTTATTTACAATGGGCTGCTGAATCATTTGTCTTTGGTACAAGATACAAGTCATGCCAGGCACTGTCGAGGATACAAAGGTGAAATTAGACATGGATCCTGAGCCCATGGTGCTGATAATCTCCATGGGGAGATGAGTTACGTGCCAGATAACCAGAATGGAAGTTAGAATGTGTTAAGAAATGTAAATGTGTGGGAAGACAGGCCATGCTTTAGGTGATGAGATGAACAGGGAACGTAAGGGCGTACTAGGATACAGTACCAAAAGAGGGATTAGGGCACAGGAAGCCTTTGGGATCAATATTTCTCCCTCTATTCCCCCACCTTAAAGTCCTGACTCTTCTATCAGACTGAGCTAAAGCAGGGATGAGAAGGGAAGTGGGTCCCCTTCCCTGGAAGCATGGCTTGGACATCTTGACTCTGTTAATAGTGACAGCCAAGATCAATACCCCCAATTCTCTGAGTGTAACTGTTGGAAGAAGCACCTGCCACATAGTAGGTACTCAATATCCCTTTGCTAAATGAGTGAATGGATGTTGAGGAGGACTGATAACTCATCTGGGTTTGGTACAAGATACAAGTCAACCCAATGAAAGCATAGAAAAATATAAGAACCTGGCTGGGAGTCAGGAGATCTGGGTTTTAGTTCTGGGTTTAGTCATGTTTTACCTTCTACCTTGGGCAGGAAGTCACTTACCCATTCATTCATTCATTCATTCACTCAGTTGTTGAAAGAGCACTGAAAGTATCTACTTTGTGTCTGACTCTAGGCAATGAAAGCTGAAGAAAGGGCACAAGTGGGACAGACAGAAACATACCCAAATGATAAAGAAGTTTTATACAATTTAGGTAAGAAATGTAATAAATATTAGAATATAGAGGTGCTCTGAGATCCCTCATAAACTGTTTTGCAAACAGAGAGGATGGGATGATTGTTTTAACCTTCCTTCGTCCAGCCTGTCTGGGCAGTCTAATTTAAAGCAATATCCTTAGAGTGCATTTAAATTGCTTATATCCTGTGACACTGGGAATAGTGAGCTCCACTTCATTCTGAAAAGGATGATTGCATCAAGGAGTAAGACACAGGACATATGGGTCACATTTAATGAAAACACATAACCTAGGTTTTCTTTGATCCTGTCCATTTAATATCCTCCAGGTGAGTTTAGGAGGCACTTACACCTCTAGATGGGAGGAAGGCTGCGGCCCGGTTGCTGAGGAGGGATGCGCAGTGCCCTGTGTGGGACTCAGGGTGCAGGATGCAAGCCAAGCTCTGCTTCCACTTGCTGCTCTGCTTCCACTTTCCACTCTGCTGGAGCTGAAATAATAGCATTTATTCCTTATTCTAGAAGTATCCTGGGATTCAGCTTCCATTTTTATTATGTGTGTGTATATATTTCCAAACATACATTTGCATAGTTGAAAAAGACAGAGAAGGCACATGTCAAAATGTTATTAATAATAGCTGTCCGCTGAGTTTTTACTATGGATCAAGTGCTTTAAAAGTATTTTTCCAGTTAATCCTCATAACAAATGGATATGGCTAAGTATTCTCCCCATTTTACAGATGAGGAACCTAAGGCATCATTAGTTGGAGGTGCTTGCCTGAGCTCAGTGCCCAGCCCCCTCTCTGCCAGGTCCCGGGAACCTGAGTCCTCCTCTGCAAGGAACTCCCAGTCCAGCAGCGTCGCTTCTCTCACAGTGGTGATGTCATCCTTTCAGATGAGAGTCAGGACCCTCAAGGAATTGTGACAATCAAGGTAGGTCAAAATGGGAGAGTGGCCACGTTATTCAGTTATTCAAAATATATACATAAGATTTAAAATAACCAGATTTCAATGTTAAACATCATTCTCATTTTTGTAAATAGAAAAAAAAAGGAAAAAAAATGTGACTGAAGAGAAAAGAAAATGAAAGCAAAAGTGGAAGAGATGAACTATGAGGAAAGGAGGTGTGATCATAGATGTAGAAAATTACAATAATTGTAGGCAAATGCAGGTGTAACTCTATAGCAACAAATTCGAAAACCTAGAAGAGATGAAGCATAAATAGATGCAATAGGAGATGAAACACTTGAATAGATCGATACAATTCTTTTTACATAATGCTATTTTATTTAGAAGACCACTTCTACCGAGGCGGGTGGATCACGAGGTCAAGAGTTCGAGACCAGCCTGGCCACCATGGTGAAACCCCGTCTCTACTAAAAATACAAAAATTAGTGGTGGTGCACACTTGTAATCCCAGCTACTCGGGAGACTACCACTTCTATATTCATCAACAGATTTAAAGGAGGGGAACATGTGCTCAGATTTATAAAGGTTGATAAGGCATCCAATAAAATTCAGCAGGCTTTCCTAATAAAATTCTGAAGAAGAATAGAAGGAAATAGCTAAATATGATAAGTATTATTTGTCAAAAACCAACACCAAATATTACCAATGGTGATATGTTAAAACATTTTCATTTAAATCTGAAGCAAGGCAAGGGTATCCACTATCTCCATTATTATTCAACATCATTTTGGAGGTGCTAACAGGTTCTATAAGATAAGAAAGTGAAATAACTTGTACAGGTTGAGCTTCCCTCATCTCAAAACCTGAAATCTGAAGTGTCCCAAATTCTGAAAATTGTTGAGCACTGACATGTCGCCACAAGTGGAGGATTCCATACAGAAGTACTGAACACAAATTTTATTTCATGCATAAAATTATTTAAGATATTACATAAAATTATTTTTAGGCTATGTATATAACGTGTGTATGAAACATAAATGAATTTCATGTTAGATTTTAGTTCCATCACCAAGATATCTCTTATATATATGCAAATATTCCAAAATATAAAAAAAGTCTGAAATCTGAAACACTTCTGGTGCCAAGCATTTTGGATAAGGTATACTCAACTTGTATAAAATTTTGGAAGAGAAGAGATAAAATTGCCCTTTTGGCCAATGCCATAATTGCATCTAGAAAACCCAAATATTCTAGAGTTGGTAGCACAGGTATGTGAATACTGTCCTTGGAGGTGTGTGCAGCACACTGGCATTGGCTGAAACATGTGTGTAGTGGCTAGACATGGGAACTCAGGTGACAGCCTCTCAGTGGACAAATGGCAGAATGAGTAGAGTGGAAGCATACCATGGAATATTGGGCAGTCATTAAACAGAATGAGTCAGATCGATACTACCTGACTCAAAGGGATTTCCAGGATGCATTGTGAAATTAGGAAGGTAAGGTGCAGAGAAATTTGTGTAGCAAAGCCCCATTTTTGTGACATAACCTATGCTCCCATGTTTGAATGAGCATGAAGAAAGGTACTGGAGGATACATGCCAAGGAGGGAGATGGGGAAGTGAGGCCAACCAAGCCAAACCAGACCAGACCAAATGAGATCAGACCAGATCAAACTAGACCTGACCAGAGCAGACCAGATCAGACCAAACAAAACTACACCAGACCAGACCAACTAGTCCTGTCCAGATCAGACCAAGTCAAACCAAACCCAAACACAACAGACTGTTAAAGTGTCCCTGATTAAGCAACTTGAGTGACATCCCTTTTATGTTATGCATGTGTGTGTCTGTATGTAGATGCATATAATCATAGATGAAATGATGGTCATTGAATTATTGATGGTGACAACTCAGTGTATGGGATCTCAGGTGATTTTTATTTCCCTTGAGCTTTTTATATTAAAAAATACAGAGCGTATGTATTATTTACATAATTAGGAAAAAATGGAAAAAGTGTTTTTCATTGCAGAATGATTTTTAGAAAAGGGAGGGAAAAAAAGAACCTTACTGTTCTGCAAGTGGCAGTATAAGGGGGCCACTCTTCTTGGTGGCCCTTCTGCAGCCCACTTTGGTGAGGTGTATCTATCCCAGAGCCCACTGGGGAATGCAGAGGCTGAACACTGACTGCGTAGACCAGACCTCAGGGACCTTCATGCACACAGTATGTTTCTGGGCTCCAACCACATTGTAGTACATCTTCTGTGTCTCTGGCTTCTGCCCTGAGCCTCTTCCCAGAAATTTCAGGAGAGAGACTGGGAGGGACTGTAGGAAGCAGAGTGAGCTCGAAGTCCTCTTCCAGGACAGGAAACCAAGTCCTGCTGTGGCCACACAGAAACGAAAAGATAAAGTTGATCGGGGCACAGGACCGAGTCATTCCTAAGGGAGCTCACATTTTCGCATATTGATGCATAAGAAGAATCTCTAGTTACACTGGTGTAATTCTCCAGGCTTTTCTCTTCTCTGGTTCGAAACTGCTCTGGATCACGTGGCTTTCCAGGGAGACCTGTGGGATTAAGAAGAGAGTGGGCCTACAACCCCATTTCCAGTTGTCTACTATAGAAAACAAAGTACAGGCTCTCATCTGAATCTGTGGGCAGAGTCTGGCTGGGCTCTCTATAATCCTTCCCTGGTCTTCCCTGGCTCTGTAACTAAGAGTTGAGCACTTCCACACTCTCTCCCCACAAGTCTTGATGCTGGAAAGGAAAGCATTGCAAAGCCACAGCTCAGTGTTGCAGCTTTGTTTTCACGCAAATCTTAAACTCTCTTTGTTCTCACCTCTGTCATCCCTTTACTTTTATTTACCTGATGCTAGGAAAGAGTTAGGTCTAATGGCTGAGACATGAAAAATGTCAAAGACCAGCATGAGAACTAGGCCCAGGGGTGCCTCTTCCAGTCTCTTTCTCAAGTAGCTTTCTCAGTTTTGGGGGACATTGACGAAGTCTCCCACAATATCTTACACTAAGTAGTTGTTTGATAAATATGTATTGAAGTAAGGTCTTTATCTCCCCCAATACCGCATGTGAGAGGCCACGAATAAACCTGCCTGCTTCACTCACATGTCAGCACGGGCTTGTTTATCTGGTTAACTCACAGACCTATCCATCTGTTAGAATAGCTGGGCGTTGTGGCGGGTGCCTGTAATCCCAGCTACTTGGGAGGCTGAAGCAGGAGAATCGCTTGAACCCAGGAGGCAGAGGTTGCAGTGAGCCGAGATCATGCCACTGCACTCCAGCCCGGGCAACAAAGCAAGACTCCATCTCAAAAAAAGAGAAAAGTCCCCTTTCATTCTCTGGAACTCCTTAGGCCCTGATAGAATGAGTCAAGGGCAGACATCTTTTGAGGCCTGGGGCAGTGGGGGGAGGACAAGCAGGGAGGGAGTGGTAGATCCAGAGAGGCCCTGCCACAGAGAAAGGTAGAAGGGAATGGAGTCAGGAAAGGTGGAGGAAAGCCCTTCAATAAAGCTTGGGGGACCTCAAAGATAGCCAGTGATAATGGCAACAATAATATGATAATTGCCACTGGGCAAGGATTGGAAGATAAATCATTTTCTCTCTTGCTCTCCAGGGGATGTTTATGGATTGCTTTTTCTTTTACTTTTCAGTGTTCAGGCCCAGGAACAGTAGGAAGGGATCCCTGGGCCAATGCCACATGCATTGGTTCTGGGCTGTCATGCCTGGGTTGCTGTGTCTTTCAGTAGGAGATAATTGGGTAAGGTGGGAGGAAGGGCCTTGCACACCTAACAAGGCAGGGGCCCTTGTACGGACAGCTGGGCAGGGATAAGGGAGGTTTAGGAGAGGCTAGGGCAGCAAAGAAGTTCACTGTTACAAAACCAGAGAGGTAGATTGAGCCTGAGCCCCGAGCCATGGGCCAAGCCCTTTCAACACCACTCTAGCTGGCCTGGGGAAAGGGGTTCATTTCTGGCGCCAGCCCAGGTCTGAGCAGCCTAGGTTCAGGGTGAGTTCAGGTTATACTGCCTGCTTTCCTGCTCTGGGCCCCTCCCCAGCAGGACTGGCTGGCCTGCAGACCTGCAGAGAGTCAGGCCCACCTCCTCCCTGGGGACAGGGCTACCCTGACCTGTGGCTCCCTGTGCACCTTGTCTTTGTGACCCAGTGTAAGCTATTCTGGGTGGGGCCTCCATCTCTTCTCAGGCCTCCTCAGCACTTAGCAAGGTGTCTCCTACACAGGTGATCTCAGAACCAGCTTTGAGGTCATACAGACTTGGTTGCAAATTCTGCCTCTGCCTTGAATCAGCTATGTAGCCATAAGCCGGAGGAATTCTCTGAGCCTCAGTTTTCTAGCCTGTAAATCAGCAATAAATGCTTCTAAGAGCAGTTGTGAGGACTGAATGAAGTAATGCACGTGATGCGCTTGCAGCTCAGTGCTGGACACACACATGATGGCCACCAAGCCTAGAAACAGGTCTTATCACTTTGTCATGTATTATAATGTCATATTAATAAATCATTTATCATGATTTTGCCTGTGTTTGCAGAACCAGTGGCCACTCACTGATTCTGGATTGAGTTGAAAGCCCTCAACCCATGGTCATCCATTCACAGTGACAATCAGGGACAGCAGGTGTCTAAGCACTTGCTGCCTTCCATGGTCCAGATTTCCCTTGGTTGTTTCCCCTCCAGGACACCCCAGCTTTCCCCCACTTTTTGGAAGGGCTGCCATCCAGGTCTGTTTCTGATGAACAGGGAAGGTGCTCAGAGGCAGGCTGGGCCATGGGGATATCCCAGGGTAAAGTCAGTTCAGGGCATCAGCTGTTCTGTAGGGGTTGGGCACAAGCATTCCTTAGAGACCAGCAAAGCATGTGGTACTGACGCACCACCTTCAAGGCCCCACAAATCAACACTTGGATCTAATTGCTGTTTGCCTGCCACACACAGAGATTTTAAATATTCAGGAGGATCAGAAAAGTAGGCAGACTTTGAGTGGTTGCTAAATCATCAATCTGACTATTCTATACAGAGTCTTTGAGCACCTATGCGGCAAGGGCACAGAGGTCTAAGAGATGGTCCCTGTCCACAGGGGGCAATGTCTGTTTTGGGGGAAAGGAGAAAGTGCCCAGGATAGCACAAGCTGGAGAAGCTCACAGAGGGAAAGACCACCTAGACCTGCGCATTTAGTGAAAGTTGCCCAGCGGAGGTACCCACGTTGATTTAATTGTTTGTTCTTTCATGGAAACATCACACTTAGGTGAATTTGAGAGGATATTGGTGGAGTGTCAGTAACCTGTGACACTCCTCATTTTGGGCTTCTAGAGCAAAGGCTGGCAAACTTTTTCTATAAAGGTCTAGATAGTACATATGGTCTTTCCCTGTCCTCCTCCTTCTCCTTCTTTTTACAACCCTTTAAAAATGTAACAACCAAAATAAATAAATAAATTTTAAAAATATATAACAACAACTCTTAGCTCAGTGGCCATATAAAAGCAGACCAAGGGCTGGATTTGGTATACAGCAGCAATTTCCTGACCACTGTTCTAGAGAATTACCAGAAGCCTGATACCATTATTATTAACAATAATAATAACTTAGCCCCGAGTTTAGTGTGCAGGCACCAAGCTATGCACTTTACCTACATTATCGTATATAATTCTCATAACATCCCAGTGAGCAAGGTACTATTATTGTACCTTTTCTAGGAGAGCAATTAAGGCACAAAGAGGTTAAGTAACTTTCTCAAGGGCACTCAGCGAGGAAGTGGTGGAGGCTGAATTTAAATCTAGGTCTATGTGATGGAAGCACCCACTTTCTTAGCCTGCATCACGCCAACCTCAGCACTGCTATGTGGGAGTACAAGGAGGCTGGGATAGTGCTTTTCCTTCCAGTGGCTCCAGGGAACATCCATGTCACTAACAGAAAAATGTAGGCCGGGCGCGGTGGCTCACGCCTGTAATCCCAGCACTTTGGGAGGCTGAAGTGGGCGGATCACGAGGTCAAGAGATCGAGACCATCCTGGCCAACATGGTGAAACCTCGTCTCTACTAAAAATACAAAACAAATTAGCTGGGTGTGGTGACATGTGCCTATAGTCCCAGCTACTCAGGAGGCTGAGGCAGGAGAATCACTTGAACCCGGGAGGCAGAGGTTGCAGTGAGCTGAGATTGTGCCACTGCACTCCAGTCTGGTGACAGAGTGAGTTTCTGTCTCAAAAAAAAGAAAAGAAAAGAAAAATGTAGAGAAGTAGACAGAATTGGGTAGAAGGTCGAAAGACACAATCTGGCTTTCTAATGGTTTCCCTGTACTCCAGGTATTGCTACTGACATAAAGCGGCACTAGAAGCAGAGAGGACTGTAGCAAGTAGCATTGATTGCAAAAATGATCTTCATTTGATCATCTTTGAAATGGGGATACAGTAGCCACACCTGTCCCCACTACCCCTCTCAGCTCAACTATGATAAAGAACTCTTTGCAAGTACTCTTAGTAGCTTCTGGGGCATTAATTAAATGAGAGTCTGGATTTATTCATTCATTCCATGTACACACGGCTCCATTCCAAAAAGGACCTGATATGTGTACAAGTTTGCATGGGATTATTCTTTCTCCAGTAAGAGTGGGAAAATAGTTACCAGCTCTCAGCACATACTTTAAATTTTTTTTATTTTTTTGAATCCAGAAAGGAAATTAAAATGCAGAGAAGAAAATAAATGCATTTATTACTTCCCAGAATGAATTACTTAGTAATTTTTAAAAAACCCAATAAACAAAGAAAAAAAACCACACACACATAAAAGAATGGGGTAATTTTGAGTTGTTTTCCCAAAGACAGGCCCTGCCTCGGTACACAGGACCCAGCTGTTGCGCATTAAGGATGACACAGAGGGGCTGGGCATGGCAGCTCACGCCTATAATCCTATTGCTTTGGGAGGCCAAGGCAGGAAGATCGCCAGCAGTCTGGGGGTTACTCAAGGTAGCTCAACTGAGTGGCACTCACCTTCTGTTCCACAAACCCTTGGGCAGCCCTGAGACTCAGAGGGTTGAGAGGTCAAAACTATTTTCATAACAATACCGTGCTGCATGGACACTTGCACTCCAATGGTGCAAAAGCAAAAAAGGGGAGTATAAAACGGCTGGTGCCTTAGCATGAATCAAAGACAGCCCTCAAAGGTACTAGCGGTCTTGTTCTTCTCCGCTGCTATGCACTCACAAGATAAAAAAAAAAAAAAAAGGCAATGGGTTAAGAATGTCTTTGATGAAATGCTAAAATAATTGTGTGGAATCTCAGTCCTGGAGCAGGAGTCTTGCTACCACCATGTGACGGAAGGGACCAATGCAGAAAGCATCGTGGCGAGCTGCAGTGGTGCTCTGGAGCAAAAGCACGTGTGTGATTGTTCAAGGTGTGAAAACTGAACTAGCCGCTTCTCTTTGAAACACCACTTTTAATCAAAAGAATGACTGACATTCAAACTCTGTTCTCTAGACCTGTATTTGGCAGACAATTTCCTGAATATGGGTGAACTAGATGTCTACTATCGGCCAAAATGGAACAACAGTAACCGAATTACCCTCTCCCACCTTAAAGAACTAAGAAAAAAAAAACAGGTAAAATATTAAAAATAACAGGCTCAGGACAGCGAACCATGAGAAGGGACACAAACGAGGCATCCCAGCTTGCTGTCTGGAGGGAGTGTGCAGGCCACAGTGCAGTGGGGGAATCCAAACAGAGCTGGGGGCTCCCTGAATTGAGAAAATGGCATTGAGAATTCAGGGAGGTCAAGGTGGCTAGAATTCACAGGGCAGAGCACTAGAGGGGAAAGAGCTGCCCAGAGAAAGAGAAAGATTGCTCCAGAGATCTGCAGAGGAGAGCTCTAAGCACTGAGCTGAGCCCTGAGCTAGGCCTAAGGCCTGTGCAGAAATCACTGTTCCTCATAATGGATGTCAGGCAGCAGTGACCATAGGTAGATGAGGTTTGGCGGGACTCTTAGGGCCCCATGACTCCATGGGTTTTTGTCTTTTATCCCCAAACCTGTCACCCTTCAGAGCCCAGATTAACTGACTGGGCCGTGGCTCAGGAAAGGGAAGGTAGAGGGGAGAGAGCTTGTGGGTTAGGAGTTCTCTTTGCTGGTGCCTTTCGCTCTAAAGCAGTGCCATTGGCAGAAGCGTCCTGAGAGTCATGCTGGGCTGCCCTCACCTGGAGCCTGAGGATGGAGTAATGACACATACACTGTACAGTGTCTTACTTTAAGTCCTGGAAGTGGCCTAGATACGTCCTTCGATGTCATGGGTTTTTGTAAAATTTATGGTATAATTATTATTTTTTAAAGTTTTTTCTTCAAAGGGGCCCCCAAATTAATCAGGTTCGGGGTTCACGAAAATTGGATCCTCCTCTGGTAAGGAGGTTTCCCACACCTAGATTCCTGGTGTTATACAAGAAGCCCCACTAAAAAACCAGCCGTTTTTCCTTCCTTCATTCATCCATGTAACACAGGTGCTCCGAGGGCTCACCACGTGCCGGCCCCGGCCAGCTCTGGAACACTGGGGTGAACACCACACGACAGCTGCAGCCCCTGCCTTTGTGCTCTTCAGTCTGATGGGGACCAAGGGAGGGGAGGAGTCACCCGAAGCAATTTAACTGAAAGGGGGGTAGGTGCGTTGAGGGAGGGGATGGGTGCTGTAAGCAAGGACAAGTCGGGGCCCCAACTCCTGGAGAAGGGGCATTGAGTGCAACTGTGAACAGGAGCAGGGGCTGGCCAGGCAGAGGGCAGAGGGCGGCTGCCAGGAGGGCTGACTTCCAGGCAGAAGGGGAAGGCAGCTGTGTGCAGGGCTGGGACTCAACTGCCGTGGCACGGTTTCAGCCCAAATCATAGGCTCTTTTTATGATTCTTTGTAATTCTGCTCACATCAAAGTCAAAATTGCCTGCATCTGGACAGCCACTCTCTCCAGGCCAATTACAGACACCGTTTCTGGAGTGTCTCCTGGTAGCTCACCACTTCCTCCCTGCAACACCAGTCCTGTGGGCTCGGCCAGAGCTAGTCCTGGTAGGAAAGCCAGAGCAGTGAGGGACCGGGGTGTGGGGTGAAGGATGGACAGCTACAGAGGTCACCGGCAGGACCACACCCCCAAAAGGGCATCAGGAATCTGACCTTGCCAGGGAATGTTGGCGCCCAGAGTAAATTGCTCCTTAGCCTCTGCTAAGATGTCTGATAGGTGTGAGTGTACTCCCCACACCAGGTCAGAACTGACAGCAAAGCCATTTTCTAGGAGGAGGCAGCTGCCCACAAAACCTCCAGCAGCTTCCAGGGCCTGAAATGCCCACTGTGAGAGTTACCCCTTAAACAGACATGCCCTGTGCTGTTCAGTTAGGCTAAAGCATGGCTCTCTGGGGTCAGTGGATGGAAGGATGGAGGTGGGAGGAGGTGGTGAGATCCTGGACTTAGTGAACACCTGCCCGTCTTGTGCCAGGCATCGTGCCACTGGGCGTTTGCAGGTACATCATCAATTCAATCCTCCCGTGCGCCTTGGCGGTAGATAATCTTGTCTCAGATAAATCGAGGCCTCTGGGTTTGCACTGTAGCTTTCATTCACAAGGTGTTGCATTCAGAAGTAACAGCAGAGCTACATCCAAACATAATTGAAAAGCAATTTGAATAGTTTGTTGTCTTTTGAAAAACATCTAAGGGGATTATATATATCCATCAAGCATAGCAAAATGTTTAGAATTCTGTGCCACCATGTAGCTGCTCCCACTCCCCAACATCCGAGTAGGGCAGCTGCTCCAAGATCTGCCATTGCCCCCTCTCAAAATCCCCCCACACTCTCTGGGAACGTCTCTCCCTTCTCCCCTTTCCCTTTGTGGATAGCTCTTTGCTCTTTCCAGTGGCGATCTAGCTGGCCTTCCCCGTTCTGCTCAATCCTGCAAGCACAGTCCCCAACCTAGGAGGGCCCAGAACTTCTTGCCAGAGGTCTCTGACCCCAGAGCTACGTGTTTGTTTTGTGAAGCCTTTGACGTCTGTGGGGAGGGAAGAGGAGGAGAAGGCCAGTGTCTTGTAAAACCGGAGGCATCACGAGGCTGGCCCGTCCAGCACCCGCTGGGCTCTGGCCCTTGTGCCCACTTCAGACCTGCAGGCTGAGCAGCTGAGGGAAGGGAAGGGAAGGGAGAGAACCCTCCACCTGGGGAGGGGAGGCCCCAAGCCAAAGGGGTAGCCTTCCAGGTGTGCATCAAGGTGTGCAGACCGGCTGCAGTCTGCAGGAGACAAATGTCCCCACCTCTGTGAGGCTCTACTGAGAGACTCAAGGGCATCAGCCAAGATAAAAAACGACTCCTTGGGCAGAAAATTCAAGCCATTGATTCTTTCTCCACTGGGAATGAGAAGAAACAACCACGACCTTCCGTAGCCTACAGACAGCAGGAGAGAGGCAGCTGCCATTTGGTGTGGACTGTCTTCCTTCCTTCTGCCCTTGTCCTGTTTCCCCTCCCTCTTCCCCTCCCTCTTCCCCTCAATCTGAGAAACCCCTTGGTATCAGTGGCTCTGGTTCCATTCTTCCCTCCTTCCGTTCTTTCTTTCCTTCCACTTTCTTTTTTTTTTTTTTTTGAGACAGAGTCTTGCTCTGTTGTCCAGGCTGGAGTGCAGTGGCATGATCTTGGCTCACTGCAAACTCCATCTCCCAGGTTCAAGCAATTCTCTGCCTCAGCCTCCCGAGTAGCTGGGGTTACAGGTATGCACCACGATGCCTGGCTAATTTTTTGTATTTTTAGTAGAAACAGGGTTTCTCCATGTTGGCCAGGCTGGTCTCAAACTCCTGACTTCAGGTGATCCTCCCACCTCGGCCTCCCAAGGTGCTGGGATTACAGGCATGAGCCACGACGCCTGGCCCCTTCCTTCCACTTTCTTTCACTCTTATCACCAAAAGGACTGGGCTTTAAAAAAACTCCTCAATCTCATTGTCAGTGTCCGCACATAAGACTCACCTGGGGAACTTTTATAAAAAGGATCTCCCCTCTTTCCAGACCAATTAAATCAGAAACTCTGGGTAGGGCTGGGGCATCAGCATTTTTAAAAAAGCTCCCTCCAGGAGATTCTAAGAGGAAACCAAGATTGAGAACCCAGAGACCCAGGGACTGTTGGAACTGGAAGGCACCTTAGGGCTCGCCAGGAGCCCAGGAGCCCAGGCCTACCAAGCTGGGACTATGCCCGTGCACTGGGTTTGGTGCCTGGCTCAGCAATGGAGGCCTCTGTGGCCTGAGCAGGAGCTGTAGGGCCTCTGAAGGTCAATCTAATGTGGCAGCTTTACCTCCCCCATCCCCCTCTCCCCACAGTATCCCATCTCTTCCTGAAGGCCTGAGGCACCCTCTGAGAAGTGAGCAGAGAGGCCGGAGGGTCTGGGCTCTGCTTGGCCACCACATCTCCAGCTTTTACAACGAGCAGTACTACTGCTGTAAGTTCCCAAACCTGGGGCATTTTTGGCAAGTTATTAATCCCTATTAAGCAAGCCATTAATCTCAATTAACTTGATTGCTTAATTAGGCAGGGCAAACAAAGAAGGAAGTCCATAGAAATTGCTCATGGGGCACCAACAGGCTGTGTGGTCTTTGAGAACCAACAGGAGTCAGGGGCCTGAGTTCTGTTAGCCCTTTTGCCAAGACCTGTGTCTTGGCATTTCACATCACTAAACCAGGGGTTGATGAATGGGCTGTTCCAGTTAAAGGGCTATGTAGATAAGCAATTTTCAAAGACTTGGAAAAAAAATAGATTCAAACTTAAAACCATACTAAACAGTCTATAATTTCTCTTTGCTACCAATTGCATTTCAGATGTGTGCCCTGTCATTAGTATTGCACTGTGAAGGTTGATTGGAATCACATAGGACTGTAAATGGTAATAACAGGCATTCAATAAAAAGTTACTAAATAAAATAAAAATATTTCTAAGATTCTGAGCTGGGCTATCAGTGAATTTACTTTGATTGGTTTATATTAATACATGTTGGCCAGGCACGGTGGCTCATGCCTGTAATCCTAGCACTTTGGGAGTCCAAGGTAGGTGGATCACTTGAGCCCAGGAGTTCAAGACCAGCCTGGGCAGCATGGGAAAACCCTGTCTCTACAAAAAAATGCAAAAATTAGCCAGGCATGGTAGCACACGCCTACTCAGGAGGCTGAGGTGGGAGGATCACTTGAGCCAGGAAGGTCAAGGCTGCAGTGAGCTGCGATTGCGCTGCTGCACTCAGCCTGGGCCACAGACTGAGACCCCATCTCAACAACAACAAAAAGAATGTATGTTAATTGTAGCAAATTTGAAAGTTGTGGAAAAAGACAAGAAAGTCAAGCTGAGATCACCGTTGTAAAGTTTTGTGTTGGTGTTTCTAATTCTGTTTTTTCATGTACATATGCATAGCTTTCAAAGTTAAAATCTCTGCTATGCAAAAGTGGGGCTGGGCAGATGGCCTGCAAGAGTTTTAGGCCCTCATGCTAGATTCTGCTGGGGGCCTGCTTGGATCCTCTTTACCGCGGGGGCACCTGCCCCCAGCTGCTGTGAGTGTTGCATACTGTTGGCTCATGCTTGTTTACTTCTCTGGAGGCTTGCCCTTTACCAAGTGGGAGCTGCCAACCCTGAAAATGCCTGGAGGTTATCCAGGGATGGCAATGTCCTTCTCCCAGGGGCAGCTCACAGCTAATGACTGCCTGATGCTGGAAGCAAAAACCTAGCTCCTTTGCCTCAGCTGACACTGGAACAGCTTTGTGGTGTCACTTATGTCCCAGAGCAACCTGTGGATCAGGCTGAGGTTAGATTTTAGCTGAAGCCAGCTCTTTGCTTAGCTTCCTTTCTACCTCATTCTACTTCCTCGACTATCTTACTGGTTTCTCTGGGGCCCCGTCTATAGGAATCGCCGGCTTAGCTCTACTTCTGGAGCACCTGACCTCTGGCAGCTCCTTTCAGCTCTAGCCCTTAGGACCAAAGCGTGAGACTTGCTCCTCAAAGCAGCCTCAGCATCACCTGGGGTCTTGTTAGAAGTGCAGAATGTCAGGCCTCAAGCCAGACCTACTGTCTGCGTCTGCATTTTAACAAGATCCCAGGGAGATTCTTATGCACATTAAAGATTGAGAGGACTATCCTAGATATCAGTGTTGTAGGAGAGAGTGAGGTAGGGCAGGAGTGGAAGGTGGTTCTTCTTTGGCCTAATTTCCACTGGAGCCCAGGGGGGTGAATGAAGAGGGAAGACAATGTGAGGAAATCTAAGGATTTATGCTGCGTCCCTGAAGGCAGGGTGAAGAACACCTTTGCAGTGGAAACACGTGAGGGGCTGACAAAAATGGAGGATTCATTCTAGGCAAGAAGGGGTGGTTCCTGGATAGGGAGGGTTGGGTGTGTCATCTGCAGGTTCTAATTCCTTACCTTCCACTAATTCAGGGGCAGGTGAGCTGCGGTGAGCTTCTTAGTTCTCTGGGTTTTCTGTCCTTCCGTATGTAACATATAGGATTTGGACAAGTTGATTTCAATGATGCCCTACAGATTACACCCTGTATAGGTCTAAGAAGAAAACAACAACAACAAAAACGGCTCCTATAGCTACAGTCACAAATCTTAGGCAAAGATGACAGACACATCAATTGACAGAGGCAGTTGCTGGGATGTAGAACCCACAGCCCAAACTTAGGACCTGTGCATCAATTCTATTTCATTGCATCAAAACTTTTTTTAAAAAAAAGAAAGAAAAAAAGGAAGGAAGGAAGGAAGGAGGGAGGGAGGGAGGAAGGGGTTGAAATCACAGAGTGGGTGCTCTCTGAGAGGTACATGCAGGGACCAAGGGAAACAACGGAGTGAGCAGCAATTCTCCCAGCTTGTGGGACCGCATGATATAGACAGAATGGGCCTGACATTGAAGAGTGCTCACTGTCACGTCGCATTGCTTCCTGCACAGCAATGTGCCTCCCAGAGCTTGCACAGAGTTTGGAGGTCAGTTTCATACCCTGGAACTACATCTGCCTGGTCAAATTCCAGATGCTAAATGAAGAGGGTTGTTTCTGGACAAACTTGGGCTGGCAAGGCTGTCACGCTTCTTAGTCACCTTCCTTCCTTTGGAATTTCCCCTCCTGGCCTCAGATGCCCAGAGCTGCTTAGAAAACCCTCACGGTGGTGCCTGATCAAGGCTGACCCCCTATAGACAGTGGCTTATGTTCCAGAACTTTCCCAACCTTTTTCCTTCCATCAAACTCTTAGGTCAGTTTCCTCTCCTGTGCCATCTAATCCAGGAGCCAGTAGTTATATGTGGCTGTTTACGTTTTAAATGTCAGTTAATTAAAATTAGGCAAAAATTCAGTTTCCCAGTCACACAAGCCACATTTCAAGGCTCAATAGCTGTATGTGGTAGTGGCCACCGTATTGGACCATATAAAGAACAGTTCCATCATCACAGAGAGTTCTATTGGACCACGCTCATCTATATCACTCCTGTGCCTTATTCACCTGGCAGTACATCTGGCCAGTATATGGCATGCAGGAGGGGGAATATTCAGAATGCCTCCATGTTCTGCCTGCATGTGTCCACTCCTCTGGCAAGCCCTCCTTTCACTCTTCCTTCAGATCCTGCCTGCTGTTATCTGAACATTCTGCCTCTGGAGAGCTCCGTGTCCCTCCCCTCCTGGTCTCTAATCACCACAGATAACTGAGCTGTCTACCTTCCATCACTGTGCTGAAATCCCCAATGTGGCCTCAGGCTTGCCGGCAGAGCAGCTTCATGGTCATTGATCATATTAACTAAAATATTAGGTTGGTGCAAAAGCAATTTTTTAAAACATCAAATGGAAGGTGAGGATTTAAAACAATCGGGGGCATGAAGTCCCCCAAACCATCTTCTGCTTGCCCTTCTTACATCCCAAGTATGGCAAGGAGGCCTCACAGTCTTGAAGTTGAGAGCCAGCTAAGTGCATGAGATAAGGTTCCAGTTGACCTGCGTTTTACCCAGCCAATGGCATGCCTCTTTTAGGCCCAGCCTAATTCCCTGGAAGAACAATAGTTGTAATTTTTTTTTTTTTTTTTTTTTTCAGACAGTCTTACTCTGTCGCCCAGGCTGGAGTAGAGTGGCGCCATCTCGGCTCACTGCAACCTATGCCTCCCAGGTTCAAGCAATTCTCCTGCCTCAGCCTCCTGAGTAGCTGGGATTACAGGCACGTGTCACCATGCCCAGCTAATTTTTATATTTTTGGTAGAGATGGGGTTTTGCCATGTTGGCCAGGCTGGTCTCAACTCCTGACCTCAAGTGATACACCCACTTCGGCCTCCCAAAGTGCTGGGATTACAGGCGTGAGCCACCACACCCGGCTAGTTGTCGCTATTGAACATCACATATGGGACAGGTGCACACATCATCTCATTAAAGATAATTGAAATATTTCATTTAGTTGGGTATTGGGATGGTTTCTTTCACAGATAATTCCTGTGGTCTCTATTGGGATTAATTTATTTATTAAGGCAGGGATAGAGGAAGGAAGCAAACACAGCTCAAGGCCTTTGCAGATATTCCCTCATTTAATCCTTTTTGAGTGTAAATCAGGCAGCTTTGCCCACATGAGTGTCCCCATCTCCAGGTTAGCACTGTCACCTGGGTCCCTGGATGGCAGTGACAGTAACAATAAAGAATAGCTATAATAATGATGTTTCACAGTTGCTTACCACTTGATGCTTTTCTCCAATTATGAACTATTTTAAACATATACAAAAAAACACAACACCCAGCTACCCACCACCTAGACTGAACAAATATTAACATTTACCACATTTGTTTTAGATTTAAAAAATTATTGAGACAGTTGTAGTGTCCTTTGTATTCTTCCCTGATTCCATCCCCCTTCCTCCTCCTCAGAGGTATGGATTATTCTAACTTGGTGTGTAGATTTTTCATCTGAGTTTAGGACTTTTACTGGTATGTGTGTATTCAATAAACAATTCATAGTATTTTTGTGTGCTTAAAATTTACATCAATAGTGATATGATTTGGCTCTGTGTTCCCACCCAAATCTCACCTTGAATTGTAATGATCCCCACATGTAAAGGGCGGGACCAGGTGGAGGTAATTGGATCATGGGGGTCGTTTCACCCATGCTGTTCTCGTGATAGTGAGTGAGTTCTCACGAGATCTGATGGTTTTATAAGGGGCTTCCCCCCCCCTTTGATTGGCACTCATTCTCTCGCCTGCTGCCCTGGGAGGAGGTGCCTTCCACCATGATTCTAAGGTTCCTGAGTCCTCCCCAGCAATGCGGAACTGTGAGTCAATTAAACCTCTTTTCCTTATAAATTACCCATTCTTGGGTATTTCTTCACAGCAGCGTGAGAACAGACTAATACAAATACTTCACACATTCCACAATTTTTTCTCTCAGCACTTTGTATTCAAGATTTATCCATGTTGATGCTTGTAAGATCTAGTTCATCTGCTGCATAATATTCCATTGCATGAATGAATCATGATTTTTTAATAGATGGGTTTTTAAAAATTATTTAAGACCGGCCGGGTGCGGTGGCTCACGCCTGTAATCCCAGCACTTTGGGAGGCCGAGGCGGGCGGATCACGAGGTCAGGAGATCGAGACCATCCCGGCTAAAACGGTGAAACCCCGTCTCTACTAAAAATACAAAAAATTAGCCGGGCGTAGTGGCGGGCGCCTGTAGTCCCAGCTACTTGGGAGGCTGAGGCAGGAGAATGGCGTGAACCCGGGAGGCGGAGCTTGCAGTGAGCCGAGATCCCGCCACTGCACTCCAGCCTGGGCGACAGAGCGAGACTCCGTCTCAAAAACAAACAAACAAAAAATTATTTAAGACCTTTATTAACAGGTGCTTGCAGTTTGTTGACTTTTTTGAAAAAATCAAGTTGTAAACTTTTATTACAAATTAAAAATGAAGTTCTTAAAAATCTCAACTTGACCAGATATGAAACAATTTAAAAACCTTGAAAGGCGTATTGAGAAAAACCAGGCTTTAAAAAAAAAAAAACACGTTTGTTATTACCAAAAAGAGACGTCTTTCGTTTTTAGTAAAAATAATAACCTCATGCTGCATAGATAAGGCAGATAGTTCTGCTTCTCTGGTCAACGGGCAAAAAGCAAGCACTTTAGGTCTTCCACTCCAATCTTTTGTTCATTTCTTATTGCTGGAATTTCATATTTCTTCTTGTTGGATGACTAAACTGTATGTTGGTAGAGATGAAGCCGGCATTTACTCAGCCTGCCCTGCTCAGCCTCCGGAGTGGACGAATTCTCAACTGGTGGATCTGCTGCTTTTGTCTCTTTGCCATCTTGTGGTTTAGGGTTTTCTGGGCGTCTGCGTCGGTAATTGAAGTTGCGGAGGTACCGACGTTGAGGTGGCTGCTGACCTTGGGTGTCACCTCCTTGATTTTCTTTATCTTCTTCATTGCCGTCCTCTCTAGGCTGTTTTGGGCGAGGAGGGCCCCTGCGGAACCGTGGTCTATATCCCCAACACATATTCTGCCTCATTGGTCTACGTTGTTCTCCTGCACCCTGGTTGCCAGCACCCTCCATCACTTCTCCCTGCACAGGTTGGAATGCTGTGGTCGACACCCATAGGGTCTCCGCATGGAGTCAGGTGGGAACCTTTGCCGCCGTAGGGCCGGCGTTGTTGGGCCTGGCCTTCGGGAGCACTCCCCGATCCCTCGTTCTTTTCCCCACTCTCACTGTTCTGGTAATTTTGCTGGTAATTGCGTGGAGGACCCCCACGACTGGATAGCGTCTATATAATGGTTATAGTCTGCTGCATATTTACTGCCTTGAACTAGAACACCACCAGGACCTGTAACATGTGCTGCCTCCGCACCCTTTTCTCCTTCAACAACATCAAACTCCATAGTCTCCCTATCTACCCTGGGAAGGTACTTCCTGGGGTTATTCTCTATGGCAGTCTGGGGTACAAATACATCTTCCTTGGTGTCATTCCTGTTGATGAAACCATATCTGTTCCTTACATTGAACCATTTTACTGTTCCCAAAACCTTCGTTGCGATGACTTTCTTGTCCCCGCCGGCAGGCGCCGTCGGTGTGAGGCCGCCCAGGACACCGTTCCCTGCGCCGCTGCCCGTAGTGCCGGGCTTGGTGTAGGTGGAGCTGAGGGCGGGGGCGGGCGGCGGCTGCTGGGTCTCCGCCTCGCTGCTCATGGTTGCAGTGATGGTGACTGGGGCCGGGCTGCGGCAGCTGCGGCTCCTCCTGGGTTGTGATGGTAAATAGGCCGGCGGAGGCGGTGGGGCTGCTTAGGGCTCTCTGGTCTGCTCTCCACTCTCGCTACCGATCGAACTCGACATGGGGATTTACCATGTTGGCCAGGCTGGTCTCGAACTCCTGACTCCAAGTGATCTGCCCACCTCAGCCTCCCAAAGTGCTGTGATTATAGGCATGAGCCACCGTGCCCAGCCATCATGATTTCTTTCTTCATTCTCCTGCTGATGGACATTTTGGTTGCTTCAAATTTTTCGCGGTTACAAAACAATGCTCCAATGAGCGTCCTTGCATGTCTCTTCAGGCACATGCTCAGGAGTCCTGGGCTGTGTGTAACTTCAGTATTCACATATGATTCCACATGGGCTCACGTTTAATCCTCATAAAGCTCCAACACATTTCATTGACTAGGTGTAATTGTCCTGTGATAGACATGAGGCAGTTCATTGACGTTACAATTCACCCAAGGCAAGTCAACCGGCTTCATGAGGTGCTAATATGTATTCCGTTAGTCCAACATCAACGGATATGGTTCAAGTGATGGCCCTGGAACTTTCCAGTTGTGCAATTTGAGGCAAGTTACTTATACTTGCTGGGCCTCAGTTTCCTGTAGCACTAGGAATTACATGATTTATTCTGTGCTATTGTTGTAAAGATTAAATCAATGTGTATAAAAAGCATCCAGCCCAGATTCTAGCAGGTGGTGTAGAATCCATATTATTTAAAACTAAGAATGATAAATGCTCAGAAATATTTTTAATAAAAGTAATGGATTATATGGGCATTTAATTCCCCAAATGTGACATTGTTCTTCCAATTTCCCCCCACCCCCCCACTATTCTGAAACAAGCATAATTGTATATAACTAGTTCCTCAGGATTGTACAGTATGCCAGCTTCTGTGACTGATGAATGTGAACTAGGAACAACGACCACTAGGGCAGAGCCATCTGACTGTTTCTTTTATAAGAACGCGCATTTTGATAACTAATATTCACATGTCGAAGAGGGACTTTGCATGCTACCAGAACACAAACGCATCTACGTAGTAAAAACAAGTCTAGTTCTTTCCCTTACCACTTGTGAGCATCTCTTTGGAATTTGGTTTTCCTCATCTGCATAGCAGATCTTTGTTCAAGAAACTCTGTTCAAGTATATACAAGTATACTTGAATGTATAAAACGCCCCATGGGGCCCTTAAATAAGTGTAGATCAGTACGGATCATTCAAACTAATTTTATTCAATGACACTTGCTCTCAAGTTTCTTGTTCTGATTTTGTTTAAATATGTTAAGATCCTTTCAAACAAGGCTTGGGTTTCCGACTTTCCTGAAATGTGCCTGGGGCAGGGTGGACATGTAATAACAGTAGAGAGAGGTCAGATTTCAGAATTAGACAGCTTGGGTTTGCCATATGCAAGCTGTGAGGCTGTGGGCAAATTACGTCACCTCTCTGAGCTTACTACCTCACCTGACAAATGAGTGCAGAAATACCTGCTTCGTGAGGCTGTGGCAAAGATTTGATGAGGTTCTGTACACAAAACACGAACTCTACAAATATTAGCCTCCCTCCTCTTCCTCCTGTCCTGCTAAACTTAAGGCTACCGCCCTCTATGCCAAAAATCAAGATGGAAAATTCTTTTCTTCTCCCTTCAAAGGCTTTGGATGCAGCAGCTTGTCATTTCTTCTTTACCACCAATGCTTGGAAAGAGGATGCTGTATCATTGGCAGTATTGTTTCTTTCCCAACTGTGCCAATTTCTCTGCAAACCATCAGCCCTTTATTTTGTGGCTGAGTTTTATAATTTACCAATTGATGTGGGTATTTACCATCCTTAGAAACAGCCCAGGGATGCCTTTCTCTGGGGGTTTATCAAAACTGCTGAATTTGAACTCTTTTTGCCAAAACCCCTTCTATAGGATTTGGAGTGGGTTTGTGGGTTGGCAGATGCTATTCTAGCAGGAGACATCTGGCCATAAAATGAGGGCTCCACTGAATATGCCAGCGTGGTGTGCCCATGCACCACAAGAGGGGACACCTAGCAGAGACTGACAGGTAAGGTACAACACAGCCCCTCCCCGTTCTGTCAGGTGACGCTGCAGCAGACGCAATGGAGCCCTTGATAATCAATCAAGGTGTCAATCCAGATGGCCTGTGATGGAGGGATGAGGGCTACAGGAGGGCGGGTTGGTAATGAAGCTCCCACAGCTCTCTCCCATGCATGGTTAATGCATGAGGTGACACTCAATCACCTCCCAGTGCAGCAGTTGGGAGCAGGAGAGCAGCTAACTATGCACCTACCTACATCCCTACCCACACTGCTGGAGTCAGGCTGTAGCTGGACAGTGGCCTTGGACTGTTTCCCAGCACGTTATTTCCGATGGGGCCAGAGAAGATTTCCCAGGGACTGGATTAAATTAGCTGGCATTCTTCCCTCATGCAGAAGGACATGGCAGCAGGACTGCTGGGCTTCTGTCTCATGTTGAGTGATGGCACAGGAGGTATCACTTTCAATCCTATCCTACGCTGGAAAAGGCTGGTGTACAGAAGGGATATCAGGCGTGAGGAACTGGGCCAGGATAAAAACAAGATTGGCAGGAGCACTCATATTAGGCCACGGCTGGGGACAAGAACCCAGGGAAGGCAGAGAGGCAGAAGCCATGTGAGGCAGAGAAGCATTTCACAAGTAATATGCTAACAAGAGTTGGCTGCAATGACTGCCTTTGAACAGGGTACCTACCTTGGCCCTGCCTGGAGGCTGTCCACCATCCAAGCAGCCATCTATCCATTGCTCCTGGCCTGCAAGGAACCCAGCTGACTCCTCTCCTCCAGCCCTGGAGGCCTCTACATCCACCTGGGGGTGAGGGCAGGTACAGTTCGGTGCCGTCAGGGGAGGTGGGAACTGGAAGGTATGCCCCATCTTCTTGTGCTTCTTTTCTTTCTGATTTGTTTTCTGAGGTCAGAGCTAGGAGTAGTTAACAGAGAGAGAGAGAGAATGCTATTCCAGGGTCAGGGGACAGTGCAAAATTCCAGTGATGAGGAAAAACATCTATATAGGGAGCTGCATGCAATTTAGCAAGGTCTGGGCATGTGATTAGCCATGTCAAAGCTCACGTGTCCCAAACAATTCCTCATTACAGGACTTCCCCCAGGTCTTCTCCATCCCTCAGTCCTTCTTACCTGGGGAGGAGTAAATGGAACTCCATCTTCCTAGCCTTCTAGTAACCCACGCCAAACCCTTTAAAGTCATCTTGACCCCTCACAAACCCCATATTTAATCTCTCAGCAAGTCTTGTTGCTCCTGCTTCACAAATTCCACCATCCAGCTCTAAACCAGCAGCGGTTGTCTTCCTGCTGGCCTCCCAGCTTTCAGCGGGTTCCCTCCAACCTGCCTCCTAAGTGATCTTCTAGAACATGTCACTTCCCTTTTAAGATCCCTCCAGTGGTTCTCTGCAGTTTTAAAGTTTTCTTTTTGAGACAGGGTCTCACTCTGTCCCCCAGGCTGCAGTGCAGTGGTGCAAACACGGCTCACTGCAGCCTTGATCTCCCAGGCTCAAGCTATCCACCCACCTGTCCCCCAAGTAGCTGGGACTACAGGTGGCCATCACACTCGGCTAATTTTTTGTAGAGACAAGGTTTTGCCATGTTGCCCAGGCTGGTCTTGAACTCCCGGGCTCAAGTGATTCACCTGCATCGGCCTCCGAAAGTGCTGGGATTACAGGTGTGAGCCACTGTGCCCGGCCGTCTGTCCTCTATAGGATAAAATGAAATCACCTTTATATTGGCTCATAATGCCTTTTGTGATATGACCCCTTCTTACTCTCCAGGCTCCTCCTTCAACATTGGCCCTACCTTTGTCCCAGTAAACACATACAGCCCAGACCATTCATTTTTTCATTTTATTAATAAGGCACTCATCAAATATTTGAGTGATTACTAAGTGCCAGACCCTGTTGCAGAATACTACAATTGCTGTAGAAATACAGCAATGCAATAAACAAAATGAATTATCTGCCCTCAGAAAGCTTAGATTCTCTATAGGTTGGGGGAAGTAGGACAGAAGTATGTAAACAAACAAATGCACGGTACATCAGATGATAAGGGCTAGAGGAGATAAAGCAGCAGAGGAGAATGATTGGTAGAGGTTTCTGGTATTCACCCATGTTCAGTTGTTCCCTCCCTCCAGACTGTGACATAGGAGGTTCACCCTTCCCTACACCCCTCACCCCTTGCAGTTAGATGGAGACATGTGGTTAGTTCTTCCAGTGGTTTGTGTCCTTCGTTGGTGCAAAATATTCCAGCATTCACTTTCCTTGCAGCAACCAAGGAGACCGTGTGTTCCAGTGCCAGTAGCTACAAGATGGCAGAGCCTCCTTCAGCCCGGATGGCAGAGTTGCTGCTTGGAGGATAGTGGTGCTGGCAAGTTGGTCAGCGTGTAGCAGAACTTGGGAGAGGGACGATAACAACCTGAGTGGAGGCAGTGTGTACTAGGCTGCCTAGAGAAATACCTGAGACTAGGTAATTTATAAGAAAAGGGGTTTAATTGGTTCATGGTTCTGCAGGCTGTACAGGAGGCACAGCAGCATATGTTTCTAGGGGGGCCTCAGGAAGCTTCTAAGCATGGCAGAAGGCAAAGAGGGAGCAGGCCCACCACACGGCGAGAATGGAAGCAAGAAAGAGAGCATGGTGTGGCGGGGAGGTGCCACACACTTTTAAGTGACCAGATCTTGTGAGGACTCACTCAATTATCACAAGGACAGTACCAAGAGGATGGTGCTAAACCATCCCCACGATACAATCACCTCCCATCAGGTCCCACCTCCAATACTGGAAATCACATTTCAACATGAGATGTAGGTGGGGACAAATATTCAGACTATATTACAGTGGCAGTGAGGATAGAGGGGGAGGGGGCCAGGATCGAAAACTGTTTAGGAAGTAGGACTTAATAGCAGAATAACCCAGGGGTTAAGGATGAGACAGGAGGCTGGGATGAGTCCCTGGATGGGTGCCTGGGTGACCTAGAGAACACGGAAGATGAGGCTGCAAGGCTGGAGGAGAGATGATGAATTCGGCATGGGCATGTGAAATTTGAAGAGTGTGTTGGAACCATCTCATAGGTGTTTGGATCTATGAGTCAGGCACCCAGAAAAGTGGTCTGTGTTGTTTATATAAACTGGGGAGTCCATGAGAGGCAGATGATATTGGAAGCCATGGTAGTTGCTGAGATGACCCAGGAAGAGGGGCAGAAGCAGAAGGAAGAGAGCAGAGAGCCTCCCAGCATTAAAAGGGGCAGGTAAAGATGTCCTCAAGGAAGACTGAGAAGGAGTAGCTAGGGTGTTATGAGAAGAGCAGGAAAGAATATGGTATAAGACAGGCTTCTCTGAGTTCAACATATACAACATATACAAATTGCCTGGGGGTTTGTGAAAATGCAGATTCTGGCTCAACTGGTCTGGGACAGAGCACAAGATTCTGCACTTCCATAAGGCTCCCAGGTGATGTCGATGCTACTGGTCTGCAGATCACACTTTGAGTAGCAAAGATGTAGGAGAAATCATGGGAGAGACTTTTCAGGAGAATAAAGTAGTTGGCTATGAGCTTTTCCTCTGCAATTCTTGCCTGTCTAAGGTAGGAGCAGAGAATGAGGAGTACTGAGTCATTTGGGATTGAGAAATGCCAAGGCAGAAAGACCCTGCTCTTAGTGACCAGGATTACTTGGGCCAGGTGATGCCATGAGACTGAGCTGCATTCTTGGATTTTGAAGCACATGCTTGCTTCTCTCAGCCTTTGGTAGAAGGTGCATGTCTCCTGGGACCCTCAGGCAGAGCAGGTGTGTCCCCTCCACCAAGTAAGTAGGGCCAGGGCTGTCTGAGCCTGCCTCTGATAAATAAACCTGGATGGGCTCTCTAGACTCTGCTTATCCTGTTGATGAGTCTGCACTAATGTTTTAAGCTGCCTTCTGCATGATGTCCTGCAGACACCTGACTCATGGGCTTCCTTGGCTGTTGCACACCTCAGCTAGAGGTACCTTTGGAAGGCAACAGTGTGAATTCCTCTTCCACGACAACCCCGCTTCTGAGAAAGACCCAGGATGCCAGGCTGGAGAGGGAGTTCTCCACTCTGACCTTCTCTGGCTCCCTCCAAGGGCACATACCTCAATGAGACACTTGAAGTGCTCCACAATTTGACCCTTATTCTTAACTCCTACATCTTCTTTAGGCCCCTTTTCCATTCTCCTGGCTGTCTTCTCCAGCCCCAACAACCTACATCCCCTTCCTAGAAGACACCTTGAAATCTTGTGCCTTCTTTCTCCACTCTCATGTCTGCCAACATTTCAGGGTCCAGCTCAAATTCTACCTCCTCAGGAAGCCTTCCCAGATTTCCCTGTCAGAATGAATCTTTCCTAGCAACAGGACCCACCATTTGCGTTTCTGTTTTAGCATTTCCCACAAGCTGCTTTTGTTCATTGGCCGGTTATACACATTTTTTTGCCAAACAGTTTATGAGCTTCTGGGAGTTGAAGACCGTGCCATATTCATCTCTGTGTTTGGGGATGCTGCATATGGTTGTTTAGGTTGGACACTGCACAAGAGCACCCAGCTGAGGGCGAGTTGGTGGGAGCTGATGTAACCTGACCACTGCTCCCTGGCGAGGGTCTGGGTTGGCCCAGAGAAAGAGGTGACTTTTTCTATTTCACACAAAGGTGCTGTACAGGGTAGAAGAAGCCTGGTCTGTATCCCTCTCAGCCCCTGATTGTTTTGCTTTGTAGGTGACAGGGGCTTCACGAATGTTGTTGGAGTTGATGCTTTCCTGAGCTGAACAGAGAATAGAAACACTTTTATTCCATTGACAATCAGAAGCCCTCTCACTCCCTCTCCTACTTCTGTCGCTATGGGCCCTCAAGCGATCTACTTTGTTATTCTGGAGAGGCTGTACTTCTCTGAAAGATTTTTTAAAAAGCTGTCAAGATCCTGACACTTATCTGGAAAGATCTCAGCGCCTCCCTCCCAGACAGCCTCTCTCTGTCCTCAGGCGGGGTCTCATAGCTGGGCCCCATCTCTGGGTGGCTGATGGAAGACTCTTTATTACCAGAATCATGTGAGGACTGTGTCTAGCTGAGTAGATAATTGTGCATATTTCGCCACCCAAAGTGAAACTGTCCATTTTCTTATTTCCACACAGTCTGGCCCTGGGTGTTGCCACAGCTCCCCACCCTTTGCCCAGCTCACATGGGGGAATCTTGTTAATAAGAAATTTCCTTTGGGGGTGTCCTGAGGCCACTTGGACCCCATGTCCAAAAGTCATTACAGGGAGAGAGAGAGAGAGACACGGCTGCTTAGGTGGCTGGTGCTTGAGGATAGGAGAGTGATATGGTTTGGCTCTGGGTCCCCACACAAATCTCACCTTGAATTACAATAATCCCCAGGTTTTGTGGGAGGGACATGGTGGGAGGTGATTGAATCATGGGGTGGGTTTTTTTTTCTGTGCTGTTCTCATGATAGCGAATAAGTCTCACGAGATCTGATGGTTTTATAAAGGAGAGTTACCCCACACGTGCCCTCTTGCCTGCTGCCATGAAAGACGTTGACTTTTCTCCTCCTTTGCCTTCCACCATGATTGTGAGGACTCTCTAGCCATGTGGAACTGTGAGTCCATTAAACCTCTTTCCTTTATAAGTTACCCAATCTTGGGTATGTCATTATTAGCAGAGTGACAACAGACTTAATACAGAGAGAAGGAAGGAAGGTAGGGGAGACAATGGAGGCAAGCTGGCCTTTCTGCCTGAGGCCTGATTGCCTCTGAGGCTGTGAGGCACCTGGGAGAGCTATTCCCAAAAGCCCATTTATCAGAGGTCCCCAGGTGGGGCTTGGCCTTCCAGCCTCCTGCCCTTCAGACTTTATCTTTGCTGCCTCCTCAGACACTTCCCGGGCTCCTCATCTCTCCATGTCCTGGCTGGTCACCTTGAAACTCTCTGCTCTCCTGGTTCCCACAACACTGCACACTCCGAGGTCCTCTGCATCCATTCCTGCCCAGGTCTCCATGTCTCCTGTCCCACTGCCCACCCACTGAATGTTGGGGGACCTCTGCTCTCACACTGCAGGCTTCTCTGGCTGGCCAGCGGTGTGGTGTGTGGCCTCAGAGCTCTTCTATGCCTTGACCAATATGTAAGTGCACACATGTAAAATTAGTTTTAAAATAAAAATGGTATCCTATATGCAATGGCTGTGGTTTTTTGTTGTTGTGTTGTTTTTTTTTTTTTGTCTTGCTCTGTTGCCCAGGCTGGAGTGCAATGGTGTGATCTTGGCTCACTGCAACCTCCACCTCCCAGGTTCAAGCGATTCTCATGCCTCAGCCTCCTGAGTAGCTGGAATTACAGGCGTATGCCACCATGCCCAGCTAATTTTCATATTTTTATTAGAGAGGGGGTTTCGCCATGTCGGCCAGGCTGGTCTTGAGCTCCTGGCCTCGAATTATCTGCCTGCCTCAGCCTCCTGAAGTGCGGAGATTACAGGCATGAGCCACGCACCTGGCCCACTATATGTTTTAAAACAATGAAGTAGCCATAGCATAGCTAGACTAGCATAGACTAGGATACAATAGAATACTATAGCGTAGACTAGGATAGAATAGCATAGCATAGCATAGCATAGACTAGGATAGAATACAATAGCATAGACTAGGATAGAACACAATAGCATAGACTGGACTGGGATAGAATAGAATAGCATAGGCTGGACTGGGATAGAATAGAATAGCATAGGCTGGACTGGGATAGAATAGAATAGCATAGGCTGGACTGGGATAGAATAGAATAGAAGAGTAGAGTAGAATAGAGTACAGAACATTGCAAAAGGTGAAAAGTGAAACTACTGTTTCATGAAACTTATTTCAGTTAGACTTTTTTGTGTGTCCACGGTCATAATTTAAATGAATGTATTACTATGGGGCATGATGAAAAAAGTGGAGAACAGCCATTGTGAGTCTACACTATGCAGCTAGAGTGATTTTAATTTGTAAATCTGAGTATGTCCCCCACCTAATGCCTGTCAGTGGTTCCCTAGCTTGGTCACTCATTACTTAGGAAATATCTAGTGAGAGCCTATTGTGTGCTAGTCACTGTTCTAGGTGCCGGGGATAGAGCGGTAAACAAGGCAGACAAAAATACCAGCCCTGGTTAAGTTTATATTCTAGTTGGGTGAATATAAATATAGAAATAAACAAGAAAAACATACATAGGAAAATTATACAGTATGTTGAGGTGGTACGTGCTCTGAAAGAAAACACCTGAAGAGGGTCAGGAACTTTAGGAGCGTGGAATGAGGACGGGAGGGTGCCGCATGGTGGTCTGGGCAGCCTCATGGAGAAGGTAACACTTCAAGAAGACTTGAAGGGGGTGAGGGAGTGAGCTGTGAAGATATCTGGAAAAGGGACATTCAGGGCAGAGGGAACTGCAGTGCCAAGGGCCTGAGCAGGGGCTGCCTGGGTGGTTTGAGGGAGAGGGAGAACATGGTGAGAGGGTACAGGGGGGTGGACATGGGAAGGAGATAAGGTCAGACAGGCACCTGGAAGCCAGGTTACGTTGGGTCTGTGGGGGGCATTGTAAGGACACTGCAGGGGAAACAGGAGTAAAACCTGCAGAGCTTTGAGTAGAGGAGTGATATGCTCTGGGCTACATTTGAAAATGTAGGGTTCAATCCTCTTGAACAGGTCCAAGGCCCTTTATATTTTGTTCTTGCCTAAAGATGCAGACTTATTTCTTGCCATTTCCATCAGCAACACCAAAATGTTCACATTTTCTCCATGATGTTTCCCACTTCTGGGACTCTGCCTGGAAAGCCACGCCTCCCATCCCTCTCTTTGGCCTGGCTCACCTCTACTCGTCTTTTAGCAACCAGCTGAGATACCACCTCCTATTACAACCTCTCCCCTTAGGCTGGGAGACTTGCCTCCCACTCAGCCTGCTAGCACCTTCTCTCTCTCCATCAGTAATGTACTTCATTGTACTCTAACTCATGTGTGTTCTTTCAAATTTTTGATTCCTGGGAGGTTTAGGATCTTCCTTTTTGCATCATTTTACCCCCACTCCCTATGACAGTGGTGCACATAGGACATGCATGCAATACACAAATGGCTGTTGAATGAACAGTGGCTGATGAGGATTCCATGAGGTCTGAATCAACTTTCCAAGGCCACGCAACATAGTGCTCCCCACACCCCTCCCGGTGCTCCTTCTGCCATACCACAAGACTCCTGGGGTGCCCTGAGGCTTTCCTTGGGGGGATGGGTGTGACTCCCCATTGTCCCTGGAGGAATTTAATTTAATAGATGAGACAAATTGAGTGGCGGGAGGGGTGGAGGTAGGGAAGATGCTCATAGAGGCGGCAGCTTGCTTAAGGTTACACTGTGCTCGTTGAACTTGGGAGTCCACTTGCAGCGTCTGGCTCTGCACCGACGTAAATGTACACGGATACTTCACTGGGCCCAGCTGTATCTCTTCTCCATGGAAGATCCTCTTTCACCCAAAGCACTTCATCAATATTACAACCAGAGAAGGGGGGCCAGTCTGGGCTTTCCTGTGGCCTATGGTGTAGATTGGGGCTTTGACGTAATTTGGGAGCAAACTTGGGGACCCCTTCAGGCATCGTAGGCATCCTGCCCTGGGCTGGCTTGCCAAAGCTTGGAGGTTAGGAAGGAGGATGGGCAGACTCTCCCTGTATGTTTCCCTATCCTGTAGTGAGAAAGACTCACAGATATACACAAGGACAGGCCACCGTTGAAAATGAAATACACCATTTCCCTGCCTAATAGAACTGGCAGCTTTCCTTTCTTTCTCCTCTGTCTTCCTGTAGGTGATCAAGCATCAAACTTTCTGTATACACTGTAAAGTGCTTCTTCCAATAATCTTTGCAGCCTAGACTTACAGTTTGTCCTTCCCAGGTCTGTTTCCTTATAAATATTCCAAGGTGAGGCTGCCAGTGGGTGATTTATTTACAAGAGGTATCACTTCTTGCGGCTGTGCATGGTGTCCAAGCAAATGGCTTACTGCAGCTCTCACCAAACTCAGCTTTGTTATCTACTTTAGATGAGACCAGGTGATTCACTCTCTCTCTAATTTCAACTCTTGGTGAGCTAAAATGATTTCTGCTTTAAAAATGTCCAGAATGTGAAAAATAAAATGAAAAACTACAGAAACAACAAGCCTTGTTATTCAGATAGAGAGGGAGACAGAGACAGAGACTACTCATCTTATCTGAATGCTGTCACAGGGAAAGCACACCCTGACAGTCCACAGCCCTGGAGCCTCCTCAAAGTTTCCCACCCAAAGAGGAAGCCCTACAAAAGAAATGGAAGAGAACCCCCTGTACCCTGCCAGGTCTGTCTTACCAAAGGAATGTATCATTCAATACCCTTCCAGGCTTCCCCATTCCCTCCCAGTAGTTCTAAACCTCTTGGGGGCCAAGGACTCCTTTAAGATTTCCCAGAAAAATATGCATGTCCACAAATGCCTAAGATTTCAGGAGGTGCAGGGGAGTGAAGGGAAGCAGGTGCTGTGGGGTCCAGAGGGGAAGCATCTTAGGGGGTTGCAGGGTTGGAGGACAGGCTGTGTGGACGGGGCCAGGGCTAGGACCCTGGGTTGGATGTGGCTACAGGGAGGAAACGAGAGGGCATTTTAGGCAGGAATGAGGCCAAAGGTAGAGGAGCTGAGATGCAGCTGGCTTGCCTGCAGAGCCACAGTGAAGGGAACAGAGCTAATGCTTATTGACCACCTACTATGTCCCAGCCACTATGATATGTGCCAAAGGGCTATAAACAGGCGTGCTCCCTCGCCCGAAGGAACACAGTCTCATGGGCCAGGCAGCCAAGGACTGGGGCAGGATTAACCATGATACGGTCAGAATGAGCAGCAGTCCCTCTCAGCAGGGAGTAAAGCCCTGAGGCTGCAGATGGGAGCTGGTGACCCCTGACAGTCTTCATCACCAGGGCAGGCCTTGATGGCAGGGGTGGGACAGGCCGGGCCTTTCAGTGTGTCCTTGGCTGCCTCTCTCCAGTTAGGGGCTGGACGCTGGGCTCAAGTGGGCGATGTTCCAGGGCTTTCAGTGGTCCAGAGATCCCAGCTGGTTCCAGCTCCTCAGAGCAGACATAAAGCGGGTCATTTCTTGCTTTCTGGCGTGGTGACTCAGCTGACAAAAATAACTCACGCTAGCAACAGCTCTTTCTGCATCTTGTGGGCTGGGAACGGGTACTAGGAAGGACAAAAACTGCTAAGCAGTGAAACATGAGGACTCCTCCATCTGACTCAGCCACAGAAACACACAGAGAGACAGACACAGACAGAATGACAGCAAGAGACAGAGAGAGAAGCAGAGACAGAGACATAGAGAGACAGTCAGACACCCACACAGATGTGTTCTGAGAAACTGAGTGGGGCTGCTTCTGACACTGAAGCCAAGGCACTCCTCATTTCTGGACTCAGCAGCTGGGGAAGTCACAGGGCTCAACTACCAGGGAAAACAGTTTACAGGTCCCAGGACTTAACAATGCTTTCCCAGGTGTACAGAGCACAGCCTCCAGGGTTGTGCAACCCCCTGCAAATGGACTTCTCCCAAAGCAAGTTCATGTGGCAGCTCCCAGCTCTTGCAGACTCCTGCAGCCCTCTTTACTCGGCTTGAGTGTGGTCCTTTGCATTCTGCTCCCAGGAACCTTTTGTTTTGGTCCCTGGGCACAGGGTCTGAACGTGTACCTAGGATAACTTACCACATGCCTCTCTCCAAAGACTGCCTTGTTCTGTGAGTTGGAATTTGCTGATGAGGAGGGATGCCATCTGTCTTTCCCACTTATCCACACCCAGTCCACCCGCCAAAGCTCATTGCATCCCCCTTTTCTCATTTAGAGTCAGACAAGGAAGTTCATATTTTCAAATGGGTCTGGCGCCATGCTGGGTGTAGGCAACATCATTTCCCTCCACCTAGACAATAATCCAAGATAGGTATTATTTAACATGTGAGAAAACTGAACTTAAAGAGAACAAATGAGGCCGGGCACGGTGGCTCATGCCTGTAATCCCAGCACTTTGGGAGGCTGAGGAGGGCACAGCAGATCGCTTGAGCTCAGGAGTTTGAGACCAGCCTGGCCAATGTGGCAAAAAATACAAAAAATTATCTGGGCGTGGTGGTGCATGCCTGTAGTCCCAGCTAATTGGGAGGCTGAGGTGGGAGGATTGCTTGAGCCTGGGAGGTGGAGGGTTGCAGTGAGCTGAGATCGCACCACTGCACTCCAGCCTGGGTGACAGAGGGAGACCCTGTCTCAAACACAACAACAACAAAGAGGATAAATGATTTGCCCAAGACCACACCACTGGTTAGAGTGGAGCTGGAATTTGGGCCCAATGCAGTATAGTACCACATCCCATGGGATGCCTCCTGTGGTACTGTACAGCATCCCATGCTTGCAGCTGCCATTGTATCCCATCCCTGCCTGTGTGCCTCTCTCTGAGTTTGACATGCTGCTCAGAGCATGGACAACTCATCTGAAAACGAAAATTATATCATTGGAAGGTCTCTTGTCCTATATAATTGGGACTAGTAGTTGGTTGGTTAACCAAAAAATTTGATCAAGGTGAGAAATCATAAAACAGGACACATACAGCCTTATTTTGATGTGGATCAAAGGCCTTTTCTCAAAGAAACTGGTGAAGAAAATTCTACTTTTCTGTTTTGCGTAAGCTACACTAATAATTTCCAGTGTCTGTTTTAATGAAGAAGAGAGAACCCAAGGTACTCTTGAAGCAATTCGAGTGCAGAATCCTTCTAGATTTATACAAACTTTCTCTTTTTTTTTTTACCGTTATCTCGTCCACACCTCATTCAACAAGTTTCTTAGTGATTCACTTTTATCAAGTCTTTCCTAAAGCAATGTGTTTGACATAAAAAGCAACAATTTCTTTTGTTCCACACTCTTCTTTCTCGGTTTATGTTCCTTTTGGTTAAATTGCATAATCATGGTGTCAAGTGTAAGTGGCAAGGCATAAATAGATTTGGGAACATGAATAATTGATTCTTGGTAAATGTTCTACTCATTTGGAGAGCAGAAGTGTGGAGGCGTATTATAGATAAGCTGCTAGCTGGGAGCATCAACTGCTGTATTTGGGGCAGAGAATGGAAGCTGGTTAACCTGGCCAGTTATGGGGAATGTGGTTAAGAGGCTTTGCGCAGGACCTGATGGAAGGGTTGGGGTGAGAGCCAATGGAGATGGCAGGTGAAAGGATTGAGTAAAGTGGTGTCTTGTATATAAGCCATCTTCATGATTTTGAAGCCTTCCCTGATGCTGCAGCACACATGGTCCCCTCCTCCCATGAACCTTCTTCCCTAGGGAACGTTAGAGAGCCCCCAACCAGCAGCCAGGAGACCCAGATCTAATCCCAGCTCTGCCACTTTCTACCTCTGTGAGTTTGGGCAAAAGGCTTAATCTCATCAATCGGGTTTTCTTCTCTGTACACTGAAGGAATTGGGTAAAATTGTCTGGAAAGGCTCTTCTGGCCCTGTTCTAAGTATCCCAGGGCCAGGTTTCTTACTAACTCCACTCTTCTCTTTGGGGTTCTCAGTCACCCCCAGGGCTCTAGAATACTCCCTGTCTGATACGGTTTGGCTGTGTCCTCACCCAAATCTCATTTTGAATTCTAGCTCCCATAATTCCCATGTGTCACGGGAGGGACCCAGTGCGAGGTAATTGAATCATGGGGGCAGGTTCCTGTGCTGTTCCTGTGATAGTGAATAAGTCTCACGAGATCTGATGGTTTTAGAAATGGGAGTTCCCCTGCACACGCTATCTTTGCCTGCCACCATGTATGTTGTGACTTTGCTCCTCATTCGGCTTCTGCCATAATTTGAGGCCTCCACAGCCATGTGGAACTGTGAGTCAACTAAACCTCTTTGCTTTATAAATTACCCAGTCTAAGGCATGTCCTTATTAGCAGCGTGAGAACAGACTAATACACCATCCCAAACCGTATCAACAGCCTCACCTGTGTGCTGTGCTGTGCTGTGCTGAGCAGCAGGAAAGCACCATGTTTTTGGTGCCCTTTAAGTGGGATGGCCTGACCTCTCATGGATGACCAGGTGAGAATTTTTAGACCCATCAAATACCAAACCATATTATCAAACAAAGATTATTAAAACTATGTGGCTTTGGAGCAAAATGGACCTCTTATAAGAATATAGTATATGATAAAGGAAGCATCACAAAACAGTGGGAAAGGAGATAATATTTGGTATGGGAAAAGTTGGATAATAGTTTGGGGAAAAAAGACTTAGGCCCACATCACAAACTATACATTAAAATAAATGATGGGTTATTTTTAGATGTAAGATTGCTACAGAAAAAACACAAGAGAAAATATAACTGAATGTTATTATCAAAGCCTTGGAGAGTGATGCCTTTGAAAGTCTAGAGGCAATAGAAAATTCACAAAGGAAAAGAGAAATCAATTTCATTTTGTAAAAATATATAAAATCAATTTGTAAAATAAATAGGCAAATGAGAAAAAACAGATAAAACATGAGGGGTTTATATGTTTATTAAAAAAACTCATGTACATCAGTAAGAAAATCATTAATAATTTGTAATAAACAAATGGGCAGAACACATAGTTAAGTTACAAATGAGGAAATTCAACTGGTATAGAAAAAACCTCAACCTTTCTAGTAGTTAAATGCATGCAAATTAAAATAAGAATTAAGAATCCACTAAATTAAGCAGAACATTAAAAAACTTGGCAGATCTAGTGCTGCTGAGGATAGGGCAAAATTGCTAGATGGGAATATAAATCCCAGCCCTTTGGAAACCAATTTTACTACCCAAAATTTTAAAATTGCCTTGCTCCCTTTGACTCAACTTCTAGAAAAGCATCCTAAGAAGATAATAAATATGGATAAAGTTATTTCTAATGAAGATGTTCATTGCATTATTTTATGGAAACATGTTACAAATGAGGGAAGAGTTAAGTATTATGAAGTATACTGACCCAATTAACTATTTTGCAGACATTAAAAGAAACAAGAGGCCGGGCACGGTGGCTCATGCCTGTAATCCCAGCACACTGGGAGGCCGAGGTGGGTGTATCACCTGAGGTTGGGAGTATGAAACCAGCCTGACCAACGTGGAGAAACCCTGTCTCTACTAAAAATACAAAATTAGCCGGGTGTGGTGGTAGATGCCTGTAATCCCAGCTATTTGGGAGGCTGAGGGAGGAGAATCGCTTGAACCCGGGAGGTGGATGTTGCGGTGAGCCGAGATCATGCCATTGCATTCCAGCCTGGGCATCAAGAGTGCAACTCCATCTCTAAAAGAAAAAAAAGAAAAGAAAAAAAGAAAAAAGAAAAAGAAACAAGACTACAGCAAGGTAGAAAGTTACGTTTACAAAAAAAAAGTTTACATAGCAAGTCAGTTAATCTCTCTGAGTTTCAGGTTTCTCATTAATAAGATATAGATAATAATAATACTACCTTCCTCATCTGGTTGTTGTGTGGACTAAATAAGATAATACGTGGTATATGTTTAACCCAGCACTTCGGCTATGGTAAGCATGCAGTAAATGTTAGCTAATGTTATTGTTTTCATGATTGTCAAATACAGTTAATACAAATGGAATATGGAAAAAATGATAATAGTTGTGTTAGGGTGTTGGGATTATAGGTGATAATATATCACCTTTTTCTTTTCCAAACTTTATTATTGATATGTTTTGTTTATAATCTTAACAGCTTTATAGATGTATTCTGGACATAAAAAATTTACCCACTTTAAGTGTACAATTCAGTAATGTTTAATATATTGACAGAGTTGTACAATCATCACCACAATCAACCACCCTAAAAAGATCCCTCATGCTCATGGGTAGTCACTTCCCAGCCCAGGCAACAACTATTCTGCTTTCTGCCTCTATAAATTTACCATTTCTGGATGTTTCATATAAATGGAATTATAGGATATGTGATCTTTTGTGTCTGGCTTATTTCAGTTTATAATTTTTAGGAGTTCAAAAACATAGTTTGCCACTGTCATTGTGAAACAAAAACAAAAATACAACAAAAAGCAACTTCTTAGCATGATTTGCATTTTTAACCAACCTACTGGCATTAGCCAGGTCCTGCCAGGAAACAGATGGCTCACTCATAAAGGTCAACGGACTAGTTTAACGAAGGGACTATTTACACACAGGCTGGTCAGGTGAAAGGAGTCGGGTTCAGTGAGAAACAGTCCCTGCCCCTGGGTCTAAAGAGACCAGAGGGAAGAGCAGTGCTGCTGGGTCCTGGAGAGGGCTGTACCGTGAAGGAGGGGCTGCCTGGAGGGAGCCATGGCAGAGAAGGCAGCCATGGCCAAGACTATGGCTGGGCAGGTTGGGAGCTGGGGACTGTTGAGAACAAACACCCCACCCTCACTCTCTGTCCTCCATCTGAGCTGCTGCTGGCGCTTCTAGGCACTGAACCTAACTGGAAGGCAGCTGCCCAGGAGCCCCGGTGCTGCCGCCCACAGAAGTCAGCCTCCAGGGCCAGAGCAGGGCAGAGAAAGGCCGAGAGCAGGCCTAGAGGGGCCAACAGAGGCAAATTAGCAAACCACTTTTCCCAGTGAGCCACCCGCCCTCTCTAACCTCCTACACTGTGCACTTAATCACCCCGAAGTACTCAGGGTCCTTTTCACATGTCAGGAACGTTGACATCCTCTTGCCTGTTTCCATGCTGATACCCAAGCCTGGAATGCTCCTTCTGCCCTCCTGCCTTCGACCCTTGCTCAGGCACCTCCAGGGGTGGGGCTGGGGGATCTCACCTGTGGGCTCCCACCATAGGTGTTTCGTTCTTCTGCCAGAGCATTCCACTTGGCTGGAATTATTTGCTGGCATGACCATCTCTCACACAAAACCACATTTCCCTGGAAGGGAACAGCTGTTTTATATATGGTGCCTGGAATAATGCCTGTCATATGGTAGGTACCCAATAAATATTTGTTAAATCGAACAACATCCTGTAATTCTTTTGTGTTTCTCCCACCCCTACTGTCTACTGGTTTGGAGAATTTACTTTAGTATGCTGCTGGATGATGAACAATTTCAAATTCGAGAGTTTCTCTCTGAGATAAGTAAATTCCTCTGATTTTAGGAATAAGCAAACAACCTAATAACGGTGGAAAGAACAGGTGTGACTGTCTCTTTTGAAGAGATGTGATGCGATTTCCTTGCAGTTGTAAGCAGCTTCCATTGTTCGCTATTTTCTCTACGGTGTTTCTCCCACATGAAGTAAACCTCGCTAACGTTTTTGCTCAGCTCTGAATGGGACTTGTCACTTCTGGTTAGGGAGATATTAACCACCCTTCAGACATACAGAGCAAAATGAAGTGAACCCGGAGCACACACCCACAATACAGCTAAGGGGGAACTCAGGCGAGAAAAGAAACCTTGCTTTTTGAAACTACCAGACCGTTCTCCCACTTAGCTGGTTCTCAAACTCCTGCAAGAATCTTCAAGGGAAAGAAAAAGAAATTCAATGATTTTCATACTCAGGCACCCCTCCCGGCTGAAATAGATGCTTCTATGTGCAGCCTTGAGGCCAGTGGCATTTCCTGACTGGCTGCCACAGTGAACATTCTGTCAGGGGTGTTGTGCTCCAAATATTGTCCCTGGCAGAATGTCTCTGGGCCAACACCCAGTTTTCCTGCCTGACGGTCCGGAGGATGCTCAGGAGGCCACAGAATTGGGATGAGTGCCACAAAGCAGGCTGGAGAAATTCTAGTTGCTGGGCCTAGGGGCAAAGTTAGTTCTCTGGAAAAAGGAGAGAGGATGGCGTTTGGAAGGGTGACTACGGGTTCCCTAGAAAAATACAAAATGACTATAATGTCACCCAGATTACCATGAAAATGTCCCTTTCAGGAATAGTTCAGAGAGGCAGAGTGGTATAGTGAGAAGACGATCCTTTAACAAGACCCATGTTGAGGCCAGGCGCAGTGGCTCACGCCTGTAATCCCAGAACTTTGGGAGGCCGAGGTGGGTGGATCACTTGAGGTCAGGAGTTCGAGACCAGCCTGGCCAACATGGCAAACCCCCATCTCTACTAAAAATACAAAAATTAGCCAGGCATGGTGGCACATGCCTGTAATCCTAGCCACTTGGGAGGTTGAGGCACGAGAATCACTTGAGCCTGGGAGGTGGAGGTTGCAGTGAGTGGGGATTGCGCCACTGCACTCCAGCCTGGGTGACGCCCCATCTCAAAAAAAAAAAAAAAAAAATGGCCCTGGCTCTGGTCACTTACTGTCTGGGGACTTGAGGATTCTTAGGAATCTATTTAAAAATAATATTCTACTAGCTTCTTAATGTAGTCCACAGAGCACAGCTTTGGGATCATACAGATCTGAGTTTGAATGCAGGTCCTTGTCATTTACCATATGTGTGATATCACTTTTCTTTTGCATAGAATTTTTAGCTGGGCACAAAGCCACCAAGCTGAATGCTCCATTTTCCAGCCTACCTTAAAGCTAGATATGACCAAGTGACTAAGCTGTGGAATTGTGAGTGGGAGTGTGCAGCTTCCTCCTTTGCCCTGACAGTGAAAGAAGGTGTCCTGCCGTCCCTTCAGCCTTTTCCTCTTGTCTGGAATACAGACTTCGTGGGGAAGTCATCTTGGATCATGCAAGTGTCCCAGGTGACTGGCAGAGCAAACACAATTTATCCCTGGATTTTTTGCAGTTTCAATCCAAGCCATAAAGAGTTGTACAGATAAAATTCTAAGGCACATATGCTCACTGTAAAGGTATACAGACTTGGAAAAATCTATTTGCAAATGACATATGTGACAAAGAATTTGTATCCAGAATATGCAAAGAACTTTTACAACTTGTTAATAAAAATAGAAACAATTTAAAAATAGGCAAAAGGGTGGGTATGGTGGCTCACATTTGTAATCCCAGCACTTTTGATGGCTGAGGTGGGAGGATCACTTGAGGCCAGGAGTTCAAGACCAGCCTGGTCAACATAGTGAGACCCCCCTCCCCAAGTCTCCTTAAAGAAAAAAAAAAAGTAGGTGTGGTGGTACATGCTTGTAGTCCTGGCCACTCAGGAGGCTGAGGTGGGAGGATCACTTGAGCCCAGGAGGTCAAGGCTGCAGTGAGCTATGATCATTCCACTACGTTCCAGCCCGGGTGACAGAGTGAGATCCTGTCTCTAAAAATAAAATAAACAAGGCAATAGATTTGAATAGACATTTCACCAAAGAAGATATTCAAATGGCTAATAAGCACATGAAAAGATGCTCAAAAGTATTAAGGAAACACAAAACCACAGTGAGATACCATTTCACATCCACCCACAATAATCAAAGACAGACAATGACTTTGGGCAAGGATGTCGAGAAATCAAAATTCTTAAACATTGCTACTGGTAGGAAGCTACTTTGGAAAATAGGCAGTTTCTTAAAAAGTCAACCAAATACTTGCCACATGACACAACATTCCACTCTGTAGTATATACCCAAGAGAAATAAAAACATATGTCCTTAAAAAGACTTGCATAATGTTCATAGCATCAGTGACTGAAAAGTGGAAGCAACCCAACAGCCCATCAGTTAGCAAATGGATAAAATGAGGTATAGTCATACAGTGGAGTACTAAATGGAATGCTAAATGAAAGAAGTCAGACATAAAAGCCACATATATTATTCCATTTTTTAAAAATGTCCAGGAAAGGCAAATGTCCGGGAGAGACTAGGGTTGCCTGGGCTTGCCGGTGAGGATGGGGGTTAATTTGAAATGGGTACAAGAGATACTACTGGGATGTTATATAAGCTGTAAAACTGGATTATGGTAATGGTGACATAACTTGATAAACTGACTAAAAATCATTGAATCACATACTTCAAATGGGTGAATTTTATGATATATATAGTTTATACCTCAGTAAAGTTAAAAGACAGAATTTTACACCAATACAACTTTTAGGAACAAGAGCAAAATAAAACAAATTTTCAGAAAAACAAAAATCGAGAGATTGCCATAAATATATTTTCTATTAAAGGAGCTTCTCAAGGACTTGCTTTAGAAGAAAAATAATGTCAAAAGGAATGTTGGAGATATTAGAAGAAATGGCCACCAAACAAACAATCTAGGAAAGAAGAAAATGTATTAACCTAATTCAGGGCCATTGCAAAAGCCTACAGCGAGCATTAATTTAATGGCAAGATGTCAGATGCTTTCTCTTTACAAACAAGTTCAAGCTAGGATGTGTTTCATCATCAGTTCTTCTCAATTTTGTCCAGGACAGTAGCAAAACAAGAAGAGGAAATAAGGATTAGAAAGGAGGAAATAAAACTGTCATGATCTGCAGATTGTATGATTGTCTTCTCAGAAAAACCAGAAGAATTTATGAATACATTATTAGAATTGATGAGATTTTAGCAAAGTTAATAAAAAAATTAATACACAAAGTTCAACTGTATTTCCACACTCAATTTGAAAGTATAACTGAAATAAGAAAAAAAGTACAAGATACTTAGGTGTCAACCTAACCAAATATGTGCAAAACTCTTCAGGGATAAAGTTGCAACACTTTACTGAAAGGCATTAAAGAAAACGCAGATAAATTAAAGCTAAGTCATATTCTTGGTTAGGAAGATTCACTATTGTAAAGATGTCAATTCTCCACAAAGCAGTTTAACACAGTTTCAGTAAAATCCTAAGAAGATCATTTGTGAAACTTGAAAGTTTTAGTCTAGAATTTTATTTTAAAATTTATATTGAAGAGAAAAAAGCCAAGCATAGCCAATATACTCTTGAAGAACACAATCTTGGAAATCATCCTGCCATATAGCAAGATTTAGTATTAATATAAAGTAATTAAAATAGTATCATGTTAAAGAAGGGATAGATAAATAGATCAATGGAATAGAATGGAGAGATCAGAAAGAAACCTACACAGATCAAGAAACTTGATTTTTTTGAAAAAAGCCATCGCGTATCAGTGGGGAAAGGGATGGACTATTCAAAAAATGATGCTAGAATAATTGGTTATCCATTTGGGAGAAAATAAACTGAATCTCTACCTCACATCATGCACAAAAGCTATTCCACTGATTGAACACTAAAAAATGCGAGCCAAATTTAAACATGACACCAACTTGCATAAAACACACACACACACACACACACACACACACACACACACACGTGCATGTAGAAACTGGTAAAAACTGAATAAGTTGGGAGGCTGAGGCAGGCAGATCACGAAGTCAGGAGATCGAGACCATCCTGGCTAACACGGTGAAACCACGTCTCTACTAAAAATACAAAAAAAAAAAAAAAGCCGGGCGTGGTGGCGGGCGCCTGTAGTCCCAGCTACTCGGGAGGCTGAGGCAGGAGAATGGCGTGAACCTGGGGCAGAGCTGGCTGTGAGCCCAGAGCGTGCCACTGTACTCCAGCCTGGGCAACAGGGTGAGACTCTGTCTCAAAAAAAAAAACAAAAAACAAAAAAAAACTGAGTAAGTTTTGTTAGCAATATTTACCAATGTCAATTTGCAGGTTTTTATATTGTACTACAATCATTTAAGATATCACTATTGGGGAAAACTGGGGGAAGAATTTGCAATTTTTTGTGAGTCTATAATTATTTCAAAAGAAAAAGTTTAAAAAGTGAAAGGAAAAACGTAAAAGTACTTAGAAGGCAATATAAAATATTTTATGACTTCAAGGTAGAGAAAACTTTCTTGGTCTAGACACAAGATGCAGGAATCCTAAAGAAAAAGATTAATAAATATATACTATAGTTAGAAACTTCTTCAAATGACACCATAAATAGTATGAAAATACAAGAGAAGACAGGTGCCATATGTAATCACCAAACAATGTCCAGAATACAAAAATAACTATGAAGCACTGAGAAAAAACCCAATAGAAAAAATGGATTAAATAGACATTTTCACAGAAGAAATCCAAACAGCCCAGAAGCATAAGAAAAAAAAAACCATACACAACCAAACCACTCAACCTAATGAGTGATCAGGGATGTGTTAAATAAAACTCAACAAAATATCATTTTGCATTCAACAGATGAGCAAAAGTTCAAAAATCAGACAGTATCAAATGTAGACAAAGATGTAGAGAAATAGGAACTCACATATGTTGAGGATGGAAATATAAAATTTATATATCCACCATGGAAAAGTGTTGGGCAATAGCTACCAATGCCAATCATACAAAACTGCATGACCCAGCAATTGTAGTCCTGGGTCTACAGAAACTCATGCACATGTGCACCAGGATACATGAATAAGAATGTTCCCCGCAGCATTATTCAAGATAGGCAAAAACCGGACACAACACAAATGTCCCTCAAGAGTTGATTAGATATATTTTAGTATACTTATATAATGGGGTATTATACAACAATTAAAATGAACAAGCCATAGCTCTACAAAACAAAATGAGTGAATCTCACAAACATAAGTTTGAAAGATGTTAGGTGCTAAGAAATACTAGTGGATGACTCCATTACTAGAGCAGGTGAAATTAAGGTATATTCTTTAGGGATCATATATAGGAGGTAAAACAAAGGCAGGAAAGTGGTTACCATTGAGGTGGTGGAGTGAGATTTGCTTTTGATGAGGGAGAAGTAGACAAGGGACTTCTGGGGAACTGGCAAATATTCTCAATGTAGATCTCGGTCATGGTTTTATCGGTGTCCATTTAATAATTATGTTTGTTTGTATGCATGGTGTATAGACTTTTCTATATGTATATGTCCCAATGTAAGAGGAAAAAACTACCCCACCTTTCTCTCATCACAGCATTTATCATCAGATGATAATTGCTCATTGAACTATCAGTTAATCCCATTACAATGCAAGAAACAGGAGAGCAGGAGCTGTGACTCATTGCATGCTCACAGCCTTGCTGAGCATTCAGTGGGTGCTCAATGAGGGAATAGTAAACTGATACTATTTACAGTTAAGACTGGGCTTATGAAAGGCATCTGATTTTACAGCCCAGGAATGATGGAGTGGGACTCAACCAGTTCCCCTCCCCTGTATGTGGGGACTGTGACCAGAAATAAGCCAAGAACTGAGCAGAGACTGAGGATGGACACATCCTGTTAAATCTGCTAGGCTTTGCCTCAACAAATTGTATTAGACAACTTTGTGGTAGGAGATTACAGCTCAGCTAGACGACAGCCTCCTGATTGAGCTACTCTACCACTTACAGCCTTCGACATAACATTCTTCAGCGATGGTTTTTGGCAAGAGCTTTCACGGAAATGTGCCTGCCTGGAGCCAGCTCCTGTCTAGAGAGGTTCCTGTAGAAACTTTAAATGATGACATCAGTCTGCATATGCCCCAACATCAGGCTGCTGACCCAGCTGCCTGTAGATAGTAGCATCTTGTCTTTTCTACATGGGCCCCGGGGACAGAGAGATAAGGAGGAAAAAGGTCAGGGGTTAGGCAGTCCATCATTGCACAGGCAAGTTGTGGTCCGATGGTCCAGACAAAAGTCTGGATTTCTGCCTTCCTGCCTCCACAGGCTTGGAGTCTGGCCTCTGACTAAGCCTGGGGCAAATTAACCCAGTCATGATTAAGCCATGAAGAAAGGTGCCAGAAAGTTGGGACGCATACATGAGACGTATTGAGTCTCGGGGGTGTGCAGTTGGTGTTCATCCATTCCTTCAACAAGCATGTGTTGAGTGCTTATGTGGGCGGACGCTGCAGCAGGCACCAGGGATATTGTCCAGCAGGGGACTGTCATGCCAGCTTTTCAGATTAGACTGTGTGGATGTTGCTCAAGAAGGAGCAGATACGGTAGAATTGATCAGCAGTCTCCAGATAGGGGTTCCAGAGGATTCCCCTTAAGGATGGAAGGCAGTAGTATTAGGACCGAGGAAAGGAAGCACCTGGTCACATTGCCAAATTTCTCATGGCAAGTACTGGAACAGGTTGGAGAATGTAAATGTTGACAACATACATTTTTGAATGAGCATACCATAAAGGGAGACACAGATGTTTAGGGAAAGACTCCAGACATTTGAAGTGACAACAGGAAGAGAAATTGTTCTTTCCAGAGAGCTGTGCTTGGTCCTGCTGCTAGAGACAGTATGCTTGGCAGTAAAAACCTCAGCGTGCCCCTCTCCATGGCCCAAGCATTTGTGGAGCACCCCCTAGGCCCAAGCTCTGTGGTTGAGTGGTAGAATCCAGAGCGAGCCACTCAACAGTATAGTTCAGTGGGCCCGTGCGGTGATGTGCCTCTATAAAGCACGGTGTCCTTTTTTTTTCTCAGAGTTCATCTGGGCACATTTTAAAATTTGATCACTCCTCCTAAAAAACACAGAACATTCACTGGTTGTGTGAGGAGCGTGTGTATTACTTTATAAAAGTTGACACTGAGAGGTGACAGGCAAGTCTGGAGCTGTGTATAAGTATCAGATGCATTTCTGATCATTTATGTAGTTAACCTTCTTGAATTTAAACTTAGAATTCCCACTTTGTGTAGTGTTTTTTTTTTAAACTTTGTGTAATATTTTGTGTGAAACACAGGCATTTCCAACTGTATATTTACTTAATCAAAGAATTTTATGCATTCTGAGCTCTTATTTGTTTAATCATGGATTTGAAAGTTTTAAGAAATACAGAAATAGTTCAACTATCAGTAGGAGCTTTGAGGAATCACAGAAGAAACATTAGTTAACCATTACAGGAGAAAGCAGACAGACTGCAAGACATTTAAACTCTATGATACAGAGGATAGGCAGCTGGGTGTGGTGGCTCACACCTATAATCCCAGCAATTTGGGAGGCCAAAGCAGGAGGATCACTTGAGGCCAAGAGTTCAAGACCAGGCTGGGAAACATAGTGAGACTCTATCTCTAAAAAAAAAAAAAAAAATTTTTTTTAATTAGCCACGTATGGTGGTGTGCACCTCTAGTCCCAGCTACTTGGGAGGCTGAGGAGGGAGGATCACTTGAGCTCAGGAGGTCGAGGCTGCAGTAACCTATGATTGTGCTACTGTAGTCCATCTTGGATGTCTCAGGAAAAAACAAAAAGAAGATGGACAAAGAACTCTGAAAAAAAATTCATTGGAATTGAAAAGCCTGAAATGCTACCTTAAAAAAAAAGGAAAAGAAAAAAAAAAGTAATACCAGCTGCAAACCTTGAACAAGCTGCAAGCAATATGGAAAACTTTAACACAGGATTTTCCTGTTACAATAGTGAGCTCTGCCCTGGAGGGTGTAGTGAGAAGAGAGTTTGGACTAAGTCACAGAAGATTTGAAAGCCAGGGGGATATTGTCAGACCTGGGGTTTTATAAGTAACCATGGTAGCACTGTAATGCGGGTTTAGAGAAGAGCGAGGCTGGAGTGAAGGAGGCCAGGCTGGAGAAGATCCCAACAGCCCATGGAGAGATGATGAGTCTGCACCAAGGGAGGGCAATCAGGATGAGGAGAACGGCCAGTTTGAGAAGCATGTGAAGAGTAGAGACGACAGACCTTGGTGGCAGGTGGTTGATGAAGAAGGAGAGCCAGATAGGACTGTGATTCTAGAGAGGGTGAGCCAAGGCCAGTAGAGGGCTCAGGCTGAGGGCAGGCATGGGTCCAATGGTGGGCATGTTGGGATCCTTGTGGAAATGTCAAAGGGACCACTCAGAAAGCTTAAGGCAAGAAGGAGCATTTAGGAGAGGGCAGAAGAAGACAAAGGCAGTAGGGGAGGCTGTGAGAGTTAAGTTAGCCTGGTTAAGGTTGTGATTTCTTATCATCTTAGCGGTGAAAACAGTTCCCCTTGACTGGGGGCCTCCAGTGTCCTGAGTCCTTTGCTTAAGGTACTTCTTTTTCTTGCCTCTTCCCTGCATTACTGAACTTCCTGGGTCCGTTCCCACATTGCCCTGGAGTTGACCATGAGCTCCTGGTTCTGGTGGGGAGATGAGTTCTGGAGCTTCTTCCTTTGCTGCCCACGTGGGCCAGAGCCAGAAGCGATTCTTGGCTCAAGGCAGGTAGACAGAACCGAATGACCTGAATGATCCTCGGACCTTACCCTGCTGCTTTTAACAATTCGGCTCTAAACAAATCACACCCCATGCCCTATGGGAACCTGTAGTTTCCAGTGCACAGGAGCATCAACCTGAGGGGTTATTTTCCATAAGATTCCTCTGCTAAAATAGCACCTTGTGACTTTCTGTTGTTCAAACGAAAATACAGCTGGGAAACAAAGATGCGCTTGGGGAAGACATTTGCACTTTTGCCTGGAATGTGGTGTCAGAATTTAAGACCAAGCTCTTTTTTTTTTTTTTAAATTATTGTACTTTAAGTTTTAGGGTACATGTGCACAATGTGCAGGTTAGTTACATACGTATACATGTGCCATGCTGGTGTGCTGCACCCATTAACTCGTCATTTAGCATTAGCTATATCTCCTAATGCTATCCCTTCCCCCTCCCCCCACCCCACAACAGTCCCCAGAGTGTGATGTTCCCCTTCCTGTGTCCATGTGTTCTCATTGTTCAGTTCTCATCTATGAGTGAGAACATGCAGTGTTTGGTTTTTTGTCCTTGCGATAGTTTACTAAGAATGATGATTTCCAATTTCATCCATGTCCCTACAAAGGACATGAACTCATCATTTTTTATGGCTGCATAGTATTCCATGGTGTCTATGTGCCACATTTTCTTAATCCAGTCTATCGTTGTTGGACATTTGGGTTGGTTCCAAGTCTTTGCTATTGTGAATAGTGCCTCAATAAACATACGTGTGCATGTGTCTTTATAGCAGCATGATTTATAGTCCTTTGGGTATATACCCTGTAATAGGATGGCTGGGTCAAATGGTACTTCTAGTTCTAGATCCCTGAGGAATTGCCACGCTGACTTCCACAATGGTTGAACTAGTTTACCGTCCCACCAACAGTGTAAAAGTGTTCCTATCTCTCCACATCCTCTCCAGTACCTGTTGTTTCCTGACTTTTTAATGATTGCCATTCTAACTGGTGTGAGATGGTATCTCATTGGGGTTTTGATTTGCATTTCTCTGATGGCCAGTGATGATGAGCATTTTTTCATGTGTCTTTTGGCTGCATAAATGTCCTCTTTTGAGAAGTGTCTGTTCATATCCTTTGTCCACTTTTTGATGGGGTTGTTTGTTTTTTTCTTGTAAATTTGTTTGAGTTCATTGTAGATTCTGGATATTAGCCCTTTGTCAGATGAGTAGGTTGCGAAAATTTTCTCCCATTTTGTAGGTTGCCTGTTCACTCTGATAAGACCAAGCTCTTAATGGAATAAAGTTGGGATAATTCTCATGAACTATTGAAGACAGAGCAGTCTTGGGGGGAAGAGCATATCCTGAGGGCTCAGCCTGTGGCTGTGGGCATGGTGTGTATTCAATATCAGAATCTGGAAAAATGTTTGCAAGTGCCTCTGTGCCAGGTGCTGTGCTAGGCCCTGAGAACGGGAAACAGCCTGGCTGTGCTTCCCTTTCTGTTTGCTCCAAGGAGAGGGAAGGTAGATGCTTAGAGTTGGTAAAGGGAAGTGTAGTCCATCTTAGAGAAGTCCTAAGTAGACTATTAGGGGGTAAATCCATTATAGTGAAGTAAAATAGCGAAAAAGAAAACCATATGAAAGAAATTGCGGGCCGGGCGCGGTGGCTCACACTTGTAATCCTAGCACTTTGGGAGGCCAAGGCGGGCGGATCACAAGTTCAGGAGATCGAGACCATCCTGGCTAACATGGTGAAACCCCGTCTTTACTAAAAATATAAAAAATTAGCCAGGCATGGTGGCAAGCGCCTGTAGTCCCAGCTACTCGGGAGGCTGAGGCAGGACAATGGCGTGAACTTGGGAGGCAGAGCTTACAGTGAGCCGAGATCGCGCCACTGCACTCCAGCCTGGGCGACAGAGTGAGACTCCGTCTCAAAGAGAAAGAAAAAAAAAAGAAAAAGAAAGTGTCGGGTGATAAGTGAAAGGTGTGCCCTCTGTGTTTTCTTCTGTTGGGACTGATAGAAGAGAACAGATGGAAAAGGAGAGACATAGGTCAGGAGGATCTGGGGTCAGAGCTACTGATGAGGGACCTGGGCAGGAGGTGGACACCACCCCACAAGGTCGGGCAGGCCTGCAGGGAAAGGGAAGGTAGGAGGAAGCCAGGCCAGCCTTGAGCAAGACACAGTTTTTTTTTCTTTTATTATTATTCTTTTTTAGTTGACATGTAATAATTGTACATATTTATGGGATACAATTAATACTGCATCATTTGATACATGTGTAATGATCAAATAAGGGTTTTAGCATATTCATTTAGCATTTATCATTTCTTTGTGTTGAGAATATCTGCTCTTCCAGCTATTTGAAAATATACAATAAATCCCAGCACTTTGGAAGGCCGAGGTGGGCAGATTGCTTGAGCCTAGGAATTCAAGACCAGCCTGGGCAACATGGCAAATCCCTGTCTTTCCAAAAAATACAAAAATTAGTTGGGTGTGATGGCGTGCGCCTGTAGTCCCAGCTACTCAGGAGGCTGAGGCAGGAGAATCGCTTGAGCCCATGAGGTCAGGCTGCAGTGAGCTGTGATTGTGCCTTTGCATGCCCACCTGGGTGACAGAGAGACCCTGTCTCAAAAAAAAATGTATACAATAAATTGTTGATTATAGTCACCCTGTAATGCTATAGAATACTAGAACTTATTCCTCTCATCTAGTGCAAGATACATGTTCAGACTCAGAACTGAACTTTGGCGTCGCAAGGGGGTCCTTTTCAGTAACCCCTCTCATAGGCTTTAGCATTCATATATGTGTGTTATTCCAGAACATAACCGAATAAGCTTCCATATCCCCAGAGGGTGCCATATTCTGTTTGATATTTTGAGGCCAAATACCATCATGTCATAAGGTGAAACATTCAGATTGAGGAACTGCTCCATGAGACCGAGGAGCTGTAGAGAATAAACAAAGTGGAAGGAAGGTGGGATTCAAAGACCAAGTCAGAGTTTACATTGAAAAGGCCAGGTTTCATGAAATACAGTTTAATGGAGAGCAGGCTCCTAAGTATCAACAGTGAAACTGCACAAAGAAGCCCCACAACTACTGCTTGGTTTGCCAGGTTTCCCTACATATAATAAAGCAGCTAGCTGTGAGACACAGGGAGAAAGCCTTATCACCACTCCATGGATGAAAAACCCAAGGCACAAAGAGATGGATTTGCCCAAGGCAATGATCAACAGTCAGAATCAGCTCTAAGATTCAGGCTTCTTGATTGGTGATTCCGAATTCTGTCAATTTTTAAATTGGTGACTCTTTAAAACTTAAGTATAATATCTAGACCAAAAAAACGAACAAAAAAAGTTTCAGAATTGAACACACCCATAGGGTTAGTTCCCAGATCAAGAACAGAATGTTCCCATCCCCGGAAGTCCCCTCCTGTCTCTCTTTTTCACTCACTATCCCTCTATCCCTCCAAAATAGCCACAATCATGACTTCTAAGAGCATAGAATACTTTTGCCTGTTTTTGTCCTTTCTAGAAATAGAAGAATGTGAGTTTTTTTTGGTTTTTGTTTTTGTTTTTTTGCTTCTGGTTTCTCTAGCTAAGCATTATTTTTGTGAGGTTCATCTATATTATTGCATATTCAGATAGATCATTCTCATTGCTATATAGTATCCCATTATTTGATTATACCACAATTTACTTATCCCTTCCATCAAATGCCAAGGGCACTTGGGTAGTTTCCAGTCTGATGCTGTTACAAAGAGTGCTGTTATGAACATTCCTCAAAGTGTCTTTTGATGAATATATGTACACAGTCCTATTGGGTATGTATTTAGGACTGAAATTGCTGAGTCTTAGGGTATACACATGATAAGCTTTAGTAGATACATAGATACTATAATTGGCAAGTTTAAATTTTGTCTATCGAAGTTTAAAACTCACCTGACTATAAAATTCTGTATTTGTTTACATCCAGGCATCTGTCTTAACATTGCTGAATAATTGTCTTCTCTTCTTATCTAGATCACTGAAGAGAGGATCGTGACTTAAACTTGCCTTGAATCTCTATAGTGCTGGGTACTTGGGGCTGGATACAGAGTACTCGTTACATGAATACTTTCTTATTCAAATGTACGAAGAATTGCATAAGCATAGTTCTGCTTCTAGAAGAAAGCCACAGACTTAGACTCAAAGTCTAAGGCAGGGCCACAAAACATCTCAATAGAAAGAATAACTAAACCAGGATTGACTTAAAAGCTTGAGAGCAGAGGTCATGGCTCATCAATCTTTGCATCCTTCACAGTGCCCAACACAATGTCTTATACATAGTAGGTGCTCAGTAAATATTTGCCCCCAAAAATGGAATCAATAAAGAAATGATTGTGAATTGCTTCTATCACATCTGGCTCAAAGTCAAGTGCTTTTTGAGATAGAAAAACAAGATGAATATAGAATTGGGTAAAAGTTGGAAGAAAACATGCGTTAATCCTACTCATGAAAAATATTTCATATAAGGAAAGCAACTTCATTGTTTTAATTTTTCAGCCACTCTTCCCAGAAAGAGAATTCCTGAACCTGTCACTCTGATCCTAAACAATGTGAAACTAAGGAACAGATAAATTTGGGTGCTGGAGATTATATTTTATTCCTCAATAACTAGATGTAGCAGGAGAAGAAAGATTTGAAAATTTTTTTTAAGACCAAAACTTTCTCTAAGAGACCTCCCCTTCAAAGGCTTAAGGTAAGACCTGGGGTGGTGAGGACACAGGCCAAGGGAAGGCCTGATCTTTGGCACAGGCTTGAGTGTCAAGCAACTAAGCCTGGACTTCTCTCTCTGGGCAGCAACAACATTCATAAAGACAGGGCAAGTCACAAGAAACAAAGACGAGATGCTGAGGCATTCCTGAAGGGGCTTTGTGAAGAAAAGGAGGGCTTGGAAAAGAGATCTGAAGTTGACAGCATCTCTCAAGGGTCCCTCAGTCCCCAAAAGACTGAGAGCTGCTGAGGGTAACATAAAGGAAGTGCTTTTTGTTCATTTCATAACCAAATAAGTGAAATACAAACCTCTGCAAGTTATGCTCAGTGGCATGTTTTGACATCTCACTGGAAATCAAATTTCTGCCCCATAAAAGCCAAGAGGTTTTGGCCAGGACCCAAAAGCCTTTCTCAACCTTCTCATTAGCAAGCAAGAGAGTAATCTGAGGTTTCTGACCCATTCTGTAAACTGCAGTATCTCCCCTTCCCTAAAACCAGAAAAACCCCAGAATATGTTCTAAATGGAAAAGGAGCTTTCCTGCAGCCGAAGATGGGAGAGGAGTGACCTCAGGACCTCTGTAGTCAGGCGAGCCAAACCCCTGGGCTCTAGAGAGGAAGGAAAGAGAACACAGCTGGGGATGAGGGTGAAGAGGGGTCATGAAGGGAAAGGAGGGGAAGAACAGGGAAGTACTAGGAAGGTCAGAGACAAAAAAGAAAATGAACATTTACTGAGCACCTACTGTGTACCAGGTTTTTTATATAAAGTATTTCCTTTGATCCTCAAAGCAACTCTGCAAAATAGGTCATGGTATCTCTATTTTCATGGGCAAGAAAATTAATCCTCACCTGAAATTTCATGGCCAGTACCCCCTGACCCCTGGGCAAGTCGGCTCCTAATGTGGGCCCAATGCCTTAGAGGGCTTTGCTTTGGCCCTCCTCTGGCCACACTGCTGTCCAAGAGGTAAATAGTCCCAGGAACAAGGAGGTGCATCCACGCAGAGCCTGTGTAACGCTACTAGACAGTAGTCTAGGTTCCTAGAACCCCAGAATTTTTTGCCCAAACTTCTGCTCACAGTCCACTGGCTAGAACTCATTATGTGCCTCCACAAAGATACAAAGAGACAGATGTACAGCCTGACTTCCTAGCAACAACTCCACAGCATGGAAGGGCCGCATGAATCTTGGGGTCAGTTAATCATCTTGGTCATTCGTGTCCTCAAACCCAGGTCAATTCTATGTCATGAGGAATCTGTGTCCCACCAGACTGCTACTCTACGGCCTGAATTTGGTCTACGTCTTGTGTGTGCATAAAGGGCCTTATCTGGTCAGGTTGCTCAACAGGGTGAAAACACTAAGGAATAGCTTTAACATGGGAGAAAGAACATCGAACTCTCAAATAGACGTCAGCAGCTTGGAGTTAGTAGATTCAATGCAATTCTTCATTAGGTCCTGAAGAGGCAGGGAATTTAGCTACATGCAGGGACCATAGAAATCATAGCTACAGCTGGACTTCTCATCCATTTTTTATCAGATGCCAATCCCAAAGTCGATGATAATTTTGGAAAATTCTTCTGGTCCCTAATACAGCCAGAATACCATTTGCCACTACTATTAATCAGATTTTACATGTCCTTTGCCTGATGGTTAGTGCCAAAAGGTTTGGGAGTCAGACAGTCTTCGGTTTAAATCCCGGGTCTGCCTTTTACTAGCTGTAAGAGCTTGAGCAACTCCCTTCACCTCAGTTTCCTCATGTGTGAAATAGATCTAGGTACCACCTAATAGTGTTATTCTGTGAAGATTAAATGAAAGCATCTGCCCTGGTGCTTGGCACATGGTAGATGCTCAATACATTTAATTCCCTTCCTCCTATCTGTGGCTGATGGGAGCTAGTCACACTTGCGTATTTATTCTCCTACCATCCATCTAGTGATAGAAATATTCAATACAAATTCTTTTCCCAGTATCCAGTGTTTATACAGATACATATTTACACAAGCTATTTTGACAATTTGAAATAATTTTTTGAAGAAGAGCTTCACTGAGATGTAATTCTCATACCACAAAACTAGCCTTTCAAGTGATACATTTCAGTAGGTTTTAGTATATTTAATGGTGTAAGCAGCCATCACTGCTATTTAATTTTAGGATATTTTCATCACCCCCAAAAGAAACCCCAAACCTATTACTAGCCACTTCCCATTTTCTCCCACCCGACTCCCAGCCCTAGGCAACTGCTAGTCTACTTTCTGTCGCTATAGATGTGGCCTATTCTGGACGTTTCATATAATATGTAGTCTTTTGGGCCAGGTGCGGTGGCTCACGCCTGTAATCCCAGCACTTTTGGAGGTCAAGGCGGACTGACCACTTGAGGTCAGGGGTTCGAGACCAGCCTGGCCAACATGGTGAAACCTATCTCTACTGAAAATACGAAAATTAGCCAGGTGTGGTTTCAGGCACCTGTAGTCCCACCTACTCGGGAGGCTGAGGCAGGAGAATTGCTTGAACCCAGGAGGTGGAGGTTGCAGTGAGCTGAGATCATGCCACTACACTCCAGCCTGGGTGACAGACTCCGTCTCAGAAAAAAAAAAAAAGTAGTCTTTTGTGGCTGTTTTTTTTTTTTTTTTTCACTTAGCATAATGTTTTCAGGTTTCATCCATATTGTAGCATATATCAGCACTTCATTCCCTTTTATTCTTGAATCATAGTCCATGTATACTACATTTTGTATATTACATATACTGTATTTTGTTCATTCACTGGTTGATGGTCATCTGGATTATTTCTCCCTTTTAGTTATTATGAGTAATGCTGCTATGAACATTTGTGTACAAATTTTCGTGTGGACATTTGTTTCAAATTCTCTTGGGTATACACTTAAGAGTGGAATTGCTGGGTCATATAGTAACTCTACATTTAAACTTTTGAGAAGCTGACAGACATTCCAAAGTAGCTGCACCATTTACATTCCCATCAGACAGGTAAGACGGTTCTAATTTCTCTGCAACATTAATCATTACCTGTCTTATTATTAATATTAATTAATATTATTAATATTAATAGCTGTCTTTTTAATTATTACCATCCTAATGGGTAAAGTGCTATGTTATTGTGGTTTTGATTTGCATTTCCCTGATGGCTAATGATGTTGAGCATCTTTTCATGTATTTATCGGCAATTTGTAGCTTTTCGTTGAGGAAATGTTAATTTAAATCCTTTGATCATTTTTAATTGGGTTATTTGTCCTTTTATTGAGTTGTAAGAGTTGTTTATAATTTTGAATATAAACATCAGATATATGATTTGAAATATTTTTTCCGCTTCTGTGGGTTGTTTTACGTTCTTGATGATGTCCTTTGAAGAACAAAAGTTTTAAATTTTTATGGAGTCCAATCTGTTTTTTCCTTTTGTTGTTTGCACTTTTGGTGTCATATCTAAGAAGGTGTTGCTTAATCTAAGGTAATGAAGATTTATTCCCATGTTTTCTTTTAAGAGTGTGTGGTTTTAGCTCTTACATTTAAGTCTCTGATCCAGTTTGTGTTAATTTCTGCATATGGTGTGAGATAGAGATTCTGACTTAACTCTTTTGTATGTAGATATCCAGTTGCCAGACCAAGCACCATTTGTTAAAAAGTTTGTTTTTTCTCTAATAAAAAATCAGTTGACCATAAATGTGTCTATTTCTTTCTCAGCTCTCAATTCCATTCCATTGATCTATATTTCTATTCTTATCCTAGTATCACATAATTTTGATTACTATAGCTGTCTAGTAAGTTTTGAAATTGGGGCGTGTGAGTCCTCCAGTTTTTTTTTTTTCAGGATTGTTTTGACTTTTGGATTCCTTGATTTTACATATGAATTTTAGGATCAGCTTGGCAACATCTACAAAAAAGACAGCTGAGATTTTGGTAGGGATTGCATTGACTCTGTACATCAATTTGGAGAGTAATGCCATCTTAACCATATTAAGTCTTTCAATCCATGAACATGGGACATCTTTTTATTTATTTAAGTCTTTTTTAATTTCTTTCAATGGTGTTTGGTAATTTTCAGTGTATAAATTTTAAATTTTTTAGTTATATTCTTAGTTTCATTTTTCAGATTGTTTCTTGTTAATGTATAGAAATACAATTGATTTTTGTATATTGTATAAATGTATAATATATAAATGTACTTTTTTGTTTGTTGATTGGTTTGTTTTGATGGATTCTTGCTCTGTTGTTCAGGCTGGAGTGCAGTGGTGTGATCTTGGCTCACTGCAACCTCCACCCCCTGGGTTCAAGAGATTCTCCCACCTCAGCCTCCCAAGTAGCTGGGATTACAGGCATGCACCATCATGCCCAGCTAATTTTTGTATTTTTAGTAGAGATGGAATTTTGCCATGTTGGCCAGGCTTCTGTAAGTGTGTATTTGTATTTTGTCACGTATCCTACAACCTTTTGAACTCATTTAATAATTCTAATAATTTCTTGGTTTCTAATAATTTCTAGAATTTTCTGTATACAAGATCATGTTATCTATAAATACAACTAGTTTTACTTCTTCCTTTGCAATCTAGATGCCTTCAATTTTTTTTTTCTTGCCAATTGCTGTGGCTAGAACCTCCAGTACAGTGTTGCATAGAAGCGGCAAGAGTGGACATCCTTGTCTTGTTACTGGTATTAAAGGAAAAGCTCCCAGTCTTTCACTATTAAGTATGATGTTAGCTGTGGGTTTTTCATAGTTGCTATTTATCAAGTTGAGGACATTTCTTTTTATTCCTAATTTGTAGATTGCTTTTATCATGAAAGTGAAGTGGTGTCATTGTCTGGGGTAAATACCCAAGGTTCGTTATTTCACACCAAGGAAATCAAGGACATGGACATGCAAGGAATGAGATTAAGAGCAGAGGTTAAATAGGCAAAAGAAAGAGAAAAGCTCTCTCTTGCAGAGAGGGGTCTTGAGCGGGTCTTCTTGTCTGTGGTGACATGCAGGAGGTTTTATAGATGAGCTTCAGGAGGTGGTGTCTGATTTACATAGCGCATGAAAGATTGGTCAGACCAGGTGTGCCATTTGCATAGCGAGTGAAAATCTAGCCGCCTCCAACCTATTCTTTTATAATGCTATCTGGCCAGTGCCATGTTGCCTGCTTCTTTACTGTGCACATGGTGACAAAGAAAAGGGAAGATGGAGCCTCCATGTTGAATATACCTGGCTTCCAGGTAGCCCTGTTCTATTGGCACAGCTGCCGCCATTCAGCTGTGCAAGCTTCCAGCTTGCTTATCTATGTTTGCAGCTCGATTTTTCAGGCTGCTCTTTGTTAGAAAGGAAATTATTTTGGGGCTGCTTTTTGTTAAAAGGGAAATTCCACTGATGACTCTGTTGCCCTTACTATCTGCCTAAATAATTTCTTTCTATCTCCTGTATCAAAAGAGTGCTGGATTTTGTTCAATGCTTTTTCTCTGTCTATTGAGATGATCATATGGTTTTTGTCTTTTTATCTTGTCCTTTATTTCACTTGATTGCTTTTTGTATTTCAAATCAAACTTGTTTTTCTGGGATAACTCCTTACTTGATCATGGGATACAATCATTTTGATATGTTGCTGGATCTGGTTTGCTAGTATTTTGTTGAGGAGCTTGTGCTTATATTTGCAAGATATATTATAATAAATGTCTTTGCATGCTTTTGGTATCCGGATAATACTGGCCTCATAGAATGAGTTGGGAAGTATTGCCTCCTCTTCTAGTTTTTGGAAGAGTTTGGGAAGGATTGGTGTTAATTCTTCCTAAGTACTTGGTAGAATTCACCAGTGAAGGCATCTGGGTCTGGGCTTTCTTTGTGGGGGAAAAAGAATGTATTACTAATTCAATCTCTTACAGGTTCTCTTCGATTTTTTCTCGTTTAGTCAGTTTTGGTAGTTTGTATACTTTTAGAAATTTTTGTTTCGTTCAGGTTATTGGATTTTTTGGCACACCATTGTTCAGAGTATTCTTTTACAATCCTTTGTATTTCTGTAGGGTCTATAGTGATATTTCTTTCAGTGTTATTCCAGATTTTCATAATTTGAGCCTTCTCTATTCTCCATTAAGCTAAATTTTTGTCAATGTTGATCTTTTCAAGGAGAGGTTGTCTTTTAACCACAGCATAACTGAGCCTATTCTTACTAAACACATGAGGAGATAACATACGTAGTTTTCTAATCTTTCAAAGGCTTCTAAACCTACAATTCACTCCACAAACATTTATGGAAGCTCTACTATATAGAAGCAGCATAAGCATGCTGTAGACCTCCAAAATGAATAGGACATACTGGATGGTCCCTGTGCTCAGTGGTACAGTCTTGGGTAGAGTTGAGGGGTGGAAGTTGGGGTCAGTCTAGGATAACAGCTAGATAGCACAATGGGATAAGACTGAGGCCACCTAAGTGTGGCTGTGTAGGCTATCTACTCCACAACTCTAGGTTCCAGTGACCTAGACTACTGGCAATGTGAATGGTGTATACTGAAGTTGGGCTAGCCGTAGCCCTTGAATAAGTGCTGACACTAAAATATCTGTAAACCAAAAATAAGATTCTAAGCCCCCTCCCGCAGCTGACTGAGTGCACCTCTTTTCTTGGCCAAAGGGATTCCAAAGCAACCTGAAAAACTAGTTCAGGCCTTGAGGCAAGTGGGGTGGGGGGTTTGGACATGCCTCTGTATACTCTCCTCCCTTTGGAATTCAGGCACAACTGACCAGCATTAACATAAAAACAGAGGTCTTAAGACTGAAAAAAGAGGGCCAGGCACAGTGGCTTACGCCTGTAATCCCAGCACTTTGGGAGGCCAAGGTGGGTGGCCTCGAGGTCAGAAGATCAAGACCATCCTGGCCAACATGGTGAAACCCCGTCTCTACTAAAGCACAAAAAATTAGTCGGACGTGGTGGTGCACACCTGTAGTCCCAGCTACTCAGGAGGCTGAGGCAGGGGAATCACTTGAACCCATGAGGCAGAGGTTGCAGTGAGCCAAGATCGCAGCACTGCACTCCAGCCTGGCAAAAGAGAGAGACTCTGTCTCAAAAAAAAAAAAAAAAAAAAAAAAGAGACTCTTTGTAGCAGTAAGATACCAAATTCCAGCCTGACTCTAGTATAGCATCACATGACAGACAGCAGGCCCTGAAAGAAATAAAAATATTTTACCCCAAAATATATTTTTTGACATATTTTGAAACAGCCCGTAAAGCTGTCTCTTGTGGAGGAAATTTACATTCTGTAGAAAATCCCCTTCCCTTTCCAGGTCTTTTTCTGATCCTGAAGAGATTAGCTACGAGTATAGCACATTTAAAGGTCTGAATAGAAAATATTTGCCATCTATTGCCTCTCAGGGCGGCCATCTATAAGACTTCATCTATATAGTAACAACCTTGGTCTCCATAACCCTTTATCTTAACCCAGACATTCCTTTCTCTTGACTCTAGGTCTTTAGGTAATAACTCTTTCAACCAATTGCCAATCAGAAAATCTTTGCATCCACTTAAGACTTGTAAGCCATCTCTTTGAGTTGTCCCATCTGTCCGTACTGAACCAATGTATACCTTATACATATTGACTGATGACTTATGCCTCTCTAAAATGTATAAAACCAAGCTATAACCCAATCACCTTGGGCACATGTGGTCACGAGTCCATGGTCCTCACCTTTGGCTCAGAATAAATCTCTTCCAATATTTTACAGAGTTTTGCTTTTTTCATCAACAATGCCTATAGGGATCTGGAGATATAAGTGAGAGGGCCATTATTTCTGGCTGTTGGGGGGAGGGCAAAGGGGAGATAAATATCAATATTTATTCCATCCATCTCTCCTCCATACCTTCATTCTGCACCTCCCTCTTTGGCAAAAATTCCTACTTTTTGAAAGAGCATCATAATTTCTAAAATGATTCTTGGCCCCACAGTTCTTTGACATGCATAGGGCTTGGCAGACTCACAGGAAAATGAGGTCATTTAACACAAACCTTGTAATGATTGAAACCTGTGCTTTCTATGGAGAGCAGCAAGATGGAGGGAGAAGAGGGGAAGTAACCTGGGACATAATTACATCAGCCCAAAGATCCGAGCTAGGAACTCTTCTCACTTGGAAAAGTGTAATAGACAAGGGCCTTTTACTCCTGTGAGTGGGTTTCACACCATTGATGGTAACACTTTCACCTGTAGGCTAGAAGGATGGCTGGGCCTCCCGCTCTTCTCAGCTGCTTTGCACATAAAATTTGAGTGATGTTATTTTAGAAAGGCATTTAACGCTGATGCTGAAAGACTGCTTTGCAGTGGCTCACACATATCTGGGACCAGGGCCGGGTGCCGGTCCATCACAGGCAAAAGGGCAATCAGCATTGTCTGAGTAACACTAGCTGCCTGGGGAATAAACTTGAGAGAAAGCTGTTCTCCTCTTGACCTCTAGAGTTTCCAATTCACATTCTAGCAGGGCAGCCGGCAGATTAACAGCTGCAGGTTTTCTCCCCACCTCCACTCCTGAGATCTGCAAACCAGCTTCTGCCAGGGATGCCTTGGAGAAGTAGGTTTTTCCAGCACTGCACAATAGTCTGTGCACATACAACAAACTGCTTTTTTATTTTAAAAAGAAAAAGGAAAGGAAATTTCCCTGAGGTTCTAATCCTTCTCTCTGTGAAGCCTGTCTTTCTAGTGCTGTTTGTAAAAGTAGGTTTCATGAGTTTAGGTTGATGATTGCTGTAAGGATACAAAATTGAGATAACTTTTTGGTCTGTTCACAGCTCTTCTGTGGCAGAGGTTCAGAGGTCTGCTGACCAAATGCAAAGGGAGGAGGAGAGTAGGGGGCTAAGTGTGGGCTGCTGGAAAGGCCTGATGATACCAGAGTCTGGCTATGCTCTGCCTCTGCAGCGTAACAGCTCCCAGGTCCTTGGCCAGATCATAGAACTTCTCTGCTTTAACTTTTTTTTGTCTGTTTACATGGGAGCAAGGTTTACCTACTCCTTGGGTCCAAGGTAAATAGATAAAGTACCTGTGGGTACTTCGGAAGCTAAAAGTGCAATAGCATTAAGAAGGGTGATTGTTATTTTGCTGAATAGTCAATGTTGGATTGTTCTTCCTTACGAGCACTAATACTATTCAACAAGTCCAGTGAATTAATCCCACTAATGTATAGTCAGAACCTACTAAGTGCTGGGAATTTATCCTGCCAGTTGGAATTCAGGCTTGACATATACACATGCATACATGCACACACACACACACACACACACACACACACACACACACACACACATACACACACAATTGCCTTCACTCCTTTCCAGAGCTCTGATGCTATAGCTATTGCTCTTCTGCTTGCAGCTAGGGTGCCCTGGGATAAGGCAGAGAGATCACCTCAGCCTGCACAGCTAGCACCACAGGCAGATGGCTGCCTTGCAGATAAAAGAGGGTTTAGTGCCGCAAACACGTGCACTCTAAGGACCTTGGAAGGTGGTTGGTGTGGCTCAGTGGGGAAAGGAGACAGCCTAGACTCAGTCAGACCTCGGTTTGAGTCCCGGTCTGGTCAGTTATTAATTTTATTAATTGTATTACCTTCAGCAAGACTGAGTCTCAGATTCTCTGCCTATAAAGTTATTCCCACCTCCAAGTGCTCTTGCGAGGATTAAATGAGATCAGCATGGTGGACTGCCCAACGGAGAAGGTGCTCCTTCAATGCAGACTCCTTCTCCTGCCTGGACAGCTTATCAGTCTTGTTTAGGAAGAGTGGAAGTCGAGCATTCATTCACTCCATAAATATGCATGAAGCACCTGCTATGCGCCAGACTGCTCTAGATGTGGGAACGTAGCAGTGGGCAAGGCTAGGGAGGTCCATGTCCCCTGGAGCTCACATCCACCCTCATGCGTCTTATCACATGCGCCTTACCACAGACGGGGGGCACATGCTACAGAATGTGTGTCATCCGCAGCTGCCAGCATGGGGAATTAGGAAGCGCATTGCCCAAGGGGCTTGGCCATAGGCTTTGCTGAGAGCCCAGTGGCAGTGCTGGACCCCGAGGTGGGGCACAGATGGCACAAGACCTGGGTTTCCGTCATGATTCTGCTGTGTGCTGGCCCAGTGACCTTGGATAATGCCAGTTCTCTGCACCTCAGTGGCCTCATCTCCCACTGAGACTGTCATTGGTTCCACTGTCCTCTGGGTTTTTATAAAGACCAAATAAACTAACAAGAAGTTTCCTTGCAATAAACACATACACACACACACACACACACACACACACACACAGAGAGAGAGAGAGAGAGAGAGAGAGAGAGAGGCAACATTTGACAACAACAATTATATTCTCTCATTTAAGGACCATCTCACTGTCTGTATCTTGATATCATCATCATCCTCTTCATGCTCATTTTTACTTAAGCCATTAGTTTTCCTTGGTAGAGAAAATGAAACCTGTTGTCAGTTGCAAAGCTGTGTCTCTGGACCTGAATTTAGCTGGGTGCATTTGCAACTATAAAAACAAGGAGGGTAGGAGGAGACAAAATATGTATGGGGAGGGGAAGGAGGCAGACATGCAGGTTTTGCTGGTGTTATAGACAGACCATGAGACCTCCTCACACAGGACTGAGGCTGGCCCAGAAGTCAGTCCACTTGCCCAGGATGAGTCTCATTGTTTGCGCCATCAGCAAGGCCTGGAGTTCGAGTGCAATGGCCCTATTGACTATGCCCTTCATCATCCAAGGCAGCCGCCAGGTGTGGCTCTCCTTCCACACTTGGAACCTGACCTTCAACTGGAGCCCTAGCAGCCACAGTGGTGCCAGCCTGGGAGTGCGAATGGGGTGGGCCTGGGAATGGGGTGAGCCCTGGGGGCTGTGTCTTTCTCCAGGGCTCCTGGTGCCCTAAAGAGACGGAGGATCCTATAGCATTTAACGTTAAGACAGTTCAGCCAAGGCCTTCCATGCCAGAAGGTGGCTCTGCTTCTATGCTCTGGTGCAAAGTGGGTGCAGGTCTGGAGCTCCTGCCTCTTCTGTGAGGGACCCACAGGGTGGGGCTCTGTGATCTTAGGGCAACAGACATAGAGGCTGCTGAGTGGCAAGGGAGGCAACCAGCCCGGAACAGCAGTGAGTGTGTCACAGGCAGGTAGAAATTTTTTTTAAAAAAAGGAACATTTGGGTGAGACTGCACCACGCACTTACACTAGGGGCTCACGGCTGGTTTGCCAGGGCTCACATCCCGGCTCTGCTGCTCCCTTGCTGTGGGATCACTTACCTCTCTGGGTTTGCTTTCCTTATCTGAAAACTCGGGACGATCCGTGGGTGATTTTTGGTTGCAGGCATTAGAAACAGACTGGTTCACTTAAACAAAGGGGGACTTATGAACTGGATACAGGTGGCTCGCAGCATGAAGGGAAGGGCTTCAGAAAGGGGGCTCAGAAACGTCAGGCCGCAGAGTTACTCCGGGGGGTACCAGAAGCCAGACCTCTGAACCAAGGCCACTTGGGAGCTGTCTACAAAGGGTGGGGACGAATCACGTCCTGTCAAGAATCTAAACGCTGAGGACAGCCTGTGTTAGTCCATTTTCACTCGCTGATAATGACATACCTGAGACTGAGTAATTTATAAAGAAAAAGATGTTTAATGGACTCAGTTCCATGTGGCTGGGGAGGCCTCAAAATCATGGTGGAAGGTGAAAGGCACATCTTATATGGTGGCAGACAAGAGAGAAAATGAAAACCAAGCGAAAGAGGTTTCCCCTTATAAAACCATTAGATCTTGTGAGGCTTATTCACTACCACGAGAACAGTATGGGGGAAGCTGCCCCCATGATTCAGTGATCTCCCACTGGGTCCCTCCCACAATATGCGAGAATTATGGGAGCTACAATTCAAGATGAGATTTGGGTGGGGACACAGCCCAACCATATCACAGCCCGACTGGCCTTTTGGGGTCAAAGGATGACTCACTGACTAAGAAAGGATGTGAGACAGTCCTACCAAGACCACACACAACAGGACAGAGATTGCTCCCCAGAACAGAGCTGGGGTACAGTGCCAAGAGAAAGTGCCAGTGGCTGCAGGAGGCTGGAAAGATCACAAAATCCACTGCAGAGGGCAGTAATTCCCACTGGGTAGGGCCACTGTGAGGCAGATATGAGATCAAGCAGTACAGCACTTAGCACGGCACCTTGTCCTTACTGAGGAATCAGCAACATTCAGCTGCCCTTGCAGTCACTTACCTTAACCCTCAACAGCTCTGAAATATCTTCATTTTCCATTGTGAACCCGGGACTACAACTGGTGAAAAGCGTTGCCCAGGGTGGCCCAAGTGTCAAGCAAAGCTCTGACACCAGCGTTGCTTTCAGAGCTGGCTACGTACATTGCAGAGCTGGGTATAAAATGTAAATAAAGGACCTCTTCTTTAAAAAGCAGGAAAAAATACTGTTCATTAAAATGTAAAGCTGTTTCCTTTCTTCCAGTGTCTCTTTCTCAACTGCCTTGGTGTTTTTAATTTGCTACTTAATGTCATTCAAAGTAAAGAAAAATTAAAATGTAAAATTATTAGCATGAATTTTACTCTCCTTTATATTATGCAATGCTGGTTTGATTTTTTTATTTTTATTTTTCGAGACAGAGTCTTGCTCTTTCGCCCAGGCTGGAGTGCAGTGGCGCGATCTTGGCTCACTGCAACCTCCACCTCCTAGGTTCAAGCAATTCACCTGCCTCAGCCTCCCAAGTAGTTGGGATTACAGGTGAGCGCCACCACGCCCAGCTAATTTTTATATTTTTAGTAGAGACAGGGTTTCCCCATGTTGACCAGGCTGGTCTTGAACTCCTGACCTCAGGTGATCTGCCCACTTTGGCCTCCCAGCTACTGAAAAGATATTTGCCACTTTTTAAGCAAACGAAATTGATAGAGACAATAACCTTTCTCTTCACCTGTTTCAGTATTTTCACTTTAAAGAAAGAGCCATTGTAGTAGAGAACAGGAAATAGGATTTGACCTGCAAATATTTCATTTTACCAACTCTGCTTCAGGGAAACTTCTTGGTTAACACCGTCCCTGCGTAGAAGCTTGTGGGAGTTGGAAATCTCCCTCAGGAGCTAGAGAGTCTTTGTTTGCCTGGCAGAAATAGGACCTCTTCAAGTCTGCAAGAAGTCCTTGCTGGTCAAGGAGCCCAGTGGGAGGTGGGCTGCTTCAAGTTGGGGGCAGTGGAGAAGTCAGCTGGTGCATTGCCTTTTAGGACGGGGGGTATCTTATAAACTTCCTCCCCTCTGCCCACACAGAAATACTATATATTTTGCAATTAAAGCCAGGCTTCCACTGGTACTGGAAAAAAAGGGGTCTTGATCCAGACCCCGAGAGAGGGTTCTTGGATTTCACAAAGGAAAGAATTCAAGGTGAGTTGCAAAGTGCAGTGAAATAAGCAAATTTATTAAAAGCTACTCCATTACAGAATAGGGCATGCTCAGAAAGCAAGCAGAAGAATGTACCATCTTTGTTTTAAGTTTTTCTTATATAGGGGTCCTAACTATGTAAAGAGTAAACTAAGCTGTGACTACATGAGGGTGAGCAGACTGCATGACAAAATTTATTATTCTACTGATTTAAACAACACTATCTTTGACATTTTCGTGTGAGTACATCAAAGCATAACTATAATTATCCTGAAAGCATATATTGATATGGGTATTGGGACATCTGGACCTTCTATTATTGTAGGCGTTTGACCTTGCAGGCATTACCAAGCTGCTGCCTTAGCTGTAAACATCCTATGACCATGGGTTGTGACTGGCAAGGATTGTGCCTTGCTCGTTTTAAGATGAAGCTGATTTTAAAATGGCGGCACTCTGGCTCTCCTAGGCTCCTGCTTCCCTAATACCATGCTCCTTTCCTTTTGTTCTAAAATGTGTGTGGAGCCCAGAATGCCCTGAATTCTCCACGGGCCGGATCTGTCTGCTGAATGTTCCAGGGACAGGTCTGTGCAGCTCAACTGCTGCAGCAACAGAATAAATATTTTGAGAGCTCCAATTTGGAACCAGCTGCAGTGAAATCGCTTCTTTCTGGCTTGGGTCAGAAAGTAAGAGAAGAAAACCCACTCTTGCAACTTGTCTGCACCCGTCGCTCGGGCCCTGGACACCCATATGCCCCTGGTGGGCCACTGGGCTGGACCAAGTGCTGTGCATGGTCTGTCTAATGAAGCACTGAAGTGCTGCCTGCCAACCCTGTCCCTTGGGGTCCAGCAGCACACGGGGCACTCGCATTAAGCTGCTGTGGTAGGAGCTGGTGCCTGGCCAGTGGGAAGTGGTGGTAGCCTTTTGAGCACAGGTGCCACCAGCAAAATTTCCCTTACAGTTGCTTAGCCACTCCAGGTCAGGGAAAGACCCAGGTTGATGAGACCCACTCACTACTAAAACAAAGGCAAAGGAAGGCACCATCAGCTGTGCCTGTATCCTGAACCCTCCTGTCCCCACCCACAGCACGCACACAGTCCTGTTGGTCCAGCACTGACGCCTGGGGGATCTCAGTGGGGCCTGGGGGACTGCACTGGCGTCAGTGAGTTGGAGTCAGGAATCTGTCAAGTGTAGCAACCACAGCAGAGGACAATGGGTCAGGCACCCTTGTGTGATGGGGTGTTTGCTCACATTCCATCTCCTCCAGAAAGCCTTCCTTGACTTCTCTGGACAAGACGGATTGCTCCTTCTTGGCAACTCTTACAGTGTAGATAATCTGCACTATAAATGTACTCATGGTTAGGAACACAATCTGCAGGCCTCAAATCGCAGCGCTCCCATTCACCAGATGTGTGACTTTCAGCAAGTTACTTCTCCATACCTCATTCCTTTACTTATTAAAAAAAAAAAAAAAAAAAAAAAGAATAGTGACAATGCCAATTGCACAGGAGAAGGAAGGAAGGACATGATTTAATATACATACATTGCTTAGAGTAGTGTCTGGCACAGAACGACTCCACAAGAGGCTGCTATTATAATCATACAACTATTTTTTAATGGTAAAGTATCCATAACATAAAATTTATCAATTTAACTGTTTTGAGTTACAATCAGTGGCATTAAGTTCATTCACATTGTTGTGCAACCATCACCACCGTCCATCTTCAGAACTTTTTCATCATCTCAAATTGAAGCGCTGTAACTCATTAAACGATAATTTCTCTCAGGCCCTGGTAACCACTATTCTGCTTTCTGTCTTTTAATTAACATAACTTTTTATTATATAATGTCTTTTTTTTAATTTAACAAATATATTTATTGAATAGCTGCTTTGCACCAGGAACTGGAGTAGAGTCTGGGGACACAGTGGTCATCAAGATAGAGTTTAGGCCTTTATGGAGCTTTTCTTATAGGCATTTGAGATTGACAATAAACAAACATGCAAGACAATCTCAGACAGTGATGCGTGGTATTGTTGAGAAAAACTATCAAAACAAAAGCATGGCATGTCCTTTCAAATTATATGGGGGCTTTGTTTAGCAGGACTACCCAAAAATTATTTAATTTTCTAGGATATTTGCTTGACATACCTATTTACTATCTGATTAGGGTCTAGACACTGGGAAGTGACATGTTAACTTGTAGATTTCTAGCATATAGAAAAGATAATCCAAAAGGTTATGGTTTTGTTATCCTGTAGGACAGTAAGAACTTTTATATCTAACCTAGCAATCTTCTAACATGTTTTCTCTTTAATGTCTCTATAAACACCCAGTTTCTCAAATGCTTTTGGAACCAACATGAAGTAATCGTACTAGTTTCTGCGTTAATCAGTTAACAAATCTTTGAGATGTGTTTATTCTATTTTTGTATGAGATCTGTGTTTTTAACTCTTGAAAATTATACTTTGCCACTCTAAGGAACATAAATCAGGACAAGTGGATAGAGTGGCTGCAGTTGGTATGATAGCATTTGAGACAGGGTGCTGAGGGAAGACCTCTTTGGGCAGGAACTTGGATGATGAGAAGGAAACAGACACCCCAACTTCTGAGAGAAGAGACTTCCCAGCAGAAGGAATGGACAGGAAGGGCCAGGGTGCTCCTGGGGCTGTGAGGAGACCCGTGTGACCAGGGCAGTGGGCTAGGAGAGTGGGGGCTAGACTGGGTCAGATCCTGAGGAGCCCTGTAGCCTGTACCGGGCCGGGGCCGGGGAGGTCAAGCCCAACTTGAAACTGATGTTGAAGAATACACTCTATCCTCATGACAAGCAAGTACGTGTCCTCAGGCCACTCTTCCTGTCTCATTGGCTCCCCTCCTTCTCCCCATCCTGCTTAGCTCAGTGAGGCCAACTGATGCTAGTTCATCTTGGCTGTGTACTCCAAACTGCTCCAAGTCTGAAGCCAATTTCTTCAGCATCAGACCTTGGTCTCAGCCCTGCCTGTGAGGCTTTGGGGATGGGGAAGGGGGGCCCAGCACTGGACTGGCTGGTCAGGAACCCAATGGGGGAGTTTAGTGACTGCCTGTGAAATTCCCTGGGGGGCCCAACAGTCGTCAGTGGCCATTTGTGTGTTGGGCTGTCAGGGGACCCACTCCTGGCACCGCCTCAGAGGAGCCACAACTGAGCAAGGACCTCTTGCTAAAACGTGAGTGATTTCTTCTAGTTCTACAACCTTCTAAGGCTTCCCTGAACAACCCAACCTGCCCTCCCAATCTCCCCTCCCAGTCTCCCCTCCTGCACAGAATTGAGTCCTCGGGGCAGCCCTACTGAACAGCGCCCTGTAGTGAAACTTTGTGTTCCTGTTGTAATCCCTGAAGACAGGAATTGCTGCAGCCACCAAGGATAGGGGCTTTTCTGCAAAAGGCAGAGCCCACCCTATTTTTTCGAACTCTGTTGAGCTCCTACTGTGTCCCAGGCACTATCAGCCACTGTAAAGTGCTGGCAGCAGTGTGACAGCAGGGGCCACGTCTGTCTTGGTCACCACTGGGCCTCAGGACATAATATTGCCCAGCATCTACTAGATATTCTGTAAGTATTGCACTAGTGAACAAATAAAGAAAAGTAAATAAGATGCAGTACCTAAGTGTGGGGACTGCTTTGTGTTACTTCAGAGCACAGGGATGAGCAGGAGTTGATTTATGTCTTTTTAATGAAGCTCAACCTAATGGGCAGCTGTGTATAGTATTAAGCACAAGAATTCTGGCATCAGACTGCCTGGGTTTAATTCCTGGCTCTGCCACTTATTAACTCTGTGACCTTGGGCAAGTTACTTAATCTCTCTGTGCCTTATTTCCTCAGAAATGGGGAAACCTCATAGTGTTGTCAAGAGGATTCAAATAAAGTTTGCAAAGCACTTAAGAGAGTGCCTTGCACATTCTACGTACGATGGCAGATTTTGTTAAATAAGGGAAAACTTGCTAAAAACTAGAGTGATGTCCAACAATAAATGGTTGCCTAATAAGGTGCTGAACTGCCCACAACCAGAGGTATGGGCAGATGTATTAGCTCTTCCGGATAATTAATAATATCTATTATCTATTGAACACTTAATATTGTCCAGCATTGTGCTAAGCACCTTACATTTATTATCCTATTTTGTCTTTACAATAACTCCATATTATTATCACCACTTGACACAGGAAACAGGCTTTGTGATGGCCTGAGATCCCTCTGTTTGAGTGACAGATCTGGGATTCTATGGATTCTGAAGTGAGTTGTGCTCAGAATTCAGAGAACACTTGGGTGTCTGAGGTCACGTAGGGCATGGGAACCATGGGGAGAAGGCAGGTAAGCAATCTGTGGGCTGAGGGAGGAGACTCCAGGGGCAGCCAGAGCCCAGGGCTTAGTGATAAGGAATGCTTTGTGCTGGGGTTCACAGGCAGACAAAGAGTGGGCAGGAGCTAGGAGGTGGAGAGTTTTTGCAGCAATCCATCAACCAATAAACCAACCAACCAGCCCATCAAGTCAGAGACACACTGTATTTGGCAATGAATGGAAGGGAGGTGTTGGGAGGTGGCTCCGCTCCATAGGCCCCCACTGCAAGACACTGTTATGGCTGGTCAGGGCCACTCTTTATAGCAAGATAGTGTCCCTTGGGGGACAAAGAGAAAGAAAGTACTGCGGAAGGAGGAAGCAGCAGGTAGATAGGATAGAAGATACAGGTAGGGGCCTCTCCTTGGGAAAGAGGGGACAAACCTTCCACAGTAATAGTAGGATAGAGGAGATGAGTACAGATACATATTTAGGAGCAAAGAAGAAAACCAAGGGGGTTCTGCACTTGTCTTTACTGTAAAAAACAAACTGAGGTAATCTGTTCAAGGGTTGAGGAAGTGAGTTCTGGGACTTGTGAAAGGCAAGTTTGGAATAAACCTGAGTAGGTGTGCTAGGAGAGCAAGCAGGGAAGAGGAATCTTGTTAAGCTGCAGGAGGCCCTGCTGGAGACAGAAGGCAGGAAATTGGGCTGAGCCAGGGGCGACAGTTCGTGGTATGTAGGAGAGGCCACTGCTAGGCCATACTCGCTGCTATCCAGCCCCGTTTTTCCCACAAGGGCCCAAGCTCTGGGGCTATGGAAGCTGTCCCATCCACCTAAGAGTAATCCTTCTTTCTTGACCAGCCTCCCAGAAACTCTCAGGGTCCATGAGAGCCACCTCTCTCAAGGGCACGTGGAGCCCTCCTGCAGCCCCAAAGCGCTGTTGTGGCTTAAACGTTTAGAGCAGCCTCTACCCATCTTGCATATCCTCTTCCCTCTCCACATTGACTCTGAAAAACACCAGTGGCCAAAGTGGAACATGGCTGGAAAGTCCACGCTGTTTCCTTAGATCCGTGGGACACCTCACTGCTAAAGCATTTCCCGCAATCATTTCATAGGCCTCTAAATGGGCATCCGATTAGCGTGACTTCATTTTCCAGGTGCGAAGGCTGTCTCTCTCAGGTTCAACATCGTCGGCTAGAGGCAGCAGGCCTTCTGAGCAGCTGTCTTGCTATCAAGGCAAGAAGTATCTGTTTTTGTGGTGTGTTTACCACCCCTCCTACCCTGAGGGCCACTCTCATCATTACCCTTACTGTGGAGGACAGGTGGTTCGCGGCAGGGATGGCAAACTCTTGAAACACACGTCTTGTCATGTCCTAACCCAGCACCAAGGGCAGACCACAATAATATATCACGCCTCATTGCTCAACACAGAGCTCCAGGCAGCATCAGGAAACAATTGCGGTGGGAACTCCAGACAAATCTTTTTGCCACCCCCATGTGGGATCTGTAGCTCTAGCACCTTCTTCCCTATTGTCTGTGAGGCAGGATGGCCCTCCGTAAAACTGTGAAAGGGTGAGGTGTGTCTTTGGCCTGTAAGCAGCCCTCTCCTATAGGCCCCTAGAGGTGGGTTCTCCTCCAACAGTCATCCCTGCTCTGTCCCACTGCCCTCCTCAGGGCCCTGAGGAGCTGAGCAGCTACTCCAGTCACTGACTGGTAATAATGAGGGCAGTGGGTTGGAATCACAGCTGCATCTCTGCAACACTGTAGCTCTGAGGCTGTTTTCTCCTCCATGAGGGATACTGATTACACCTACCCGTGGGTCCTTAGGCACAGGAATAAGGATCAGAATGGAATTGAGGTCCCGTATTTATAAGGTTTTTAAATTGCATTGATCTCTGGCCTCCTAAGAAAGCGTCACTTCTAATCGCCAGCACCAACCCTCCCAGATATTTTAACAGGGCACAATTTTTGAATCTGAAAGGAATAATTCTAATGGTGGATGTGTAAAGTTGTGGAGCTCTTTGGGGGTAAACCCGGCTTTGTGGCACCCTTCGGATCCCACCTCATGCTGCAGCGGAACTCACATTTGCATGGTGCTTCCTAGTTGATAAAGGGGTTGTCACTTTAGTTCAAGATCCCTCCCTTGCTATTCTAGTGGCATCGACTTGCTATTCTAGTGAGGCCTTGTGACTTTCCTACCTGGTAGAGCCTACAAATCCCTCTCTCTCATTCTTTCTTCCTTCCTTTCTTTTTTTAAACCAAGGGATCATGATGAAGCATGGCTGGCTGGGCAGGGAATACGGTGGAAAAAGGGCAGCCTAGGCTGGAAACACCCCAAGCCGGGAGCATCGCCCCCATCTCTGTCACCAGGTCAGAGAAAGAACAGCCAAGCTGAACTGAGGGTTATTTTTAGTCTCAAAGATGCAGCCTTTAAGAACAAACAGCCTAGGAGTGTGCCAAATGAGCGTGGCCCCGGAGGAGGTGTCAGCACGCACCTGCTTCGCGTCGCCCCCGGCCCCTCCGGAAATCAGAGCTGGGGCGGTGTGTGTTTTTCCTCAGGCTGACTTGCAGGGCACCCCGTGTGCCACAGGGTCCTGTGAGGATGGGGTGAGAGCCCCACGCACCATGACCTTTAAAACCAGCCTGGGCCTAACCTGAATGGGCTGTCTCCCTCCAACACCCACCCACAAGAGGAACCAACTTTGCAAGGGCCCCACCTGCCTCATTTGGTGCCATGCTTCTGCCTTCGGCCCCTCCTGCTGCCTTTGTTACCACCCCAGCCCCAGACTGCTGTGGGGTACCTTGGAGTATCATTTTCCTCTTCCTTTCTTGTTTCCTCTCCTAACTTTTCTTCCTTTACTCTCTGTAACACAGGTAATCCATATTCATGGTGGAACAAATTTAAAAATTGAGATAAGCAAAAAAGAAAAATCCCTATGACCAGCCCTCCCCCGGCCGCTGTGAGTGGGCAGACGCTGGCACTCGCTAATATTTGGTTGATGTTTTTCCGGACTTTTTTCTATGCATACTTGCGTATAAGGCACTTATTTTTTTCAAAAGCATGCAATCCCACCCACAGCCTGGCACTGAGGAGCCAGGACAGCCACTCATTCAGGAAGGGCCTCTACCAGTTTGGATGACGAATATTATCTCGCAATCATGACCTGTAGCTCTATGGCAAGAGGCTGTTAGGACATGACATTTCAAAACAGAATTGTTCTGAAATAATTTTTACTTGGCTACAAAGAACAAATAGCAAGAGTGATGCCAGTCTGGGGTAGGATAGGCAGCTGCTGGGCAGATGAAATATTTTTTGTGTAAGGTAGTGATGGTCTTTGTGGAAGGTTACAGTTTTTGCTTTAGCACAGTGCCTGGTCTCTGTGTATTGCACTGCAGTGTTTGATAAAGGCAACTTTCTTCTTCATCCTCACCTGTTCTGGCAGGAATCACTTTGCCTGTGTCAGGCTTTTTTTTCAGCGGTCACCTGATTCAGAACCGCACCCCAGTGTACTGGCTAAGAAGATAGACTATCAAGTAAGGAGGTGTGGGTTCAAATCCTAGCCCTGCCCCTAAATAACTGCGTGAAATTGGGCAAGTGGTTTAGCTTGCTTGTGTCAGATTTCCTCATTTGTAAAACAGGGATGAAGACAGAATATACAGTTCAGGCTTGGGGTGAGAATTCAGTGAAATAAAACAGGGAGAGCACTCAGAAGACGGCATAGCACATAGTGAGTGCTCAAAACTCATTCATTCTTCTTCTGCTATTATTATTTTTTCAACTCTTACTGAACAGATCCTGTGTTAAAGGCACTTGCCCGGATTCCAGTGTAATTTAGGGCAAATTGGTGAACTTACCTCTCTCTTACTTCAGATAGGAGCTCGAGGCAGTTGGGGAATGAGATGAGGGGTAATTTCAGGTGCTTGGATATCAGGGGATTGAATAAGTTTGCATTATGGGGTCACTGGAGCTTGTTGACACATGGGGAAAATGTTAAGAGCAATGTTGCTTTAATTGGGACTCTCATAAACACAGCACTCCCATTGCTGAAGGTGGGTCTTGAGTACATCGGGGTCCAACGTGCTATTCATGCTACTTTTGTGTATGTGTGAGAGCTTCCGTAATACAACGTTTTTATACAGGTATAGGTGTGTGCGTCCTGAAAAAAAATCTACAAGCACTCTATTTTTCTTTCATCCTTTTACCGAATTGTTTTAATATGCCTTTTATACAATGCTCATGAATCTTTTTTGTTAAGACCACAAAAGCAATAAAAATGCATCCTCCTTGGACATACTGGTGTTGAGAGAAGCCACAGCTGGTCTATTACAAGGTTTTCACTCTGGCGATCACATTTTATTGCACTGATGACATGCAGAATTCCTTAGCTGACAGGTGATGGGGACAAAGAGCAGACACCTCACTGGTACCTGGTGCCAGGCTGCCTGCTCCCTTTGCCCTTCCTCCCAGTCTTGGCTTCCAGCCCTTATTTTAGGTCATGCTTTTCCCATCTATGTCAATGCCCAGCACACGGTGTGCCCCATTAAAACTCTGAGAACAGAAGAGTTGGAGGTTAGAGACATTCATCTGGGTTAATCACAGAACTTTCCACCTCAAGATTGGGGTCCTTGACATCTGTCCCCTCCCTCTTCCAGGCCGGCCTCACCACCTCCTTCTCTCTGGTCCTGGCAACTCCTCCAGACTTTTGGCAACAACATAGATGTCACATTCTTGTTACTACGTAGGACTGAGTTCATCTTCTTTTTAGTGATCGGTCCTTCAGATGTTTGGGCTGGGTTTGTTGCTACCACCATTATTATTATGAATAATTATAGCTGCCGATTATTGAGGGGTTATTGGGTACCAAATGCCATACATCCATAGTCATGGTCTCATTTAATCCATACAACAGCCAATGAGGTAAGTGCTATTATTCCATTTCACAGACGAGGAAACTGAAGCTTGCAAAAGTTGAGTATTACAGCCACAGAGCTAATAAAAGAAAATTGTAATTCCAGGCTTGCTTATTCCAAAGCTCATGCTCTTCACATTATGCTTATTTGCGATTCTTTTTCCATCTGTGGAAAGAGGAGGAGGGTGTAAAAGAATGGCTTTCACTAGACCTACAGTTCTGTTGTGGTTTTGTATGTACATGGTAAATGGAGACTACCATGACGTGGACACCCTTGCTGTCTAGGCTCTAGTGTCTTATAAAAGGGCTCTAAGGTGTGTGTGTGTGTGTGTGTGTGTGTGTGTGTGTCGCGCACACACACACACTTCTAAATGTAAAGAGAGGGCCATCCAGAGGTAGAGGGCTGTCAGGTAAGAAAATGACTCCGGAATTCAGCACACCTGGGTTCTGCCTCAGCTCTGACACTCATCAGCTTGTTATCTTAAGCAACCCGCTTCCCCTCCCTGTACCTCAGTTTCCTTATTTGTAAAAGAGGAATAACAAAGCCTAGGTCACTGTTAAGTGCATTAAGTGAGATCAATGGAAAGCGTCCAGAGGAGTGCCCAACCAAAGTTGGCATTCGAAAGTAAGGGTGTCCCTGTCCCACATTCTCTGGTGCAGGAGGGTTTCCCAAAGCAGCGTTGGGAAGAGAGAGAAGTGTGAGCCTTTGCCTGGGTGCATGCTCAAAGATGCAGTTTTGGGGAGGAGGGTACTTTGCAAACCCCAGCAAGTTTTCCACTGGGAACTGCTGGATTGTATGTTGGGAGCTTTGGAGTGAGGTTTGGGCCTTACCCCCCCCTTGGCCTCCCCAGCTGTTCGGGAGGGTGCAGGTCTGCTCCCCACACACACCCTCCCTTCTGCTTTCTTCCCCATGCATCTCAACCTAACCAAAGTTCACGCCCAGCCCTCGCTTTCTTTCCTGACTGCCACTCAGACCACAGACACGCGGGGCAGGGGCCACACTGGGTGGGGCTGCAGGTGGTCTGCAGGTCTCAGAGGGGGGTCTGGACTGAAGAGTTAGCCCCCTCCTGCTGTGAACCTCCTATTCTTAGAAAACCAGGGACTCCAAAAGCACTCCTGACCCCGCTCCCAGCCACAGACAGACACAGCGACCCACACAGACTTAGAGACACACACGTAGGCACACAGACACATAGAGATACAGACCCCCACCCCAAAACATGTACAGATATGCAAAGATATGCAGAGACACAGCCACATAGAGACAGACACACACAGAAATATGAACAGATGTATACACACATAGACACAGACCCACGCACACAGAAACATGTACAGATATGCAAAGACATGCAGAGATGCACACACAGACACACAGAAATACCCAGACACATAGAGACACATACATAGACGCAGACACACACGGAGACACTATGACGTGAACAGTGTGTGCGCGCACACACAGGTTCCCTCCCACCCGGCAGGCGCTGCCCTCTGCCCCGCGGCCCCCACCCCTGCGGCTCTGCCTCTTTGGTCTAATAAGGGTAGGTGAGAAAGCATTGTGAGATTCCGGAGATATTTCCTGGCTCCCCGCATGCTCCTTCTGTGGCGCGTCCAGCTGAATGTTCAGCTCTGGGCAAGTGTCCAGGGCCCGGGGCCCCAAGGCTGAGTCATGTAGACAAAGATTCCGAGGCCCTGAGTAGCCTTTCTAGATCCCCGGCCTTTAAAAAAACACCGCAGGATGCCCTAGGAGGCAGCGAAGTTTCCCACAGAAACTCCACTTTGTGCAGATTTAATCACAGGGCATTTAAATAGCATCATCTGGAGGTAATTTGGAATTTAAATTACCAGGCTAGAGGAAATTTTTTCTACCAAAAGAAGGGCTTGGAATATTATATTGTGTTGGTTATCGATCAGCCATTTGCAAGGGATTACAAAAGTGGTAAGGCCTGTTTTATACAATATGTTAGAACAATTTACAGCAGGATTTGGTCATCACTAGTGTAACTGGTATTACTTGTTCCACAAAGCTTGGGGCAAGAAATGACACATTTCATGAATTTCTAAATCAAATCGTCCTTAGACCCCACACCTACTAGGACCTCAGAAAAATTCAATCCCAGCCTCTTTTCAAGGCCCCTCCTCTCCTCCTATGCAGAACTCTGAGGCCTCAGGATCCTTGAAACTTGGGGGAAGGGCATCAGGTCTGTGACGATCACTGCCCAGTGGCTCATTGTCCATGCCCAGGTAAACCAGTAAAAGGCTGCTGCTCACGGCATCCTCCAAATTCAAGGCCACAGTGCAAGTGTCCAGTCCCCAGAAGCACACTGCCCACCCAGCCACTCCCCAGAGGCCTTGGCACCTCAGGGTCCTGGGTAAGAGGCTGGGCACCCAAGGGTCCTGCCAGTCCTTGAATGACCTCTAGCCCTTGGCCCCCTCCCCAGCCCTCGCAATCTCTAACAGTAAGTGTTAGGTCTACAGACCCTTAGAAAATCAAAGAAAGGCCTTTAACTTTCCCCCAGAGCAAGAGAAGCCTAGCCTTCAAGACAGGAAGGCCTCTGGAGAAGAAGAAGAGGAAATCCCCCACATTCTTTTCCAGTGAGCTACATAAGAAAAACAGACATGGTTAATTTATCAATTGCAGTGGCCAGTCACTTCTTAGTCAATAATTACCTGATTTACTTAATAATCCTTACTCTTCAGGGAGTAGATAGAGCTGTGGTCCAAAAAAAAAATCCAAAAAATCAACAAACAAACCCCTTTCTTTGAATAAAGATGATGAAATCTCTTGACTTCTGTAATATTCAGAGTCCCTCTGGATCACTTCCGTTTGGACAGGAATGGGTTCAGTCCTAAACAGCTTGGTGTCTAGTAGCTCAGTCTCTTTGTTCCCTTTCATGGAACAGTTGCACCCCTATTTGAGGACTGACAAGGGTGCGATGAGGGGTGACCCTGCAACTCAGGTAAACCCAGGCTAGCTCCGACTCACACCCAGCACCACACAGGCGGTAGAGCTTAAGGTTGGAAGGAATGGCTGTGGAATCAGATAAAACAGAGTTTGAGTTCTGGCTCTGTCACTTTTTATCTGTGTGACTTCAGGCAATTTACTTTACCTCTCTGAGCCTCAATTTCTTCCTTTCTAAAATAGGGATGATAAAGTGCCTCATAGGATGATGGAGAAGTTAAATGGCAGCCATGCAGACATGCCAGGATAGTGGTGTAAATTCATGCTGCAATGTACGCCCTCTGCTCCAAATACTCTCTGCTCTATATGTGATAGAGAAATGTAAGGTAAAATGACACAGCCACATTTGAAAAGCAATATTAGTGTCTCTGAAGACAAGACCAAGATGCATCCATGTCCCTCCTCTAGGGTCCCTAATAGGATTGACCCTATTTGCCTATGGTGATGATCAGCTTTGTCTTCATCCCTTTTTCATTCTTCCCAGCCCCCGCCCCACTCCTATTCGTTGAATCATTTCCTAAAATAAACAAGCTGCAGACAAGCCATTATTTCAGAGTCTGCTTTGTGTGTGTGTGTGTGTGTGTGTGTGTGTTGGGGGGACTAAGACAGCTGGAAAGGAGAAAAACCAAAGCAAAACAAAAGGGTGGGAAATAGAAAACAAAATATGGCAGGAATCAGTTAAACTATACGTCATTATAATAAATGTAAACAGATTACCTCTCAAATGAAACATTCTCAGATTAGATAAAACAAATGAACAAAGTTTATAAGAGATACACCTAAAGCAAAACCATAACAATTGGAAATAAAAAGTTAGAAAAAGATATACCAGTTCAATGCTAACCAAAACATGAAATATATATTGTTATGGGTGAAACTGCATGCTCCAAAAGATACGTTGAAGTCTCAACCCTCAGTATCTCACAATGTGACCTTATTTGAAAAGAGTCATTGCAGATGTAATAAAATTAAGATGAGGTCATATTGGAATAGGGTGGGCCCTTAAGCCAATATGACTGGTGTCCTTTTTTTTTTTTTGAGATGTAATCTTACCCTGTCACCCAGGCTGGAGTGCAATGGCGCCATCTCAGCTCACTGCAACCTCCGCCTCCCGGGTTCAAGCGATTCTCCTACCTCAGCCTCCTGAGTAGCTGGGATTACAGGCATACTCCACCACGCCCAGCTGATTTTTTGTATCTTTAGTAGAGACGGCATTTCACCATGTTGGCCCGGCTGGTCTCGAATTCCTGACCTCATGATCCACCTGCCTTGGGATCCCAAAGTGCTGGGTTTACAGGCATGAGCCACATGCCCAGCTGGTGTCCTTATAAGGAGATGAGAGACACAGATGCACAGAAGCCAGCCATGTGATGGGGGAGGCAGACACTGGTGTTATGCTGCCACAAACGGAGGACTGCCTAGGGCTACTAAGAGCTAGAAGAGACAAGAAAGGCTCCTCTCCTAGAATATTTGGAGGGAGCATGGTCCTGCCAATTTCAGGCTTTGATTCCACTTTGATTTCAGACTTCCAGCATCTGGAACTGTGAGGAAATAAATTTCTATGGGTTTAAGCCACCCAGTTTATGGTAATTTGTTATGGCGGCCCTATGTAATTAATATACATAACTAACAATATTTATATCAGACCACATAAAATTTAAGGCCTGATATGGTTTGTCCCCATCCAAATCTCATGTTGAATTGTAATTCCCAATTCTGGGGGAAGGCCCTGGTGGGAGGTGATTGGATCATGGGGGCAGATTTCCCCCTTGCTGTTCTCATGATAGTGAGTGAGTTGTCATGGGATCTGGTTGTTTAAAAGTATGTAGCACTTTCCACCTCACTCTCTCTCTCTCCTGCTCTGCCATGGTAAGATGTGCTTGCTTCTCCTTCACCTTCCACTATGATTGTAAGTTTCCTGAGGCCTCCCAGCCATGCTTCCTATACAGCATGCATAACTATGAGTCAATTAAATCTCTTTCTTCATACATTACCTAGTCTCCCGTAGTTTTTTATGGCAGTGTGAGAACAGACAAATACAAGACCAAAGCATTATTAAGAATACGGACATTATAAAGTTATAAAAGCAACATCCCATTAAGAATATATAATGTTTGTGAATTTGTATACACTTAACATGACTAAATTATAAAGGGAAGTTAGATTCATTCATATTCACCATGTAATATATTTTTTAAATTAACTCATACATTCATCCCTATCATAGTGTAATACTTTTAATGTACTTTATCAGGACCAAACAGATCAAATAGTAAAAAAAAAAAAAAAAAAAAAAAAAAAAGGGTAAGGATATGTATAAAAGAGTAAGGATATGTAAGATATGAAGAGTAAGGATATGTAAGGTATGAAGAGATAACTTAGTAAACTTGCTCCAATATAGAAATACGGAAGCCTGCACCAAAATAGAGAATATATATATTTTTCAAGCACATGTCGACCATTTTAGCAGAGTCTCAAGAAATTTCAAATAATTTATAGCATAGAAATCATATTTTCTATGCAGAATGCTATTAGAAACAAACATACTCCTAAGTTTACTGTGGATAAAAGGGAAAGTTTTAATAAAAATTATTAAATATTTAGGTTTGAACAACTAAAAAAAACTACTCTAACACTTGTGGGATGCAGATAAAGCACTACCTAGAGGTATATTTATAGCTTTAAAATATGTTACTGGCAAAACAGGATTGAAAATAAATGAATGAAAAGAATACCAAAAACTATTTTAGAAAAGAATAAATGAGATAATACATGTAAAGTCTTTTTCATAGTGCTTGACACATAAGTATTCAATAAAAAGAAGAGCACAATAAATGGAAATTATAATTGTTGTTATTCCACCCATATCTTTCCAGTGAAAAGAGATTTTCTTTCCAGGATTAAATTAAAAATTCATAAGTAACTATGGCACACCAAGAAGGAGATACCTCTGTGCCTGGAACTTCACAAATTAGTTTTTATACAATTTTGCAGAGTCCAGTAATATCCCAGAAAGATAAATTCTCTGGCCCAAGTTGGTGTCTTCTGCTGCTATTAAATATAAACCTGTTCCTTACCTATCGAATGGGCTAGAGACAGAACCCAGAGGTCAGCAGTGACATGATATGTATTAGAAGCTAGGTCCCTAGATACAAGCTGCCCTCTGAAAAGCCTTATTAGCATCCAGGGAATTTCTGTCATGAATCCTTAATTTAGCAAGGAAGTAAAGATTTCAGTAATTAGGGATTATCACCTTTCCTGAAGGTACTGTTGATAAACCAGTTCCCTAAAATTATTCTTCAGTAAAGGTGGCCTTAGGCTCTTAATGACAGGGTGTTTTTTCAATAACTATTTTTGACTAACCAAATACTATTTGGGGAACATACAAAACCCTCAAAGGAACTCAATCAATGCATTTTTAGATTGGAAAAGTGATCCCTTGACAGAATCTGTTAAAAAGCCAAGAAATCACTGTAGTATCTCATTAGTAGTATTTGACTTTTCCATCTATATTATTAAAACGTTTATATGTTCAGGTTGGCCCCAGAAGGTCTTTCTTTGTTTAATTTTCTCATTTGGAAAAAAAAAAAGCCTAGTTTTTCAGGGTTGCCTTTTATCCAAGCATACGTGTTCATCTGCAAAAGGGAAGAGGGCATTGAGGGTCCCCTTCCCTGATGCTCCTGGTCAAGCAGACCCACCTATGGAGAAGGCAGCAGCTGACGCTGAAACTCGCTTTAGTTTGTACCACTTTAGATGGGTGTGTTCTAACTGTCCAGGAGGCTGAGCACACTGGGAAATGAGGTTGCTTAGAAGGGATGGCCTTGACTGATAGGTGAACACTTAACTGCCTGGCCTTCCCAATACAATTTCTTAAGGATGCTGGGCAGCTCTTGGGCACTAGTTCTTGGGAGGGCTTGGTTCTGTCATCAGAGGAAAGCCCAGCATCTATGCAGCCCCTTGTTCTCGTGATATATCTCCCTAACACCCCTTGGGGTAGGGAGGGAATGTTCTGTTACCCCCTTTAGACAAGTGAGGAGACTATACATTCCCAGATTAATGACAGGAGAGGAGATCATCCTTTGGCTGCTGATGAGGGAGGAAGACTTGTGGGAGAGGATGCTTGGTTCTCAGGGCCCTCACCTCCTCCTCCTATACCTTGTCTTTGAGCAAACATGCTTCCCTGTGGGATAAATAATCATAACCCATACCAACCCTCCTTGCTGCCGGATACCTGCCATACTCACTGCACCTTCTTGACCACTGTGCAACTAACATACACCCAGCACAGAACATCCATCCACACCCATGTATGTCTTGAATGTCTACTATGGACTTAGTACTGTGCTTGGTACTTGGGATGCAGTGATGAGTAAGGCAGACTGAGAGCATTGCTGAAAGCCAAGTTTGGGTCTGTCTGTTGTAGAAGGACACATTTCTGTGGAGAACAGGGCTGTGGTGGGCAGTGAGGAAAGTAATGACCTTCTGTCTGGCTTCCCTTCTAGAGAAGCAGCCGAGCTGATTTTCTCCGGCAGTGGCTTCAAAAGACGAAGCTCAGCATAGCAGAGAACTATTAAAACCACAAGTCTGAAAGGTGTATGATGCCACAGAGAACGTGTGCTTTCTCTCCTCATTCAGGAGGTCCCCAGGCATCGAGGCAGGCAGCGAGGGGGTGGTTCTTGCAGCGGTGAGACAGTCGCCATCTGCACAGGCTTCACCTGGGCCTGCAGAAGCAGTCTACCACCCCCCCATGCCTTCCAGCTGCAGACCCTCTGAACTGTACATAAAGCCAATTGTAACTGAAATGAGGGCATATAAGATATCCAAAGTTGTTGCCAATTAGGTTTTTTTTTTTTTTAAGTGCTACTTTGCACATTAGGTAATCATCACTTTCAGCCTCTCTGAGCAGAAAGCACCCAGAGCACATTCTCTTGGGTGCCTGGGCAGAAATGCAGAGGTCTCCATTTCAGGGTAATACAGAAACATTACCCTCCCTTGTTAATTTTGCTAATAAAAGTTGTACATAGCTAGATCTTAGGGTACATGAACGTAACCATGGTTTTCTTTTATGATTTCCACTTTAAAAATTACCTTATAGGCCAGGCGCAGTGGCTCATGCTTGTAATCCCCAGCCCTTTGGGAGGCTGAGGCGGGCAGATCACGAGGTCAAGAGATCCACACCATATTGGCCAACGTGGTGAAACCCCATCTCTACTAAAAATACAAAAATTAGCTGGGCATGGTGGCGCAAGCCTATAGTCCCAGCTACTCGGGAGGCTGAGGCAGGAGAATCTCTTGAACCCGGGAGGTGGAGGTTGCAGTGAGCTGAGATTGCACCACTGCACTCCAGCGTGGTGATAGAGTGAGACTCCGTCTTAAAAAAAAAAAAATTACCTTATAAACTCATCTGAATATCAAAACAAGCTCTTCCTGATGAATTGTTTTTCCTTTACCAGCTCCATCTCCAATTATGCTGCCCCACGTGGAGATTTGTACAGAGACTTGGCAAGGTGGTAAAATGACCTCATTGGTTTGTTTTGGGTAGAGGAAGTTTGTTTCAGTTGAGTTCAGAAGCTGATCATAAGGAAATCAGGCCCATTAGAAAACAACCCTGATAAGCAGGAGTGAACTAACGTGGTTAGAACTCCTTTGTATTAATGCTGAATTCACAAACTCCCCTGCCCTCAATGGTTCATGAAATTCTGAAACACACAAGTGGAAGACCTCAGAGTTACTGCAATCCCCCTGACTGGACCTCTACAAGCTGTAAAGAGTCCCTCCACAACATGTTCAGAAAACACAAGTGGGATGAAGTTCTGGGATATAAGAGTACAATAGCTTCAAGCTCTGTACCTCCTCCAAGCCTCTGCTCACACAGTTCCCATCTTCTAGGAAACACCCTTCCCCGCTTCCCACTTGGCCAACATGTAGCATTCTCAAGGGCCAGCTAATGTCCACAAAATTCATCTTGTGATCAGTGTTGGGAAAGACCTTAAATATCATCTGGTTCTAGGAGCTACTCCTTTCTAAAATTGAATTTCTTCTATAATTTCTAGGCAGAGTTGAAATACCATTGGTGACTGGGGGCTCAATCTCCTGAAGACAACCCATTTTATCTTCATATAGCTTTATTTTTATTAATGATAATTACTACTATTTGTTGCAATTCAACTTATAGTAGTTGACAAATGTTACATGAATGTAATTCTCACAACAACCTTACGAAGGAAGTATCTCTATTGTCTTCTCATCTCATTTTACAGAAGAGAAGATCAAGTCTGAGGGAGGCTCAAGGACCTGCCCACGGTCACAGAGCAGGAAGCGGCAGAGCCTGGAGGTCTAACTCCAAAGGCTGTGTGCCCTTTGCCGCTGCACTGCGACCTCCAGGTCTTCCTGGTGTGCAGAAATTCTTCACTGTCACAGGCGCACTCAAGATAGAGTTGTGCACAATTGTCAAATGACCTCTTAGAATTCTCAGTGCTTAGAGTCTGTCCTGCACACAACATAGCATGTAATGACCTAGACTTGCAATCTTTCATGGATCATTGTTTCAAGAATTTAGTTTCACTCTCCACCAAAACTGTAAGTTCCTGGAAGGTGGGACCATGCTCTATGCTCATTTTGTGTATTTAATTTTTGTGTGCTTAATTTTCAAGACTTTTTACATCCATTTCAGAACCTATTAGGTGGGTAATTGCGGTTTTTGCCATTTAAAATAACAGTGAAAACTGTAATTGTGTTTGCACCAACCTAATAGAATAGACAGCACTGAGCACATGCCAAGGGCTGATTGATTGAACAGTGCTGGGGAGAAGAGCAGACAAAGAGGCAGGAGCCCTGGATTCTCGTTCCAGCTCTGCCACTACCAGAACAGTCCTCTCCACTTGCCTCAGTTTCCCCATATGAACTGGATGATATGTGCCACAACCATCTTTTGATTGGTGCTCTCCCAGGCTACAGGGCTGGTGGCAAGGCCAGGAAGAACTAGCCCATTACTCAGACTGAATCATGCCCTCATGCACTCACCCAGGAAGCAGTGATGATACCCTAGAACACATAGCTGGAACAGGGAGCAGGACATCACCCACAGGACATAGACTAACTTCTGCTGGCACTCCTGGTCTATTCATCCCTTATGTTCTTAGGCCAGCAAAAAGCAGAAATCCTGCACAATTCACAGTCGTTCAGTCTCTCACTCCTTAGGAAGTTTCTCAATGTTTAGCGAAAGGTTTTTATACAACGTCAATGAGGCCGGGTGTGGTGGCTCACGCCTGTAATCCCAGCACTTTGGGAGGCCAAGGCGGGTGGATCATGAGATCGTGAGATCGAGACCATCCTGGCTAACATGGTGAAACCCCATCTCTACTAAAAATACAAAAAATTAGCTGGGCGTGGTGGTGGGCGCCTGTGGTCCCAGCTACTTGGGAGACTGAGGCAGGAGAATGGCATGAACCCGGGAGGCGGAGCTTGCAGTGAGCCGAGATTGCGCCACTGCACTCCAGTCTGGGAGCTGGGAGATAGAACGAGACTCTGTCTCAAAAAAAAAAAAAAAAAAAAAAAAAAAAAACACCAATGTCAATGAGAAACAACAGAATCTGTAGAAATTTCCTTGGGAAATCCCTTACTGGCTAACTCACCAAGGAAGTAAGGAAGCTGGTGTATGTTCAGCCTTCACCACTGCATTGGGCAATTTTTCATTCATTTGTTCATTTATTTCACAATATATTTTTTTTGGGCCCATCATGGACTAGACACTGTGCAGTGTGGTGTAGATACAATGATGAACAAGACAGGACACAGTTTCTGTCTCAGGGGGCTTACAGTCTTGCTGGAGAGGGAGCTTTAAGCAAATAATTACACAAAGCTTGATTAAAATCAGGTAAGTGCCACAAAGAAAACGTGCATAGAGCGCCAACAGGGAGGCCTGACTTGAGGGTGGGTTTGGGTCGGGGAGGGTTTCTGGGCGGAAGCAGCATTTACCCTAGGACCTGGCACATCCAGGAAAGAGAACGTGGTGAGGTCTGGGGGGTGCTCTGATTTCCAGCACACTGTGGGAGACAGGAATCAGATTCCTCATCTCAGCTCCGACTCCCAGTGGCTGTGAAACTGTGTAAGTTCACCTCTTCTCTCTGGGCCTCAGCTTTGGTTTGGTTTTGTATTTTCATTGCTGTTGTTATTGATTTTCCCCATCTGTAAAATGAAGATGTTACTTTAAGCAAATGTCGTGATGCTCAGATAAAAGCCGTGGTTAAGTTGTCACCTTGAAGACTGAACAAATTAATAAAAGGGATCCTTATCACGGACTCTTCCCCTTCATATCCACCGCATCTGTGAAAGGGAGAGTGTCTGAGGGAGAATTTCATTTGACGTTTAGAAAAATGAGAGTGAAATGGGTTTTCCTTATATGGATTCTCCACTTTATAAGCCATATACCCAGATTATATACAGACACATGCAGGGGGCTGCAGAGGGACTGGAAAACCTGGTCCCAGGTGGCCTGTGGACGGGAAAGCCAGCAGACGTGTGAGGGGAGAAAAGAGCTTATTAAACAAACCTCACTGGCAGCCCTTCTCCTCATCTCTTTTCCAGATGAGCCTGAAAATGCTCCGCCAAGAATTCTAATGAGAAACAGATTTCCTCTGGCTCAGCCTGTCCTTCACCTGCAGACTTCTAAGCAGAGATACTGCTGTCCACTCCTGCCGAGAGTCCAAGGGGGGTTTGTTTTAAATTCTCTTCTGCAGCAATTGGAGCTTTGAACGTTTGAGAACACATTTCAGATTTCTCTTCTTTTATACTTTAGCCAAAAAGCACGGGGTCAAAATATGAAAGGAAGCAAACACAGTCATTTGGTGGAGGGTTGGGGCTAATCACCCCGAAGTCCTGGTCGTTCATCAGCAAGCCCTTAAGTTGAAAGTGCAGGGATCCCAGTTTGCACGGAGAAATGTTTGTTCTGTCGTGTGAATGTTCCTGTTTGTGGTCCCACCCACAGACTCCAGCGTGGGTCAATGACTCTATTGTGAAGCAAAGAAAGCCAAAGCAAGACCTTAGCCAGAAAGATGTGAAAGTGGGTTTTGTCCCTTTAACCTGAAACAGACGTTATGAAAGAGATTAGTCAACCTCTACTATGTGGGCTCAGGAAATGTCCTGAATTTTCATAGCTTTGGAGAGTTCTAAGACAAACATGGTCTCTGCTTTTGCCCTCGCGGTCAGAACCCCAAGCCTGCCTGGCCCCCTGCAGCCCTGCCATTGTCTCTCACAGCCCCGTCTCTGTCTGTCTTGTTTGCTCTGCTTCCCACAGGCTTTGCCTGCTCAGTCCACAGGGTGGAGGGAGGGTGGGGGCATTTCTTCCAGCAACCCAGCGCAGACCCTCGACTCCCCCTGGGTTTACACATCATTGTGGAAAGAGCGTTCTTTTCATTTCCTATGTCATCCTGTCTCAAAAAAAAATCCTTATTTCTTAAAAGCGTCCCTTCCTATGAGCAATCAGGATGGAGGTTTGCTAAAACATACTTTGGCTTGTGGCTGGGCATGGTGGCTCACACCTATAATCCCAGCACTTTGGGAGGCCGAGGTGGGCAGATCACCTGAGGTCAGGAGTTCAAGACCAGCCTGGTCAACATGATGAAACCCCGTCTGTACTAACAATACAAAAATTAACTGGGCATGGTGGCTCAGGCCTGTAATCCTAGCTACTAGGAAGGATGAGGCAGGAGAATCGCTTGAACCCAGGAGGTGAAGGTTGCAATGAGTCGAGATTGTGCCACTGTACTCCAGCCTGGGCAACAGAGTGAGACTGTCTCAAAAAAAAAAAAAAAAAAAAAATATATATATATATATATATATACACACACACACACATGTATATACATACGTAAATACATTGTGTGTGTGTGTGTGTGTGTGTGTAAATATATATATAAAATATTGGCTTGTATCTGTCTGTGTGGTGGGAAAGGAGAGATCTTGACCTCCCTTGACTCTGCCATCCCAACTTCTGCTCCCCCAGTACCAGACTCCCTTTCATGAGAGTGATTTGCTCTTTGAACCAAGTTTCATCAACAGTCAAGTTTGCCAAGACAAACTCTTTACCTGGAAGGAACTCCCCTGAAAGCCTAGTGTTCAGAGCATGTGTCGTCTGGCAAATGAATGCTCAAAGGCTAAAAACTAACTGGAAAACGACTTCTATTAACAAGTTTGTCAGCCTAAATAACAGACTCTGAGAGGAAATTCAGGAACAGGTATTGCAATGGAATACTCTTGCCATAGTAAACTGTGCGACATTCACAGAGGTAAAGGAAGACAAAGGTTTTTAAAGGAAAAATGAGGAGGATGACATAATTGTTTTGAGATAATTATCCTTGCCTGCAAAGATCAATAACAAAGGTGGTGTCATTCTGAGGTTGGACAGGCAGTTGCTGGGCAGTTGTCCTCACAGAAGTGTTTATGTGTAAGGTTGTGATGGTCTTTGGGCGAGGTTGTGATTTTTGCAGTCTTTTGTGATCTTGTTATCAGGCATTTGTGCATAAGAACCCTTCTTCATGGCCTTCCTGGTTGTATTTGTCAGGATTTTTAACACAAGTGACTCCACTTTGATTCTGACAACTTTCACAAGTTACTTAGAAAAAAAAGCTGGAAGCAAAACTGGATTTTTCATGTGCTCAAAAATATGGAATCCAGAAGCTGGGCGCAGTGGTTTATGCCGGTAATCCCAGCTACTCGGGAGGCTGAGGCAGGAGGATTCCAGTAGCCCAGGAGTTCAAGACTAGCCTGGGCAACATAGAGAGACCCCCCCTCATCTCAAAAAGAAAAAACTGGAATCCAAACATCACATCAAAAATAAAAATGCTTAACAAAAGAAAGGATATAAGGAAATATTCCAAAATGTACTAAGGCTGGGAGGTGTAATGGGATGAGAATGAGCTTTGGGGTCAGGCCACCTGCTTCCCTGGGAGCTCTGAGCAAACCGTTGTATGTCATTAAGCCTCAGTGTCTTCATCTGAAAACAGAAATAAGGCTTCTCCCCATGAGAGTTCTTGCAAGGATTAAATACGGTGATGTATATCAAGTTCTAACGTGGTCTAGTCATGCGAAACTTGCATTAGCTTTATGTTGGACTACTGTTCTGCAGCTTCTAAATTTTCAAGATGTGGATTTTAACTTTATAAAGGGAAACACTAAGCTTAAAATAATTACAACAACAATATGGTTCATGTTATAGGGACATTTCATGCAAGGAAATATTACCCAGATTAGATGTCACATCTGGGGTGGGACAACTTCTAAAAAAGGCATCCTGAAGCTTTAGTAAGATCTAGCCTAAAAATGCGATCATTTTGTCCTGCCAGTAACTGAGGCTGGGACCTAAATCTGTCAGTTTAGCGAGCAGGTTCTGTGTCTCAGTCACTAGACTACTCCAGACAGCACATCTCCAGGATGCTATTGCCTCCCACGGTGATGCAAGGAACTTTGCTTTATGCTTTGAAATATGCCCCCGAAGGCCAAATCCCTCTGAGAAATGAGAGTTCCACCATATCCTCTGAAATGGCAACATTCCTCTCATCCAACGTTTTTATTAGCATCCTTTTGTAACCCATTAAGTCCTTAACAGCAGCTTTGAGGAATTACACCTGTTTTTCATCAGGATTGCAACCATAAGCCAGCACAAACATGTGTGATAAGTTGATGCTAAAATACCATGACACACTCCTTGGATTTACTAGCATTTAATAAATGAAGGAGAAAGCTTTGCCTTTTATAGCCCTGAGCCTCCCAGGCCTAAAGCAGATGGAGCAGTTGACTCCTGCAAAGCATTCATTGCTCATTGCTTCCAAATCCAAGGAACAGGCATCTCGGATCACTGCGCTGTGAGGGCAGGAGGACCCTTCTTTTGGAAAGCGGTAAGTCCAGTGTTCTCAACCCTGACCATTGCTCAGCATCAAGTGGGGAGCTTTTGAAAAATACCCAGGCCTAGGTACCAGTCCCAGAGATTCAGATTTAGTTGGTCTTGGGGGAACTCTAGTAGCCTTAATTTTTAGCAGCTTCCCCAGAAGTCTCTCATCCGTAGGCAAGACTGATATCTACTAAAAATGATTTGGACCACAGGCAGTCTAGGGCAGTGGGAAGAACATGGACTTTGGAGACAAGAAATAATGGATTTAAATTCACTGGAAAGGATAAGCTCTGTTATTTTAGACAAATTTCTTAAATTCTTTGAGTCTTAGTTTCTTCACTTGAAAAATGAGGTTAATAATATTTATCTCTTAAGGCAAATAAATAGGAGTTTGTTATGTAGATTCCCCTGGTGCCATCTTCAGACTGATAAGGATTTAAAGTTATCTTCAGTAATCAACCTTTATCTTTCTTGGTAGAGAGGGGAGGAGAGACGCCTTACGTCCTGCTTTTAGGTTTTTAGGCACATTTTAGGGGAGGGCAGAGAGCTTTTCTTGTATCTGCTCTTTCTCAGTTGCCTTCAGCTCACAACAATCCTCCTGCCAAAGTGGCATATTTTGGGGTGGCATCTATAGGCGTCTCCTATATGAATCAAGACAGAGGGGTATTGGTGAATGGAATGAGAAGAAAGTCCAGCCATAGACCCACACAGGTGTGGTCAATTGACAAAGATGCAATGGTAAATCAATGAAGAAAGGATAGACTTTTCAACAAATTGTGCTGGGATAATTGGATATCCATATGCAAAAGTAACAACAAAAAATCTTGACCCTTGGCCCATACCCTAGGTACCTAACTTTGTACCTTGTACAAAAATTAACTCAAAATGCATCATAGACCTAAATGTCAAACCTAAAACAGTAAAACTACTGGAAGAAAGCTTAAGAGAGAAAATCTTTGTGATGTTGAGTTAGGCAAAAATTTCTTAGATACAACAATATCAGAAGCACAGTCCATAAAAGAAAAATTGATGAATCAGTGTTCATCAGAATTAAAGCCACCTGCTCTGTAAATGACGCTGCTAAGGAAATGAAAAGACAAGCCACAGGCTAGGGTAACGTATTTGCAAAGGATATATTTGACAAATAACTTAAATTCAGAATATATAAAGAACCCTCAAAACTCAATAACAAACAACCTAACCAAAAAAATGGGCAACAGATTTGTACAGGCAGCTCACCAAAGAACATATATAGATGGCAACTAAGCATAGAAAATATCCTTAGCATCATTAGTTATTAGGAAAATGCAAAATAAAACCACTGCACACCTATTCGAATGGCTAAAAAAAATAATGACAATATCAAGTCCTGGTGAAGATGGAGAGCAACCACACCTCTCACAAATTACTGATGGGAGGGGAAAGTTCGGTGAAAAAGTTTGATAGGGTATCTCTGGACTGAAGAAATATAGTACCTTGTTTTCTGTGTAGATGGGCTTGATCCAAAGGCAGGAGTGGAAAGTGAGTGACGATTGGTCCTGAGGTCAACCACAAAGTTAAGTGAACTGCGTTCAGAAAATCAGACCAGTGGTTTCAAATCCAGGTCAGTGGGCCCCTGAGGATTTATCTGAAAAGGTAGTGAGTGGAACTGTGGAGTTATTTTTCACATTTCAAGAAAAAGCCTAAGGAAAATCATGTTTTACCTGAGATAAGATTCCCTTGGCAGGCTGAGTAAAATCTCATGTTCTTTTACTTTTGGCTGGAATTTCTTTTCTGCTGATTATATCTAATTCATAGAGAATTTTTTAAAGCCAACATGCAAGTTGGTGGATAAAAGTACTTCATAGGAAGAGGCCCAGCAGGAAAAGTTATAGAATGGGGTTTTTGGTGATGAAAAGTTTGTGACTGGCCAAACTAAGCCATGCATTTGAGGATGATGAAGGAACACTCTCCTTCAGCAAAGTCTGAGTACCCACAAGTTTTTACTTGTGCAAGATAGCTTAGGGGTTGTTGTATCTGATGTTAGAGAACCCTCCCCCCGCCCCCCAGGTCTCTTCAGGTCTGTAGAAGCTCCAAATGGACCTGTATGTAATTTGGAGACTGAAAAAAATACAAACCCCTGAGTCTGATTCAACACCACCACGCATCACTTTTTTTTTTTTTTTTTTTTTTCTTTTTGAGACGGAGTCTTGCTCTGTCACTGGGCTGGAGTGCAGTGGCGCGATCTCAGCTCACTGCAACATCCACCTACTGGATTCAAGTGATTCTCCTGCCTCAGCCTCCCGAGTAGCTGAGACTACATGTGTGCGCCACCAGGCCCAGCTAATTTTTGTATTTTTAGTAGAGATGAGGTTTTACCATGTTGGCCAGGATGGTCTCGATCTCTTGACCTCGTGATTCACCCGCCTTAGCCTCCCAAAGTGCTGGGATTAAAGGTGTGAGCCACTGTGCCTGGCCAGGGCACTCTTAATCAAAAGAAGTACATTTCCAGGGCTGAAACTGAGCCTCCTTATTGACATTAGCACATCAGTTTTATGATTGTTCATCATAATAAAACAAATCAGGGTTTTGCACCCATGAACACTAGAAAAAGTGACACCAAGCCCTGGCTAAGGTTGGAAGATGTGGAGATTGCAACAGCAACCTTAGATGCACCTGTACGCAAGCAAATTAACATGCCCTCCCCTTCTCGGCTTGCGCAGAGCTCAAAGGAGCTTAACAGGATTAGGAGCAAATACCTTGTTGTTATTTTTAACATTGCTCAACTCTTTTGTAAATCTCTCCATTGTCCCTGCCAGTAACCTCTTCCTAAAGGGAGGCATCCAACCTTAGAAACATAACAGGCAGAGTTGGCAATAATTCATTCGAGGTCTTACCTAGTAGTGGCCCATGGAATTTAGTACCTAAAAAAGAGATTCATAACGTGGTAGAAAGCTTATTGGCCTTGAAGTTAGATAGACCTAGATTTGAATTCTGATTCTGCAGCTTATGAGTCTTGGTCAAGTTATCTTGACCCTTTGAACCTCAGTTTCCTTTAAAATGAGGATGTTACCTACCTCACAAAATTACTGTAAAGATTAACGATAATAAATGGAGAGTCCCTGACATGGAGTCGTGGAAGTTATCACCTGGTAGATGCTTAATAAATGTTGGCTACACTTACACACACACACGTGCACACACTCACCTATATATATGCACACACATATATATACACACATATATATACACATTTAAAATTTAATTACTAGATAATTAGAGGAAAAATAAGATGCACACTCTTTCACTTCTGAACGTTTCTGAAATTGGGTTGTGTCTTTTAATTGATGGCAACCCAAATTTACTAGCAGCAAATAGAGGAATGAGTTGTGACATGGTTTTCATCACTGAGTTATGCAAACTTAGCTAAATCTTTCCAAGGAGATTGCAGAATTGAGAGCTGGGAGAGGCTGCTGTGGTTAATTTGTGCCCTGTGAAAGATTATCACTAGATACTGCACATCCATCTGTCAAAAGTATCTGGGTGACTTCCAAATTTCCAGTGATATGTAATTCAGTTGCAGAGAAAATGAAACCATGAGTTTAACCAAATAGGAAATGCATGCAAAACCTGGCATATTAACTGTCTCTACTAAGTATACTCAGGATGTCAAGTTCACGGGTACAGGTTCCATAAGTCTACATTTCTATGACAGTACTTGCCTCAACTGGGAAGAGTCTTCAGACTGTAAATGTGAAAAAAATTTAGAGTCGATGGTGATATTAAAAAAGAAAATGCTATATGATTATACAGATAAATGTGCATGATATGGTTTGGCTCTGTGTCCTCACCCAAATCTCATCTTGAATTGTAATCCCCACGTTTCGGGGGAGGGACGTGGTGGGAGGTGATCAGATGATGGAGGCAGTTTCCCCCACGCTGTTCTCATGATAGTGACGGAGTTCTCAGAGATCTGATGGTTTTTAAAGTGGCAGTTTCCCCTGCGTACTGTCTCTTTCCTGCTGCCATGTATGACATGCCTGACATGCCTTGCTTCCCCTTCACCTTCTGCATAATTGTAAGTTTCCTGCGGAACTGTGAGTCAATTAAACCTCTTTCCTTTATAAGCTACCCAGTCTCAGGCAGTTCTTTATAGCAGTGTGAAATGGACTGATACAGTACAATATTAGTTGTTTTTAAAAAAGTGTTTAATTCGATATGACTTTTTTTCAGTAAATCTGTGTTAAGCTGATGGTGCATCTTATAACTGATGGCATCTTATAACACATTAAATACGGTCGCACTAAACCACCTCTCCCATCCCTGACTAGTACCACCTGTGCTCATGTTGCTGTATTCTGTGACATTAGCTGACTAGGCTGATTCAAAATTAGCAGTGGCAGGCAATCTGTGTGGCCAGTGAACATTCATCCACATTAATGATTAGGAAAACAAAAATCCAGACCAAAATGAAAGACCATTTCATTTGGCCAAAAAACTGTAAAGGTCTAATAATTCCTTTGGAGAACAGTTTGATATTTTCTCATGAAGTTGAACATCCACATACTCTATGACCTAGAAATTGCATCCCAAACAAAGAGTCGCTGCACTTGCACACCAAGAATCACATACAAGGAAGCGGCTAGTTCCATTTGCAACTCACACAATCACACAAATGCTTTTCTTCAAGACGTCCCTTGTACTTCAGTATTTAGCAGAAGTGCTTTATGCAAACTCCCTATTTTGTCACACAGAATATTAAAAAGACATGCATTCAAGGGTTGAGACTGACTGGAATTAATAACTTTTACTGCTTCGTCAAGATGCAATCTTCAGTGAAATTGGAAAATCTGTAGTGAGGATGTATGGGAGTGAATAATTCAATGACTACTAGTTCTGTTTAGTGCTATTGTTTGATCTGTGTTAAGTCACCTGCAGTTTTACCTACCATTGCTTTTGTACATCAATGTGGAAAAGGCAAATAATATCTTAGAATTATTATGAAAATAGGTTTGATTTTGCAGCTTCCTTGAAAGGATCACAGGGACCCACAGGGGCAGACCAGGCTCCAAGAATGCTGCTGTACCACAGTATTCCAATATATTAATTTATTATAATTTATTCTAGTGTTGGTGCACATTTGGGTAGCTTCCAGTTTCAGGTTATTACATATAGTGTGTAGCAAGGTTTTAGAATATATTCTTCTCCCTGCCACATAAAAGTGTACTTAACCCAGCACCTGGCATACAGTAGGCATTTAATACATTTCAGTCATGAAAATTCCTTTACAGAGGAGTCCTCATTATGCTCTGTTTAGGATTTCCCTACCTCTACCTTGTGCTGTACACAGTAGGATCTCTATACAGATGATAACAAGATATTTTCTCAAAAAGCCATAGAAAGAAATGAATTAGTTATTAGCAAAGGCAGAAACTAGAAAAGTAACTTCTGCCCTTCTCCCAACCTGGGACCCTGGGATGCCTCCAACCCTGGGCTGTTACTGAACTTTTCCATAGCTTAGGAGGAGTAAAACCCCTCGGAGAATGGATGCCTCCTCCTGGCAACTGCTGCCCAATCCCCAAAGTCAGCAGCTCTCTAGCCACTGCAAGGCTGCATGGAGAAAAGCCAGATGTCTGTCCCTAAGGCGTCCAGGCCTCCCTTCCCCAGACACCAGGACCCAGAAAGGCCTGCTCCCTGCCCTCTGGCAGCCATATGCGGGGGTTGGGATTCATGTTTCTGTCATTTGAAACTTCGACCCTTGGAGGAAAGATGCCAAGATGCAGGGATAATTGAAAAGTGACCTCTGGCAATGGCAGGTGTTTCTGGGACGTGCGCTTGACCTGCTGGCTGCTGTCCAGCCTCTCTTGGTTCCTATCTATTTTCCAAGCCCAGCTTCTCCAAAAAGTTCTGCCAATTCTGTGAACACCTCAACATCTTCCCTATAGATTCCTTCTTAGCTTACATGGGCCCACTGGTTTCTGTTACTTGCACCCAATGACCCTGACTCATTTCACACCTTCATTAGAAGCCTGTTCTGAGAATCTGCTCTCAGGAGTGGGCAAGGGTCAGGCCTGCCACCCAGGGAGCCATATTAGGAGTTATTAACATGTTGGGGCAGCCCTTTGACTCCTCCTTTTAGCCCTTGTCTTCCCATTTACCTCTCCGGGCCTCCCCAGATGTCTGTCAGCCTTCTAAGCAGGCAGTACCCATGGCAGACTATGGTGGCATCATGCCCTCACAGCCTCTTTTGCTCCCACAGCATTAGTCATGACCACCCCCACTCTCCCAGCACCTTGTCCTCGCCTCCATGAAGGACAGATCACATTCTCTTGCAGCCGTTTGTTTACTCACCTGCTGTCCCACCTGCTTCTGATCACCTTAGGCCTGTGAGCCATCAGCCCCTGATTCACAAATGGTGACGCAGGAAGCAGTTTACACCTTTGCCAACCCCAGCACCCAAACGGCCAAGAGTGAAGGATAAAGCGTGCTGTTCTCACACTGCCACGGGAGCTTGAGGGCTGAGTACACAGGTCTAAAGAGAGGAGTTGATGTCAAGGGGAAGGTTGGCCTTCATAGCACAAAGCTGAGCCATTTGCTTGGTACAGTGCCTTTCCTTAGATTCCCGAGGACTTTTCCTAGCAGGGCAATGGGAGGAGCTGGCCCCCAAAGGAAGGTTGGAGTCACCCACCAGCTCTCTGTCCAGCCCGAGAGAGCGGCTCCAGCAGCCTCTTAGCGGAATCTCTCCGGACATAGACGTGTGAGGTTCCTCTTTACTAGAGGCAAGAATCTCTGAGCGCCCATGTGAGTGCTTCTCCACCCCAAGTCCACTTCAGAATCCTGTAACTGCTGGGACAGCCAGCCAACCCTGAGTGGCGAGATCATGACTTTGGTTGGAGGGTCCTCTGTACTGTTCCGTGACACTCATGTATCAGGTCTTTCCTGACAGAGCAACTCAATGTGGAGCCCAGTGTCTTCGGCCAGGCTGCATGAGATTCCTTCCCTGCACACCACTCCTCTGGGTAAAGAGCCAGAGGTGATGGCACCTGGATCAAGCTGGGATCCCACTGTTGAGGCCTCATGTGGCTCCCTCTGGCTGCCTGACCCTTTCCACCCCCTGCTTTGGGCCCCATTTGTCCAGCAACAGCCTGTTAAGTGCTAAGGCTTGCCTCCTACCACTGCAGAATTGGGGGCGGGGAGCCCTGGAGGTCATCCAGGCCTGTGCCTGGTAGGACCACCCCAACATTTACCACTGGTCTGGGCAAATTGCTGCTTCCCAGAAGTGGCTTTACCAAGACAAGGGCTAACCTCACTTAGGTCCCAAAAGTGAGGTTAGCCCTCTTTTTCATCATGACCCAAGCCCAGGAAGGGAGGACACAGGGCCTATTACATTATGTCTGGAAAGTTGGAGGGTTTCTTTCATCCAGTCGTGTTGCTAAATAACCTGCTGAGAGGCCACGGCCACATCCCAAGAAGGATCCCAAAGATGAGCTTCACCCACCAATGCTCCTGAGATGGCCAAAGGCAGGCTCTTTACTCCAGAAACCAGGAACAGGAGGCATAGGGAGAGAGAGATTTGAGTATTAAATTTAAATCTCTCCATTTAAGTTTAAATTTAATATTTAATTAAATTTAAATTTAGAAAAGAAAATTAAAATGAAACATTGCTTAGCTGATTGAAACTCCTGATTTGTGTGTTTCTAAGCTCAGAGAATGATCCCTCGAGGACTCATGGCTGGTGGCCACCAGTGATGAGACAAAGGCAAGAGAGGGGCCCTGGGCTCACTACACTTCTAGCCTCAGTGCCCTGCACCATTTCTGCTCTGCACCTCACCCCAAAAATGCCAGACAGCAGAGGGAACCCTGGGCTGAGACGGAGACCTGGGACCTAGTGCCAGCTCTCCCATGGAGTGACCTTAGACACCCCGTTTCATGCACCAAGCCTCAGCTTCCTCATCTATAAAGAAGAAGGACAATGGGCTATCACTTGCAAACCCTGTAAAGTTTTTGTTAAGCTCCAGCAAGACAGGGTATGAGAAGTGTGCAGTGGGAAGAACTTCACAATGCGAGCTATTGTTAGTGTTATTTTTGCTCATAGAGGGTGGCCATCCCTGCCTGGGAGGTGGCATGAGGAGTATGCCAGGCTGGCAGGAAATGCCGTGGCCATGGGCATGGGGGACCTGGCAGTGGCCTATGATTCCAGAGAGTGTGCCCAGGAGCTAGGTGTCTAAATAAGCAAATGCAGGCCTCCCTGAGGACGTGGACAGTCATGCACCCCACAGAAGGTCTGAGTGGGTAGTTATGGGCACCCCAGGTTTCTGGACCAGCTGTTCCTCCAGCCCGTCTTGGAGCTGGAAGCAGAATAGAGACCAGAGTCTGGGGTCAGGGTTGGGGTAGGGGCTGTTGTGAAGCTGCATTGTGCATTTGCTGTGGGAATGCTGGCAGTCACATGCCTTCTGCCATTGCCTGCCCGGCTGGGTAAAACTGAGCTTCTGTGCCTTTAAAATTGTTTGACATCTTTGAGATTGGAAACAGAGCTCCCCAGTGGAAGGCCAGCAGTAGCTATGGAATGCTATTCTAATACAAAACTTACTCTCGGTGGATTTAAACTGATAATCCCACTGGCAGGCTTTGGAGCGAAATCACCTATTATGGTCCTGGAAAAGGCCCCAGATTCTCTGGGCTGATCTTTGCCCATGTGGGCTAGTGAGAATAGAGCTGTTTTCCCTCTCAGGCTATGCAGCCCCATCTCCCACCCTCAGCTGACGAGACAACCCTGAGATTCTAGTCCGGATACAGGACTGAGAGCTCAGGGCTGGCGGGGAGTCCCCATGGTGTTTTGCTCTAAGACACTCGCTAGCCCAACCCCTTAGGGGTGCCTGGCCAAGCGCTCAACATCAGCAGATGGCAAAGCTCGCGCTGGCGGACAGGTCTCCATTCCAGGCTGCCTCCCTCTCCCAGACCATAATGTCAAGGATGCGGGCCCATTTCGCAGTGGGGGTAAGCCTGGGTACTGCAGTTTCTCATGGCCAGTCAGCTCCCGAGGCGACGGTTCCTTCCTCCCACTGCGGGGACCCTTGTGACCGCCTGGGGACTCTCCAGCTAATCCCTCCTGGGCCTGGCCCTCCCATGGTCAAGTCCTCTGTTCCAACGGAGGCTCTGGAGGCAGAGAGAGCAGGGTTAAATCCTGGTCTGCAAGATTACTTAGGGCAAGTTACTTAGGCCTTTCTGATCTTTAGTTTCTTCCCCTGTCAAATGGGTATAGTAATCACACACATTTCAGTGTTAAGAGAATGAAATGAGCTAGACTAGAATCAACAGCCTAGCACGGTGGCTCTCAAAGTGTGGTCCAGGAGTCCGCAAGACCCTTTCAGGGTAGCTTTGAGGTCAACACTGTTTTCATGAAAATACCAAGATGTTATTTGTCTTTTTACTCTCATTTTCTCACCCTCATGGTTTCCAAAGGCTACTGGCTCTGACAGCTGTTGGGATGTGTGCTGTGTATTCTTCTTTTTAAAATATTCTCAGCTTCAATTTATAAAATGATAATGATCCATAAACAGAAGTCTGGGGCCATCAATAATTTTTAAGGGGCCTCAAGACCAAAAACATGGAGAGAACCGCTGGACCAGCACAACACTGTGTGCTTAGTAGGTTTTCTTTTCATTGGCTCTGAGCTGTCTTCCTTGCCCTGTTTCCCCATTCCTTGATGCAGGGCGTTCCTGTCCTTTGCACCATAAAGGATGCATTTTATTGTTCATTTACTCCCAGCCCTACTTACTGCACCTTCACATGTGGAAGGACTCGACCTACCAACTTGATGCCTTGGTAATGGTTGTTTTTCTCATGTTGCATGAGCCCCAGTACCCACAGGCCAGCAGTATTATTACCTCACTATGCTGATTTCATCCTGGTAAAAACAAAACAACAACAACAAAAAAGCCTCACTGAAGTTTGTCACGGTCAGATGAAGACCTGTGGGCTTTCTCTGACAGGACAGAAATCGGGGTGCACAGGAATGTGGTTTTAGCCTTGGTAGTTAGGCAAGATCTGCTTTGCTTTGTCTTCAGCCTTTGGAAGCCCACATACTCAAATGCCTACTTCAAGATACTGTGTCTTCCCTGAACCTGAGGGTGATCAATGATCTTGTTACTGTATGTGCATGTTATTGTATTAGGGTTTGGTCAGAAAAACAGAAGCCACTCTAGGTATTTAGAGAAGGAAGAGAGGTTCAATACAGGGAACTAGAGGCATTCATGACCTCACAAGAGCAGCGGGAAGAAAGGGCAGAAAGGCCACTTTGAAATCTGGAAGTTCAGAGATCCCGGGGAAGTGGCCATGAATGGTGTCCGCTTCCAGCAGCATCAAAGTGGGAGATTCTCAAGGAGATGCCCGAACGCCATGCAGAACCCCACAGGAGCAGCTGCTGCTGCTGCGAGCTGGCCTGTCCTGCCTCTCAAACACTGGCTTCTCCTTCTCTTCTGCATCCCCCAAACAAGCGAGAGTAGAATCTAACCTGAAGCCTGCCAGCCAGAGAGTCTGGGAAGCGTTGTTTCCAGGCTTCTTGCCCCTGTGGTTTGGGTGATTGCTTAGGTCAGGGAGTTGACACATAGTATCTCTCATGGTTGCATATCATAGCTAGCCTATGAAATAATGGTGGTGGTATGCACAAAGTATGTCAATCAGATATACTGTTTATTAGTAATATTTGCTTTCTTTTTTGCATTTTCTGCTTTTATATAGATATATTGTTACTATTTGAATATTTCCTCTTAATTTTTTTTTTTTTTTTTTGAGACAGAGTCTTGCCCTGTCACCCAGGCTGGAGCGCAGTGGCGTGATCTCGGCTCACTGCAAACTCCGCCTCCTGGGTTCAAGTAATTCTCCTGCCTCAGTCTTCTAAGTAGCTGGAATTACAGGCACCAGCCACCACGCCTGACTACTTTTTTGTATTTTTAGTAGAGATAGGGTTTCACTATGTTGGCCAGGCTGGTCTTGATCTCCTGACCTCGTGATCCACCCACCTCGGCTTCCCAAAGTGCTGGGATTACAAGCGTGAGCCACCATGCCTGGCCCTCTCAAATTCTGATAAGGATTCTAGGTGTATACTTTGGAGAAAAACAGCTCCTTGAAATATATGTAATTGTATGAGTCAAATGATGCAAAATGTAATGAGGATTGTGAATGCTGTTCATATTATGCAAAATACAAATATTAAATTCACATAGTTTAAAAAATTAGAGGCTAGGAGCAGTGGCTCACACCTTTAATCCAGCACTTAGGGAGGCCGAGGCAGGAGGATCACTTTAGGCCAGGAGGTCAAGACCAGCCTGGGCAACACAGCAAGGCCCCATCTCTACAAAAAAGAAATTTTCTAAATTAGGAAACTAGTTAATAAAAATATTAGGAAAAATGCATTATCTCTAGATTAGCTGAGAAAGAATATTGTCTTTTTTTACTAAGTTTATAGAGTTTAATATTAAGTTTAATAAGAGATTAATAAGAATTTGCATGATAATTCTAATCTTTGTAGAATTTTTTATTCACTAGCATTTAAACATTAAGAACTGTAATTTTTAGCTATTTAATTTTTTAGGGCAAAAATATTTCAAGAATATATTCTACTTGGAAATTCTTCACATTTTATTAAAGATTAATTAAAAGCAGAATGTCAGTTTTGCCACCAATCTCAAAATTTCACAAGGTGGAAAAAATATCTAAAATCATGTAAACATGTATGATAAATTATCTTCAATCCAGAAATAATAAAGAATACTAGCCAGGTACAGGGGCTCACACCTCTAATCCCAGCACTTTGGGAGACCAAGGCAGGCAGATCGTTTGAGCTTGGGAGTTCAAGACCAGCCTGGGCAACATAGCGAGACCCCATCTATAAAAAAAATTAAAAAATAGCTGGGCGTGGTGGCACACACCCGTAGTCCCAGCTATTCACAATGCTGAGGTGGGAGGATCACTTGAGCCCAGGAGGTCCAGGGTGCAGTGAGCTGAGATCGTGCCATTGCACTCCAGCCTGAGTGAGAGTGAGACCCTGTCCCAAAAAAAAAAAAAGAATATTAAGAATATGAAACAAAGAAGTGCTAGAGAAAAATGAGGGGCTCTAAACACACTTTGATCTTCTTAATCATCAAACTTCATAACAACACATTTTTGTAAAAATGCTTTAAGAAGATAACTCCTTATAGTTTTGAATCCTGGAGACTAAATTTTTAAATTGTCAGGATGATTGCTATAGACCACTAATCATTTTCATAAGCTGAAGATAAGAAAATTTTAAAAGATTTTCCTAAGTTATTTTATTCATTCCCTATTTCTGCTATAACAAAGTAACCACAGATTCAGTGGCTTAAAACAACACACATTTATTATCTTACAGTTCTGGAGGTCAGAAGTCAAAAATAGGTTTTATTGAGCCCAGAGTTATTAGCAGGATTGTGTTTCTTCAGGAGGCTCTAGAGGAAAATCCATTTCCTTGCCTTTTCAGCTTCTGCGGGCTGCCTGCATTCCTTGGCTTTCAGCTTCTCCTTCCATCTTTAAAGCCAGCTGTAGTATCTTCAAACCAATTCCCCCACCACCTGCCCGCCTGCACCCCGCTCGCTATTGCTCTCCCTTCCTCTTTCTCTCACCTCTTCTTTTGTCACACCTCCTTCTCTGACTCCATACCTCTCCCTTCCCCTTATAAAGTTTACACTCACTTATAAACATTAGGCTCACTTAGTTAATGCAGAATAATCTCCCCATTTCAAGATCTTAATTACATCTTGAAAATCCCTTTTGCCAAGGGAACACTCATACATTGTTTGTGGGAGTGTAAATTAATTCAACCATTGTGGAAAGCAGTGTGGTGATTCCTCAAAGAGCTATAAACAGAACTACCATTAGACCCAGCAATCCGATTACGGGGTGTATACCCAGGGGAATGTAAATCATTCTATCATAAAGATACATGCATGTGAATATTCTTGCAGCACTATTCACAATAGCAAAGACATGGAGTCAACATAAATGCCCACCAGTGACAGAATGGATAAAGAAAAAGTGGTACATATACACAATGGAATACTACACAGCCATAAAAAAGAACAAGATCATGTCTTTTGTGGGAACATGGATGGAGCTGGAGGCTATTATCCTTAGCAAACTAACACAGGAACAGAAAAAGGAATACTGCATGTTCTCACAAGTAGGCGCTAAATAATGAGAACACATGGACAAAAAGAGGGGAACAACATACACTGGGGCCTACTGGAGAGTGGAGGATGGCAAGAGGGAGAAGAGCAGAAAAAATAACGAGTGGGTACAAGGCTTAGTACCTGGGTGACAAAAATAAAATAATCTGAACAAAAAAACCCTGTGACATGAGTTTGCCTATATAACAAACTTACACATGTACCCCTGAACTTAAAATAAATAAATAAAAAAAGAAGACTGCAAAATCAAAAAGAAAATCCTTTTTACCATGTTAGGTAATATGCTCACAGGTTTGGGTTATTAAAATGTGAACCTCTTCGTAGGCTCTTGTTCTTCCTATCATAAAATCATAAAACCTCTTTGTGGGCTCTTGTTCTTCCTATCATAAAATCATAAAATCATAAAAACATGTTACTGAAAAACATTTTCCAAAATTACATTGCCTTGAGTCAAAAGGTTAGTGATATCATCAAATGTGCCAGCTAAAAGTGAACAACTACTTAGTAATGTAAATATGCAGTATAATAACTGTAGGAGCAATCCAGCAACGGACAGTGCTATTTGTTTTCCTGTATCGTGTCAAAGTTTAACATTTTAATAAGTAAAATAAGATTTTCATAATAAAATTATAAAAATAATTGAAATTTAAAAATAAAATTACAGGTTTATTTGTATATCTCAGAAGGTTTTCTGTGATCGTGATGTTTGGCTTTTGTTGAATATTTATTTTGATACATTGGCTTTCAGTTTTAGGTTAAAATATATTTTGGATACACTTTTGCTAGGCCTTTCCAAATTGATATAGCACAGGGGTGGAGATATATAATGCTATTTTTCTTTTTTCTTTTCTTTTTTTTGTATTTTGTTTTGAGACAGAGTCACCCACTGTCGCCCAGGCTGGAGTGCAGGGTTGCGATCTCGGCTTACTGCAAACTCTGCCTCCCGGGTTCACACCATTCTCCTGCCTCAGCCTACCGAGTAGCTGGGATTACAGGCACGCACCACCACGCCTGGCTAATTTTTGTATTTTTGGTAGAGATGATGTTTCGCCATTTGGCCAGGCTGGTCTCAAACTCCTGGCCTCAAGTGTGATCCACCCACCTTGGCCTCCCAAATTGCCTATTTTTCTTTATTATACTTTTCTTCATGCTCAAAATAATGGATATATAATACATTGAACTTATTTGAAACTGTCTTTCATTGTACATTTTCTGTCATTTGTACATGGATGGCATGAGACTCATCCACTCACCAAGGACAGAGTTATTACCATGGCAATAGATAAAAAGTCTGTTAGTGGAATTTTAAAACTTCTCTCTTTTTATAAATGGACTTTCATAGTTTTAATTTTCTTTTTTGGTGGCTTTTGTGATTTTCTGAGCTAACTTCCTGGAAGGCAGGATTTAAAACCTGGATAACAATATTCCAAGGAATGGCACTGTGATGGGCACATTCCTGGTTTTCTGGTGTTCAGCTGACTGACACTGGCCCTCCAGGTCCCTGTTGATGGGCCAAGCTGAGGGCTGCAGGTGCTTCTGTGCATATCCAGGACATGTTCCTCACTTGAGCAACCAAGAGGCTAGGCAGAGTCTTATTAGAGCAGAAGCGATTTCCTATTTCATTTCCTTTCCTTTCTCACTCGCTCTCTTTTTCATTTTCTTGAGACAGGGTCTTGCTCTGTCACCCAGGCCGGAGTGCAGTGGCACTATCATGGCTCACTGCATCCTCCAATTCCTGGGTTCAAGCAATCCTCCCGCCTCAGCCTCATGAGTAGCTAGGACTGTGTGTGGGTGCCACCATGCCTGGCTTATTTTGTTTTATTACAGAGATGGGGTCTCACTATGTTCCGCAGGTTGGTCTCAAACTCCTGGCCTCAAGAGATCCTCCCACTTCAGCCTCTCAAAGTGCTGGGATTATAGGCATGAGCCACCGCGCCAGGCCTCTTTTCTTGTTTTTTCCAGTGAATGCTGTCAACTTCATTTACTTTTAACCAGCCAAATAAGGAGTTGGAGGCCGGAGCTAAGTCACCCTGTATTTCTTGCTTAGTTCAATATGTTTTATTGCTTTCATATGTTGGCGACCTGGACAGCTGCTTGGCTGGTCTAGTACTTAATTCAGTTCCATGAAGAATAGAAGCTAGGATGTTCGTCAGGCTTTTGGGAATGCTAACAATAGTTTATGGGCATTCCGCCTCCTTCATTATTACAGCTGGGAATAACTTCCTTACAAGCTTCTCCATAATCTTCATCTTCTCTTAGGAACTTGAGGCTTAGGCTGGGGCTAGAATGTGGACCCCCTGGGGCACTCTGTAGGAGTTTCTGAAAGACTTTCTGGCCCCATTACCCAGAGCAGACATACTAGGAATTAGAGACAATTTGGACTTTTTTTTTTTTTTTTTAAATTACGGGGGTCCTTCACCAAGTTGGGTCCAAAAAAGTTTGTGCAGAAGGAGTGGCTTAAGTAATTCATTTGTGTAAAGGTTAAGAGTAAGGACACTACTGGGGAAAGGGATGAGGGAGAAAGTTTAATCCAAGGATGGACTCCAGGGGTAGGGCAAAGGAATAGAGGTTGGTGATAAGGGGCAAGAAGTAAGCAGAGACCAAAAGAAATGCTGAAAAGGTACTTGTGTTAATTTTCTAGGGCTGCCCATAGCATCACAGACTGGGTGTTTTAGCAATAGAAACTTACTGCCTCACAGTTCTGGAGCCTACAAGTCCAAGATCAAGGTGTTGACAGAGTCGATTCCTTCTGAGGGCTCTCGGGGAAGGATCTGTTTCCAGCTGCCTCTTTCTTTGGCTTGCAGATGGCCGTCTTCCCATTACATCTTTTCATATCATCTTCCCTCTGTATGTCTGTCTCCACATTTCCCCTTTTTATAAGGACACCAGTCATACTGGATTAGGGCCGCCCTGAAGATTTCACTTTACCTTGATTTCCTCTGTCAAGATTCTATCTCCAAATAGTCACATTTTGTGATTTCGGGGGGCAGTTAGGACTTCAATATGTGAATTTTGGGGGAGACAAAATTCAACCCATGAGTGTGCTCACGATAAAGAAAAAAGTGCATATATGTCGTGATCCTATTATGTACAAATACTACACTTACACATAAACACACAGGACACACAGAAAGAACATTCACCAAGTGCTCACCTGTGGGTGGTAGAATTTAAATTGATATTTTAAAATGATACTTTCTTGTATTGTAAAATTTTTTTTACCTTGAATACATTAGCTGTATAATCTGGTAAATATTCTAATTAATAAACATTAGGGGGAATAAAAGAGTAAAGACTGCCTGGGCTCAAGTCCTGGCTCTGCCACTTAGTAGCTGTGTACATTAGTTTAGATAATTAACTTCTCTGTGCCTCAGTCTCCTCATCTATAAAATGGGAATAATAAATTGTACCTCACAGGGTTGCATGAAGATTGCACCAGTTAATATGTGTAAAGCGCTTACAGCAGAGATAAAAACATTTGCTGTTATTCATTTATTGCACCAATATTTTTGAAGCCATCATTTGTACCGCTTTAGGTGCTGGAGACAAAGTGTGCCACTAGCCGAATAATAACGTCTACTGAGCCCTTTCTTTGGGCTGGGTACCATTCTAGACCTTTTATGCATATTTGTGCATCTAATTTTCCATATCACTCTGACATAGGTACCATTTCCATTACTCTCTTGCAAGAGGGAACTAAGGTACAAAGACTGTTAGGTAGCAGAGCAGGATTTGAGCAGCCCGGCTCTTAACCATTTTGCGGCCACCTCCCAAGTGCGTGCAATACAGAGCTACTGGAGGGCTAAGATGGTGAAAGACAGCCTGGGACATTACCAGTCACGGCACATGAGCTTATTTAGGAAGAAATGATACTTACACTTAGACAAAGCAATTCAAACCAAAGATTGGGATGCACCTACAGCCACTGTTTTACTACACAGTGTCTCTTGGCTGGGCCCAGGGACGCAGGGCTGGAGATTGGAATTAGGTAGCTTCAAATTGATTCTTCTGCCTTGAGTTTTCTTTTGCAATAGCAGTAGCATTTGTTTGTTAGGTCCCATGACCACCTCTCATTTCATTCTCAAAAGGAGCCTATGATTCAAGAGAACAGAGGCTCAAAGGGGTTTAACAACCTTCCCAAATTCACACAGGGAGGAAGGGACAGAGCCAGGACTAGAGGTTGGGTTTCCTGATTGCTGACCCACAGCAGCTGCTGCTTCTTGGGAGCCTGTGGCTTCCCCGGGGGACGTGTCCTTCCCCAGGAGAGTGTGGGCATGAAGGGATTCTTCCCGGGACAGAAGAGCATCATCCATGTGTTCAGGGAGCTCCTTCCGCTCCTGCTTCTGTATCTGCTTCTGCTCTGGGAGGGCAGGGTCTCCAGCGCCGTGCTTCCCCAGCATGGAATACAGGGTCTGGCACAGATAGTCCTGGATGGGCAGGGCTGGAGGGGACCTGGAGATTGCCTTGTTCTTAATCATTGTTAAAGCAGCAGAACATTTTTCCAAATGGAATATACATGGAACCCCAATACAAAAAGCAGATAAAAGCAGTGCTGTTGAAGCAGGTGTGGGGGTCCAGGCCTAACCTTTAGCCTCCTCTTCATAGACTCCTGCCCAGGAGGCTCCTAGGAACCTCTTAAAAACCCTGAACTCCAAGGAAATTCAGAGTGAAAACTGCCAACCTCATCCACCTTCTCCACAGCTGGGAAGACTGAGACTCAGAGTGGGGAGGTGACTTCTCACAGATCCCTAACAAGGGTGTCAGGGCCCGGGTGATGAAGACAGGTGCCCTGACTCTGAGTCCATACTCTTTCCAGTACCCCCACCCTTCTATCTTCATAGCAGGTATTCAGTAAATACTTGTTAAACGAATATGTAAACTTCCCAGAAAGTCTTCCATGATTTTTCCCCTGTCCTGACCCCACTTCCTTCACCCTGAGAGCCTTTTTTGTTTTGTTTTGTTTTGTTTCTGAGACAGAGTTTCTCTCTTGTTGTCCAGGCTGGAGTGCAGTGGTGCAATCTCGTCTGACTGCAACCTCTGCCTCCTGGGTTCAAGCAATTCTCCTGCCTCAGCCTCCCGAGTAGCTGGGATTACAGGCACATGCCACCACGCTCAGCTAATTTTTGTGATGTTTAGTAGAGACAGCATTTCATCATGTAGGCCAGCCTGGTCTCAAACTCCTGACCTCAGGTAATTCACTTGCCTCAGCCTCCCAAAGTGCTGGGATTACAGGCATGAGCCACCGCTCCTGGCCCTGGAAACCTTTTTGATTCCTGAGTTGGTTCCAAGCACAGAGCATGTACTCCATCAACATTAGTCACTGCTGTCTCTGGTATGATGATGGTTCTGTTTGTAAGGCCCATGGTTACCCAGTTGAGAGCTAAATTCATACCAAGACTACAGCAGTGCCTACAACACTGCTATGTCATGGGGCGTGAGAACTGCTGGTGACTTTCCAGGCCATCCCGCTCTATTCCACATTCACTAGTAAGGATATTTTTTTTCTTCCAACTTTTATTTTAGGTTCGAGGGGTACACGTGCAGGTTTGTTACATGGATAAACTACATGTCACGGGGATTTGATGTACAGATAATGCTGTCACCCATGTAGGTATAATACCCAGTAGGTAGTTTTTCAATTCTTACCCTCCTCTCACCTTTACCATCAAATAGGCCCCAGTGTCTTTTATTCTCTTCTTTGTGTCCATGTGTACTCAGTGTTTAGCTCTCACTTACAAGGGAGAACATGTGGTATTTGATTTTCTGTTCTTGCATTAATTCACTTAGGATTATGGCGCCAGCTCCAACCATGCTGTTGCAAAGGCCATGATCTCATTTTTTTTTTTATAGCTGCACAGTATTCCATGGTGTAGATGTACCACATTTTCTTTATTTAGTCCACCACTGATGGACATCTAGGTTGACTATATGTCTTTGCTATTGTGAAGAGTGCTGCAGTGAACATACATGTACTTGTGTCTTTATGGTAGAATGACTTATATATCTTTAGGTATGAATTGCTGGGTAGAATGGTAGTTCTATTTTAAGTTATTTGAGAAAAATCCATACTGCTTTCCACTGTGGCTGAACTAATTACATTCCCACCAGCATTGTATGAGCGTTCCCTTTTCTCTACAACCTCGCTGGCATCTGTTATTTTTTGATTATTAGTATTTCATTGTGGTTTTGATTTGCATTTCTCTAATGATGGGTAATATAGAGTATTTTTTTTCTGTGCTTGTTGGCTGCATGTATGTCTTCTTTTGAGAAGTGTCCATGTCCTTTGCCTATTTTTTTAATGGGGTTGTTTGTTTTTTTGCTTGTTGATTTGTCTGAGTTCCTTATAGATTCTGGATATTACACTTTTGTTGGATGCAAAATTTGCTAATATTTTCTCCCATTTGTAGGTTGTCTATTTACTCTATTAACAGTTTCTTTGGCTGTGCAGAAGCTCTTTAGTTTAATTAGGTCTCACTTGTCTTTTCTTTTTGACACAGGATCTCGCTCTGTCACCCGGCTGGAGTGCAGTGGTATGATCACGGCTCACTGCTGCCTCAGTCTCCTGGGTACAGGCAGTCTTCCCACCTCGGCCTCCTGAATAGATGGGACTACAGATGCATGCCACCATGGTGGGCTAATTTTTAAATTTTTTGTAGGATAGGGTTTTGCCATGTTGCCCAGGCTGGTATTTTTGTTTTTGTTATAGTTGCTTTTGGAGTCTTCATCATGAAGCCTTTGCCTCAGCTCATGTCCAGGATGGTATTTCCTAGATTTTCTTCTAGGGTCATTAGAGTTTTAGGTTTTACATTTAACTCATTAATCTATCTTGTGTTGATTTTTGTATATGGTGAAATGTAGGGGTCCGGTTTCAGTCTTCTGCATATGGCTAGCCAATTATTCCAGCAGCATTTATTGAATAGGAAGTCATTTCCTCACTGCTTGTTTTTGTCAGCTTTGTTGAAGACCAGATGGTTGTAGGTGTATGGCTTTAATTCTGGGTTCTATAACCTATTCCATCGGTCTATGTGTCTGTTTTTGTACCAGTACCATACTGTTTTAGTTACTGTAATACAGTTTCAAGTCAGGTAGTGTGATGCCTCCAGCTTTGTTCTTATTTCTTAGAATTGCTTTGGCTATTAGGGCTCTTTTTTGGCTTGAAATACATTTTAGAATGATATTTTATAATTCTGTGAAAAATGTCATTGGTAGTTTGACAGGAGTAGCATTGAATCTGTAAATAGCTTTGGGCAGTATGGCCATTTTAACAACATTGATTCTTTCTATCCAAGAGCATGGAATGTTTTTCTATTTGTTTGTGTTGTCTCTGATTTTTTTGAGCAGTGTTTTGCATGGTTTTTCTCATTTCCATTTTGCTTAGTTCAGCTCTGATTTTGGTTATTTCTTTTCTTCTGCTACCTTTGGAGTTGGTTTGCTCTCTTTTTTCCAGTTCCTCTAGATGTAATGTTAGCTTGTTTATTTGAGGCCTTTCTAACTTCTTGTGTTGGCATTTAGTGCTATAAACATTCCTTTTAGTACTGCTTTAGCTGTGAGATTCTGGTATGTTGTATCTTTGTTTTCATTTGTTTCAAAGACTGTATTCATTTCTGTCTTAATTTCATTATTTACACGAAAGTCATTCAGAAGCAGATTGCTTAATTTCCATTTAATTGTCTGGTTTTGAGAGATCTTGGTATTGATTTCTATTTTTATTGCACTGTAGTCCGAGAGTGTGGTTGGTATGATTTGGATTTTTTTGAATTTGTTGAGAATTGCTTTATGGTTAAGGGTGTGGTCAATTTTAGAGTATGTGTCATGTGCAGATGAAAAGAATGTGTATCTTGGTTTTTGTTGGGTGGAATATTCTGTAGACGTCTATTAAGTCTATTTAGTCAAGTGTCAAATTTAGGTCAAAAATATCTTGTATTAATAGTATTCTGCCTCAATCAGCTGTCCAACACTGTCAGTGGGGTGTTGAAGTCTACCACTTTTGCTGTGTGGTTATCTAAGTCTTTTCTTAAGTCTCTAAGAACTTATTCTATGAATCTGGGGCTCCAGTGTTGGGTGCGCATATATTCAGGACAGTTAAGTCTTCTTGGAATTGAACACTTTATCATTATTTAAAGCCCTTCTTTGTCCTTTGTGATCATTGTGGGTTTAAAGTTGGTTTTGTCTGAAATAAGAATAGGGACCTCTGCTCTTCTTTATTTTCCATTTGCTTCATATATCTTTCTCCATCTCTTTACTTTGAGCCTGGGGGTGTCCCCGCATTTGAGATGGGTTTCTCGAAGACAGCATATAGTTGGGTCTAGCTTCTTTATCCAACTTCCCACTCTGTGCCTTTTAAGTGGGGCGTTTAACCCATTTACATTCAACGTTAATAATGACATATGCAGATTTGGTCCTGTCATCCTGTTGTTAGCTGGTTGTTATGTAGACTGGGTCAGGAGATTTGGTCAACGTTTATAACTACCTACCTGTGCGAGGCACTGCTCTGACTCTAGGGACACAGATGAACACAAATGCTTGACAACAATCACAGGCTTACCATGTACAAGGCTCTGTGCTAAGCCCTGTACTAGCTACATTCATCAGGGCTCATTTGGTGACAATCAACAAAAATTCAACTGAGACCAATATAAGTGGAGGATTTATTGGAAGGACCTTGGGCTAGCTTACAGAACCAGTAAGGAAGAGCTATGGGAGGTAGGGCAGCTCTGAGATCCTGGGCACCAATTCTCTTTCATTTTTTTCTCTCCTGCCTGATTTTTCCTGCATGCCCAGGAACAAAGCTTTCAGAAGCAGCTCTGAGGTCAAATCCCTCTCAGCTTCCAAAAAAGAAAATAAAAAGAAGTTCTTCCCTGCTGGCTCCATTTAGAAAAATTACGCAGAAGGGCTTTAGCCTGGTTTGAGACACTTGTCCATCCTTGGCCCAGTTGCTTATTTGGGGGCTGGGGTAGGCAGGAAGGCAGGAAAGAGCGGAGGAGTCAGGGAACAGAAACCAGTCCAGGCAGGGTCTCCTGTTTCCCATTCCCCTGGTAAGAGCATGGAGGTGCTCTGAATATACAGTTGGCCAGATTGCAAAAGGCCAAATTGTTTAATTATTTATTTATTATTATTATACTTTAAGCTTTAGGGTACATGTGCACAATGTGCAGTTTGGTTACATAGGTATACATGTGCCATGTTGGTTTGTTGCACCCATCAACTCGTCATTTACAATTAGGTATTTCTCCTAATGCTATCCCTCCCCTAGCCCCCAACAGGCCCCAGTGTGTGATGTTCCCCACCCTGTGTCTATGTGTTCTCATTGTTTAACTCCCATCTGTGAGTGAGAACATGCGGTGTTTGGTTTTCTGTCCTTGCGGTAGTTTGCTTAGAATGATGGTTTCCAGCTACATCCATGTCCCTACAAGGGACATGAACTCATCCTTTTTTATGGCTGCATATTATTCCATGGTTTATATGTGCCACATTTTCTTAATCCAGTCTATCACTGATGGACATTTGGGTTGGTTCCAAGTCTTTGCTATTGTGAAAAGTTCCACAATAAACATACGTGTGAAGGTGTCTTTATAGTAGCATGATTTATAATCATTTGGGTATATACCCAGTAATGAGCTCGCTGGATGAAATGGTATTTCTAGTTCTAGATCCTTGAGGAATCACCACACTGTCTTCCACAATGGTTGAACTAATTTACACTCCCACCAACAGTGTAAAAGCATTCCTATTTCTTCACATCCTCTCCAGCATCTGTTGTTTCCTGACTTTTTTATGATTGCCATTCTAACTGGCGTGAGATGGTATCTCACTGTGGTTTTGATTTGTATTTCTCTGATGACCAGTGATGATGAGCATTTTTTCGTATGTCTGTTGGCTGCCTATATGTCTTCTTTTGAGAAGTGTCTGTTCATATCCTTTGCCCACTTTTTGATGGGGTTGTTTTTTTCTTGTAAATTTCTTTAAGTTCTTTGTAGATTCTGGATATTAGCCCTTTGTCAGATGGATATGTTGCAAAAATTTTCTCCCATTCTCTAGGTTGCCTGTTCACTCTGATGATAGTTTCTTTTGCTGTGCCGAAGCTCTTTAGTTTAATTAGATCCCATTTATCTATTTTGGCTTTTGTTGCCATTGCTTTTGGTGTTTTAGTCATGAAGTCTTTTCCCATGCCTATGTTCTGAATGGTAATGCCTAGGTTTTCTTCTAGGGTTTTTATGATTTTAGGTCTTACATTTAAGTCTTTAATCCATCTTGAGTTAATTTTTGTGTAAGGTGTAAGGAAGGGATCCAGTTTCAGCTTTCTACCTATGGCTAGCCAGTTTTCCCAGCACCATTTATTAAATAGGGAATCCTTTCCCTATTGCTTGTTTTTGTCAGGTTTGTCAAAGATCAGATGGTTGTAGATGTGTGGTGTTATTTCTGAGGCCTCTGTTCTGTTCCGTTGGTCTATATATCTGTTTTTGTACCAGTACCATGCTGTTTTGGTTACTGTAGCCTTGTAGTATAGTTTGAAGTCAGGCAGCGTGATGCCTCCAGCTTTGTTCTTTTTGCTTAGGATTGTCTTGGCTATGTGGGCTCTTTTTTGCTTCCATATGAAATTTAAAATAGTTTTTTCCAATTCTGTGAAGAAAGTCATTAGTAGCTTGATGGGGATAGCAATGAATCTATAAATTACCTTGGGCAGTATGGCGATTTTCACGGTATTGACTCTTCCTATCCATGAGCATGGAATGTTCTTCCAGTTGTTTGCGTCCTCATTTATTTCACTGAGCAGCGGTTTGTAGTTGCCCTTGAAGAGGTCCTTCACATCCCTTGTAAGTTGTATTCCTAGGTATTTTATTCTCTTTTTTGTAATTGTGAATGGGAGTTCACTCATGATTTGGCTCTTTGTCTGTTATTGGTGTATAGGAATGCTTGTGATTTTTGTACACTGATTTTGTATCCTGAGACTTTGCTGAAGTTGCTTATCATCTTAAGGAGATTTTGGGCTGAGACGATGGGGTTTTCTAAATATACAATCATGTCACCTGCAAACAGAGACAATTTGATTTCTTCTTTTCCTAACTGAATACTCTTTATTTCTTTCTCTCGCCTGATTGTCTTGGCCAGAACTTCCAATACTATGTTGAATAGGAGTGGTGAGAGAGGGCATCCTTGTGCCAGTTTTCAAAGGGAATGCTTCCAGTTTTTTCCATTCAGTATGACACTGGCTGTGGGTTTGTCATAAATAGCTATTATTATTTTGAGATACATCCCATCGATACCTAGTTTATTGAGACTTTTTAGCATGAAGGGTTGTGGAATTTTGTTGAAGGCCTTTTCTGCATCTATTGAGATAATCATGTGGTTTTTGTCATTGGTTCTGTTTACGTGATGGATTACATGTATTGATTTGCGTATGTTGAACCAGGCTTGTGTCCCAGGGATGAAGCCAACTTGATCGTGGTGGATAAGCTTTTCGATGTGCTGCTGAATTCGGTTTGCCAGTATTTTATTGAGGATTTTTGCATCGATGTTCATCAGATGTTGGCAAAAGGCCAAATTGTTAAACATGTATATTTGGCTAAAGTTGAGGCTGAAGCCAAAAGTCACAACTGAATTTTGAGATTCCAGAAGAAATCTGAAATTGTATTAAATATTATTGTTATGATGATTTTATTACCAAAAAGGTTAGTAGTTACATGTTAAAGGGTGAGAACTGTTATTTCTCAGTGCAGTGTCATTTCCCTGCTGGTGCTCCTGTGACCATTATACTTTGACACAGAACAGTCACTCATTTCAACTAATATTTAATAATATCTGTTATGCTGAGCAGAATATAATTCAGAAAAAAAGTTTTTCAATAATATGTTTTCTAGAAAGAACTTTGTACCTACAATTCATTCTTGGGCAAATCTCTGCTCAGTATGGCAAGCTGGCTACATTGGGCATACAAAAAGCCTCTGAACCATACCAGGCAGGACAGTCTGGGTTTAATTCATTCCAGTCTGCATGGCTGCTCTGTGCAGCTAGTTTCGGCAAGGGCCCCTGAGCTGTGAGGAGCTTGAGTCGTCCTGTCAGCCCCACTCAGAGGTATTTGGCCTGCAGAGAAATTTTCTGATTTTCTCTAAACTTTGAGGAAAGACAGTTCAAAGATCTAGATGTATGCCTTCAGCCTCACCCATGGCATTTACTCTCTGTAAGGCTCATGACTTGCTCTTTGTTTTCTTTGCACCTGACTCATCTTCCTGCAGACTGTGTGCTTCCTGAGGGCAAACTCCCTGTTTGTTCATCGTTGGATTTTCTGCACCTGGCCCATGCCTGACCCACAGGGTCCTGGAGCACTGACTATGAGCCAGGAACTGTGTTGATGTTTCATGAGCTCATCTGATTTAATATCTAGAAAGTTTCCATGTACCTCCACCTCTAAGATAACTGTCATATGTATCTACTGGAGGAATTGACTTGTGAACGTTGACTTGTGCCTAAGACAGTCCTTGGAACGTAGAAAATTGCCCAATAAGATAAAATATGAGTTTTGGGAACCATTTGAAATTGGCATGAAGTCTTTATTCACCTAAACCTCTGAAAAGCACTGCTCTAGGAGCAGAGAAAAAGGGGGATTGAGACATCAAACAATTACACAAAATGACTGGGAAATGCCTGCAATATGGTCACTGCAAAGGCTGAATATTAAATTGTCTATTTGCTGTGATTATATAAAAAGTATAGGATCTGGAAATAAAACCTGGAAGTGAAATATTGACCAAAAGAATTCTAATGAGGGTTTCTTTTTCAAGATTTAAAAGCTAAGCATCAATCTAACTTAGCTGTTATTTACTAATTTAAATCCCTACTTTACTCCATAAGAATCTAAGGAGGCTTAGAAGCTGGTTTGTGCATCAGCTGAGGCCAATCTGAGAGGCTACGGGCCTTTGTTCTTCCATCGCCTCAAGGGCCAGACCTGGAAAAAGAGAGCAGGGTTTCTCCAGTGCTGGCCTGCCTCGGAACTACCTGGGTGCTTAGGAACAAGAGTGGTGACTGGGCCCACTCTGGCACCTGCTGAGTCATAGTCTCTGTGGTTGAGGTGCCAGATTCATATTTTTCTGAAACTCCTTGGGGCATTCATTCAGCAGGTTACATTTTGCCAGGGTTAACACCCATTTTGCACCTCTGCCAGGGTGAGGATGTGGTTAGGGGAGGAGGGCATGGGTGCTCATCACAGCCCTGTACCTGCCGTGGGAAGACTGTGATTAGGGACAACCTCCTATCCTTAAGGCTGGCCAGGAGCTGGCGGGGAGCTGGCCCCGCTTCCAGCCCTGTGGGAAGTGGCAGTGAGAGTGGGAACAGGACATGAACTGTCATCTGTGGCAGTGACCCTCCACGTGTGGCCCGTGAGCCAGCAGCACGGGCATCAGCAGGGAATGTGATGGAAAAGCAAACTCTTTGGGCCGTGCCCCAAACTCACTGAATCAGAGATGAGGGGACTCAGCACCTGTGTGTTACACCCTGTGGGTGATTCTGACTGGCATTTCAATGTTGGCAAATCACTGATCTGTAGACCCTTCTCCTAATTATCTTCTTCTAATCTCCCTGCAGCCATTTGAGGTGAGAGGTGGCAGTGCCCTATTTTGGAGAGCTTAGTTATCTGCTGTGTCCCAAAGCCTGCCAGGAGCAGAGGCGGGAGCCAAGTCCAGGCCAGGTGGTTTCCGGCTCCTTCCATTCCTCAGGTATCCAAGAGCAGCTGGTGGTGGCAGGAGTGGCTGCTCTCCTCCTCCGTGCCTTGAGAGAGGGTCTGGGAGGGTGTGAGGGAATGCGGGGAGCAGCCTCATAACCAGCAAGGCCTCTGGGGAAGCAGGGAGCCCCCATGTGCATTCCTGTGCTGTCTCACACCCACCCCGCCCCTGCATAGTCCTGGCCTCCCCATGGCCCTTACCACATCAGGGAACCCAGGAATGGTGTGTCCAGGTAAGAGGCTGGAAATGAAATTTTCATTTTAAAAAAGTCCTTCCGGGTTTACAAGGTGTGTGTGAAGGGATGGTGCTCATACCTGAGAGGGCGTCCGTGGATTAGGAAAGTCAAAATGATGAGGGGTCCCTCACCTGCCAACACCACTGTGGGTAGGGTGGACCCTGCCCCTCCTGGCCACCTTGCTGTGCAGGCGGTGGCAGCAGGTTCCCACCACAGACGAGGAAGCTGAGCCTCAGTGAGCAGAGGGCAGTGCCAGGGCTCAGTAGGGGATGTGGACACCTAGACCACTCTGCTGCAGCCCACCCTGGGCTCGGGTCCTGCACTGCCTGGCAGAGGCCGGTCCAGGCTTCCAGTTGATTGGGGAGAGGCTAGCCTCACTGTCGTCTCTGCCTGTCCAACCCAGCTTCTTCTCCCTCTGTGGAAAAGGGTAGCTGGGTTAATATCAAATGTTTTCATGTCAACCTACAATTTGGATTTCCTGAAGGTGTTTGGTCTGGGGAATAGAGGGGTGAAGGATGAAGTTTCTCCATCTTAGTTTTTCAATGATGAGGAAAACCTCATGCTTCCTGAGTTGGGAGAAGCACTTGCCTTAGAGTCAGAAAAAGCTAAGGTGGAATTGTCATTTCTCTCCCTTCCCGTATTTAACAGCTTGCACCTCAGTTTCTTTATGTAACAGCTTGCACCTCATGGGACAACACAACCCGTGTGGCAGAATTTTTGTGAAGAGTCAATGAAATAGTGTATGTGATCGCTCGAGCAGTGACCGGTACGGAGGTGCTGAAGAGATGCTGCTTGTTACTTTCTTTCTAGGTACCACAGAGTCCGTGTTCACACAGTGTAAATGCCATCTGTGGGAATTTAGGACACTGTCACTAGAGACACAGTAGTTTAAATCACAGACGTAATTAAGAAAACCCAATATACTATAATTCAGAAAATCCAAATCTGCAAACCAAATGCAAATTATTCTCTTTGCAGAAGGATTCTTCTATTAAAAAAAAAAAAAGCCCAAACAAAAAACCCAAAACATACCCAGAGATTCCCTTAAAATCATGTATTGATTTTATTTTATTCAGTCTCTTCAGGAATATATTTATTGGGTAAAGCATAGATTTAGTGACCACCTGGGCATCTCCAGCTCAGAATTGCCCCCAGTAGTAAGAGAAATTTGCTTTTTTTTTTTTTTTTGAGACAGCGTCTCGCACTGTCACCCAGGCTGGAGTGCAGTGGTGCGATCTCAGCTCACTGCAACCTCCACCTCCCGGGTTCAAGCAGTTCTCCTGCCTTAGCCTCCCGAGTAGCTGGGACTATAGACACATGCCACCATGCTTGCCTAATTTTTGTATTTTTAGTAGAGACGGGGTTTCACCGTGTTAGCCAGGATGGCCTCGATCTCCTGACCTCGTGAGCCACCTGCCTTGGCCTCTTGAAGTGCTGGGCTTGCAGGCATGAGCCACTGTGCCCGGCTGGAATTTGCTTTTTTAAATTAAAGAAACTTGAGCTCAAAAAGATTAAAAAAAAATTCCACTTGAAAATTCTTGGCATAAATGTCCCATTTTTCTGACCTACACAACCTATGGGTATAGGTCAGAACAATGGAACATTTGTTCTATACCCATAAGAAAATGCCACAAAGCAAAGTGTCCATAAATCCACAGTAAATCTTTACTTAATGTCATTAGGTTCTTGGAAACTGTGACTTTGAGCAAAATGACGTATGATGGACGAAACCAATTTTTTTCCTCATCAATGTTATAATGAAATCACACTGAACAAAACGACATTATTTGGAAACTTGCTGTCTATTGCTTCTCTTAAAGTCAAGACTCCAAGAACCTATTGATGACCTTAGGTGAGCCCTTGCTATACGGGACTGCAATTCACAGGAGAAACCATTCTCACTGGACACTCGCTGGGCCTCTCTCTCTTTATCAAAATCATTTATTAACCCTGTGGCCTTGGGCCTTGGGTGATGCCTCTGAGCTTCAGCATCTGCATCTGTGAACAAGGCTGGGACAGATGCAGGCGTCAGACAACGGGTTCACATCAGTTCTCGCTCCGAAATGCCAGTTTTCTTCCCTGCGATGGTGGTAATGGGATGTTGGGCCATGACTATTGGTACCATTTCTGTGCTGTCATAAAAACACTTGTTATTATTTTGGCATGAAATAGTCTTTTAAGCTGGTGCTGTGAGCACATGTTTCACCCTTAGCAAACTGGGGGGAAAGGCTTTGATTTGAAGGTTACCAGGCTTAGCTGGGTGCAGGTGGGAACCAGGCAGATGCCGTGCCGACTGCATGAATGCCCATTTTCAGACCACTTGGAGCCTCTGCCGCTGGACCCACAAACTTGTGGGAAACTCCTTGGCGGCTTCTTAAACCCAGGCTTCAGGGCAGACTCCTGGAGGATCTGTATTTAAAACATACAGGTGCTCGGGACCCAGCCCCAGTGGGCTGAATTCGAGTCCTTGGGATGTTGTCATGCAGCGTATCCGATTCTAGGCTATCATCATGGAACCGAAGGCCCTTTTCATGGTCTCCCACCCAGGGCAGCCCAAATCACTTCAGGGTTCAAGCAATAGTCAGCGTGCCTTCTGCCACATTCCTTTCCCATGCCGGAGCTTTTTCATTTTATTCCAGCCTCATAAGCATTGCTTTTGTGCTTGGCAAGGTAGTAGACGTGCAGCGAGTATTTCATGCAAGAATTCTGCTGATTAGGACAGAGGCTCAGGGGTAAGGAGGCGTGTCCAAGCTCGCACAGCTGGAAAGTGAGGACAGCAGGATTCAAAGTCAGTTTCAGCTCCAAAGCCTGTGGTCTTTCCACCACCTGCAAATAAGCCAGGAACACCTGGGCCTGCAATCTGCAGTCCATGAGCCAAATCCAGCCCGCTGCTTATTTTTGCACAGCCAGGTGAGCCAAGGATAGCTTTTACATTTTTAAAATGTTAGAACAAACAAAAAAAAAACATAACATGCACATTAAAAAAAATGCAACAACAGAGGCTGTATGTGGCCTGCTAAGCCTAAAATATTTACAATCTGGCCCTTTAAAGGAAAAACTTGCCAATTGCTGATTAAGACTGTGACATATGTCCCCTTCTGAGCTCACCCTGGGATGGTTGGTGAGACGACACTGGGTCAGTGTGTCCATCCAAAGCTTCATTGTCAAAAACACAGCAGTTCTGAGTCATTAATGTGACTTAGGTCTTCAAAGACTTTCGTAATCATTTTGCTGGCTTGGCCCGAAAGTGGCACATGTTCCTCTGGATGTGCCAGTGTTTGCTAGAACATCACAGAAAGCTGAGGGCTTTTACATTTTTCACCTGCCACATAAGAGTTTTCCAGGCCAGGTGCAGTGACACACACCTGTAATCTCAACACTTTGGGAGGCCGAGGCAGGCAGATAGCTTGAGCTCAGGAGTTTGAGAGCAGCCTGGACAACACAGTGAAACCCTATCTTTACAAAAAATACCAAAAAATTAGCCAGGCATGGTGGTGTGTGCCTGTGGTCCCAGCTACTCCGGAGGCTGAGGTGGGAGGACCACCTGAGCCTGGGGAGGTTGAGCTGCAGTGAGCTGTGATTGTGCCACTGCACTCCAGCCTGGGCAACAGAGCTAGACTCTGTCTCCAAAAAAGAAAAAAAAAAAAAAGGAAAAAAACAGTTTTCCATTAAGGGGTTAAGGGGCCTCCAGGGGCTGAGGCCAATGGTTGTTCCCTTATATCAGAAGCCAGAGCAATCACTGACCCAGTCCTATTATGTCCACTCTTGGCTGATCCTGGCAAAAATTCTGTGAGGTTGAAGAGAGAGAATTGTTCTCCCAATTAAAAAACAGAATCTTCTTTCTTACAGAAAATAAAGCTGTGGCTCAGAGAGCATAGCACAAGCACACAAAATGGTGGCACCCCCTTTGAACCTTGTTGTTGGTCTTCTCATCTAGACATCGTGCTTCTCTAGCTTACAATGCCATGGCTGGGCACTGGCTCAGTGCCCTGTGTTTAGAAAGAACACCCCGCACTTACTTGGAATTCACTCACAGATCCTTTCGAGGCTTCTGCCATTCTCTAGGGATATATTCCTTTGTTTTGATCTATTTTCTATTGATGAGGATATTACATTACCCCAGGTAGATGTTCAGTTATAAGAGACTCATTGGATTCTTGAATAGAAGTGCTGTAATTTTCTCCGATAGGATAGATGACAACCCCAAAGGTTATAGTTTTGCTGCCTGATAGGATAATTAACTTCATAACTAATTTAGGAATCTTAATTGCAGTATTCTTTTTTCTCAGTGATGATGAATATTCTACATATTTTTAAATGAACCTTGTCATTGTGCTGGTTCTTTGATTAGTGAGTTAAATCTTTGACACATGCTCACTGTATATTTGTATGAGCCATGTTTTTTTAACTTTTGAAAAATAGACTTTGACATCCTCATCATGCCTACAAAAATGGAGACCTCCAAGATCAAATCCACCAAGCTGCAGTGGTCACCCTGGAGTCTGGAGTCTTCTCTCTGTGGGTGTATTGATCTGTAAAGAGGTGGCCCGGGGTGGTGGAAACCTTTGGATAGCACAGCTCGGTTTAGCTCTTGGCTCCACCTTTTAAAAGCTGTGTCATATTGGCTGACTTGTAAGATGTCTCTCAGTTTTAGTATCCTCAGCCATAAAGTGGATATAATGCTCCATTTATATAATGTTGTTATATAAAAATTAAATAACAAATAATAATAGAAGACAGTGGTCGAGGATACAAATTCTGAGCCAGGCTGCCAGGGTTTGCTTCTTGGATCTGTTGTTTCCTAGTTGCACAAAATTTTCTAGTTGCATTTGATTTTATTGTGCTTCCATTTCCTCATTTATAAAATGGGGTTGCTGGGCATGGTGGCTCATGCCTGTAATCCCAGCACTTTGGGAGGCCGAGGCGGGCGAATCACGAGGTCAGGAGATCGAGACCATCCTGGCTAACATGGTGAAACCCCATCTCTACTAAAAATACAAAAACATTAGCTGGGTGGGGTGGCGGGTGCTTGTGGTCCCAGCTACTCGGGAGGCTGAGGCAGGAGAATTGCGTGAACCCGGGAGGCGGAGCTTGCAGTAAGCCGAGATCGCGCCACTGCACTCCAGCCTGGGCAACAGAGCAAGACTCTGTCTCAAAGAAATAAAAATAAAAAATAAAAAATAAAATGGGGTTAGACCCTACCTCAGTATTTAAATAGCCCTTGGAACTGTAGTCGACTGGAATATTGTAAGCACTTAATAAATGTTATCTGTGATGAGGAAAATAACGATATTCATAAAACACCCAGTAGAGCACCTAGTATATAATTTATTCTCAAAGAATTGGTAGCTGCCAAAGATCAAGGATATTCACCATCCAGACTCAGAGTCATGGCAAAAGGCCTGTTAATACATAAAAACAAAAAGTTTCCAAGAAATAAAGAAATTTGCCCAAGATCACCCAGCCAGAACCAGAACCTAAGTCTCAGATTTCAGCCCAGATTCTGTCCCCTGTGCGGAACTTAGGAGCTAGACACTGAGCACAAAGGACAACCAGCCCCGCCATGCAGGGGCTGAGTCTCCTTCCTGCCAGACTCGTCTCTGTAGCTTTCAGTGATTCCCTGCCCGAGGAAATGTCTTCCCCCTGCTGCTACTGCTGCTTCGAAATCAACGCTTTTGTGGGGCCACAGGGAAAAGTCAGAGACTGAGCACAACACACCAGGTCAGGGATGGTGCCATTTAGTCCCAGGAGCAGAAAAAAGACCAGGACTGTCCTGTGCCCTCCCCCACCTTCCAATCCCTGGGGTCCTGAGCTCCACGCTCATGCCTCCAGTCAAAATAGTTAAAGATTTCCATCCTAAGTGATGATGAACAGGAAAAACAAACCCATACCATACCACATACCCAAATACCAGACATTCCTCACATGGTTTGCTGTGTAGGTGATTGGCCACAGACTTCTCTAGCTTCTCAGAGCGCAGGGATGGAGACTAGGGGTGGGGAGACCTGTGCCCCGACCGCTCATCCCAGAGTCTAGAAACAGGACTGGGATGGCTGCTGTCTGTAATAAGTCTGCTATCCTTTTCCATACCCATCAAGTAAGCCATATACTGGAATCCGGGTGTTACCAACATCACACTCTAGAGATGCATCAAAAAGTAAACATTTGTTGAAGACCTACTGTGAGTCTGGCACCACGTTAGGGGCACGAGTGCTCAGTTAACTCTTGAAAGTGGACGCAGTGGGGTTTTCATTGGTCACATTTTCAAGATTGCTTTCATGTAGGTGTGAAGGAAAACGGAACAAAATTTCGCTGCATGCCTAGTATGTGGTCAAATGCTTGTTGGCCTTTTCCCATGCGACTGCTACCTGGCATTAGTTAGGGCACCTTGGCTGCAAGCCCAACTCTGTCTGGCTTAAATGTGGCAGAAGTGTATCTGGTTAGTGATTGGGAAGCCTGGAAGAATTAGGTTAGACAAACCGATCGACACTGCCACCAAAGATACAGATTCTTCGATTGCCTTCATTCCACCATCCTTGCGGGAGGCTCCACGATGAGGCTGGTGCTGATTGTGGTCAGAAAGTGGCTTTTTCATTCACTACTGATAGGGAAGAGAGAGCCTGTTGGGGATATATGATAGACATTGTGCTTGACTTCCCAACATCGACTCCCCTCTGCCTTGTGGAGTGCAGCAATATTTTGGGGACTTGGCCTCAAGTCAAGGATAACACCGTTTTCATTGGTCACATTTTCAAGATTGCTTTCATGTAGCTATGAAAGAAAAGGGAATAATTTTTTTTTTTTTTTACTAAAAGAATAGATTTTTATTAAGCGCTGTAAGTTTCTAGCAGCATTAACAGAACAACAGGCCAATTTCCATCACAGAACAACTCCTGAGGCATTCTCATTCCTTTCTGAAACTCTTCCATGAACTCCTGCAGTTCCCCCAAAGAAGCATCCATGCAAACTTAGATGAATAAACTATGGAGCTTTTGTGGTGAGGTGGGCCAAAAAAGCAGGGAATTTGGAATCTGGGAGTAGGAAAGAGAAATACATATTATCCACTCAGTAAACTGTCAAGAATGTGTTTCCTCTTATCTCCAGCAGATATTTTCTCTTATCTCCTTGGCCAGAATCAGGTTATATGTCCATTCCAGAACCAGTCACTAGCAGGGGGAATGGTATTATCCTTGACTTGAGGCCAACTCCCCCCAAATATTGCTGGACTCCATAGGCAGAGGGGAGTAGATGCTGGGAAGTCAAGTACACTGTCTATCAACAGGCGTGAAAGCTAAGACTTGCTCAGAGCCATGTCTCTCTGACGTTCAAAGCCCTTGTAGGTTCTTTTCACTTCATTGTACTACATGAGGCAAGAAAAGGGAAGGAAGGATTAGGGAGTTGAATTTCAAGTGCCCTTTTGGAGCATGCAGCTGCAGGAGGAAACTCTGCTTCTTAAAGTACCCTTTCCCCTCTACCTTTCCCTTCTTTTTCAGATGGTCCTCACATCCCACTGGCATTCAGACCAGGGGCACCGTTGTGTAGGGATTGGCTCACACCGTCCAAGGTCCTCTCAATATTTCAGTAACAACTCCCTTTGGCGGGGCATGATGGCTCACACCTGTAATCCCAGCACTTTGGGAGGCTGAGGTGGGTGGATCGCTTGAGGTCAAGAGTTTGAGACCAGCCTGGGCAACATGACAACACCCCGTCTCTACTAAAATACAAAAATTAACTGGCTGTGGTGGCGGGTGCCTGTAATCCCAGCAACTCTGGAAGCTGAGGCAGGAGAATTGCTTGAACCTGGGAGGCAGAGGTTGCAGTGAGGCAGGATCGCGCCATTGCACTCCAGCCTGGGCAACAGAGCAAGACTCTGTCTCAACAAACAAACGACTCCTTTTGAGCTGGAGCCTGTCTTCTGGATTTTGCTGGACAATGGGGAGAGTTACCAGGAGGTGGCAGGATATTTAGGATCAAGTTGTGTTTCCTTGCAGCTGTTTCAGGAAGGAAACCCTAGGAAAGCGATTTTCAGAGAAACTATTTTAGTCTTAGGCAATAATGTTGCCCTGTGGCATGGCAAGGCCACGGGGAGGTGGGGAGGAGGAAGAAGACAGCTGTGGTGGGTGGTAGGTGTTTGGGAACAGGCTTTTTTAGTTTGTTCAAGCTCAAATCAGCCAGAGTTCAAAGCAGCTGACACCAAGCAGGTCATAAACACGAGTTACAAACTGCATGGTCTGAAGTTTTCTCCCAGGCAATCAATCTTTATTAAATATCTCACATGTCCAAGGCTTGGTTTTGGGTGCTAGGGAGGCTGCATGAGATCCCTGCCTCCGACCTAGATGAGGCTGCTGCACAGGCGAAATACTACCTAGTAACACTAGACGGGATATGTGACATGCTAAGAGGGGAGGAGAGACAGTAATTGCAATAGGATTTGGGAGCAGTGTTTCCCAAGGTGTGATCTTTGGAATATCTGTCCCTCAAAATATACTGAAATTAAAAACTGCTCCAAGGGCCTCCAAATTGGGGCAACCCCATATATTATAGGCTCCTTTTGGAGATATCCAGTGCATATGAGTATCTTAAAGGCTCCAAGAAGTCTCATAGAGACTTATTAAATTATTAACCTATTTACCTTTCATAGCCTGATTTCTGATACTTATTTACCCATGAAACACCTCCTTTTTCTCTCCAGGAAACAGGGCTACCCGATCTATCGGTGTCCTATGGAACCACACTGCCCCCTGTGGTCAGAACCACCTGGGATGCAGAACAGCAAGGACTGCAAACTTGGGTGCAGAGGGCTTTCCTCCACGCAACCCAGGAAGCTCCGTGATTGGCAAACTGCTCTGTCAGGATCCATCGAATCAGCAAACATAGGTGCCTCTAGGATGCAAACCAGGGAACAGGACTGTTATGTGGCTTGCTGGTAGCCAAGCAAAATGCCCCGATCCATCAGGTGAGCTGATGATGAGCTTGCAGACATTGGAGAATGTAGCACTGAGGCAGAGTGGCAGCCAGCCTGAAAGGTTTGTCATGTCTTCCCCTGCTTCCCTGGCCCCTTATTCCTTTGGAACGGAGCCCTGATTCCAAGGAGTGCAGGCCCTGCCAGACAGCCTTTGTCCCTACCTGTCCCTCCAGGTTTAGGCCTTGCATGGTCCTCTCCCCGTATCCCTCCTTCCTGCCTGCATGCCTAACACCCTAAATGTTCTCTCTGCTCTGTTCAGTAGCCCAGGCTACTTCCCATCCTTTGAGAATCTACTCCAGCCCACCTCCTCCTCAGTCCTACCCTCCCAAGGACCCGCCCTGAGGCTGGAGTCCTGCTGGCCTCCCACCACACTGGATAACTTGGCATTGCTCTCATTTCTCCTTGCAGGAGACGGGCTTCTCCAGGGTGGTCTGAGATCTCTGGAGGGAAGAACCGTGCCTTGCCTTCTCCTTCCATCTCCTCTCATGCCCATAGAGTCAGGGAGCTGAGAGGACACCAGCCCATCTCTGCCCCGGAGCCTCTAAGCACCTCTCCCTTCCTGCTTTTCCAAATGCCTCTGCAACACCAGGGTGCTGGGCGCATGGGACTGAGGGCCTCCCTCTGGGCCCCTTCTCACCCTGGGCTACCCCAAGTCTTGGACCCCATGTGGAACATGGTCAGCCTTCTGATGAGTCCAGAAAGCATTTCTCCAACATTTAGTTGTGAGCTTAAGGGAATTAAACTTCTCTTTCTGAAAATAAGCTGCAGATTATCCTGAGAGAGGCCCAAACAGGCAGGAGGCTCTGAATATGGCCGCAAGAGCTCAGGCTGTTACTGCCCCTCCTAGGTGCCAGCCCACACAGGCAGGGTTTTCCGCCCACCACCCCCAGGTCAGCCTGGCCATAGAGGGTCTGGGCTGGGGCTTCTCCCCTTGGGGAGTTCAGGCAGCAGAACTCCTGCAATTGTGCTCTGCTTGGGGTGGAAGGTGTTCAGATAAAAATGCCTGGTGGAGTATCTCGGAACCACAGAACTACCTGTGAACGCTGTGGTTTTAAACCCAGGATAGAGCTGTGGTCTGAAAACAGGGTTTTGGAGACACTCAGTGGGAATAAAGTAAAGCAAGGCTCTCTGTGACTGCATGATACAGAACAAGCTCGGTAGCACGGGCTCACTCAGTGGTCTCAGAATGTCTTCTTCTTCCCCTCACCAGACATGTGCAGACTTGGCCTCTCCTGCAGCCCCCACCAGCCCCTATGGTCTCTTTCCCTACTCGCCCAGGAGCCCCCAGCACATCCCAGGTTCTGCCATATGCACACAGTTCCGTCTGCCCCCAGCTCCCTCTCCCTGTGTCTGCCTGCTTAATATCTATCCCACTAGCCAGGTCTGACTGAGGTTCTCCCTATGCTCTTGATTTAAAAAAAAAAAAAAAGCTTTGGAAACAAATTGGAATTTCAATCCTTGCTTTGCCACTCACTAGCTGGGTGATCTTAACATAGTGGTTGGGAGATCCCCGTTCTGCTAGCTGTGTGGCCTTGGGCAAGTTACCTAACCTCTCTGTGCCTCAGCCTTGCTGGCTATAAAATGGAGATAAGAGCACCCATGCGTTGTACAGGGTATAGTTGTGAGGATTAAATAAAGGTGATAATGGTGCGTGTCTGGCACGTGGTAGGTGTAGGGTAGGTGTTAGCTAACTTAGAGATGGAACGCGGCTCCCCCATCCTACCTCTGGCAGCAGCCCCTCCCACTACAGCATCTCCCACTGGGCAGCTCTGTGGCCCAGCTCACCCTGCTTTGAATTTTTTTTACCTTGGAACCGAATTCATTCTCCAGTTGCTGACCTTTGTTAGTGCATCTCCTGTTTCCATCATGCATTTTCCCTGCACAGAATCTCTCTCCTGATCTCCTGCAGAGTGATTCATCTTATGACTGGACCTGAAGTGCCCTCCCTGACACAAGGCCCCTCACGGTGTGCTCCTGGCTGCCTCCTTGCCGGCCTCAGGGAATTGTTCACCTCCTTAAGCAACTGCCTCTTCAGAAACCCAGGCCTACCTAAGTGCGGTTCCTGCAGCCTGGAGTGCCACCCCCATCCCTTCTCTGCTGGGGAACTCCTATTTATTAGGAGTCGGGCCAAATGTCCTCCTCTTGGAAATCCTTCCCAGCTTCAGGGCTCTGCCCTTTACTCCCACACCCTTGGGTCAATGTTTGCCCTCCCTGGACTGTGACCTCCTCCAGGAATTAGGCTCGGGTCCCCAGAGTCCTACACACAGCAGGGGCTGGGGCACTTCTAAGTTAAGGTCGTAGTTGATGGGTCAGCCTGATTGAGCTGCGTGTGCAGAGGATCTGAACTCCTGCAGACACCACTTCTGCATGAGTCTTGGTTTGCCGCTCTGCAAAATGGCCACACCACCTTCCCCACAGCTGCGGAGGGCTGGGCTCTGGGTGTCCAGCAGCACCGAGCTGACACCCAGGAGGCTCATTAAGTCAGTCAGTCCTCTCACCCCTTCCTGGTCGGCTCAGGCTTCCCACATTCATTTTGGGTGTGGTCAGCTCCAATCTCATTTTTGTTGTTCTTGTTAATCAAAGATATAAAAACCTTCATTATCAACTGGCTTAGAGATCCTAAATCATCCTTTCAAGCGTGAAAAAAAATCTTTCTTATTGGTTGTTAGACATACCAGTGACTCTCTTCGTTGCGATGGTGATTCTTTGACACCCCCTCTTGCAGATTAGAAATGCCTCACACTTTTCTAAGTCTGGCTGCCCCGCCACAAACAAGGACTTCTGGCCCCCAGCAATTCCCAGTCCAAACAGGAAGGAGGGCCTGGCAGTCTCCGGGGGTTGCAGTTGTGGCCTCAGCTGTCAGAAGTGAACCTAACCTTCCTGTGCCAGGACCTGGGTCAAGATTGGAGATGATCCCATATGCACTTCTGTATTCAGCTGTGCGGTCTTCTGACAGAGGCGGTATGTAAAGCCAAAAAGCCCCCTAGCTACTTGTCCAGGACGCCTGCTCCTGGAGTTTCTCCAAGTTAACTCTTGTCAGCAAAGCTACATGAAATTCTGTGGCACCCTGTGGCTCTGCGTCTGTCACTCACTCACACACACGTGCTCTCTCCTGACATACCTCTGGTAACTATGGAGCTAGTCCTCAAGGTGGAATTTTACTCTCATGATAAAGACAGTCTCTTCCCCCTTCTTTTCCATCTTCCTCCCATTCCCATGAGTCCTCCACACAGGTTTGTTCCTTTAAAGGTTTATTTCTGGCAAATAAAAAAAAATAACTTATGTGGTTAGATAAATTAATGTATGTGATTAGATACGACACAGGGCAGAGCTGAACGTTCCTGTTTTCTTCTGGATCTTGAAGGTTGGTGAGAGGCCGCTGAATGAGACCCAGCCTCGTGTTTTGTGGGATGAAGAGATGCAGACAAAGTGACTCAGGTACACTGATGCTCCCTGGAGGGCTGGGAGGTGGGCTCAGAGGAAGAGGCCGAATCCAAACCTTTTTTATTGAAAAGAAATAGCTCTTGTTTGTAGCATTTAAAAGAATCAACCCAAACTCTGCACACACTCATCCGTAGTGACCATAAACATGACATACCAAGCAGAGGCTCAGAAAGATGGAGCAACAGACTGAGGACATTTTCAACATGGTACTTGGGGATACCTTTGGGAAAGATGCCTTCCCCAGCAGAGGCCAGCACTGTGGAGAGATAGGACCAGAGCCACTACTGGCACAGTTGTCAAGATCTTTTGCTTTCTGAACTCTGGGGACCGCTGCCTTTTAGCCTGAGGGGAATGTCTCCAAATTTCTTGGGTTGGTAAGTCTCAGAAGCAGCCAGCCCCTTGGTCAACAGAGGGTACCTTTCCTCCAGGAATCTGAGAATGGAACATGCTGATAGTCTGTGCTGAGATCTTAAGGCCAGCATCCCAGAGGCCTTTCCAGAGCCCAGAACCTCAAAGCTGGGAGAGAAGATTCTGGGGACTATCTGCCAGGGAGGAAACCAAGGCTCCTCGGGGGTCAGCGTGTGAGTTCCCCAGGAGCAGAGACCATGGCTTGCTCACCACTTTTGACCTGTGTCTGGTTCCTTGATGAGGTTTTGGCCTTGGCATCACTTTGGAGGTGGGGTTTACTCTCTTAGGCTATGGTGAATTTTGGTTATAATTTTTTGATAAATTAGGAACAGGCTTTAGTTGCCTGTAAACACACTGACTAAGACAGCCAGAAAGCAAGCAGGTGAGAATCAGAAGAAGCTCGAAGGGTTTTCCCTGATAAAAGCATATGCCGTGAGGCTACAGGCAGCTCATTTCTTAAGGCCCGTGCATAGACTGCAGGCTGGGCAGCTGCCTCTGCAGCCGACCTGGAGGGACTGTGTTGACCGACTGCAGGGCCAACCAGGAATTGAGGAACCTGCCTGCACAGATGGCCAGGGCCACAGCTGGCTGGACACTGGCAAAACTTAAACAAGGGCTGTTCATTGAACTAAATATGACCTCAGCATCCCTATCTAAAGACTCCTGAAAGGCCCAAGTAAAATCTAAATTTTCAAATCACTGGGCAGTTCTGAAATCCAGTTCAGGTTCCCCTTTTGGCCATCGGGAACAGCAATTTCTGGCACAAAAATCAGCCCAAGGATTCAAAGCCCTCGAGGAGTAGAGGGGTGTGAGAAGAACCACATGTCAACACACCGGCTCTCTCTTCACAGAGATACACTTCTATGCTCCAGACCTGGGGCCGTTTTTACTCTGACACCACTCTCTTATTAGGTGTTCTGAAAGTTCACACTCCCAAATGAACTCATGCCTGTGTTATTTTCCTTTGAAGGACCAGAAGGCCCCCTCAGTACCATCTGAGGACACCGCAGTAGTGCCTATTAAATAACATCCAGACAAGGCATGGCCCTTCAACTATCTTATGAAATGAGAAACCACCACACCGGCCACGAAGCCGTTCACATACACATGTGCAGGGTGGATGAGGAAAGGACAGATGAGAAACTGGGACCATACCAGGTGATAACTGAGAACCAAACTCCCCAAAGCTCCCAGCACTGGACGACTCCAGAAAGGTGAGTATTTATATAGCTCCTACAAAAATAAACTTTCGATGCCTGTTCTTTAGAGTTATAAAGGAAAGGCCTTTGCATTTGGTTTGTCTCTGGAGGCTTTTCTGGTATCAAATGCAGTAAAGGTTTTAAATGACTCTGAGGCAAGGTGGAAGAACTGGCTGCCTGCCCCTGCCTTGGTCCTGGGTTTTCAGGATGGGATGGGGCACAGGCAGAAGAGGGCAGCTGCCCTGGGCACAGCATAGAAGAGCAGAGGGTGGGGTGGGCTGGGCCACAGAGGGGATCCCCAGAGTCCTGTTACAGGAGGCCATGAACACATTGTGACTCTGAGCATTGGGGTCTGACTCCTGAGTGTCTCTGGAAGCACGTGTGCCCCTCCTCTCAGTGTCCGGCCAAGGCAGGCATGAGGTGTTGGATCAGCTCCACTCAAAGAGGGCGAGCCAAGAGTGTGCCAGCTTTTCCCCAACAGGCTAGGGCTCCAGCAGCTCCCCTCCTCTTCAGAACTGGTGCCCACACACTGTCAGTGTCCTACACATACTCTCACTTGCTTTTCCTTTACAGCGTCTTTTCTCTAACTTTACTGGTCTGAAAAAAAAAAATTCTAATACGTGCAGCACTTATAAGTAACTTATAAATATGGGAAGCTGTCAGAAGTTTATGTATTTTAAAACCATGACATGGGCTAGAGTCTGGTGAAACAAGATCGGGCAAGGTCGAAAGGTGACATCTTCGGAGGACCAAAGCACCAACTTTCCCCCGTCAGTGGAACTTTGAAACTATAGTGTGGATGGAGTCCAAGACATGATAGCACACCAGAGAGAGAGAGAGAGAGAGAGGCGGAGGGTGAGTGCCTTTAACTGTTACCAGTTTTGAAAATCATGTACTTCCATTAACTTTTACCTTCCCCACTATGAATTCTTTCAAACACTCCTGCTCCCTGGCATTAGATTCTGTCCCACGAGCCATTCATCTTCCATGCACTGCCTTGGCTAAAGGTGCAGATTAAGGGTAAATTCAAGCCCTTCCCTTCCTATGGGAGGGCTCTGAAAAGGGGAAAGAAAAGAGGGGAAAAATATGAAATTCTGGAAGTGTGACATCCAGAAAATGAAAACATCTTATGTCTTATGTGATAATAAGTAAAACTATCTTGTTAAAGGTTCACATTGATTTTAGGATGCATTTAGATTTTCTGGATATTAAGACAGAAAAAAAGGCGTTTTGGGTTGGAGGACAGGGGACAGGTTTGTAAGCAGATCCTTTCCAATCCGGGCTTGTGACCATTCTGAAGGCACAGAAACCAGCGTGGGACCTAAAGATGAGTCACTGAGGAAGCTCTTTATTCCAGCAGAATCCCCACCCTGGACGCTAAGGAGACGAGCATTCCACTGACTGTCAACTGGGAGCCGTGGGTTTGTGTGGATGACTCTGTGTGAGCTGAAACAGCCTCTGCAGGGTAAGGAGCCCACAGACTGTATTACAGCCCCTGCTCACCAAGCCCCGACGGCCTTCCGCAACTCTGCCCTTTGGACTACGGAGGAACAAAATAATCGTTCAGTTTTCTGGGCCACAAAATACAAGATGGGTCTGGGTTGTACAAGGAGCTTACACACGGAGGCAAGAAAGCGTGCAAACAGGGGCGGGAATTTTTCACCCCCTGGGTGAGCCAGTGCTCAAGACATGGAAGGAGGACCTGAGTCACCCTCCCGGAGTCCACACGGGTTTGTGTTTCTGGCTTTTATGAACCATGTCCAACTCCAGCTTCCGTCTTCTCCTGAGAGGAAGAAGAATATTCTATGACGTCAATGATTTTTTTCCCTATCACAATATCATAAAGAGGTCCAGGAGCAGGCCTAAGAGAAGGACCAACAAAAGCCAAAGTGTCTGAGAACAACATAATACTGACTTTTCTTTGTTGGTAACAGTCCATGAAACGTGCACCCCTCTCTCCTGAGACACGGTGAGGCATGAGGGGAGGCGGCAGAGGAGTTGTGGGTAGGACATTGTACCGTGTGACATCACGATCATGCAGCCAGTGCCGACGGGACAGAGATGTGAGAACAAGCACGCAGGGCTCCAGGCTCACCCGGGAGGGAGGTGGGCGGTTTCCAGCTAAGTGCCCAGCCTCTCAGGAACACTGTCTGTCCAGTTCAGCCAGGGCCATCCCCTGGGGCTCGCCATCTGGGCTCGCACCTTTAGCCCTCATCTTCCCTCAGCTCGGTGGGTAAAAACTTATACTGCTGCTGGCGGATTTGGGCCAGTTTTTTCCTTGCTTCTTCCAGTTCTCGCTCTTTCTTTAGCATTTCTTCCTGGGCGGCGATGATCTAGAAAGAAAGCAACAAGCTGGATGGACCTAACACTTTGTAGAAAACCCTCCGACCCACCCCACTGCTCATGTGAGCTCCACGGCTCCCGCGACCGTGGGACACTGCAGCACATCCGGAACAGCTTTCTTAGCTCTGGCGACCAGCCTCTGTCACTGTTTGGGTTTTGAGACTAATGACCCAGCTGAGCCATGAAAACACGCTGGTTCTGGCCTGTGATTGAACAGCAAACATCTCTTGCAGCCTTACTATGTACCAGGCTCTGGTGCAAACACTCCACGTAGACAGTCCCTTCACTGAAGGGGCTGCCCTGTGAAGCATGCCCTGTTGAAAGTCTTGTTTTTCCAAGAAGAAATCTGAAGCTGAGCAATGTAGGTCCACTGTCTGGAGTCACCCAGCCAGTGGAGGAAGACCCGGTCCAGGTATGGGCAAGGCTAAAGCGGAGCCCTGGACCACCAGATGGCCCTCAAATGCTTATTTCACGCTTTCAAGGTGTGATCTGAGGAAGACTTGCTGATAGGTATTGTGTGGAAAGGGAAAGTTGTGTTCAAAAAAGCAAAGTCAGTTCCTTTCCTGGCTTTCCAGAGCCTTGACTAGGCTACCGACTATCATTATTACCAGGGCAGGGTTATTGAATGCAGTATTCTCCAGTGTTATTTGATCAGAGCCCCTTCTCTGTGAAACTTCTCATGAAATTAGCGCATGGAGAAACACATTCTGGTAAAAATACATGCAGTGCATAGCCAAACACAGGGCGTGGTTCAGGAAGAGCTAAGGCAGACATGGGGAATGAATAACTTCAGTGCTCCTGATGCGGATAAATAAAACAGTCCCCTAAAATGGATTTACGAGATGGAGACACATCAGAAAGTTTAAGCCTGACTTCCTAGAGCTTTCTCCTCACTCCCATGCGTGAGAATGCAATCCTGCGTAAGTCAGAATCCCACCTGCTCTTATAAAAGTTCTGGGAGAGGGAAAGCATTCTCTGTAGGGCCAAATGTCTGCAGTGGGCAGTACCTCCAAATGCATCATTTTATTTAAATAATGTTGCTGTCCTCCATTTTTGCTCTTCTTCCTTTCTACAATAGAATCCTTGATTTTTATCTAGGCAAATGCTACTCACAAAAAATATATACTACATTGTCCAGCCTCCCATGCAGCTGGGTTGGGCACATTATTAAGTGCTGACCAATGGTATGTGAGAGGACGTAATGCCTGCAGCTTACGGTCATGGCCTCCCCTCCTTTCCCTCTTCCTGCCACATGGAAAGTTGAGGGGGCTACTGAACCAACGTGGACCACGTGGCCAAGGGTAACATCTCAGGGATGGTGAAATAGAAAGGCAGATGGATCTGGCTCTCAGACATGAAGGAAACACCACACCATCTCTGGTACACGAGGAAGAAATAAACTTTCATCTTGAAGTCACTATTCTTTTGTCTCTGTTATAACCCAACACCTCTCTCGGGAAGTAAATACTATTCTTGATTTAATTACAAACCTGAGCAATGCCCCCCACAAACTTGGTTTTCACTACAACATCGTCGTCATCAGCTTTGCCAAAAGCTGCCTTCTGGGCTGCACGGACAAGATTGTCTGAGGCTCTTTTCACAGCATTTCCTGCCGCCTGGAGAGTGAACAAAACATACATTATATCATTAGAAACAGCCATTTGGGCCTGGCAAGAATAGACATGAAGGTACAGTTTGTGAGACCATGAGTCAATTGATTATCCAATTATAACATCAAGTTCTGTAGCCAGAGAGTACCCATCTGTCTGTCCATCCATCCGTGGATTCTGCCAACACTGGAACCTACCTGGTCACTCACAGATGAATGAGACAAAGTGCCTGTTACCCCCAAGGAATACTCATTTTTGAGGGGAATTACAATTATGTAAATATTTAATAAATGATCCCAGCAATGTGATGTGTGTGTTAACAGAGGCATGCCGGAGTTCTGCCTCCTTGGTCTGGAAAACCACCTCGCCTGCCTCCATCTGATTTAGCACATACTTGAGGACTTGGCGCAGACATCACTTTCGCTTGTCTCCCTTAGCTCTACCCATACCCTCTCCCTCTGTGTGCCTGGAGTGTGCTGTGCCGGCTTCACTGCAGCCTTTACCACGCTTGTGGCTGGCTGTTCCCTCCTGGACAGTCAGCAACTTGAAGGCAGGGGCAGTGACCGGAATCCCTGCATCCCTAGCAGCGGCAATGTGGCTGTCCATGGTTGGTGCTCACTGAAGGCTTTGAGGGAATGAAGGGCTACCCCTCTGTGGAAGGGCTGGGAGCCTCATAGTAACTACGGCCTTTTGCTCGTACTTTTAGGGTCTCAGCACCACAGGCTCTAAGATGGAGTGACTGCTAGAGACAGGTAAAGAAGAGCTTTTCATTTTTCCTTAGATCTTCCTTAAGGGCTATTGCCTGTATTGGCTTATTTTTAATGCTCATGAAACATGTCCCCAGGGACATGCCAGCTGAGGTTTGGAATTTTCTTCTAAAAGTGGTTAAGGCTTCATTAAACCTCTCTTATTTCTTGTCCAGCGCCCCCTCAGAGTCGAAGGCTTGTGCTTGAGGGTTCGCCATCAGAAAGTTGAGAGTTCTTCTCATTCAAAGTTAACTGCCCCATCTGGTCTGTGAACTAAAGTGACCAATGCAAACTATGAGGGCTTGCACAGGGTGGGACGCGAACCAATTAATATTTGACAAGTAATCACCATGTGCTTATTTGCCAAAGGGTTTATGAGGTCAGAAATCTTTAGCCCACTTTTCTGATGTGAAACCAAGGTTAAGAAACCTAACATTTTGTAGCTAGCAGGTTATACAGCTGGGATCTGCACATAGGTCCATCTAGCCCCAGGGAACTCCTGAGTCATTTATAAGGGGCTCAAATAAAACATTGCAACATCCAGTTAAATCGGTAATGATGGGAACAAGAGTGATGCTGCATTCTATCTGTGTAAATCCTTAGGACCTAACAAAGCACTGTCATATGCATTCTCCTATTTGACCCTCATAAGAGTCAGTGTGGATGGCTCTATCCCCATTTTACAGATGAAACCCCTGAAAAGTTTTGAGTGATTTATATAAGATTATGCACCTAATAAATGGCAGAAGCAGGACTTGAACCAGGTCTCTCTTAACTCAGGATGTTTTCCTCAGAAGTGTCCCCCAGACCCAGAAATCACATATTCACAAACGAACATGCAGCTCCTCAATTTTTCCCTGGGTTTATCCCAGGTATCAAATAAAGGTGAGGGAGGTGTGGGTCAGAGAGGGACTCAAGAGGGCCAAAAAATGGAAATGCACTTTAGGCCTTTCACAATACAACAAGAATTCTGAGATTTCTGCCATTTATGATTTGCTACATGACTGATGTAAACATACTTTTAGCAATACAGACAATCTACATTTTAACACTTACAATAAAAAAATCTCGAAAATTGGAAACAAAATGTCCAAAGTATAGGGAAATTCTGGCATAATCAGTTGATGTAATATCATGCAATCATTAAAAATGGAACTCATGAAGAATGGGCCAGCTAGCTTTGCATAGAGAAGTTAATGAAGCCTTATCTTCAAGGAAAAATTACATATGATAAAATGTTAAGTGAAAAGAAAGCAGAATGTATCTCGCCATGATTACAACTGGACAAAATTATTTTATATGTAGATAAAAACGAACAGAAAGCAATGATAACGTTTGCTATATGAAGATGTTGGGGCTGTGTGATTTTTTTCATTTAAGCATTTCTTTTATTGTATTTAAAATATTTTTATAATTAAAGCAATCAGGAAAATGTATCTGCTCTGAGAAGGACTTGATTGTTACCTTCCTAACATGTTCTCTGGGCTCTGGGAAACAGCAACAGTCTCATAGAATTTCAGTCATTTTACTCCCTTCTGTAGCAGACACTGGCTGAAGGCCTCCTCTGAAGCAGGCACCGAGTTAGTAACGTATGAGAGAGGCACAGATGAAGATGTGGTGCCTGCATCTAAGAGGCTCACAACCTGCTCACAGACAGACCTACAGTAGCACCATGTGATGGGAACCTGAGTGGTCTGGCTAGGGGCTCTCAAAGCACAGAGGAGGGATAAACTGCCCAAACCCTGGGAGTCAGGGAGGGCTTCCCAGATGAGTCACAAAGGACAAGTAGGGGTCTGCTGGGTTGGGCTGGCGAGGAGCAGGGCCCCAGGGCATGAGACCAGAAGGCACACGAGGAGAATGGCAGCGTGGTGGGGCAGCAGTGGAGGATGCATGGACGCACGCAGTAGATGAGGCTGGAACGTGGACAGGGCTGGCTGATGGAAGGCCTGGTGGGTCATGCCAAGGAAGTGAGGCTTGTCCCCTCTGGTGACACTTACCCGCTCCAACAGGAGTATTTTCCCACCAGCATCAGTGACCATTACCTGTAGCCGCCTCATGGCCTCTGAATCCTGGTCGGCCTTCACCTTGCAGGCCACCAGCAGCTGAGCCGTGGAAGCGGCGACCTGCTTGGCAGATGAGATGAGCTTCTCCTCGCTGGCGTGTCCCTGAACGGAGGCATTGGCCGCCTCACAGAGACTGCTGGTCGCAGCCGCCACCATCCGGGCCTGGGGACAGTCAACGGAGAAGTGACCCAAGGCCCAAACCTCCCTCAGGGGACCCCAAAAGCAAACTGGGAGGAAGGAGAAGGCAACTCACAGCAGAAATCAGCCCCTGTGACCACTGTCCGTCGTCTGCAGCATTGGCAGGGATGGAGCCCACCTAGAGAGTAGAGTCGAGAAATTGGCCATGAGGGCAGGCAGCCCCAGTGGTCGCAGCCCCTCATCCCCAGACCTTGCTCGGGAACCAGACTTGTACCCCGCTTGGTGCCTCCTGCCAACAGCACAGGCCTGAGAATGGAGCAACCTTTCTCACGTGGGACTCAGGCCATGCCAAGAAAGATTGCACAGCACATCCTGGCAGGTTTCGCCACCAAGAGGCGACAGGAAATGCTAAGAATGGCTCCACTTAGCTTCCAGGTACTGCAATTCTGGGAAACGGCTCAGGAATGATGACCTGGGGCTGTCTTTCTACACTTACTCCTCTGCTGAGCTTTCTCCATTTCATATGTGGGAGCCACTAGGCCTCCTCTTTTCAAGGGCTAAGAGAAATTTAAATCTCTCCCGATTACTGACCCTGAAAACCACACTGCGTTTCTGGCAGATGATGTTAAAAAAGTGTGGTGGAACTCCCTCTGGTACAATTGAGTGCAGACCCTTGTCTTAAGGAAATACCATTTGTCAGGGGTGGGAGAGAAATATGGATCTCTGTTTCTATTTAGAAATCATGGCAACAAGTAGAACATTTTCTGTCCACATCCAGAGGGAGAAGCCACAGGAGGAAATACCTTGAAGCTTGTGGGACGTGCCTGGTGAGGTAAGAGTATCTCAATTTGAATATGAAATTGGGGGTGTGTCAGCAATAAAAGGGCCACATCAGGGATTGCTGAATGTCAGGTAAAACTCCAAGGTCCTGCCTATAATACTATAGTTCACCCAAGTCTGGCTGAACCTCCTTCACCAATTTTTTAAATGCTTGAACACGTAAGTTCGTTGGAGGACAGATAGGGACTCTGCCATGTCCAAGTTGGATTCTCTAGTATCTAAGCAATGTGTTGGACACATAGCCCTTTATCAATGTTGAAATAACCAGGATTTTTTTTTTAAACATAGGATATTCCGTTCAATGACACATCTGTCATCTTTACATGTTGACCAGCCAACAAGAACTTGCTGAGTACAGGACGGACAAGGTTGGCATTCCGCTGGCTCTACAGGGGATCAACGGGAAGGATGGAGAGAACAGCTTGTGTGCCAGGTGGGGAGACGGACATGGACCAATACTGAATAACCTACAACACAATGGTTTAGAAAGAGAATTCAAGGTATGTGGACTGGACTTAAGCCATGGCTAAGCTCACAAAAGACTTCCTGGAAGAAGATGTACAGCCTATGGTGAGGCACAACCTCCCTGTCTGTACTGCGAGTTCTTGGGTCAAGACACAACTCACCTCTACCTATCTGTACACTGACAGCAAAGTCCTTTTAATATCAAACAGAAATGAATGACAATGATGGTGACCACATTTCCCAAACCCACGAACGGTCAGGTTTCTGTGGCGCCTCTCCATTTGAGAGGCTCTCTGAAAGCCAGTCGTGGATAGCATGCTTCCATGTGTATGTAAATAACAAGACATATGGAACATGTTAAATCGGAAGACTGTTCCATATCCAGAATTACTAATGTACTAATAATCCTTTGAATCCTCAAAAAAAACAAAAAACACTATACTTTTATGCCAAAGTAGATGGAATGGGTGACTAGAGATAAAGCTGAAGAAATTTCAGATTTAAAATCTGACTGGCCCATTCACCAGCAGACTTAGGAAAGTGCTAACTGCGAAGCTGGCCAGTATTCAGCTCGACAGTCCTAAAAACAAACGGAACCCTTTGGAGCTGGAAAGTGGTATCATAAAAGCCGCCGAATGCGGTGCTTCTAGAGCGGCCCACCAGGAAAATATGACAGTTTACATCTTTACGTAGCCTAATGTACAGTGGGAATATAAATATCTCGTTCAGGCCCCAGTCACTGCCTGGAATGGGATGCTTTCCTTAACAAGAAGCAGATGAGAGGCCCAGAAGCCAAACCTCTTATTCTGTTGGTCTGAAGGCTGTAGTTTTCAGTCGGTCAGCACAGAGAGTGGCAATTCAGGGAGGGAAGGCACTGCATGTGTTTCCTTGGTCAGGACAAAAGCTTGTAGCTCTTTTCCTGGGCCCCCTGAGGCTCTCGTACGTTGAGTGTCCCGCATGTGGTCAGCGGCTTTACCCACCTTTCCTTGGGCCACCAGCTCCCTCTGGGCTGCTGAGGCCGATTTGACCAGGGCGCTTGTGGCAGCAGCAATGGATTTAGCAGCTTCCAAGATCTGTTCCTCAAAGTCCAGGGTCTCATCCGCTTGCTATAACCAAAAGAAAACAGCATCACATTCAATTCATATCCACAAAGGGCTCTTTCTTCCAAACTACTTACTGCCGGGTCACCTGGCTCTTCACCTGCCTATTGTTTTTTGTTGACAAACCACACCTGAAATGGGATGGTTCCTTAACAAGAAGCAGATGACAGGTCCCCTGTGCAAACTTTCAGGACTCTTAAGTCAGTTTGGTTAAGCCACCCTCGGGTCACAGTGTGGAAGATGTGGCTGGTACCTTTCAGGCATTAAGAGACAATGGCCAGGCACAGCAATAGTTTTCTTTGTATGTGTGGTACAATATATATAACACAAAATTTACCCTTTTACCTAATGTTAAGTATTAATACACTGACACTGTTGTACAACAGCAATACCAGGATAGAAAGGTCAGGATGCCTCTCCACCTGCAGCCCCTTCCCCCTAACTCCAAAAGGAAAAAGCCGTTAGCTTGACATCCCACGGAAATTTGCAGACAGACTCATTTTCTGGAACAAAATCTTTAAAGATATACACTCACTGTGAACAAAATACACTCAAATGGTTTTAGCAACATCAATAACTGAAACCAAAATAATAAAATCAAAACAGTAGATCATAGCACTTACTCTCTTCTAGAGCCTAAGCCTCAAAAATGGACTTTAAAAAAAAAAAAAGGAAAGATGGCTACCAGTTCTGAAAAGTTGTCTTTTTCCTGGGTAAAAATCAAAGCCAAACAGCACTGGCATTTCTGTGGCTGAGCACTGAGAGAGTTATAGACCAAGCACACATTGCCCAGTGGTGAAAAAGAAACCAGGGCAACACGACATCAAGGTGGAGCTTGTTCTGTCCTCTGGACACCCGAGGCACGGGATCCACCTTGGGAAGAACACTGGACACCACTGTGTAGGTGTTATCAGACCATTAGGGTTCTGGTCTAAATTCACCACCATCTCCTTTGCTGCTAAAACAACTCAGGAAGTTGAAAAGAAGCTTTGGAGAAGTGGAACAAGTATAAAGACTGTGGTCCCAGGCTCATGGGTTGGAGCATCACAGTTTTGCCGGGGGGTGGTCAGATTAGACCTGTGTGACAACATTCCGTGACTCTAGGTCAATTTGGTTAAGCTGCCCTCAGGTCACACAGTGTTGAAGATGTGGGTGGTACCTTTCAGGCATTGAGAGATGATGGCCAGGCCCAGCAATACTTTTCTCTGTATGTGTGGTAAAATATATGTAACACAAAACTTACCCTTTTATCCAATTTTAAGTGTACAATTCAGTGGCATTACGGACATTCACACTTTGTGCCAACAGTAGTAGATTTTTAAGAGTGCCTACTGTGTACCAAGTATTTTGTTAGGCACTTCTACATACAATGACTTAATTCTCACCAAAAAAAAAAAAAAAGATCGTATATTGGAATTATCTTTATCCTTATTTTTACAGTGAGAAAACCCAGGCTCAGGAAGGTAGATGATTGGGCCAAGGTGATGTGGCAGCATGAAGCATCTAAACCAGAATCTAAACCTAAATCTGACTCCAAAATGAGGCACTTTAACTAGCCAAAGCCACCCCTTGGGGCATCAGTGAGAAACGGTTTGTGCCAGAGGTTCAAAGTCAGCTTGCTAACGCTCCCATGTGAAACGTCAGACAGGAGGGATACAAGTCTTCTCCAGCTCTCCATTCATAATGCCACATCTTGAACCATGAAAGGTGCTAATCCTTTTTCTTTATAACCTACATTATCAAAATACAATTTCAATGCACTTCTAATGGATCTGAATGATGGTAGCATTTCAGAAGTTCTGAGACAGACTTGTGCATTCTTTCTTATTGCTGACCAAGTCTTGCTCTAAGAGTATTCAGGACAGACATGAATTTAGTTCTACTGGACTCATTTTGGACTGGTGGAGTATAGAATTTGGTGACTGAAATACGGAAATGATCCATTGTAAGACACTCTCGTATAAAAGGAACTCTTGTGTAGTCAGTCCCCAAATAAATTATAGTAGGCTCTAATTTATATATATTAAATATATAAATAATGTATATTTTAATAACCGTGAGATTAAGAGCTTTTCTGGAAATTCATTCTGCCAAAGAATGTCAGGCACATAACAGATTAAAGCACCAGGGAAATCACAGAATTTTTGACTCCAAACTCCTCATCTCATTTTGCAGATGAGGAAACGGAGGCTTGTGGGAGCTCTTCATGGCGGCTCCTGAAGTCTCTCACGCTCTTGCCTCAGGTGTCCTCAGCTACTCTATGGGTTCCACGCCCGAGTCCACTTTACAGTGTGGAATACTCTGTCAGACTTTTTATTTCCCAAATTTTAAGATTTTCAAAAATGGAATTTCTTTAAAATTAAGTGCTACGTCTTTAGCAGGGGTAGATCTGATAGGATCATCTCATCACAACTGATTTTACGAGCCTCTCCCACATCTTCCGCTGCCTGGAGTTTTTTTTTTTTTTAAACACAAGCTTGTAATAATAGATATTCAACTTGGAAATATTTTTGACACCCACAGATTTTTCTGGTAATGGCAACTGTTGTAATGTTCTTTGACGAATTTTTATTTTTCTTCCCACAACATCTCTATGCTTTAAAACAGATACGGCAGAAGTTCTTATCTCTGGGAGACATTTGCTCTGATAAGAAAGTATTAAGATTCTCCCTAGAAAGGCTGACTGGGATGGCACAGGGATGGAGGGCTAATGTTAGATACTACAGTTTGGGCAGAGTACCCTGATGAAACCTGCCTTCTGACTGCTGTGTCCCTATTTTCCTGTATGCCAGGTTTATGACTAAGACGCACTGCCCACCCTACCTCTACTGCTGAAATCAGACACCAATACTTAACGTGTCCTCATACCATACAACTTCTAGCCTTAGAGAAAATGGCATCTCTCCAAGCCAAGGAGACATGGTCAAAAACCCAGGTGCCCCATCAGTTCCAGCTCCCATTAGCATGCAGAATGGAATAGGGGAGAAGGTAGGAAGGACACACACTTAACCATATCACAAGAAGGAAACAGAATTGGCTTGGTCTTCAAAGGACTTTCCTAAATAAAAGAATCCCAATTAAAATGCAGAATTTGTTAATGGAACAGTCCCCACTGCAGCTGAGAGACTGGGGAGACTAAGAAGAACAACATGGTGCACAGTGACTCCGGGGAAGAATCTGCAGGCTGGGCCCTCTCCTGGAGCTCTCATTCTCACCTTCTCACCAGAGAGGCTCACCTGGTTGGTGTCTTAAGGCCCTCTTTAGCTGAGATGTTACTGACCTGACCAGGGTCAGTCAGATCTCTCCTTCTGGTTTATAAAGGGGATAACGGAATCCTCGCTTCTGGGTGTTTCATTCTTTCCACAATTGGATCATGTAAAGACCCGCTAAAATAATCTTTTAAAGATTATGACTAATCCTGTGCATGTGGCTATTTATGTTTCTCTATAACTACTGGCATCAAGCTAAAGCAAGGAACTTTAGAAAACAATTTCATTAAACAGGATAAATTGATAGTCTTTAGCCATAAAAAAGAGTGAGATCCTGCCATTTGCAACCACATGGCTAGAACTGGAGATCCTTATGTTAAGTGAAATAAGCCAGGCACAGAAAGACAAACATTGTATGTTCCCACTTATTTGTGGGATCCAGAAATCAAAACAATTGAACTCATGGACATAGAGAGTAGAAGGATGGCTCCCAGAGGCTGGGAAGGGTAGTGAGGGGCTGGGAGGTAGGGATGGTTCATGGGTACAAAAAAATAGAATAAGACCTACTACATGTGACAGCACAACAGGGTGACTATGGTCAATAACTTAATTGTACATTTTAAAATAATTAGAACAGTGTAATTGGATTGTTTGTAACACAAAGGATAAATGCTTGAGAGGATGGATACCCCATTCTCCATGATGTGCTTATTTCACATTGCATGCCTGATATTGTTTGGCTGTGTCCCCACCCAAATCTCATCTTGAATTGTAGCTCCCATAATCCCCACATGTCATGGGAGGGACCTGGTGGGAGGTAACTGAATCATGGGGGCAGGTCTTTCCTGTGCTGTTCTCGTGATAGTGAGTAAGTTTCATGAGATCTGTTGGTTTTATAAAGGGGAGTTCCCCTACACAAGCCCGCTTGCCTGCCGCCATATAAGATGTATCTTGCTTCCCCTTCGCTTTCCGCCATGATTGTGAGGCCTCCCCAGCCATGTGGAACTGTGAGTCAATTAAACCTTTTCTTTATGTATCACCCAGTCCTGGGTATGTCTATATTAGTTGTGTGAGAACAAGCTAATACAATGCCTGTAACAACACATCTCATGTATTATATATATATAATATAATATATATTATATATATATACCTACTATGTACCCTCAAAAACCAAACAGAAAAAAATTTTAAAGAAAAATAAATAAATAAATAAATAAATGGATAGCCCTCACTGCAGAATCACCTGAGGATCTGGTTAAAGATGCAGATGCTGTTTTGGTAGGTCTGGGGTGGGAGTCAGGAATCTGTATTTCTTACAGAGGTGGTTACACACTACTCTGTAGGAAATGCTGGCCTGGACTCAGGAAAACAAACACCATTTAACTTAAACCTACCAGCCTGTGATCCCCTCCAGGGTGAGACTGTGTTTTATTCAACCTATGTTTCTCTAGCACAAAATCAGGCAGAGGAGCCCATGTGATGATCAACATTTGCTGAATGAATATATCCATTCAAAATGCATTTCCCAAGTTCCAGAGTTCAGCCAGAGCACAACGCACAAGGTAGGAGAAGGAGAAATACACAGAGTAAGCATCCACATCATTAGCATCCACTCCTGAGCCCTGGTGGACAGATGCATACACAGCTATGAGCAAGTTCCTGCCCTGTTTGAGGCCTTGAGTTGTTAATTGTACACTCTACTTGCAGCCTTCAACTGGAATTCACAGTTTGTGACATTTAGTCATGCATGGACATACAAATGTAAACACAGTGGCATTTTACCAAGAGGCACTCTTATGTAACAAGACAGCACTGGGAAAAAGAGTGAACAGATGTACAAACTAAGCTTCTACTCTGCCTAATGAAGGTGTTTGTTGCTGCCTCTGCATGCTGAATTAACTTCTCCTTTGATATACTGTTCTTTTCCCCCTTCCCCTTCATTTGAAAAGGCTATTTGGCCAGGTGCCCATCAGCTCTAAGCAATCGTCTTTCCTGGGCTGTCTGGCCAACTCTTGCTGAGGACAGATTTATCCCTACCTGGGCTTTTTGGTAGCTTCTAGAAAGGTCTGAGTACCCTGTAGTTGACCTCTTCCCTGCATGCTGACCTTCCTTGCTCACCCTTTAAAAAGTCAGTGGTCTGGTGAGATCCCTCTTGGGAAAGGCTATATATTGGGTTGGCTCCCTTCCCCTGTTTCCCAGTTGGGAGAGTATTTGGGACCCCTTTATGTTGCTCTGATGGGTTTAAAGTTTCAGTAGCTATATGTCCCCTGGAAGAGGAAATGGTGGTGGTAGGGGAAGTGGTGTGGAAAGTGGAGAAGGTAAAAGGGACAGCCTTTCCTCATGTTTCTTTTGACATTTGGCCTTTCATGGATTCTGAGAACATGGTCTTCACACTAATTCATTCATCTTCTAAGCCTACTTCCCCTCCTAACCTATCTGATGGAGTCATTACAAGCACGTGATTAGTATATGTAAAGCATGGCTGACTCATAGGAGATGCTCAAAAACTATTAGCAATTTCATTATCAAAAATTGTTTTTTTCAGGTTTGGGGCTAAATTAATCTGTTTCTCTGTCTAAACCCTGTTATGTATCCATAATTCCAATAAAAATTCTTCTTGCTATTTCTGATTACAGCCTAAATTCATTATAAGTAAAACCCACAAATCAGTAAGCGTCAGGTACCAAACAGCATAGATGGGCACCAGCTCCTCTCTCAGCACCCAACCAGGAGTGGGACAATCCGGGTGGTAGTCACTGTTCTGTACTTTGACTATGTGACTGTGGAGTCTTCGCTGCCCTTTCTCCAGGTATCAGTTACTCAGTTTTCTGTCACTGGAGGAGCAACTCAACCTTCCTGGTCCTTTTGCCTAGACATGGACAGTTCCAAATTAAACTTCTCTTAGAAGGCGGTGACTAAAATAAGCAGGAACTACCTTTTCTCTTCTGATTTCTCTTGACCTCCTCCTCAATATCCTTACCAACATCCCCCACTGCCCCCGCTCCTCCTCAACGTCCTTACCCACTTCCCCTGCTCACTGTCCTTGTCAGGTCCTGGGCAAGTGTTGGGCAGGGGAAGAGAATGTCCTCCCATGGTCTTTTTCTTGGCCTTTTCTTATGCCCTGCAACCCCACAGCTCCTTCCGCCAATGAACTTGAAGGTGAAGGAGCATAAGGCATGCATAGGAGATGGCCAAAGGGCTTGCCTCCCTCCCTGAAAACTTACTTTGAGGGAATGCTTTGTTGAGAGCTAAAAACACAATGGTCGCCCTTCTCACAACTGGCTCCACAAACTGAAGAACCACCCGTGTCATCTTTCCAGTGGGGTCTCAGGCTTTGCTCTGTGTTACTCAGAGTCTTGCAGAATGCCTGCTACTAAAAATAAGGTCATAGTGCATCAGAAACTTTAAAAAAACCCTCTTGGATATATATTTTTTAAAGTGTGAACATTTTGCATTTAATTTAAATGTCCTTGAGGGAAAAAAGGAGGCCAGTGTCTAGAACTCCCACAACAGGAGTGAGGCATTTTCCTGCCAGTTGGAAGCCGGAGTGGAGCAGGCAGCCACATTTCTCTTTTTTTTTTGTTGTTGCAAGTTTGGCTGCTACTAGTTTGCTTCTGGTATTGAACTGAGAGGTGCCTTGAGGGAGGCCTTAGCCTGTATGCAAAGCCCCAAACTGTGCAAAGGTTAGATCAGCTTCTCCTCTGGAGGACCCATGGATGGGGTGGCTTCAGGACTGCCACCTTTATTAGTTCAAACAAAAGGTACACCTCCCAGAACAACTGGAACTGCTAAGAGCCAGGCATGGACAGCTGGCCTTGTCTCAGGGAAAGCTCCAGAGAGACCTTAAACAGGCAAAATGGGTGGCAGAGAAACTGCCAAATGGCTGTGCCTGTGACTGGGGAGGGACCACACCCTCCGCATCCGAGGAATACGCGCGAGTTCATGCAGTGTCTGCTGGAAAAGGTCCGCACCTGCATGATTAGTATCTTGGGAGTAGTTTTCCCATAGTATCCATTGCTTTACTTTTGTGTTCAAAATGGAAAGCAACGCCACTGAAATAATCTTTTAATCACTATTTCTGTTTAAGGGGCCCTTGAATGTCGATATAGAAAGCACAGACAAAAGATAACAGGGTTCTTCCCAAGCTGTATCAGATAAACTCCCTACATCTTAAGCCCCCTTTCTGTGTCTGTGAAGGATCTGACAAGGACCTACTGGTCTACCCTGGAGGGGAGTCTCCCATACTTGCTTTTCTTATTTATTTATGTTTTTGAGACCGAGTCTCACTCTGTCACCCAGGCTGGAGTGCAGTGGCACGATCCCGGCTCACGGCAACCTCCGCCTCCCAAGTTCAATCGATTCTCAGCCTCCTGAGTAGCTGGGACTACAGGCGTGCACCACCATGCCTGACTTATTATATATATATATAAATATATATATATATAATATATTTATATATATTATATATTATAATATATATTATAATATAATATATAATATATATTATAATATATAATATATTATATAATATATAATTATAATTATATTTAATATATATAAAAATATATTTTTATATATATTTATATTTATATATATATTGTATTTTTAGTAGAGACTGGGTGAAACCCAGCTGTTGGTCAGGCTGGTCTCGAACTCCTGACCTCAAATGATCCGCCCACCTTGGCCTCCCAAACTGCTGGGATTACAGGTGTGAGCCACCATGCCCGGCCCCATACTTGCTTTTCACACCCTGTATGCTCCTGGTCTGGAACCAATGAGTGCCACTCAAAGCCCAAGTGCAGCCATACAGAAAATGCTGTATTTGTCCTCCTCCTTCCTGAACAGTTGGTTCCTTTTTCCCTTCACCATATTAATCACTACAGAGAACATGCTGGTCAGTGACAAAGTCACCCAAAGAAACAAGAAAATCACATCAATTCAAACAACTGGGCTTCGTCTGCAGGTCCTTTTGAAACCATGTTTTTCTTTGTTCGTAATAACTTGCTGTCTCTTTTCCATGGCCATTTGCCATTTCAGTCAAACAATGTAACTGGACTCAAAACCAAAGCCGGTGTTCTCTAGCTGTGTGAAGGAGGGACTGATTGGGGCAGCATCTTGAAACCCGCCTGACAGAGCACCTGCCAACACACACAGATCGCTTCTCAATGGAGAAGGATTCCAGAGACAGGATCCATTATGTAACTCCAGAAGCCAGGACTCCAACATTACAGGACCCTCTCCTGTGTCATCACCTCTCTGATGTTGCTGTTGGTGACCCTGTCACTATGCATTCACCTGTAAGCAATGTGGCAATGACTTCTAGACACAGTAAGGGGAAGCTTTCATGACTACCTGTTTAAACCATTTGCTTACACCTTTTCTCCTCCAAAACATTGAGAACAGTAGTTCTCTTTCCAGAAAGCAGTGCTCACAAAGTATTTTGTTTGTTGAGAGAACTCAGAATGAACTCACACATACTTCACAGGCTTTTCTATAAGGAAGAGGTCAAAACCAACCAAAGAAGGCTGTTATGTACCAGAAAAAATGTTTTCTATATCATAATCCCAAACTTCCTGCCACAGTCAATTAGGCTATGATATTACTTTCCGATTGTTGGCTTATTCTAAATATTACCAACCTCCACTGACAAGTTAACCTATAACAGGAAATTCAAGAGTTCAGTCAACATTATATTACCTTCATGAGATATATTTAGTCCTATATCCAAGGTTTGTACAAAGCTCACTGACTCAGTATCCATGCAGCTGGTATGGAGGATTTGCTTTATACATTCTGTTACTGTGAGTGGAAAGGGAAGTCATAGAAAACTGATCTGTGCTCCTTGAATTTTTGCTGAAACCCTGACATGAACTTCTAAATTGAAGATCAGGATAAAAATGAACCAAAATGAAACATGAATCTAGATGTGTTTGAGGCTATAATCCTGACCTTTATTCTGTGTCACAGACATGGGTTGGAACCGTTTTTTCCACCAAGCATATTGAATTCCTTAAGGATTCATCACTGCACAAAACTAAGCCACACAGAATACCCCAGGCTCTTATGAAACATCAACACTTATTGTTTCTATAATAAGCAAGTAATCCAGTAATACTGATACAGGTCTCAAATGCTATAAGAAGAAATGGAAGATAACATGAATTGTAATGAGTGCTCCATCTTCTAAATCTACTTGTGATTTTAACGTGTTCTTTCCTGTTGCCTTATAAACTTTATTAGGAACCCCCGGAGACAGGGCAAGACACTGTAGGAATATGTTTGATATATAGTTGGATTAAATAACAACCTAATATATCAAACATATCACACAGAGGCCTGCAGAAAAGGCATCCAGGTTTGACTGAGCTCGAGACTAGGCACAGTATTGAAGGTTACGGCTGCAGGGGGTGGTCACTTTTGCAGCAACTCCGATAACTGTCTTTGGAGCACAAGTCTGCCTGCAGATGTGGAAACGGCGCCATTAACAATACTGTCAGCACATGCACCAGCGCTCACTGACATTCTCATCTCCCCAGGTGAACAGCAGATTCAACGGTGCATGTCTGGGAGATCCCAGGCAAAAAGTGATGCTTAAGTTTTAAGAGCCTGAGGTGGAAATGTACCAGAATCATCATCAAAGACCATGAGCCATTCTCCTTTAAAAACAGGCAACCTGAGACGGTGGTGAGCAGAGCATTTTAGACAAAATTACTGTCTCTCCCCAAACTCTTCCTGAAAGCAGTGTGAATACTCCCCAGAAGGAACACACATCCATTTTATACTGAAGGCATGTGTGTGTACCAGGGTAGGGTTATAGGGATGTAATAAGCAATTGTTTACTGACAGTACCCTGAGGATTTTTTTAAGGTTTTGGGAGAGAATGGAGAGAAGTGATTCAACTCAAAAGACTGGCTGATTTTGGTGCAGATTGTTGTTATTGTTTTTTAATTGGGGAAATAAATTCCTTTATAAAGGCAAGGAAGATATTTCATGCAAAAGTTATTGCAATGTGCCCTATTAGGCACAAAAACTATGGTTTGGGTTGCAGGTTTTCCAAAACAGTTTCATAGATAATATCCACCTCTGGCCATCAGGCAGAGAAAGACTTCAGACCATTGTGAAGCATTCTAGAAGTACCCATCACCCTTCCTAATACGATGGGAGTGAGCTAAGGTAGGAACCCTCAAACAAAGGATTCACATCATCAGTTATGTTAACCTTGACCTTGGCCGAAGGACTCCTTGGCTTTCCTGTAAAAACCCTCAATGTAAACACAAAGGCTATATGATCCTAGAGTACTGTAGGGAGTCCTCACAGGCCTACTTCAGCAGTCATTAATTTTTAAGGTGCTGTTATTTTTTAAACCTTTGTTTTATAAAATGTTAAAACACAGACCCTTCCATCATCCCAATTCCATCATCATTCTTGTACATTCCCTACTTATTTTCTTCATCTGTGAGTTTTTAGAGTTGTAATCATAATAAGTACATAATTCTGCATCCTTTCTGTTATACCATGAGCATTTTCTTCGTGCTACACAGTCCTAGCAACCATTATTTTTCATAGCTGCATAATATTATAGCTGCATAATATTCCTTCGAGGAGTAGCTCTAAGGGCACACATAAACTACAAATGGCCTTTGTGGGACTAGACAAGCCTTCTCTGACAATGGGGTGGGAAACAGGGGCTGGTATGGACTGAAACTGCCACCCAGGGCCATACATAGCCCTCCCAGCTGAGTGACAGTGGTCGGACCCTGGCAAGGTAATTCGCCTCTTGGTGCTTCTGATTCTAATGGACTTTTTCCAAGGATCAGATGAGTGACTCCCATAAAGTACCCAGAAGACTGCCTGGCACAGGCTTGGCAGCTGAACAACGCGAGCTTCCTGGTTTTCTTTCTTCAGGGGCCAGTGGAATAATTTTTATTTCAGGCATTTCCTAGGGAGTAAGTCCCAGACACACATTTTCAGTGATGATGGTGATAATAATGGTGATATAGTTACTATCTACCAAGTCTCACTGTATGTCAGGCAGTGTTCTTATACTATCTTATTTAATTATTATAACAATAATCCTATGGGGTAGGAACTTTAATAATTTTGTTTTCCCATCTGGAGTCGTGAAGTGAACGACCAGACACGGGGAAACCAGGACTCAGACAAGAGCTCAGAAGGACCCTGCGGAAGGACAAAGGGAAAGACATTGAAACAGGAGCTCTTAGAATATGGTGAAGTGTTAATGTTAAATTAGCACCAGGCTAATTCTCCAGGAGAACGAATGTGTCAACTGACATGGCTTCGGCATTAGCGGACAGAGCCCTCCCCAAGAAAGGCCATCGTGATAAATCAGACAAGGAAATGGAAAAACATCATGCACCAAACCTCTAAATCTTAGTTAATGGTTGACTCTTAAGTTTAAAGTACACTTTTCATTCACGATTAACTTGACTGACAAAGCAGAAACAAAGGCGTAACCAGAAAATGGAGTTGTCCCAACACCCACACTTGGCTCTTACTCTGACAATATCAGGCAACCCAAGACTCCCAGGTAGAGTCCAGCAGAGAGAGCCCTGGTAAACCCCACAATCAGAAGCCCAAATCCTTAAGTTACATCTTGATGAGAAAACGTTTAAGTGCCTTTACCAAGTCCAGAGCGACTATTAGGAGGTTGGTTCTAAGCACTCGAAGGTTTTAATAATGTTCCCAAGCTGAACAGACTCAGTCTGTGTTTATTTCATACACTACACTGGCCCAGGCACTGCTTTTGAGTGGTCTGCTCTGTTTCAGGGCCCAGACTCCATCCCTTGGTCTTACAAAAATAGGTAAATTTTTAGGTATACCTAAATTGGTGGAATCCAGCCCTTTTTTGAGGGGAAAAGCCAAATATTATTTCCTAGTATATCTGGGTCCTTGGAAATAGATGAGTTACATGCACCACCAGGGACTTACTTGAATAGGAAGAAAAACAGGCCGCCTCTGGTTCTACCATTTTCCTGCTGAAGACAGCTATGGAAGGTGGGGTAGGAGGTATTAGCTTAACAGGATTGGGGCTTTGCCCCTGGAGACAGCACTAGCTTGTCATCCTTTTATTTAGAAAGTGTCCTTCCTCCTGCCTAATCTAAAAGTATCTCTTTCCTTTAAATGGCTATTTCTCTTCACATATACCTATAATCTTAAGTTTTAAACATTTATCTACATGACAAACACAGAAGGAAAAAACATACCAGCTACCCATCCTCTCCAGCATATACTGACAAAGCCTGGAGTGGGTGCACTTTTGAAGTTCTCATTGCCCTCTGATTCCCAGCAGTGCTATTTCTTTGTAAAAAGCAAAAGAGAAACCAGAAAATTGGAGGCTAACAATCTCCTCTCCAGTAACAGCAACTTCTGACAGAAAGCATCCAACACCTGCTTTAGATAATGAACTAAATCAAGACTGCAAATGCCCCAATTCTTCCTTTGGATACTCAGAGGAATTTTTCTGGGTGGTTAACTTGAAAGACTCATCAGCCATTTTTTTACCCCCATACTCTAAAGCAGTGCCGGGCAGGTAGATCCGGTTTTCTGCTTGCTAGTCTGACCATAAGGAAGGAGCCAAGCTCCCTGCAGCACTCCTAGCTCCATTTCACAGCCACCCACTGGAAGAACCCACTGACATCGGACAGCCAACCATAAATGAACACTTACTTTTGGTTTTGCTCTTGGCTTCAGTTGCTCTAACTTCTTAGCAGCAGCTTCGATGGATGCTGCAGCCCCCAGTAACTCTGTTTCTGCAATGACAGTTGGGTCTTCTGGATCCACCCACTCTGTTCCTAGAATCAGTCCAAAAGAAGGTGATTCTTCATAGCTGCAGACCTCAGGGCACTGGCTTAATTAAAAACACTATCTGGATTTGCATGCATGAAGGCTCCAGGAGCCTGACCTGCATTGTCCTAAGGAACCTTCCTTCCGTCTCTCATAAAGGCCATCTGGATGGGGGTGGGGGGTGGGGGTGCTAATCCTGGTTTTCTAAATCAGTTGCATGTATGGCCCTTCCACAGAGCAGTCACCAAGCAGCTTCAAAAATGATCTCACGGACCAAGGCTTGAGCTTTGCTCTGACTTTGAACTTAAAGCTCATGAATCTAAGTAAGCATCCTCAGGAGACACTACACTATGCTGTACATCACACAGGAATTTGCCATTCTCTTCTCCCTGGAACCCAGGAGGACTGACCCCTCACCTTAATTCAAAGTAAAGGAAATTGGTGAGAAGACCTTTCCCAGGTGGGTTGATTGCTTCTATGTAAACATAAAGGGTGTCCAAACAATGTTTTCAGGTAGCATCATTTTCAAAACATGAAGTACTATTTGAAGGAGAATAAATATCCTGATGAATGAAAATGCAGACAAAAAAGAAATGGGGAGACTCCAAGGAAAGTGAGTAGGTTCTAGGTGGAGGATACCATTTAAGTAGAAGCACTTAATACAAAGACTAGAGAAAAGACTTGCTTCAGGGAGGATGTTTCTTTTTCAAGTTAACTCTAAACCCATTTGCTTGCAGAAAGTCCTCACTGTATTCCTGGCTGCATCTGCCAGCTAAAGGCCATTGCCGTCTGTGCTTTTCCTCTGCTCAGTCTGCTGTATTAGCACTGCCTGGGAGGGTTGCCCTCCACCAAGACGTGAGAATCCAGCCTACCTTTCATGGCTTCCGCCGCCTGGATGAGCTCTGTCACAGCGCCGGCGACTCGCTTGGAGAAAGCGGCCAGCTGCTGCTTGAATTCTGGGGTTGGTTTCTGAAGAATCTACAGGTGAAGAACAAGTCAGAGGCATGAGGGGGATAGTAACCACTGGGACAGGAAAGAAGCACACTCCTCTTGCTGGATGTGGAGTCAGGCAGCCTGGTTTTAAGTTGCATCTCTGTCCCAAGTGACTTCAGAGCCTTGTGGAAAACCCTTACGACTCACTGGGTTTCAATCTCCCCATGTGAGAAATAAAAGGTTGGGAACCAGTGGTGCCTCTAAGGTCCCTCCTGACATAGCTCCTAAAGATCATAAAGGAGACAAAGTCCTTGTTTTCTATTTGGACCTTCATTTGTCCTTTATTTGTACATAAAACACACACATGCACCTGAAATTTAACCAAACTGTAAGAACATTCTGGCTGGGTACAGTGGCTCACACCTGTAATCCAAGCACTTTGGGAGGCCGAGGTGGGAGGGCTGCTTGAGCCCAGGAGTTCAAGACCAGCCTGGTCAACATAGCAAGACCTCATCTCTAATTAAAAAAAAATTAAAAATTGGCTGGGCATGGTGGCACACACCTGTAGTCCCAACTACTCAGGAGGCTGAGGTGGGAAGATCTCTTGAGCACAGGAGGTCAAGGCTGCAGTGAGCAGTGGTTGCATCACTGCACTCCAGCCTTGGCCAGAGAGATTGAGTCAGTCTTTAAAATAAATAAATAAATAAATAAATAAAAATAAAAAAAAAAAGAACATGCTGAGTAAAGGCAAAAGCCCCAAGCTATGGGCCAATCAGTACTTGTGACAAAATAAAGGACCAGAGGAAACACGCCACTCAAGTCCTTGAGACAAAATCCCTAAGTGAGCAACAACTAACTGCTCAGGAGGATCATTCTTGAGAAAACAATCCATTTCCAGAGTTTTGACTGCAAGCTCTCCTGGGAGAAGTCCTGAGGATTTGCCCTCTCTTTTGAATTAGTTCAAAAGTTTTCAAAAATTGTCTTTTGCTTTCTGTTTTTTATGGATTTAAAAAAAGGTACTGAGAATACTAAACACCTTTAAGACATCCCCAGCTGATTTCTTCTCAAACTCATCCATGAATGGAACCACGACACAGGATAAGAGCTCTTCCCCATCTTCCACCAGGGATCTAAATTCTAGTGCACACCATCCTATCCCTTCCTCATGTTGAAATTCTTCTTCCAGTGCTCTTTTCTGTTATCTCTTTCTCACGTTTCCCAATGGTGATCTTCAGATTTAGAAATGTTCAGACAGTCAGGAGAGAAGTATAACTGCTGTCTATCTCTGCACAATTTTGGAGCCTCTGAGTAGGGGACAAAGCATCAGCTTTGGAAATGAACAAACTTGTGTTCAAACCTGGCTTCATCCATTACCGGTTTTAAACCTGTTTTCTCATCTGTAAAGCTGGGATAATGCCTATGTCTCAGGGCTGGCACAAAGATCAAACGGAGGCTGGGCGCAGTGGCTCATGCTTGTAATCCCAGCACTTTGGGAGGCTCGGGCGGGTAGATCATCTGAGGTCAGGAGTTAGAGACCAGCCCGGCCAACATGGTGAAGCTCCGTCTCTATTAAAAATATAAAAATTAGCTGGGTGTGGTGGCGGGTGCCTCTAATCCCAGCTATTCAGGAGGTTGAGGCAGGAGAACTGCCTCAACAGAGGTTGCAGTGAGCCAAGATTGCACCATTGCACTCCAGCCTGGACCACAGAGTGAGACTCCATCTCAAAAAAAAAAAAAAAAAAAAAAGATAGAATGGAATAACACATGGAGAGTATTTCTCACAATGCTTGGAACACAATAGACATTCATTAAATGTGAATTCCCTTCTTGGTGCCCCACACTCCTTTCCCCTGCCCAGGTAGCACAGTCTTTCTCAGGAATCTGGAAAGATGGTTTTTAGACCCCAGGACTAACCCCTTTGCACCATGACTATAAAGAAAGCTTAGAAAAAAACCGATGAGAGGAGTCAATGGGTTACACCATGACCAGCCCTAGACACGGCAGTGTACAGATGACATTATGCGTACGCACAAATGGATTAGTCAATAATCTTTGAGCACTACTTCACATGTATCTATCCTCATCTTCCCTCCTCTTATAATCTTTTATACTTCTTTCATATTTGCTACTGTTCCATGATGATTCCAGGTGCTCTGTGATTCTCACTCTCTCACACTAGGGCCTATATATATATCATTCTGCAGATATTAAGAACTCAGCATAGACCTTTGAATGAACAAATTAATTAATGAGTGAAAAGCAAACCAATACATTATTGGGACAAGTCCTACTATGATGGCTTCCTAGACCAGTTCCAAAAGAACACTAGAGCCATGGAGAAATAGAAGGAAGGGGATAAATGCCTTTTACTTTCCAAGACAGCCAGTGGGCAGGCAATTTAGTTAGGCATAGGTTCAGCAGTCAATATCAATGTACCTGTGTACAGGTACTTATCCTCTCTCTAAGCCTCAGTTTATTAAGCGACCACAACAGTCTTCCTTTATAGAGCTGTGGTGAGGTTATATAAATTAATATATATATATAAAGAGCTACTGATAAAATTCTTCTGGTGTGTAGCCTGGGCATAAGAATTTTTTAAGTTCCCTGGGTGACTCATGTGGCCATAGTTGTAAACCACTGCTCTAGACTTAGATGGTGGCATTTGTCACCACTTAATTGCAAAAGGCTTGTACCATATTTGTCTGCAACAATATATGCTGTACGACTACCAGGTTATTAATAGTTATGGCTCAGGATCTCAGTAGCTAAGCAGTCCATAGGCATTGTTAAATGGTTTCTCTAAAGTGGCCAACACAGCATGAATAAGCAAAGGGTTAAAGGTATGGTGCGGACACTCATAATTAATGGCAAAAGACTGAATGATTTTCCCCTAAGCTCAAGACAAGGGAAGGATGTTTGTTCACATACTTCTACCAACATTCCCACAGAGTGGAATGATGAAAGACTTCTGTCTCTAAAAGGAGGGCCTTCAGTGAGAAGTGTACAACATGACAGCCCTCAGACAGGGAACAGCCCTGATAAAGAACCCGAGCTTTAGATAACGGAGGAGAAGAGGAGTTCTATTTTTATTCTGCCATTAAGTCAACATGATTTCTGATAGCAGACAACAGACAGATCCAAATTAAAGCTCTGCCAGTGGAAGCAAGGATAATTTTAGCCCTGCCAAAGATCTCAAACTGGTTTTGCAGAAATATTGAACTGTGATAGTTGCAGAGGCAAAGTAGCGGCTTTTTGTCCTGCAATACAAATCCTCTATGATAAACGAGCAAACAGCAAACGCAGGAGGCCACCATCATTCAAATGGACATCTCTAAAACATCATAAAGCAGCTCTCGGGGCAGCGGGGAGATGGCTCTGTCGAAATTAGATCCTATGTTTGTTGAGAGTTAACTGAATTCTCTAAAGGATTCCCCAGGCGGGGGTTTTCCATTTGGAGTCTCTAAATACCAAAAGGTTCTAACTAGGTTTTGTGGGTCTGTGACTCCTCTTAACAGTTTGGGGATCAACCTGTGTGTCTGTGCTGATGTTTCTTTGATGACGGTTGCAGAAGGCAAGAAATGACCCCGGGCTTTTAGCTCAAAGGGGCCCATGACCCACAAAAGATGAAGAATGCTGAAATCATGATAGTCATTGGCATCTGTAACACAGGCAAAGAGAGAATAGGAGTGGGAACAGATACAAAATGTATTATTATTGGTATGTTTGTTTAAAATATAAGCATCTGAAGCAAATAGGATAAACTGTTAACAAAATTAGTCAATCATAGATGATGGGTACATGGATGCTGCTATTAGCTTCTGTATTTATTTAAGCATTTTCCAAAGAAAAACTAAAAGATACAAACCAGCCAAAAAAGCCTAAGAATCCTTGGCTCTAGATATTTTAACAGAACAAGGCTAAGACACCATAAACTCATGCATATTTTTATGTGCCGAGATTTAAGAAAAGCAGCTCACTGAAGAGGATCCCCGATTCTCCATGTACCACCTGAAAATGACCTCAACTTATTTCTGCAGATTGCTGGACACTTTTTCTAAACCTTGATTTCTGGAATTTTCTCTTTCCCTTTTTGTAAAAAATGAACAATTATCTGACCTTTCTTCAGCTCTCAGGAATCTCCATCGATTCTCCTTGAATTGTTAAAAACGGGATCAATTTTTCAAGCATTTCAGGAAGACTACCCTAAGATCTACAGGTACAGTCTGGTTTTAGTCAACTCTTTTTCAGAATGGAGAGGCCATGGTCATATGATCATACAGAGTCTTTCTGCAGAGACCAAAGAACAGAGTGAAGGGCAGAGCGAGTGAGTGTGTGTGTGTGTGTGTGTGTGTGTGTGTGTGTGTGTGTGTGTGTGTGTGTGTGACAGACAGAATAAAAATCTCCAGTTTTTAATTGCTTTTTAAATCTATCACCTGCAAATAACTAATCAAATTTTAGTAGATATTCTTTTCTTCTACCCCAAAAAGAATTTCAACAAAATTCTGATGTCTTCTCTAGATTAGCAATTTGGCTTTCATTTTCTGATTGTCATTAGAATCCCCTCTGAAAACGAACACTACTTCCCAGGCTTGGGCATTCTCATTTTCCTCATTTCTTGTTGGACCTTCATACAGCACTGGCCGGTCAGTCTTGCGGCTTGCAGGACTCTCAGTGTGAAACAATACTCCTCTTTCTTATCCTTATTTTAACCCAGATTTCTAGGAGTTAAAGCTAACTGTGTGAACGTGAATTTATTTTTGGCAGCAGACCTAAGACAATGACCTATGTCACCACAATTTAGGTGACCGAATACTGTTGTGAGGGTTTCTATAATTTTTCACCAGGAACTTGTATTTTTTATATGTTTATGATAATTCCCTAGAAAGAGGCTTGTTTTCGGCCTATATTTTTAATAGAAAATACTCTTCAAAGACTGTCTTGCTTTTTAAGGAAAAAAATATATGAACATGAACAAATAAATGAATACATAATGCTATTTCATTCACATCCTTGGATGTCAGAGCCATCAGCACTTGTCACCCTCAAGGGGGAAAATTCTTTTTTTTTTTTGATAGTTTTATCTTTGATTGTTTCACTCTTTAACATTCTATAAACAACAACCAAGACCACTGAGGGAGACTAACTAGATTATAAATGGATTAGGAGCTACTTGAAGGCAAGGGCCATTATGTGCTTAGCTTATATTTCTTTTGTGTGGTCTATAGAAGGAAGTCAATAAAATAAACAATGACTTAATGAATCAACCATAAAGCCCAAATGATAAGTCTTTTTCTTGTATTCCCCTTCTTTCAGCGAATATTTCTGAAGTCCCCTTTTTTCCATTATTTCTCCAGTTTTTTTCCTGCCTTCTACTGGTTCATGTTTTCTCAAGATCTAGCCTTGACTCTATTCTTTTATGTCTATACTGTATGCTCTTAATAAAACCCCATATTGGCCAGGCCTGGTGGCTCATGCCTATAATCCCAGCACTTTGGGAGGCCAAGGTGGGCAGATCACCTGAGGTTAGGGGACCAGCCTGGCCAACATGGTGAAACCCCATCTCTACAAAAAAGACAAAATTAGCTAGGCCTGGTAGCTCGTGCCTGTAATCCCAGCTACTTGGGAGGCTGAGGCAGGAGAATCATTTGAACCCGGGAGGCGGAGGTTACAGTGAGCCAAGATCATGCCATTGCACTCCAGCCCAGGCAACGAGGGCAAAACTCTGTCTCCAAAAAAAAAAAAAGCCCATATGCATGAATAAAAGCCTTCAACTGCCAGCACTAGAACTATATCTCCTCCATCTTTACATCTAGAGAATGTATCAAATGTACAGTATGCCTAATTAAACTTAGGCACATTGTAAATTTTATAGATTTATCTATAAAATCTCCCTTTCTTCTGCCTTGCCCTGTCAATAGCATTACCGTGATCCTAATCTTGGAGCTGGAGAACTTTGGAGGTAACTTTTAATCTTGCTTTTCATTGCTTCTCATACTTAGTTGCTAACTTTTGACAATTTTATCTTTAAAATATATTTGGATCTTTTCAGTCTCAAGGGGGAAAAATCCTTATCGCAAAAGATGAGATGGATTCTGTTTCTTTTATAGGAATAGTTTTACTATCATTTAGCTTTTCTTCCTATTAGTGATTTCATTTTAGTACCAACTACCCTAAACCTCTGAATGGCCTTAGAGAACTAGGACATTGATATATCTACCATAGTTACAAACTACAATGACAATAATTGTATACAATGAGGACAAGAAACTCAGCTGGCAGGCTTTTAACAGATATATCAACCATGCAAGTTTGTAACACACAAGATTTAAGAGTACTGATTCTACAAAAAATACAAGGAAGAATCCATAACAGAAAATCAATCAACTGAAATGTCAATGGTCACCAGAGAAGCACGTCTGGCCACAAAGTGCAATCTGTTCTTGCCTAGGCCCTGGCAAAGAAAGTAGTGGTCACTCTCCCTCCTTCCGATCTCCAGCCTCCATGAGATGAGATCTGATGGTGACCTCCTGAATGACCTGTGATGGTGGGTCTCCCGTCAGTAAGTGCCCTTCTTCCTGTTACAGAAAAAGCTGCCGTTTACCATCAGGGCTGATGTTGACATAGCGACTGGGTGGCCACTAAGCAGGAGTCTCTGAATGTGTGGCCTGGGAAAGTTCCTAGACCTTCTATAATGTTCCTAGAGCTCCTGGACCTCTTGGCCTCCCCTCAGGCAGAGGCCAGCCATCTGCCCGCCCGCCCCTCGGACAGAGGCACACCATACACACAAGACAGCCTTGTCTTATTTTGCTCACCCAAACGAGGTGGGCATGGAGAGGGGAAGTGACAAGAAAGGAAGCACTTGAGCAGATCCAACACCTCATTCCCGGATACTGGGATAGGGTTTAGAGTCGGCATGCAGTCAGGGAAGTGACCCTGTTACAGCTCCATTTTCCTTTCCCCTGAGAGACACTTCTCCCTAAGACAAATGCTGGCACCTGCCCTTCCTTACGAAGAAAGAATTCCTCTCCCCTAAATAAGCTGCATTTTTGCTGGAGAATGAAAGGGGAGACCTTCACTCCATTTCCATCCAGGCCTTTGTACGTGTCAGACATAAAGCTGCAGGCAGACCCCACACAGTGACATTCTTGTTAAATGACTCACCAAGGGCAAAGGTACAGATTGCCAACCTGAGGCCCATGTGTGCAGGGCCTGGACCCATAGATGTCATGTACATTATCAATGCTGCACAGGTGCTGGAGAAAATACGGTTCAACTAAGAAATGGAACTGGGGAGAAGTGAAATGGAAATACGAGGATCCCTGTATCTCCTCCCTTCCCCCAAAATGAACAAGACAACAGCAAAAGCACGAGAGAGAAAAAATAAGGAGAAATGGAGCATAGGGGGAGAGCTCCCATTTAGGAGGCAGAGGCCACTGCTGCTGCAAGCCCACCGTTAGCAAGTACCACCCACCAGCCAGAAATGGCACCTTCCCAGTGGCAGATTTTATTTATTTATTTATTTATTTATTTATTTATTTATTTATTTATTGAGATGGAGTCTTGCTTTGTCACCCAAGCTGGAGTGCAGTGGTGTGATCTTGACTCACTGCAACCTCCACCTCCTGGGTTCAAGCAATTCTCCTGCCTCAGCCTCCTGAGTAGCTAGGATTACAGGCACCCACCACCATGCCTGGCTAATTTTTGTATTTTTAATAGAGGTGGAGTTTCACAGTGTTGGCCAGGCTAGTCTTGAACTGCTGACCTCAAGTGATCTACCAGCCTCAGCCTCCCAAAGTGCTGGGATTCAGGCATGAGCCACCGCACTCGGCAGATATTAATAAGGCATTCAGCAAATGTTAGCTTGGCCACAAAGCCCTAGGTTTCCAGACATGCTCATTTCATCCTTAATAAACTGCCTGTTTAACGTCTGAGGAAACTGCACCCCAGATAACACAGTGGCCATGTAGCTACTTAGGTGGCAGAACCAGGATTTGAACTTGAGGCTTCTAAATCTACTGATTGCACCCTATTGTCCAATTTTTAGTTATAACAAGGTTCTATATGACTCAGAATATACTGTTCCATAATGAAAAAGAGGTCTTTGGAAAGCCTTGCTGGTGTTACTGTCTTTAACCTCCATTTCCTGCTAGGCACACTTACAGACTGAACACTTTAACTATTTCCCAACCTGTCTAGCTAGAGGCTCTTGCCTGTGAATGCTGACTGGCTAAGATGTCTTTCCTTGGCCTACATATGATACACTGATCTCTATTTACAAGGGTTCAGACTTTGGGAGCTCAATGTTAGTGACCCCAGACTGGCTACTTTCCCAAAAAATGCACTTCAGAATTGACCACAGTTACCTGGATAAAGAATAAAAATAATGATCCCTTAAATGACCTAAAATGTTTAGCATCAGAAGATAATTTATTTCTAAGAAGGAGGCAGTGAAATGCCCAGAGCTGGGAATAGTAAGAATTGAGATTTGGATCCAGCTCTGTTGCTGAACAGATGGGTGACTTCAACCAAGGGACAAGCTTTCTGGGTCTCAGATCAATCTGTTGGCCATAAGCCTCATGGCTGCGCAAGGACAGAATGAGAAAACTTGAGAATGCCCAGCAAATGAAGGGCTTGGCACTCCTCCTCTAGCTATGTGAATTATGTATCTAAAGGTGGCCTGTTGGATCTCTTTTGTTAGGTTTGGTAAGAGCAAGGGTAGTGATGGAGGAGAGACATCATCAACGCTCTTCTGGGGGTGTCCCTGACTATGGAGGCCTGCCCTAGACCTTACATGGTTCTAAACATGGCTCCTGAACTCAGCAGAGACAGATACACACTGTACCTACTTCTTGGTGCTCCGTGGTTTGGTCCTTAGGGTTTGTAGCGAGTCACGCCTCCTTAGGAACTGCACAAACTGAGGCTCCCACGTGGGCAGCCCACCAGCCATGACTATCTACACCCCTGCCTGGTGTCTTCTGCTTATGCCTTCCTAACCCAGCTCCACACTAGGCACACTAGGCTGGGGGAGTCATTCTCGATGGGATCTAAGCCATTCATTCGAGGATGGAAGTTGTGAAGGGCTGGTGGGTCACTTGCAGCACTGGCAGCCTCCCTCACTTGCCACGGAGGCTGGCATGGCTCTGTCAGAAGCCTTCCATGTCCTTGCAGGATGTACTGGGGGTTTCCTAACAAGACCTCCTGATACTTTTTCAGGTTGGCACTGGCCGCCCGCCCACTTTGTCCTTCACTCTGCTCCCTCTTCCTTTTACATGCTATTCCTGCCTTTTAGGTGCATGAGAGAACTGGGCTTTCCTGAATTCTAACTGCAACTTCGTCCAGACCGCACTTTTAGCTCAGTGTGCCGGATCAGTGCATCAGGGGAGATTCCAGTTCAATCCAGTCCCAGCCTCACAGTGGCAATGGACAGGGCTCTGAGAGAGGTCTTCCCAAGGAAAGCATAGTTTGAATCAGCCAGGACAGCTAGAGGGACACAGCTACTCCCCAGCCCTGACTCATGCGCTTTCTTACCACCAAGACGTGCTCCAGGAGGTCCAAGTAGCCAAGGGTGCACTCCGTCCCGAAACGCAAGGCTCTGGTTCTCACCTCGTCACTGACATCGGGGTGGAAGGATGCTTGCTGGAGAGAGAAAGGAATGCTGAAATCTTAACATGGGAAAAGCCAGCATTGGGCAGTCCCAGACTCAGAGGCAAGAGACCTTAACCCTGGTGACCTCAAGAAACTGCCCTGACTCCCTGGACAGAAGAGGTATCTCTCCTCTACGTCCTCCTGCCACCTCCCACCTGCCCACAGCAGGCCCTCTGATGCAGTCTGTGTGCAGACTTTGTTAGTGCCCTGGGGCCAAACGATAGAAACAGCTCAATCTGGACCTTTGTTCCTCCTTTTCCCACCCCACATTTTTTTGAAATGCAAAAAATTCCACATGCACAAAAACATCCAGGCAAGATTCATGATCAGCGCTTACAGCTGGAGACGTACTGACCTAGGGTCAGCTTTGCCTCTCTTTAGCAGCTTAAGGGGTCCTGAAAGCCCCTCTCTGCTCACAGGCTAATTAAGCCCAGGCTCTCACCCCTGGGCCTGACCATGCTGCAGTCAGTGAGGTCTCTGTGACCAGGGCCCTCTAGCTCCTGGGAAACTTCAGATAGCTAGCTCCCCAGTACCCTAGAGGCACCATAACTCATCTCATATTATACAAAAGTCGAGATACACAAACCAGCACACATGCTTAACACAGCATCTTGAGCTTTTTTCTTGTACTTACGACCTGCTAACTTGAGTCATTCATGATTACATCATTTCTGAAGGGATACCCATTCACAGAGTCACCAGATAAAATGCACCCAGTTAAATTTGAATTTCAGATAATCAATGAAAAAAAATTTTTAGCAAGTATGGGACATCCTATTTTTTATTTTTTACAACTAGCAACCCTACCCCTTCCTTCTACAGCTTCCCTCTGGAAAGAAACTGAGGGGCTTGCAGAAATACATAAAACTACAAATACACTGCTAATCAGGACAAACACAAATCACACATTGGGATAAAAGGTAAAAGCTGAGGGCAAAGACCAGGATCCATGTTTTATCCACTCAAGCCCCTCTTCCTAGGAATGTGAGTGCTGATGGGAATACCTTGGGCTCCCCCCTTGACTTACCCCCAGTCCCTGGACAGAGTGGGGCTAATTCTCATGGCCAGCATGTCATGTATGAGCCAGCTTTTCCTCATCTGAGGACTAATGGGCTCGGAGGCAGGAACCAAAAGCCATGCTCCCAGCCACCCACCATCACTTGTTGTTCATCCTCATACCCCTGTGCCTCGAACGGTGAGGCACAAGGCCCCACGTCTGTTTGATGAGACACCACTGCGGGAAGACACAGGCCCGGATGCTACTCAGAGTCACTTCCAGCAGGTTATGTGCAAGCCCGTGTGTAGGGAGTGGGAGAGGTGGAGCTGAGGTGCTTGCGTGCACTGCTGGGGGCTCTGTAACCGGGTAGAACCCTTTGGGAGAACAATGTGGCACTAATTAAACTCTTATACTATTGGACCCACTAATTCTATTTCTAGGAATCTTGCCTAAGGAAATAATCCAAAGCACAGAAAAAAACAGATATGCCCAAAGATGTTTACTGCAGTAAAGTTCATGATTTTTAAAAAATGCAGACAGCCTAAATATCTGTCAACAGTGGGAAGATAATATTCATTAAGGGTATTTTGTAGTCATTAAAAAGTCAGCAATATAGCAACACAGAAATAGCTTTATAACATTAATTATAATAGTAGACATAAAATTATATCTAATATACAGATGTGCAAATGAAAGTAAGACTAGAAAGAAATATGCATGAGAATTAACTTAGGGTTTAGGTAAGTCTTTCTCTCTGCCTAAGGAACTGCAGTAATCCTTCCATTCTAAGATGAGCCAGTATGTAATTTTCTGCCCCTCCGTGTGTGGGCTGAGTAGGGTAACCAGGGAAAAGGCAGAGCTGGACTAGGGCGACTCGGCCCTTCTGCTTGGCATTTAAGGCTTCCGTCTTGACCACCACTCAGCAACCCAGGTTTCCTGTCTATGCATTATTGCATGCGCTCCCTTTCGGCCAGAGGCCTCATTTCCATTTGCAAAGGGGTGAGGGATACAGGAGATCAAGGGAAATGGAAATGTTAGTGAGTTCGCTAAGTCAGTCCTATCCTAACAGGAGCATCAGGGCTCAGCAGTGACTCCTGTCAAGTCTGATTTTGGTGTGTGAAGCTGACATTCAGGCTTTAGAGCTCTGGCTGCTATCTTGTCCTGCAATGCCCAGATAACGCATCCCAGGGTCGAGATGACAGAGAGGGGCTGAGGATGGGCAAATAGCACCCACACTGTTCTACCTGAGCTCCTCCCCTGAAAACAGGGGAGCACACGTTAGGAGAGACTTAAACATCTGAGCTGCATTCCCTTTAAAAAGACCATTTAATCATGGTTTCTCTTCTGTTCAGTTTCCCCTGTTCACGTCTGTAGCTTGGGGACAAAAGCGTCTGTCACGCATCAACCATAGCGACCTTGAACATTACATCTGGGAGGCCCTGAGTAGCAGAAACAGACTGGCTGAGAAATCAGGAGAGCTAATTTCAGTTCTGGATCTGACAGTAAATAGCTGCGTGACCTTGGTCATGCCACTTCTCTCTCTGAGCCCATTTCATCATGTAACAAACAGAATAATTACTCTCGCCTTTCTCATATGGGATCAAATGAGAGAATATATATGACAGCTCTTCGAAAATTTTGAGATTCCGTGTGTGTACACCACAATGCATGCAGGCCTTTACTCTCTGATTGAGGATGTAACCCCTTTGGCAGTTATCTCTTATGGTAGGTGGACTCCACTGAGCATATCAAAGTGGCCAATACTTGCAGCCTCAGGAGAGAGAGTCCTAACTCCCTCATCTAGCAAGCCCTGCGTCCTGTGTGAAAGCGGAATCTTTCCAGCCCTGTCTTTTCCAACACACCCTCTTCTCTCCACCCTTCATCACACCCAGGGGTCCCATAAATGTGGTACTGTCTCCCAGGGCCAGGCCCTTGCACACAAATTCCGTCATCACCCCCTCCCTTACCTCCCTCTCCTTCTGAGGAGCCACCAAGAAGCCATAAGAGTTGGATCTTGCAGCAGCAACTCCAGCAGAACTCACTTTACCACAAAGAATGGCTCTGCTCCCTGAGACCCCACGCTGTAGGAGCTGGTCTTCAATTCTGCCCTCACTCACCATGGCAGCGGATCATCAATTGATTGCTGAGCAGAAGCCGGAGTCCCTGGGGGCAAGGCTGTCCCAAGAAGGGGGAAGGCCTAGGGTGGGGGCTCTTATAGTTCACTTTCCTAATAGATCAAAAATAAAGGTTCCAGGCCCTGGGTCTCCACAGCTCCCTCACCAAGCACAGGCTCAGGGCAGTTGCTCCAACTATCTACCTAAGGAACAGAGGAATTTTTCCAAGATGTCTAGCACAGACTGTGAAAAGCAGCTCGCCAAGTTCTGCTATATTCCTCCAACTCACTTCCTCACCAGGGATGGCAACACCTCTCCTAGTGCACAATGGCTGACCTATGGGGGTAAACAAGGGTCCAGCGGAAGAGCAAACATTTTCCATTTGGAGGAGCTGGAACCAAGTGCTGCAATCCCTATCCACCACCCTCGGAGAGGCCTCCACCACACTCTGCAAGAAGGCTTCCTGCCTATTTAGGAAGAACTAGAAAGAAGGGGGAGGATTAGGGCCAGCAAGGCTGACTCCATCCCCTCTCAAACACAAAACTGCCTTAGAGAGTCATTTCCCACAGGCTGGTGCGTATGCCATATTCAGCGTGCATTTTTTTTTTTAAACGGACAGGGTTTTGCTCTGTCACCTAGGCTGGAGTGCAGCATAATCATAGCTCACTGCAGCCTTGAACTCCTGGGCTCAAGTGATCCTCCTGCCATAGCTACTATTCTGAGTAGCTAGGACCACAGGTACACACCACCACACTTGGTTACTTAAAAAAAATTTTTTTTAAGAGATGAGGTCTCACTATGTTGCCCAGGCTGGTCTCAAATTCCTGGTCTCAAGCGATCCTCCTGTCTCAGCTCCCAGAGTGTTGGGATTTCAGGCATAAGCCACTACCCCTGGCCCTGTGTGCATTTTTATTACAAAGTTTAAGGTTCTGAGCCCCTCCCCTTTTTCAGACTACACCAAGCAACCCAGTCACGACAGAGAATCATCTGTCCATCCAAAACCATGCCAAGCTCTTTACCTTGCAAGCCGTCAACATATCTGACACGGCTTTCCGGCTCAGGTTGGCAGTAGCAATCACGTCCTCCTGTCTACATGAGTTCCCAGCTGCCACGGCTTTGGCTGTTGCCATGGTGATGCCTTTCGTCATCCTTATGGATTCTTCAGGTGATGATGTCTTTTCAGGTACGTCTTTTGACTGGAACACCTGGAAGTCAGAAACAGAGAGGTTAAAAAAATCAAAAAGGAAACGAAAAAAATAATTTATTCTTCTCCAACCAGGCTGTAGCTTGTGTCTGAAAACTGAGCCAGTAACTGGAAGAAACTGTCACATGGCGAAATTAGAAATTTGAGTACAGTAATATGGTTCTTGTTTTCAAGAATCTCATGGACAAACCTCTTGCACCTACACTAAACATTCATGGGAACAATATGGTGAGGGAGACGTATCTAGAGTGTTAACCTGTTGGTCTGCAGAAACTGACACCCAATATTTACACACTACCCATCCTGTGAAAGGTTGTTGTATGGCTTCATAGTTCTCTTCCCCCATCCCTGCTGGTGCTTTGGCAGTTCCATACACTCTCAGTCCCAGTGCTGGTTTCAGGGCAGGACTGACCTGGCCCCATCACTCAGGACTCACCTCTCTCTCTCTGAGAGGATGTGAGGTTGGGGGAAATGAAGCATCAGTTCCTTCTATTCTTAGCCTGTCTTATAAATATAACTGCATAATTGTGCAGAGGTGTTCACGTCGAGTGCGCCATGGTGACACTGTGAATTATTTAGCAACCCACCGACCCACCCCCTTTAGAGAGGCTGAAATAAATTCACCATGGTAAGTCAATATCCCATTTCTGCTTCATGCTCATCTGTTCTGGCTCTCTAACATGAGTGATTGGTACCCTGGGTATGTGCTGAATGTGCCTCTGTCCCTACACGAGGGCCCCTAGCCTAGGTGGGGCTACCCTGTCTTCAGCCCTAGGCAACCATGTTTCAGCAAGGAAGGCTTCCCTGATGCAGAAGAGTGGGCTCAGTTGGCATCCCATAGAATGCCAACCAATGTCAAACATCACTGCTGAAAATGGGCAACTGCAATTAAGCAGTCCAGGACCCCAAATCCCCACTTCACCCTTGAATGCTACAGCGGAATGAAGGCCACACGTAGAGTCCTTCACACTAATGAGGCCCTCATGGCACGCGCTACATGGAAACCCACGATCTGGGTGAATTTTATTCAGCCAGAATAAAATTCAGTCAACCCGGCTCACAGCAACTTTGACCTCCTGGGCTAAAGTGAGTCTTCCACCTCAGCCTCCTGAGTAGCTGGGATTACTGGTTCAGGCCACCACACCTGGCTAACTTTTTAATTTTTTGTAGAGATGTGGTTTCCCTATGTTGCCCAGGCTGGGCTCAAACTCCTGGGCTCAAGCAATCCTCCTGCCTCAGCCTCCTAAAGTGCTGGAATTACAGGCGTGCGCTGCCATGCCTGGCCTCTGGGTGAATTTTAAATAACACTGGTATACTCAGAATAACCCATGTGTCTGTAGTTTCCCAGGATGGCTCCAAATTTCAAGTCTCTTTGATCACCACCATTAGGCCTGCCTATGCATGTCAGAAGCTATGTTCACAGGGGTACCTGTGTCACCCCACCCCTAGCTTCAGGAGGCTCAGCACAGAGTGACAGAGTCCATTTGTTTGGGAGAAAGTAATTATCTGGTAATCCAGATAATTCTTCTGGATCTTATCCAAGACCATCAAGATGGTACCTTTATGAGTCTGCAAAAACTACAGTGTTACTGAGCTTGGTGTGCCCCCCGATGCAGATACGGCTTAGATCATAACATCCAAGTCCTTTCGAGTACCTGGAAAGCCTTCCCAAGAAAGACAGGCACAAACAAGCCCAGACTGTGAAGACTATAATAAATACCTAACTCTTCAATGTCTAGACACAAATGAACACCTATAAGCATCCAGGAAAACATAACCTCACTGAACCAACTAAATAAGTTACCAGGGACTAATCCTGGGGATATGTGACCTTTCAGACAAAGAATTCAAAAGAGCTGTGCTGAGGAAACTCAGATTCAAGATAACACAAAGAGGGAATCAGAATCCTATCAGATGAATTTAGCAAAGAAATTGAAATAATTAAAAAGAATCAAGCAGATATTCTGGAGCTGAAAATGGCAATTAATATACTGAAGAATGCATAAGCGTCTTTTAATGGCAGAACTGATCACATAGAAGAAATAATTAGTAAGCTTGAAGACAGGCTATTTGAAAACATAGAGGAGACAAAAAAGAATAGAAAACAATGAAGCATGCCTACAGGATCTAGAAAATAGCTTCAAAAGGACAAATTTAAGAGTTATTGGCCTTAAAAAGGAGGTAGAAAAAGAGATGGGGTAGAAAGTTTATTCAAAGAGAACTTCCCAAACCTAGAGAAAGCTATCAATATCCAAGTACAAGAAGGTTATAGAAGACCAACCAGATTTAACCCAAAGAAGACTACTGCAAGGAATTTAATAATCAAACTCCCAAAGGTCAAGGATAAGAAAGGATCCCAAGAGCAGCAAGAGAAAAGAAACAAATAACACACAATGGAGCTCCAATATGCTTAGCAGCAGACTTCTCAGTGGAAGCCTTACAGGCCAGGAGAGAGGGGCATGACATATTTAAAGTCCTGAAGGAAAAAAACATTTACTCCAGAATAGTATAGCTGATGAAAACAGACAAATGGGATTACATCAAGTTAAAAAGCTTTTGCACAGCAAAGGAAACAATCAACCCACAGAACGGGAGAAAACAGTTGCAAACTACATATCTGACAAGGGGTTAATAACTAGCCTATGTAAGGAGCTCAAACAATTCTATAGGAAAAAATATAATAATCAAAAGAAGGGCAAAAGGTCTCAATAGACATTTCTCAAAAGAAGACATACAAACGGCAAACAGGCATATGAAAGGGTGCTCAACATCATTCATCATCAGAGAAATGCAAATCAAAACTACAATGTGATATCATTTCACCCCAGTTAAAATGGCTTATATCCAAAAGGCAGGCAATAACAAATGCTGGCAGGGATGTGGAGAAAAGGGAACCCTTGTTCACTGTGGGTGGGAATGTAAATTAGTACAAACACTATGGAGAAGAGTTTGGAGATTCCTCAAAAAACTAAAATTAGAGCTACTTTGTGATCCAGCAATCCTACTCCTAGGTATACACCCAAAAGAAAGGATATCAGTTTATTAAAGAGATATCTGCACTCCCATGTTTACTGCAGCACTATTCACAATAGCCAAGATCATATATATGAAGTAAACTGCAATAAACATGGGAGTGCAGATATCTCTTCAATATTATATATATGTGTGTGTGTGTGTGTGTGTGTGTGTACCATTGTATATGTGTGTCCATTCATCTGTTGATGGACACTTAGGTTGCTTCCAAATCTTGGCTACTGTGGTACACATACACAATGGAGTACTATTCAGCCATAGGAAAAAAAAAATGAGATCCTATCATTAGCAACAACATGGATGGAACTAGAGGTCATTAAGTGAAATAAGCCAGGCACAGAAAGACACACTTTGCATGTTCTCACTTATTTGTGACAGAAAAAATTAAAATAATTGAACTCATGGAGATAGAGGGTAGAAGGATCGTTGCCAGAGGCTAAGAAGGGTAGTACGGAAGTGGGAGGTCGGGGTGGGGAAGTGGGGAGGGATAATGGCTACAAAAAGTAGAAAGAATGAATAAGACCTAGTATTTGATAGCACAGTGGGTAACTACAGTAAAAAATAATTTAATTGTACATTTAAAAATAACTAAAAGAGTATAATTGGATTGTAACACAAAGCATAAATGCTTGAGATGATGGATACCCCAATTATCCTGATGTGATTATTATGCATTGCATGCCTATATCAAAATATTTCATGTAACTCCTAAGTATATACACCTACTATGTACCCACAAAAATCAAACATAAACAAATAACAAAAAAGGAGCTGTGTCCAGATTTTGGTAGCAAACACCCAGCCTGTGCAGCCAGGCAAGTGCCAGGCAGTGGTACTTAAGGCACCACCAGCTTTTAGGTTACTCCTGTATTTTTTAGATTCTCCTTTAAAGCATGAACTGAGCGCAACATCAATCAAGGCTAGATTCTTTAATGATATGACAAGAAAACCCAAGTTTCTGTCAGCAAAACCCTGCAAAATTGTTCTACTATTGTTTCTAGTGCTCTAGGTCGCTTTTGCAGGTGACCCTTTAAAGGTGCAGAACAATTGGCAGCAAAGGCAGGTATCCCTCTTTCCCAAAAAAGTTGAATCTGTGATCAGACCTCCTATCAAAAAGAAATCTGTTTGAAACTACTCTTTTTGGCATATTTCTATTTGTGGGGATTAGAATGAGCCAATCCACAACCATTGTGGGATCATAAGAACAGCAGATATCATCCACATTGCAGTAACTCCAGAATGTCCTCAACTCTGCAATGCTGGAACAAGTCAGAAAAGAACAGGGTCAATTTCTCTCAGGTCAGATGACTCCAATGGAAAGAAGCTGGATTTTAAAGGGAAGTGTCTCAGGTAAAGGCTTCTAGGCTTTTCCAACAGCAAACGGCAGACTTCCAATTTTGCATGTGTGCGGGTACCAAGAGCAATGTGCATCAAGAAAGGCTAAGCACTGTTCACAGAATTAATGCTCCAGGTAAGCACAGTCATACTGACTTTCCCTTTTTCCAGGAATCTTTGACAATGCTTTGATCTCGTGCTATAATTTTAGTGGAAGTAAACCTGAATAGTCCTAAGTGATACATTTCAATTAACTCCTTGATTACACTTACAAATCAATCCCAGCCAAACTCAGTGACACATGGGGTCTCAATTATATAAAGCTACCAGCAGGCAGGTGAAGGGGCATTCTCAGTTCAGGTGTTTTAGGTAAAACCTCATTGGTAAAAAACCTCAAATGAGCCCTCACTGGGGTCAGCTGTGGGACTCTGGTACCCAAGGGAGGTAACTGCTGGCTCCTTACCGTAAGCTCCTGCTTTATGCATTCAATTGTGGCCTCAAGCGCCCTGGTGCCCCGGGTGGCCTCATCCTCCACTGCCTTTACAGTCTTGAGGAGCGAGGTGACATTGGTCACCATCACCTGCATAGGAAGGGAGAATGAATACAGATAGTGCAGTGACTCAGGTCCAGCCCCTACTCCTTTTACTTCTGGATCGCATGCTATGAGCAAGGACGCCTCTCCTTCCTTTAAGTGAGAAGAGAACTCAGGTGCTCATCCCCAGTCGGAGCCCCACTCTACCTTGGCAGCCCCCTTGAGCTGGTACATGGAAGGGTCGTCCACTGGCTTGCTGGCAGCTCCCTTGGTAGCACTGATGAGATCAGAAAGGGCCTTGGCCACATCTTTGATGGCATTGATCAAAACCACCTGAAAGAGAGCACAGAACTCAGGTGAGCAGGCGTCAAGATGTCAGCTGTGGGCTTTACCAAGGCATGCAGCCTGAGGGCAGGCCAGGGCACGGGGGAGGAGAGAAAGACAGTCTGAAGTCTGCAGCATGGCAGACCTCCTGGGAAGCCACCCTTGGTGATTCTGATACAGGACTCAGGACTTTGAAAAGCTGCCCAGGGGAGGCTGAAGCTGAGCCAGAACGGAGAAGTCAGGTGCAAACATGCAGCTTATGTAAAACCTCCTAGCCAGCAACTTGGCCGATGAGCTGCCTCTGACAGCACAAAGGACACCAGAGAGGCAACACCACTTACTCCTAACTGGCACCCTGAACACTGAGTAAAAATCCCCACCTGACCCCAGCCCTCAAGGCCCCACAACAGCCCTGCCTGCCTCTCTGGCTATGAGGTGCTCTGCTACAGGCACACAGGTCAGCCTGTCTTCTTCTCCATGGGAAATCTCAACTCATTCCTGTTTCGGACCTTTGCTCATTGTTCTAACTGGGACTCAGCTCTTTCCATCACTTGGGCCTTAACTCAAATGTCATGTCCTCAGAGGCTTTTCCCCATCCCTCAGCTAAGGGCCCACTCCCACAATTGCTGAAACTGTCAGGTTGCCGTTTTATTTACAGCACTTATCAGTAGGTGGAATTATTTTATCATTTATTCACTTATAAATCATCTGTCTTCTCCCTCAACTTGAGTGCAAGCTCCAGGAGGCTTGGCCTGGACTTCTGCTTTGTTTCACGCTTGTAACAGGGATGAGCACCCAGCAGGTACTCAGTAAATACTTGTGGAATGAAGATGCAGGTACGTTCCCACATAAACCTGGATGTGATGCATTATCTGTGTTTGCTTTTCTAATTTCACAGAGACCACAGATCATCTTTTCAAAGTGCCGGATTTAGAGTGAAAAGTACCAGGTCTAGATGGGAATTACACAATATTGGGCACTGCATTTAAGCGTTCCCAGTCCAGTAGCTCCAGTAACTCCTATTTCTATAATAATAAAAACATTTTCCCTTTACTGAGGGCAGTGTTCAGGTGCTGAGCCAAGCACTCTACACACATTATCTCATTTACTCCTCGCCACTGCCTTTTCGAGTGGGAACCACAACCCTTATGTCCACACTCCCAGAGCCCAGCAGTGGCAGAGTTGGGATTCAGAGTCTGGTGAGCATGAGGGCCACGGTCTTAACCTCCACACTGCGCCATGCCTGTGTGCGTGGCTCTGGGTCCTCATCCACAGTGAAATTAGCTTGCTAGCCCCATCTACCTCATTAAATTGCTTTGAAGATAAACTGGGATCTCAGATGTGACAACGTATTAAGAGTGCAGTGGCGTGATCTCGGCTCACTGCAACCTCCACCTCCTGGGTTCAAGTGATTCTCCTGCTTCAGCCTCCCGAGTAGCTGGGATTACAGGCACCCACCACCTGTAGCGGAGGTTTTTGTGAATGCTTAGAATTCCAAAAGGCAGCCAATCTGGACTCTGATGTTATCAGAAATCCAACAGAAAGGATGAAATGGTAGCATAAGGAATGTTTCCTCTCGGAGCTGTGCTCCACTCATGGGTGCTGTCAGGGAGGGAAGTGTCATGCCGTGAGGGAACGAGCTGGTGGCCTCAAGTGAACCAGCACAGTCACTGCATCCCCTGGGGGCACTGAATGACAGGGGGTTTCTAACCAGTTTTGTCCAGACAGACTAGTTTACTGAGAATGGTTTAAGGAGTGAAAACTGAAGTGCTTGGCATTTGACGGTTCTGGGAACAGAGAGAACAGAGGTTTTTTTTTTTTGTTTTGTTTTTGTTTTTTAAATTTTGCACTCTGGGAACAGGCATCATCCATTTATTAGCGACTTTTGTTGGCTGTTAGTTCAACAACAGGTGAACATATACTTGTTCAGTAGCCAGTAGCCACTATGTGCCAAGAGCTGTGCCGCATGTGCAGGTTTCAAAGATGAGCAAACTGTGGTGACTGTCCTTGAGGAGCAATGGTCTGGGAAGGGGACCAAGGAACAGGCAAGTAATCTCAATGAAATTGCCAAATATCAGAAGCGGAAGTCACAGAAGCACAGGGCCCTTCCCTAGCCTTCCAGTTCTTCTCTCTCTTCCTTGAGAACCGAAGTTCTCACCTGGGCCATCTACAGGTGCTGAGTTCATTTCCCCACCCCCATCTGGCTGCTGCCCCACCACTCCACACAAGCAGCTGGGGACACCAATGTCCTCGATGGCACTCGATGGTTACCGGAACAGGCCAATAACCAGTTCCCAGTCTTCCCTCTTTCTTAACTCTGTCTCTGGTGGGTTGAAACACTCCATCCTGGCAACATGATGCCCGCGGCTTTCCTCCCTGCAGCAGCTGCTGCTTCTCCGTCTCCTGTGCCACTTGCACGGTAAAGTGGTCCTAAATGCTGGATTCCTCCAGGCTCTGCCCCGACTCCCTGGCTTTTCCTCTCGTGTGGTTGCAGTCGCTACCTCTATGGCAACAGTCGCTGAACCCACAGCCCCGTGCCTGGGCAGGCTCACGCGCACTCACTAGTTCTACCTGTGTGTGGCTCCGGCACTTCAATCTCCTCCACCTCCCCCTGCCCACACCAGCTCTCCCTTCAGGGAGCTCCTGTGCCCTGCTCTGGCCCACAAGGAGCCGCCTTTCACTCCTTCCCCTCCCTCAGGTATGCCGTGCTCCAGCCTTCACCGGGCCAGGCCAAGCCTTCCTTCTAGACTCTTCTCAAATCCCTCCGCTTGTCTCCATCCCCATGGCCACCACCACAGTCTGTGCCACTATCTCGCTTGGATGACTGCCTCCTACCGGTTCCTCAAACCAGACACACTCACACACACATTGTCTACTTCAAAAGTTCCTGTTCTGCCTTAGGCCTCTTCTGAGGCCCGATGTGCAGCGTTCACGGGAAGACCGGGAGGACGCACTCCCCAGGCCCTGCTGGTACCTGGGTCTCGGGGTCGTCGGAGCCCAGGCTGGCTGCCCCCAGCTTGACCACTTCTGCGAGCTGGGTGATGGTGGCTGCTGAGGACTGGGCCGCCTGGGCCAGCTTGTCAGGAGTGGACGCAGCTCCTGACACAAGTAGTTTCGTGTCTTCTACCAAGGCCTTGGCCGTCTTGAGAATGTTCTCCCTGAGAGAGCCAGGAGGGCAGGGGAGAGGGGGAGAGACAGAGGGCAAAGCTTGATTACTTCAAGAAGAAAAGAAATCCCTCACATGGGGCTTTTGTTAAAGGGCTTTGAAGAAGAGAAGTGCTGTGTTACACCTCCCTTTACCAACGGACTCTCATCTTCCACAAATGCAAAACTGGGGGGAGAAGAAGAAAGTCAACCAGTATTCATTCACATAGCCGACTGACATGAAAACTTCAGTGAAAGAGTCAGGCCCACCAACCTGGCTCCCTTCCCAAGCCCTATAGTTCAATGAAAGGTCAGCTTCTTTTCTGTGACTCCCACTGTCCCTTAAAATACTCCATAGCTAGTGACTGTGAGGACACATGGGTTGGGGCACCTTGTTCAGGATCAGAGGCTGGGCTTGGGAAGGGACAGCAGAGCTCTGGGAACTGCCTCCCTAGCCCAGCCCTTGGATTGCAGAGGGGAAGAAAGGTATAGGACATGTGGTGAGGTTTCAGGGGTCCCTAGCAGCAGATAGAGAGGCTGAGTGCAAGCTGAGCAGAGATAGGGGCTTTGAGCCCCTATCTTCCCAAAACAGGGTTTAAGCGAAATATGCCTGCCCCTGCCATTCCCAATCCTGCTGGGGTTGGCCAGCAGTTTGAGGAACGGCTCTCTGGCTCAGCGTGTGGCAGGTCTAAAATCTGTCCTTTGCTGTAGCAGGCTGGATTTAAGGCTGTCAAAGGCAAAGCTCGAACCACGACACTGTGTTTACAGTTGGCAAAGGGGGCTTATTCTGATTACATGGTTCACTTTCCCAACTTGTGCATCTTGTTGAAATCAAAACAGATAACTACATTTCTGGCTCCCAGGTGGCGTCTCCAAGTCGATCATGAGTTTCAGGGGCAGGCCAGCCTGAACCTCTCCCCGTCCAGGACCCCCACGTACCTGTGGTCTGCGAAGGTCTCACTGTTCTCTGCATTCAGCGTCCCCGCTGTTGCAAACATAATGGTGGTGTCCAGGTCGGCAATGATCCCAGACACAGCGGTGGCGGCTGTAATGCATGCCTGGGTTCCTTTGTTCCCGGCCTGGAGAGCCGAGAGCACCAAGGAGACCTGTAGGCAGAAAGGGAATGTGAGGGGAGCTAAGAAATGGAGAGAACAGGACCTAAAAGCAGATTCTGAAAATAATGAATTCTCTCCTAGGAGTTGATGTAGCTTAGAGGTTAACAACACACATCTGGAGTCAACGGCCTCAGTCTGGATACCAGCTTTGCCATTTACAGGCCCTGTGACCTTAGGCAAAGCTGCTTTACCTCTCCAAACCTCAGTTTCCTCATCTGTAAAATGGGGCCACTATTTCTGGCCTATTAGGGTTGTTGAGAGAATTAAGTAGGAAGAAAAATATCTGTAAAGTGTCTAGCAAGGCATTTGGCACATAGTAAGTACTCAGCAGAGGGCAGATGCTATTTATTCAATTACTGCTATGTTTCTGAAACCACAGAACGGGAGAAAGGATTAGACTCCTGTGAAAGGTGTGGCGATTACATCCCCTTTTATTAGGTTTTCAGTAGGAACAGGCCACTGCTAACACTCATCACACCTTTGCTGGGATGGAAATTCTCCAGAATGGAGTTCAGAAGGGCTGGAGTCTAGAGGGGATCTGTGTATGTGACCTCTCCACTTCTAACACTCCTGCAAGCCATCATCCACCCCCGAACCATCATTTCAGTGCCCCGAGGGCCCAGCAAGTTCACTCGGGTGTCTTCCATGTCAGAAATCCTGTGCTGTCACCCTCACCCATCACGTACACCCTCACTGCTCCGAGGTACTTTCCTATGACATAAACCTGACCACACTAACACCCTGCTTACAAATCTCCCCTGGCTGAGCTCCGTTTCTGGTCATGTGTCCGCTTCACCTGGCTCTCACCACACCCGCCAGCTCCTGACTTTCCCAAACACTCCCACCTCTCCACCCTGGGTCTGCGCTCTGCCTGCAACGACTCCTGCCCCTCTCCCGCAGCCACCGAACTAGTTGCCCCGTCAGATGCCAAAGTGAAGGAAGAAGGAAAAGCCACCAAGCACGGATGTATCATCCTGTGCCTCAAGCAGCCTGCAAAACAGCTGAGCCCCGGACACCTCCCCCTGCTCTCCTCTTCCAGAGACAGCCCTGCCTCCCGGGACGCCACAGCACACCGTTCTTGCCCTCAGGATGGCCCAATGCACCCAATGTAAATCGCATGTGTCAGGCTAGTGGCTGGAGGCTCTTTGAGTCTTTGTATTAACCTCTGCGTGCACACACCCACTACCCTTGACTACGACCCAAAGAAGAATCTGACAACGTTTCGTAGGTAGATTTCTTCAAACATGCTGACCAGGGCAGGGGAGTCACTGTGTTACCGTGCCAGCAAGAGGCATGGAGTATGAGACACTCTGTCCCCCGTGCTGCTGAGATCTCAGCAGAGGCTGTGGACACAGTCTGGCAGGAGAGGCACAGGGACCATTTCCTGGGTACCTACCACGTTCCAAGACCAGCCCACAAGGAATTGTTTCTCTTCCTCATCTGCCTTTCTTTCAAATGCTACTAGGTCCTGCCAGGAAAAGACAAGTCAGACTGGCATAGAGCTGGCCGGGAAATGAGGTATCCAGGTTCTGGAAAGCCCCTCAGAGGATGGGTGACAAAGGCCAAGACAAGTATCACGGGAAGCCTGCAGGGTTGTATATGTGTCTGGGAGAGAGACATTCTTAGCCAAGGTGAAAGAAAAAGAGTCCAGAAATAGCATCCCACCCTCTGTGAAGGGTGTGCCAGCCAGCAGGTGTTTACTGAGTATCTGCTAGTCACTAGGGTCTGAGGACACAAAGGCAGACAAGTCATGGCTGTGTGTGGGTACACTATACACACCATCAAGGCATATAACGAGACACAAGGCATAGAGGACAGGGACGCACAGCAAGAAACAGTCAAAAGGCCAGTTGCTAGGAACGAGCCACCTCCTCTCCTTTGGTGGTCCCTCCAGGTGTCCTAAATCAGGGACCCAAAGCCGGGACAGGTAGCGGCCGAGGCCAGCTCAGGAAGACCAAGCTGCTTGGCCATGCCTACAAACACTATGTAGCTCGGACCCCTCTCCTCCCTTCCTGGTGCTCCCGCTATAAGGCCTTTTATGGGGGAACTTGGCAAGAATAACTTCAATAACAAGAAAGGGCTTTGAAAGGAAGGCAAATGCCTTCCTCCAGCTGAGAGATTTATTTCCTCGTCTGTGGAGTCCCAGGAGGCTGGACAGCCCTGTGGGCTATGGGAGAAGGCCAGACTGTAGCTTGGCCTCAGGGAGGGCCACGGACAGAGCAGCCTCTGTGGCAGCAGCTTCCAGTTGAGGGTCCCCCCTGCCCGCCCCTCAAGTCTGTTGCCAAGTTTCTAAACAGGACAGAGCTCTGTGTCCTATGAACCAGAGTTAAGGGAAGGGGAAAAGCCACCAAGCCTGGATGCTTTATCCTGTACCTCAAGCAGCCTGCAAAACAGCTGACCTGAAAAATGATTCCGAGACAAAAAGCAAAGCAAAAGACTCGCATACTGGGGGAGAATAGAAGAGCTACTTGGGAATGAAGAAACATTCAGAGTATGGCGTGGTTAACTGGGGAAAACTGCCTGGGGAAAAAGAAGTTTGGAGGAAAGTTAGAGAAAACAGTAGCTAGATTTATTACATGTGTAACTGTGTGTCTGGCACTGTACCAGGCACTTTTACACATATCAGCACAGTAAATCTTTGCAGTTCTATCAGTCAGATATTATATATTTTTATCCTCATTTTACAGATGAGGAAATCAAGTTGTGGAAAGCTGAAGTACCTTAGCTAAGATCTTAGAGCCTTCTTCACTACCCCATGGGAATCTCTCTACAAACAACTGTCTTTAGAATCAGAAAACCGAGGACAAGTTTCTGCTTCTCCACAAAGGCACACGCCACTGCCCCATGTGGCCTAACCCACCCCCACTTCACTGTCTCATCTGTAAATTAGAGGTTACACCAAAGGGATTTTCACTCCTCCTGACTCAGCCCTCAGCCCTCAGCAGCCTCCTTGAGAAGAAAGATGGTGTCAACAGAGGTTGCAGGAAAGGGCTCTGGCTCCAGGCCTCCCCTGACCAGGGGCTCCTGGCTGCTGATGGGGACTTTGATACAATCTGCCTACGGGGAAGCCCTGCAAGAAGGGGGAGTGCCAGGGCCTGACCTTCATGGGATAGTCCCTCTAAGCCCTCAAATTCTCTGGGCCTATGATCACCCCAGCTCCCTGATGCACCCCATTTTTGGGAGAACCTGGGCAGTGGGGAAGATCGGGATGAGACAGCTGAGTCAGCTGGGTTAGTTTTGGCTGAGTTTCCTGCTTTTGTCCTTGATTACAGCGGATCACTGAGAGCCAGCGCAGGTTCTTGTGACTCTAAACTGAGGGCTGCTCCTTACCTTTTCCGTGACGGCACGGGCGCATTCGATCAGCTCCCTCTTGGTGTAGCTGTCTGTGGGGCAGACCTGGAGGGCCCCTGCCTTCTGCACCAGGAAGATACAGCCGTGGCCCAGGTCCTGCACACGAGTGCGAATCTGGAATCCGATCTGCAGAGGCAAGCCCAGGATGGGGAAGGAGAAGCGTGATGGACTCTGCCATCGAGGCCTTCCCTACGTGGAAAATTTCTCCTATGTCCTATGGGAGCCTGGCTAGGAAAATTCCACTCCTATTAGGAGTCTGTGTTTGGTGAAGTATGGAATTTGGTTGATTTTGCTTCCCTTTTGAGAGACTGTAAAATGCCCAGTCTCTACCTAGCAAGGCTGTATCTTGAGGTCCTAGCGTGATACCCTCCTTGATACATATCTTTCCTGGTTTATAGCTTATCTGCTCCTCCAGCCACCTGGTAAGAATGTTAATTAGAGGAACTTTGTGGGATAATTCTGTTATTCATTCAACAAGCATTTACTGAGCCCCTATTGTGTGTCAAGGCCTCTTCTAAGCAGGTAATGTGTTTAATTTCATTTATTCTTCAAAATAGCTCTAGAGGGTAATTAGAGGTTCAAAATGTGGTTTCCGTATTAAGCATATTTTGAAGTGTTCAGATTCTTGCAAAATTGGTATGTTTACCAACTAGAACACCCCCTTCCCCAGCTGTATCCCATGGGGACAGCGACCATACCAAGCCCAGACTTCCTATCAGGCCAGGTTTGAGGTTTCCTTTAAAAGGTACATTTTTAGAGCTAAAAGCTCAGCAGGCACACATTCTTTTAATAACTCCTGGGTTGTGTGATTATAAAAGGTACTTTGCCTAAGAGAGGCCAAGTGGGCTCCGCTGTGGATTAGCTGCCAGCTGTCTCCTTTAAGGTGTAACAAATTCCACTTCCACCTCCCCGAAGTTTGCATTCCTCCGGCCCTGTTTCACATCAAATTTCATTTTGGTCTGATCGATACAGCTGCCATAAATAATCTGCCTTCCAGCCCAGGTAGGCAACTCAAACCTAACCAAAACTTTAAGCATGGGTCAGTGTTATTTTCAAGAATCTACAAGAGCTAGAAGCTATGGCTTTTATTTTTCCAGCGTCTATCAGGAATAGTTATGAAAAGATCTCAGGTATTGTGAATAAAACCTGGGAGATTTTTGGCCCCCTGGATGCTATCTTCCAATACCATCTCATTAGTCACAGTTAAAGAAAGGGTGACTTTGGAGAATGAGGGGTGCTGCAATTGTTATTTCTCATATTATTGAAACACTGTTTTTAGGGAAAAAACTCTCTTCCTTTAAACCCCTTAAAGGCCCAAAGAACTTTTAAATCCATTTAGTAGAATATTCTCGTGATCGACAAAGTTGAGCTTCTGCTCTTTAGGTGTCTTCTACACACTTTCTTCTTTTTTTTGAGATAGAGTCTTGTTCTGTCACCTAGGCTGGAGGGCAGTGGTGTGGTCTTGGCTCACTGCAATCTCCGCCTCCCAGGTCCAAGCATTCTCCTGCCTCAGCCTCCTGAATAGCTGGGATTACAGGTGGCCACCACAACACCCAGCTAATTTTTGTATTTTTTTTTTTTTAGTAGAGACGGGGTTTCACCATGTTGGCCAGGCTGGTCTCGAACTCCTGACCTCAGGTGATCCGTCCACCTCAAGTGATCCGCCCACCTTGGCCTCCCAAAGTGCTGAGATTACAGGTGTGAGCCACCAGGCCCAGCCAAGCTGCTGCTCTTTTGGGTGCTTTCTATACACTTCTATACACCTTCGTACACAGGGTGCTACAGACATTTCATAATTAAGCAGGGCTGTCTTGTTGACTACCTCCATGCAGAATACAACAGCAGCAGCACCTCTGGACTGCACAACACGGCAGCTCTGCAAACAGATCTGGACTGGTGTAGTAGTATGGCTGCCGCTGAGGCGGGAAAAACACTCCAGCCCACACAGATGTCATGTCATTTAAATATATGTGTTTGCGGGACATGTTTGTTGGTTTGAAAATAATGTTAAGCTGAAGCAGGGGTATACCCCATTAAAGTTTCAAACAATCTGGCTCTTGAAGTGTTCCAGATCCACAGAGTTAAAACCTAAGTATTTCAGGGTAAGATAATCTAGAGGCAAGGGCTCTGAGGTCAGTGATGACCACAGATCTTTAAAGGATAAAGTGCTGCTGGAAAAGTCAAGTAAGAAGGAAATGGAGTTAGAAACATTTATAGAATTTCAAGGTAAAAAAGATCTTACCAGTTCAACCTCCCCATTTTACAGACCCAGAGAAGTGATGTGATTTGCCTAAGATCACACAGCTGGTCCCTGGCAAAACTAGGTGAGAATCCAGGTCTTTAATCCTGAGCACAGTGCTCTACTCGGTAGATCAGTGTTTTTCTAACTTCTTTGATTTTTCGACTTAGCAGCAGAACCCTTCCTCTCCCTCTCGAAATTAAATCTCTTGTGGATCTCAATACGTCAAACGGATAGCAGTAATGGGTTATTAGTATACTCTTCCTTTATGAGTTAAAATGTGTATCTTTGACCCAATAAAAAGCCAAAAATGAGACTGAGTGAATCAAAGTTTTACAGATAAGGTTATGAAGGCTAGTTACAGCCTTAGCCACCAAATTATTTCTGTGTTTTGCTTTGGTGACACAGTGTTGAGAAAATCCTGTTACATGCATAAAGAAAGCAAAGGAGAGCAGTTTCCTCCCAGTTCTTGACCACTGCGGACAAGGCAGATGCAGCAGCAGCAGCCTGAGATCAGCACAAAACTACCCAGCAGCCTGAAGCAAAGCACCGGTGGCCCCCAAGGGGTTCCCATTTGGCCAAGACCACACTCAAAAGCTCCTTTCTGCCACCCACATGAGTGAAAGGTTGACAGCAAGGCGGGTTTTCCTAACAGTTTCTACAATAGTTAAATTAAGTTTAAAAAGTGACACTAGGGGCAAACATGCAGAACCTTCTCCGTGGGTTTTGAAGAACATGGCATGAAACCATGATGCTAGAAGAGACCCAGGCTCTCAAACTTCTCTGTGCACTCCTCCTGCTCCCGTGCAGAGTCCAGCCTGAGCTTTCTATTTGCAAAATGCAAGGCACCGGGACGAACACCTGTATCTTAAATCCCCTTGAGAGTGGGAGGGAGGGAGGACCCGCTCTTGAGCTGTCTTGAACCTGAACCCTATGGGATGACATGATCCATGGTGGGACACATCCTCAACAACACTTTTGTGTTCCCTTAGTGCCACCCCACACCAAAGGCTACGCTCTAAAAACATACCCCAGTGCCCTGCTGCCCGGCCCCTTTCTTGGAGGTGACACGATGCATATAGCAAGGGAGCCTGTATATGATCAATGGTGCAGCTGGCCCAGTGGTCATCAGAAATAAAATTCCAGTTAAGAAGCTCCAAGGAAGGCCAGCACCAGAAAACAAGGGGATGAGAGTAAGTGAGGCAACAGCTGCAAAGGCCTTTGGTGTTCTCAGTCAACCCAGGGCTTTGCCTCCATATTCAGCGCTGTGCCAAGTCACGCAACTGTCATCTAGGTACCTGGAGACCCCCTTGAGGCTCAGCCTCACAGGTATCTTGCATGTGTGTCTGCACAATCCTATTTGGACAGCACACGGAAGGGATGCAGGGTTATCAAGGACAAGCTGAAACAGGCTTCATCCACTGATGTTCATGGGCCAGGAGGGCTGAATTTAAGAGGAAGAATGGGATCTCAGGATTCCCAGCCAGCCCTGTTCTCAATGTTTCACCCCTTTGGGCAGCAGAAAGGACTAGGGACCTTCATCCAGCTCTGCCTTCTCCTTGGGAACCTGACATTCTGGGTGAGCCCATTAACCTTGAGGGGCCTTTGTTCCTTCCCCTGTGACACAGGACAGAAGCTATGTCCCATTCTGGGGGCTGATGGGATGGTCAAATGAACAGGTACATGTGGAAAATCTCAAAAAGATGAAAGTGCCATATGAATGTGTACTGCTGGAAAAGGAGGCAGACTGGTACAGAGAGGCAGCCAGGGTTGTGATGCCCGACTAACCTGGGTTTGAATCCTGGCTACTCCACATATTTACTTGTTAACTTATTTACTTACTTGGAACATTCGCTTATTCCAAAAAGTTATTTAAAGTGGCTCGCATACTAGCGACTGTAGTTGTGTGGTCTTGGGCAGTTTAACTAAGTTCCCTGAGCCTGGGTTTACTTATCTGTGAAATGGGGAAGAAAAAAAGATTGTTATCTCACTGCAGTTGTGAGGAGAAACAAGATTGGGCCCATCACAGCATCTGACATGCGGTAGGACTTGATAAATAATAACTCTCTTACCATTACTTTGCAGAGGCACATGGAACAGCTAGGGCATTTAAATGAAAGAGGACAACAGAACCAACAGTCTACTGGCAATTTCCCAGAACATTTTGTTTTACTAGGGGAACATCCTTGAAAGGAAATTCTTTGTTTCTTTTTTTTGAGATGGAGTTTCGCTCTTTTTGTCTAGGCTGGAGTACAATGGTGCGATCTTGGCTCACTGCAACCTCCGCCACCCGGGTTCAAGCGATTCTCCTGCCTCAGCCTCCTGAATAGCTGAGATTACAGGCACCCCCCACCATGCCCGGCTAATTTTTGTATTTGTAGTAGAGACAGGGTTTCGCCATGTTGCCCAGGCTGGTCTCGAACTCCTGGCCTCAAGTGATCCACTCATCTCGGCCTCCCAAAGTGTTGGGATTACAGGCGTGAGCCACAGAGGAAATTCATTTTTTGAGTCTGTATCCAAAAAGATAAGAGATTTAGACTGGCCACAGTGGCTCACGCCTGTAATCCCAGCACTTTGGGAGGCTGAGATGGGTGGATCACTTGAGGCCAGGAGTTCGAGACCAGCCTGGACAATGTAGCAAAACCCCGTCTCTACTATAAATACAAAAATCAGCCTGGCATGATGGTGGGTGCCTGTAATCTCAGCTACTCAGGAGGCTGAGGCAGGAGAATCGCTTGAACCCGGTGGCGGAGGTTGCAGTGAGCCGAGATCACACCATTGTACTCCAGCCTGGGCGACAGACTCTGTCTCAAAAAAAAAAAAAAAAAAAAAAAGATAAGGAGTTTAAAAATGCTAAGCTTCTCCATGCAATAGTGAGCTTCTCAGTAAATATGACCAGCCCACAGGGTGATCCAACGAACTACCAGTGTTTATTAGAAAGGAATGTAGCTCAAAGACATAAAATGTGGGGTTTTAAATTGGCAACTTTAGAAAAGTGTTACTTGAGACTCAAGAAAAACCCTCAATTCTTTTTTTGTCGAAATAAAAGTAAAATGGAGAAAATCATCTCCTGGTTTTGTGCCTTGGGGGAAGTTAAAAGCCTGGTCTTTATGAAGTTTTGGATCTGATTCCAGTTGGAGGGGGTCTAAGGAATCCTGATCGCCTTTCCTCACTGCCTCAAACACAACAAAACACACTGGTTTTTCCCAAGCCTTAAAAAACAACTACATCTGAAACCAGGTCAAATATAATTTGCTTGGGACAGCTTGTGAAAGTTGAAAAGGCAAGAATGGAACTTATCTGACAAAGATAGAAAACATGGAAGAAAAAAGTGGCTGGGCATGGTGGCTCACATCTGTAATCCCAGCACTTGGGAGGCTGAGGCAGGTGGATGGCTTGAGTCCAGGAGGTTGAGACCAGCCTGGGCAACATAGTGAGACCTTGTCAATAGAAAAATTAACCAGGCATGGTGGCGCACACCTGCAGTCCCAGCTACTTGGGAGGCTGAGGTGGGAGGATTGCTTAAGACTGGGACAGAGCTCAAGGCTGTAGTAAGCTGTGATTGCACTACTGTACTCCAGCCTGGGCAACAGAGTGAGACCCCGGCTCAAAATAATAATAATGGTAATAGAATTATTATTAGGTTGGCATAAAAGTAATTGCGGTTTTTGCCACTAAAAGTAATGGCAAAAACTGCATTTACTTTTGCACCAACCTAATAAAAGAGTGGTTCCAATGGCACTGGGGCATCATTTTCCCACCTCCAGCACGTGTGTCTTGGGGTGGAAAATTTTAGAGAATTCTAAAGCAGACATCCATTTCATCTGGGGGAAAGGGCTGTGGTTCTCACAAATCATCTTAACAAATGATTGCGCCAGCTTTTAAGGCATCCAGTATTTCAAGTGGTTACTGCACATTTTCCTCAGAGACAAAGCTGTTGTCGCTAAATCTTTTCCTCAGGATTTACATTTAGAAGTTGTGGCTCATAGGATCTCGAGTTCTTTCTTCTTCTTTTTTTAAGGGGAAAATAATCTTAAATTGCAAAGCTGCTGGAGGCTTTTAACTTTTCCAAAGAAAGAAGTTTTCAAAGTGATGTTAACAAAGGCTTGAATTTTCCATGAAAAATAAGCAGATAAAGCTCCTGCTTGATGTTCCAGGGCAGAGCTATGACTTTTCCTGTAATTGTCACATTCTGGAAAAGACCAAAATGCTGACCTTGCATAGCGGACTGCGGGACTGCAGCGAAGGGAGCAGCTCCTTATTTCCCCTGGATATAAATATTTTCACATGTTGTGATAGGGGGCCCTCTTGGGTAAACAAATAATTCCACGATCTTGGAATAAAAAACTACATTGCTTCAGGGATCTCCTAACCTTCTCAGTTTTCCCCAAATATCTGTCTGGCAAATGTACACAAAGAATTTTCCTTAGCAAGCCACTGGAAATTTTATATTCTCTCTGCCCCTTTTCACTCCAGGTCACACTGCTCTCGTGTCTGGAATGTAAAATACATCTCAAGATGTAACAGTGAAAAGGAAAACCTTAATGAAAACGTCAGCTGCTGCAAATGCAGGGCCAATAACCAAAGTAACCTGTTGTTGTGCTTTTAGCAACACATTCTCTTTCCTTGCTGTTTTGGCATTATTTTATACTTTGGTTCAATGGTCTCTGTCGTAATAAAAAAAAAATCTGCTTGTTTCACACGTTGGGTGGGTAGCTTACAAGAACTCATGTGGAAAGGGCTATACAGACAGTTCAGGGAGACAGTAGTTAAACTACCTAAGGCAGATGGTGGTAGATTCCATTTTTAAAGGTTTCTGTGGACAGATATCCAAACCTCCCTTGCCAAACACTTCTTCCCCTTTTTTTTTTTTTTTTGAGATGGAGTCTCATTCTGTTGCCTAGGCTAAAGGGCAGTGCATAGTCTTGGCTCACTGCAACCTCCACCTCCCGGGTTCAAGCAATTCTCCTGGCTCAACCTTCTAAGTAGCTGGGATTACAGGCGCACACCATCACGCCCAGTATTTTTGTAGACAAGGGGGTACGCCATGTTGGCCAGGCTGGGTCTTGAACTCCTAACCTCAAGTGATCTGTCCACCTCGGCCTCCCAAAGTGCTTATAGGCGTGAGCCATCACGCCCAGCCCACTTTTCCTTTTGTCCAAGCAAACTTTTCCTTACTGTAACAGAAGTTCCCTTACATTTGTTTATGGAGTTCAAAATTATAGGTTAGTCAAATGAATTATAAATCTAGATGATCTTACTAAAACAGGGAGTCTATTTAAAAAAAAAATGATAGGCCTGTGTAAAGAATCAACAGAATCTTAATGTGGGTATCTGATAACTCTCTTTTCTTGGTAGTGACTTCACACTCATTGCAAATAGAATTATTCATGCTACAGCCTAGTCAATTATTCTAATATCTCAAAATGCAGGCACTGTTAGAGACTTAAGTAATCCCATGCTAGATATTTATGTATGCAAGTACATACATATATGGTACTCCTATTTACATGCATTGTTACCACACACATTAGAAAGTGATTTGTTTTGGGACTTCATTTCTGGAATATCTCTCGGAGTCTCTGTAAAAACATACTTAGATCTGACTCCCAGGAGAAATAGCAGCACTGAGTAACTTGGGGACAGTGACTGTCACTATAAGGAGAAGAGAAGACCAATTACAACCTTCTGCCTTGACAACTCAGTTCATTTAGGAACGTCTCGAACATGGTTTGCGCTCAATAAACAGCTTGCTGAATTTCACAGAATATAATTACTTTTATCTTTTAAGTGTCCCTGTAATCCACTCCATTAATCTTCATTTTAAATTGGGCTTCCTTTCTCTAAGAAGCCATGTGGTTCCCCCAAGCCCTGGACTCCTTCTATGTGTTCACACTGATATAGATGCTACAAAGCTCCTTGGAGCCACACATGACCTGTGTCCTTCCCAATGGACCACCCCATTAGAAGTATGAGAGATGGCAGCTCTTAGAAAGTGGCCTTTGGGGCCCAACTTTGGCTACCGTTAGACTCTTACGGGTACAGGCATTCTAAAGCCAAGTCTACACTGGCCACTAAGGAAAGCTGGTCTAGGAAAGGCAGGGAAGTAATAAAAGGAGTCCACAGGAGGTATGTCTGGGCTAATTCTTAGCCACCCAGAATATTCAGGCAAGACTTTGTTTCATGAAAGTAGCTCTTTCGAGGGAGAGGGATAGCTAATTTTCATACTTGAATCTTTCAACACTTCTGTGAACCTATGGAAAACAAAAATAATTGCGGGGGATGTGCTAACTGGAGTAGGAAGTGATAAGATGGCAGTCCCAAGCTTGGGCATGCTAAAAGAGACAGGTGACAGGGCTAGGGACAGGGGACCTGATAGAACACTGTATACAAAGTCCTTCTGTCTGAAAGCCCATGCCCCAGTTCTTGGCCAGTCTGCCCCATAAGGGGCAGTGAGACTTGAGTACAGCCTGGGGCTACCTGGTCTGGACCTGTGCTGTGCAGTGGTGGGGAAATAAACTGGGCTCTGGTTACTGGGCTGGGGTCTTCCAGAGTGGAGCTAAGCTATGAAGAAATACCCAGGAGTGGGCACCAGTGTGTGTGTGCATCTTAAAATAGGGGTCTTAAGGTGGCAGACCTCCTCTGGTTCCGCCGTGGCTGCTGCCATCTGGCCCTGGAAAGCCAGGTGCCCATAGTCACTGGTCATTTGTGAAGCCAGTCCTCCCAACTCCTCCGGGTTAGTAACCGACTTAGTCATCTGGAAAAAGAAAACAAGCAAGACACACACACACACACACACACACACAGAGAGAAACGCATGAGAACCATGTGTTAATATCACTGGAAGCCAAAGGGTTTCATTCACTTTTAAGCTCCTGAGGGGGTGAAGGCCAGGCCTTGCATTTGGGGCTAGATGCTGGAGAGGGCAATTCAAGCCAAGCCCATGCTGCATTGCACACAAAAGGCCAGAGCCCTCGCAGGGCCCCGCTCAGGCCACAGATTCTGGCCGGGCCCAGTGGGCACATGCTCAGCGTTCGGGCTGTGCAGCTTGGAGCCAGTGCCCAGGGCCCACCCTCTGGCAGGTGAGTGTGCCAGCCCCTCGCCAGCGCAGCCCTGGGGGGTCACCAGAGGAATTCCCCCTAGAAACCCCCAGGAGGCACAAGCCCTATGCGATTTTCACCCCTGGGCCAAGGCTTCTGTCGGGGGCTGATCTGGTCTCTGGGTGCCCTGAAGCAGGTCCCACCCAGGTGAGAGAGGGCATGAGGACAGGGCTGTTAAGAAAACCATGAATGACAAGTGCTGGATAAGTCAGTGTTTTAGAGGAAAACACTCATAGAGGATACAGCTTTGCAGTAAATTTGTGCCAAAGAATGACAAGGTTTTAGCCACAAATTTAGTTAAGAGTAGTGTGTAGCCCACATGGTCAAGTTCTGCCTTTATTATGAAGATACTCAGGATTTTTCTCTGTTTCATTGACTGATGCATCTCAATTATCTAAGGCAGCTGGCATGCTAGTTTCTAGTGTTTCCTCTTCCTCTGGACAAAAATACCTCTAAATTCTCACAAAAGCAGTTTTAATCTGCCACCCAGACGGGTGTCACTGTCCCTCATCAAGGGGCTCCCCTCCTGCTCCACCTCCTCTTGCTCTGGATAACAATACTGTCTCTTTCTTTGTGGCCTTTTAAGACCTTGATTTTAAACAGCCTTTTAAAATGTCTTTTGAATGACTCTCCATCCATCAAGGCAGGACAGGAATGTCCACCCTTTCTAAGGCATGTGTACAAGGACACGTCCCAGGCTTCAGGCTGAGATGTGGCCGCCAAGGAACGCACACTGAGCTGCACGAGAGTGAGTGTTGCCACGTGCTGCTCCACTGCGACCTGCCAACAGGTGCACTGGGAGTCTGGGCATCCTGACGGGGTGAGAAGGGCCTCTTTCACACAAAGAGCCAGGCCAGTTATCTCAGGAGTGGCCATGCAGCCTGAGGCTCAGCTCCTTAAGCTCATGGACACCCAGGGTCAAGCCAAGGCAGCTCAGGACCTGGCTCTGGAGACATTCCAGAAACACCATGAGGCTGCTCAAACATGACTGCTGCTGCACTGTGCTTCCTGCTCAACAGGAATCTGTGCTGAAAGTCTGCTGGCTCGGACTAGGATCCGTCCTCCATGCTCCCCTGAGAAGGACAAGACTGGGCTCAGCTCCAGCTTTTCACAAAACACTGAGATGGGTGTACCATTCCCCAGCCCGAATTCTTTTAAACAAGCCTGGCACAATCACAGAGTTTCCATGAATGAATGGCAGCAGCCAGGGATGACTTTGTGGTCCAAGCTCAACCCCTAGTGGACACATGATTACATGACAAAACCACTCAGAGGGGACCTGGGCACAGCAACCATGTGGTGGCTCATTCTGGTCACTTCAGCGAGGAAGGCCCATTGATTTCTCAACCCAGGCTTATGTGGCAAGTATCAAAGAGGCATCTTTCAAACTTTTATCTTATGGCATCTGAGCCTTTAAAAGTTGGGAGAAACTTTTTCTATGGACTCCTATCAATTCTTTGAAGACAACATTTGTCATCTTTCGTATAACTGCTTAACATATCAGATAGCATTCACTATCTCTCAATGCCATTTATATCTAAGAATCTATATAATACAGTTCTAGTTGCATTACATTTTAGAAAAACAAACAAACAAACAAAACAACAAAAACCAAACCAAACCAAAACATTACCTCCAAAAGTTGTATGCCTTCTACTGTCGGAATTTTTTTTTTCTTATTACATAACCATACTGTTTCATTTTGCCTGAAAGACTGGCAATACCTTATTTTCCAAGTATTATAACTTGATTTCATCAGATAATCTCATCTCTATTTTATCCCCAAATATCTTCTCTTGTACTGTTATTTTAATCTACTAAAAACACCTCAAGTCCTTCGTGAGGTGAATAAGATTCTCCCCCTTTCTCCTTAACTACAAATTCCTTGCTTTCCCCGTCTTTTCATTTTCTCTCCTTCCTTTGCTCCTCTGTCCTCATGCCCAAGTCTCAGCCATCTTTAATTCCCTCTTGCAGCTTTTTCATGAGAAAAGAACTGCAGCAGACTGGGGCTACTGGACACAGGCAGCCAGAAAGACCACAGATAAAGGACAGAAGCTGGAGCCCCTGAGGGACTAGAGAGTGGTCTGGGCTCTCTCTCTGACACAGATCTGGGATTTGCAGGCTCAGCGGCGGCAGTGGATAAAAAGGCAAACAACAGTGGGGAGGGCAGCTCTCTTCCCTCTTACCATTTCCTGAGCTGTCACCGCAATGGCTTTGGAGTATTTAACCACAGTCGTCTGATAGTCGACAAATGTTCCCTTTGGTTCTGGAGGAGTGCCTTCATCCAGCTACAGAGGAGAGGAAAAGAATCCAAAGGTCATAAGAAGCCTGCTGAAGTGTAGACTGTATTTACGAGAATTAGGAACTTTGAAAAACAGAGAGGGCCTCAGAGATTCTTTCGCCCAGTGTCAACTCAATTACCCAACTTGTGCAATAAGGACTTCAACAGAAGGGCACATAAGGCATTCAGGGTACATGGCAAGGAGAGGCTCCCAGCCTTGCCTGAGAGGAGTGGGAGGCCTTCCAGAGGAGTGATGTTTCCGCCAAGTCTTACCAGGCGAAGAGTCTGCCACATGTAAAAGGTGGGAAAGGCATCCCAAGAAAAGGGAACAGAATTCACGTACATGGAGGCGGGAGCCAGCCTGACACTTCTAGGGAAGCGCAAAGTGCCAGAAGATGAGGTGGGAAAGGAGGCAGACTCTCCATCAGGAAGCACTTCCTGAGGAATGGTCGAGTCCATGGCTATCCACGGAACCGTTCTTTATGAGCACAATCGGGGAATAGAAGGAATTAGAAGCACTAGGAATAAATTGTTGCTCACCTGACTATAAATGCAATAGGAACTGAGAGAAGGGCAAGATCACTGTGGGGTGGAAGAACTGAGACAATGGGACTATGTCCCTTGAAGGCTTGGGGACATATTGGTGTAGGAGATTTGTATTCAAAATGTGTTTCCAAGGCTTGTGAATGAACCTCGGGCTGCTTACTTAAACTCTGATCTCTAGTCCTTCAGTGGTAACTTCCAGGCATCACATGGTTACAGTAAAAATCAACACTACACCTGGTCAAGAACTATATACAGGAAGAGGAGAGAATGACCATAATGAAGATGCTGATGATAAAGATGATAATGCCAATGATGAAGAAACAGGCAACCCATCTTCACCACCACCATCCTCACCATCACCACTGGTTGCTGAATGGTATTCCAGGCGAAGAGACAAAGTGAACAGAAATTAATACAGGCAGAGTGAGTCTAGTGAGGTCATCCTGACCTGAACAGGAGGGGGCTGTTGACAGCAGTGGGAATGAGGCTGCATCTGTTTTATGGAAAACCTTGAAATCATGACGACAACAGTGGGATCTGGGGTAAGCAATGACGTATTTGAGATTTCCCTGGCAGCTCTGTGCCATAAAGTTCAGAGTCAGAGATGAGATTGGGGCCAAGTGGTCAATTAGGAAAATGTTAGCTGGTATCTTCAGTGACAGCTATATGTCATGAGCAGGCATGTACTGCACTGTGAGTGAAAGGAAGGCATCACTGTGGCCTATGCGTGATGTGGCTGCATAGCCCAGCATATAATTTTCACCAAACTATTAACACAAACTCCACACTAGACTTTTTTAGCTTTCCCTATTAGGCAGATAGATGCTATATCCCCATCACGGCACGGGGGCCCTGCTAGTCAAAGGAGACTGAATTGCATACTCATTCACTTGCTGTAAACTGACTGAACATCTTCTAAGCCTCAGGCCACATGCTAGGAGCTTGCATGTGAGATGTGACATCACTACCCACATGCCAGGATGCTGGAGCTGAAGGGCAGCTCAGAGTTCTTGGCCAGTGGCCACCAGCCAAAGAACCTTTAACTAGTCTGAGGACAATGGGAAAAGAAAGAACAAAGTAGTGACTAGGATTTCAATTTCATTTATTTGAAAGAACTTCCCTTTACTCTGAGAGTACAGCCTTCCTCCTTTTGTGGGTGCTAGCATGACCTTTCTTTTATAAAACAGCCGTGATGTAGATGGCACAGTTTTTGTTTGTTTTTGTTTAATTTTCTTACTTGGCCAAAAACAAAACGAAAACAAAAACAAAGAAAAGATACCACATCACAAAATCCCACAGGATCCTACCAACCTCACTGAATGAGGAAATCAACGTCCCGAGAGCTTGAATTCCTGTCCAAGGTCACCCGGAAAGCTGATTACTTCATACTCACTTGTGAGTCTCCAAACCTCCTAGTGCTGAGATGACGAGAGAGAATCTCAAAGAGAAGCTCCACAGTGAAAGCACCCAAAGTGTCAGGAGTCACATCCAAGTTAGAATTAACTCTGGCTACACTCAGGTTTTTCTATAATTCACTGGCTTTGAGAATTTCAGACAGTGAGTCTAATAGTATCTCAGAGTTTTAACCAAATTAATGAAATTCTGAGAGACTATGCCAGCTTTCTAACGCTTGCTGCACAGGGACCCAAAGGACCTGAAACGTCACTTAATTTGAAGTCCCCAGCAACATGCTGAGCAAAGGGAGAATGGGAATGAGGAAGAGGTGTTGTGTGGTGCCCTGGATGTCAGGCCAGGGTAGATAAGAGTTTAGGGGCAACATTGAAACCCCAATTATATACTTTGCAGAACTGAGGGGGGAAGAACAGCTCCTGGCCTCTGTGGCTTGTGTTGGCTGGCAGTTCCTAATTACTGCTATCAAGTAACACCTGACTTATTTCCAGCCCATCCAAAAGAATCAAATGTGTCTCTGGCTGAGACAGCATAGGCTATACCACTAATGGCAGGTGGTGCAGGGCCTGCTCTCTCTGTCCACAGCCCATCACAGTGCATAAGGCACAGGGCTATCAAAGAAAGACTTTGGATCTGACGTCCATCTTCCTAGGATTTATGGAATCCTTCCCTATCATTTGAGTGGTACTGAAAAATATCTTCTCCCAAGAAGAAAAAGATTATCATTTGAATTTCTAATTTGCACCAAGAAACCTTGGGCTCCATTATTTAACATCCTTAGGTAGATACACGGTTTATCTTCAAAGCTCTGGTGTTCTGATGTCCTGAAAACCAAACAAATCTACTGAGACTTATCCAAGGGCCCGCAGAAGAGGGAAATTTCACTCATTTTCTGCCAAAATGTCCACATTTGCAGCATGAGAAGCCCACAGCAGAAACTGATGGATGATTTGACAAAGTAGAGCCTGCGGCCTCTAAAGGGAGACGCAGCATTCCACCCTGGGCTTGTTATGTTTGTTCTCAGGCTGACAATGACTGCATAATGCCTAAGGATAATTATTCTAATTATAGTTACAGCATATCATTTCTTCATGGAGATATGAACAACCAATCTTCTCTAAATTAGCAATTAAAGACTGCTTATTATCCTGAAAAACCTTATTAATGTATTCACAATCTGACAATGGACATTTCAAAACATAGACGATGTCTAAAATTCTTGGCATGCTATCACAGGATGGCAATTAGATGCTGATGAACAAGCATTCTTTCTAATGAATGTCAAACTTACATGACTAATGAAGGATTCTTTGGGGGAAAGAACAGGAGATATGGAGTTGAAACTGTCTCCAGTCATGTCACCCTAATGATCTGACTCATTTGATGGGTCACTAAATGAGAAAATGATACTCATGTTCTCTTACATGTCTGTAGCCTACAAGAGTTTACTATGGGCTTTTGCATATATACGATTTCAGTGGTTTCTGTGCCTGGCTAGATATCAGAACCACAAGGAGCAATTAAAAAGAGTGTGTTAAAATGTAACCCAATTGAGTGGGTTGGGGGTGGAGCCTTGGAATCTACATTCTTAAAGCTCCACATGATTCCAAAATAGCCATTCCAAAAACTAGCACTTGGGAATCACTTTTTTTTTTTTTTTGAGAGTTTCGCTCGTTGCCCAGGCTAGAGTGCAATGGCATGATCTCAGCTCACCGCAACCTCTGCCTCCTGGGTTCAAGCGATTCTCCTGCCTCAGCCTCCTGAGTAGCTGGGATTATGGGCATGCGCAACCATGCCCGGCTAATTTTGTATTTTTAGTAGAAACAGGGTTTTACCATGTTGGTCAGGCTGGTCTCGAACTCCCGACCTCAGGTGATCCGCCCGCCTTGGCCTCCCAAAGTGCTGGGATTACAGGTGTGAGCCACCGCGCCCGGCCGGGCGGGAATCACTTTTATTTCATTTTGGCAATTGTTCCCCCACAACAAACCCTATGAAGTAGATAATCAATTTCCATCTTACAATTGAGGAAACCTATGATATCTTTTCCATGTCCATCTTTTTCTTTCATGTAAAATTAGAAGGCACAACTGGCTTACAAAAGTAATGCATTAATAATAAAGAATAATATGTTGGACATGTGACTGGATATCTGTACATTAACTAGAACCTTCAAGAAAAGAAGAGGCTTGTTGCTATGAGCCTTGACAGCTTAGAGAAAAGCACGCGAGGCCCATGGGTGAGGGAGATAAGGGAGTAGAGAGCCCTAGAGCCCATGCCCACCTTGCTCATGGCTTCTGCAATGGCGTCCACCATGCCCCCAACCAGCCCCACTTCACTGGCAGCTTCGTTCAGCGTCACCATGATGTCATCCACGGCTTCCTTCATCAACTGGGCGGCCTCTGTGATGGCGTCATGGGTGTGTTGTGCCTGAGAAGGGAATTGTGAAACATTTCCTTAAGCAGAAGAGAGCGGTGCTCAGTCTTCTAAGAATAACCTTCAAAAGTAGAATATAAAACCATACCCCCACAATGGAGCACAGCGATCTATTCTATTTCTTCCCTTTCTTTATGTTTGGCCATTTGTTTGCAAAGTAAATAAAAATCAGAAAGACAAATAGAAAAAGATCTCTTTTTACAATCAGGGAAAAATAAAACTGCAATATCAAAATCTTATGACATGACCAATTTTATATGTTACTATGTTCAGGACTGTAGAAAAGAGAATGCCACAGGTTCCTAAATATACAAGTTGATACATTTACAAAATAATATAATGAAAAAATGTGCTTAAAATAAATGTACGTCTCTTCAAAGTTGCCCAACACACTATAGTTCCCCGTCTAAAGATAAGACTGGATTACAGAAATGTAGGTACCTCTATGGGAAATATATTTGTAGAGTGCCTAATAGGCTTTGAAACTATGTCACAAATTATATGCCATGAGGTTGGAGAAATGCATGGAGCCCTGCCGGTAAAGCCCTGAGTACCCATGCATTCCTTAGACCATATTAGGAAGTAGGTGTTTCACACCTGTGTCAAGCAGAGTAGGGGCTAAGTGAATGAATGAATGAAAACAATGAAACAATGGCAGTCCTGGGCTCCCTGAAAGATACCTCAAGTAGCAGCAAGATGCAGGGGGAACAGCCAAGGTGACAGACAAACCTGGGTTCTAGTTCTGGCTCCACTGCTGGCTAACTAGGTAAGTGGCCCTGGGCTTGGAGTCCTCCTAGGTAGGATGGGGAAAACTATAACAACACTATGCAGTGTGGGATGATATGGCTGCAGGCGCCTTGCCATTTATAAGGGCAGTCTAGGAGGAAATCATGCCCTCGCTCTGCAAAATTTGACCTGATGTCAGGTTTCAGGGTCGGAATTGCATTACATCCAGGCACTGGGTCTACCCATGCCGTGGCTACGGCCGCCCTGAGCCACCTTGTTGGGGAAGTAGACCCTTTCAAAAGGCCAAGATACTGCATCTTTACTTTGGTAAATGAGAAGGTAAAGAAGCCAGTGGAAAGCAGTAAACGAGAACTCGTTGGGTGATTTTCTAAATACAAGAGAATTCCAAGAGGCTATGTGAGCCACAGGAACTGGCCATGTCTGAATTGAAAAGCCATAGGAAGCAAGAAAAGTTATTCAAATATGACATCTGATGAGATGGGAAATATGTTGATCATGGATGGTTATCCTTGAGGCAACGGTGTCAGGATACACAGAACTCTCTTTGGGATGAGTGAAGTAAAGTGGTAATTTGGGTTGATAGCTGATTTCACGGCACAGACATGGTAAAACACAAAATGTGCAGATTGCTTTATTTTGATGATAGAAGTGTGAAAGGTGATACCTCTTGGACCTACTCTCCAGAAAGAGCATCTCATACATTTTTATTCGTACAGAAGGTGAAAGGGAGGGTGCATATTTCTCTACATCTCATTTAGAATGAGATGACTGTTACAGACACAAAAATGCCAGCAATTCAGGCCGAGGCAGGTGGATTACGAGGTCAGGAGATCGAGACCATCCTGGCTAACACAGTGAAACCCCGTCTCTACTAAAAATACAAAAAATGAGCCAGGTGTGGTGGCGGGCGCCTGTAGTCCCAGCTACTTGGGAGGCTGAGGCAGGAGAATGGCGTGAACCCGGGAGGTGGAGCTTGCAGTGAGCTGAGATCGCCCCACTGCACTCCAGCCTGGGCAACAGAGCGAGACTCCATCTCAAAAAAAAAAAAAAAAAAAAAGCCAGCAATTCTACACATTCATATGAAAATTAAGTATACCTTCTGGGGGAGACAGGAGCACCGCTTGCCAAGGATCTGTACTCTCATGCAGGCTCAGGAAGGTTCAGAAGCAAACTTTGGGTGCAGCAGTAAATCACAAAACTTTTTGAACTCCTTCAACAATTTAAAGGACACTTGTCCTGTGCCAGGTCACTGAAATCTATAAAAGCATATCCTTGCTCTTGGCTATCCCAGAAATGAATTACCTCCCCATCCACTCATGCTGATGAATTCTCTAGAAGGCCTGCTCTCCTTCACTTCTCATGGTTAAGTTTTTCACAGATTCTTAGAGGGTCAGCTCAACGTCTACCTCTTCTATGAAGCCTCCTCCAATTACTCCAGGCCTCACCCAGGGCCTTTTCTTCTGAACACCAAAGGCAAGTCTCATCTTTATCAGACAGCCTAATCTCAAATCACACATACCTGCTAGTAGAGCTCAATAGTTTCAGATACCCAAAGACACAGTTGGATCTCAATTAAGGCCTGTTTAAACCACCGACAGCAATCTCATAAGTGGCATCGGTGGGCCCAACAATGAGGTGGTTATTTTAGATTCCGGAGGGGTTCCTTGTTACTGTTCCTCATGGCACCACACAAGAGAAAAACCAGATTCCATTCTTTTTCAGACACATGTCTGAAGTCCGCTTCCAAAGGAGCCTTGTTTCTTTATTACAGCACTTCAAATACAAAGCCCAGGATAGCAGGCACAGACATCACAGGAGTATGGAAAAATGGGAGAAGGCCACAGGGGAGCAGATTTCAACTTTGGTAGAGGGAGAAAAACAAGGAATAATTAGAACTGTCCAACAGTGGAGAGGGCTGCGTTTCTGCTGGAGTGTTGTGGGCAGAATCTGTGGTGGCCCATCAAGGATGCCGCAGAAGGGAATTGGGCGGGGTGGGGATGAGTGGAGAAGGGAGCTCTGCGGGGTAGAGAATACCGCAGAAGAGCTCAATGGAGTGAGGGAGAGGCTACACTGCAAACGCCTCGGTAAGCAGGTAATTCATTAACACCAGGTTCTGGGCTGCCGCTTTTTTAAAAAACATATCTACTATGTCAGGCACATTATTTCATTTAGTCTCTACCAGTACCTTAGGGAGGTATTCATAATTACCTTCATTGTTTAGGTGCAGAAACAAAGAAATGAAGTAATTTACTCGTGAGAGGCAGAGGTGGGATTTGAATCCAATTATGTTTGACCCCAAAGCTTGTGCTATTTTTCACCGTATCAAAGCTACCCATAACTATTTGACAAACCTTTATTTCTTCTGCAAACAGGGATATATAACACCTAGCACACAGCAAATAAAACCTAGTAAATATGTGTCCAAAGAATAACACTCAAGGTGATTAAGTCTTGGCATCAGGCTTCTAAGGAAAGGGTTGAAAAAAGCAGACTTGTAGTGTCCCAGGCGCACTTTGGGCTAAGCCTGTCAGGGTTTGCAGAAAGAGAGCAGGTTGAATGAGACCAGTGAGGGACAGAAGTGATCACCTGCCTTGCCTTCACTCATCGTGTTTTACTTCATCATCTAATGCTTTACTGAAAACTACTTCACACTGGTAGAAAATTATGCTAGACACCACTTTCAAGCAGAGGCTGTTACCAGAAAGCTTACAGTGCTGACTGTGTGTGCTCTATGGCTGGGAACACAGGAAACTAAGTCCAAGCTGGGTGTTGTGGCTTGCACCTGTAATCCCAGGTACTTGGGAGGCTGAAGGGGGAGGACTGCTTGAGGCCAGAAGTTTGTGATGAGCCTGGGCAACATGGCGAGACCCCATCTCTGATGGCTGGGAGCACAGACAGTCAGCACTGTAAGCTTTCTGGTAACAGACTCTGCTTTACCAGAAAGCAGAAGTTGAGGTTGTGAGGTTCCTTGAGAGAAAATAAAATTCCATCAGGAACTCTGAACTTACAGTCCAAGCAGATGTGTTAATGTCTTAAAAATCCAGAAAGGTCAGGTGTGGTGGCTCACGCCTGTAATCCCAGCACTTTGGGAGGCTGAGGAGGATGGATCACCTGAGGTCAGGAGTTCAAGACCAGCCTGGACAACATGGTGAAACCCCATCTCTACTAAAAATACAAAAAATTAGCTGGGTGTGGTGGCAGGCACCTGTAATACCAGCTACCCGGGAGGCTGAGGCAGGAGAATCACTTGAACCCGGGACGCGGAGGTTGCAGTGAGCCGAGATCGCGCCATTGCACTCCAGGCTGGGCAACAAGAGCAAAACTCTGTCTCAAAAAAAAAAAATAAATAAATAAATCCAGAAAACTCCTCCTTTGAATTATTCTCTTAGTACTGAAACCATCAGGTAGGAGTGGGGACATGTGGCAGTCAATAGCCTGGAGAAAAGACAACCCAGAAGTGAGTCAGAGGGTAAGTTCTGCCTCCTCCAGTTTGGGGGAGGCACCCCTTTGAGGGTGCAAAGGGGGCTGGCACGACTGCAGGGCACCCTATCGTTTCTCCATCGCAGTCAAAAGAGTATTCTTTTTTTTCTCACTCCATTCCACCACTTCAGCAACTCAACTTATTTTTCCAAAAGACTCTGAACAACTTGAGGGCAGTGGCTGGCGCTTAATATTTCAGCATCCCCAGAATGAGGCTCTTAATAACTGCCAAGTACATGAATGAAAAAATTGAACATAGAAAATGTTAAGTCCAAGCTGGGTGCTGTGGTTTGCACCTATAATTCCAGGTACTTGGGAGGCTAAATGGGGAGGATTGCTCGAGGCCGGGAGTTTGAGATGAGCCTGGGCAACATAGTGAGACCCCCCACCTCTAATTAACTTATTAAGTAAATAAGTAAATAAATGAGCAAGCAGGCTAGCCAGATATGGTGGCATGTGCTTGTGGCCCCAGCTACTTGGGAGGCTGAGGCAGGAAGAAGGCACGAGGCCACGAATTCATAACCAGCCTGGGCAATACAGTAAGACATGATCTCAAAAAAAGAAAAGAAAAGGAAAGTCCATGACATTATTCACACTGCTACCAGTTTAAATGTTTCTAAAATATGGACTGGTTGTGCCATTCCCCTGCTTAAAAACTGCCAATGGCTCCCCACTACTTACAATAAAGACTGAAGTCCGCAATGTGGAAGAGACCTGTCACCCTGCAGCCCAGTCCATCCTCCTGCCTGGTGGTCCCCCAGCTCTACATGCTCCAGATAGATCAGACCACTCACTATTCCTGAAGAAATCATGACCCTTTAATAAATCTACCTATGCCTTTGCATATGCTATTCTCTCTTCTTCAGTTCCCAAGTTCAGGGTAAAATGTGGTGCAAAGTCACCTATGACAGGCTGTCGTCATACTTGGCCACTTAAAGCAGCTGGGTGACACAACAGGCTGAAGAAATGTTCCCTCTTGCAAACTGGTATGGGAGATTTTCATATTAAACTGCAGTCTCTTAAGTGTTAGGAATCAAAATGACATTTACTGGAGCACAATAGAACATTCCTCTGTGCAAGCTGGGTGTCAGTGCTGAGCAGGGACCCAGCAAGCATTACAGTTTTCATTCCTGTAATCATCGCACCATACATTTTTCTTCCCCAAGGACACTTGTCTACACATTCTGTCAAGAAAAAAATAACTTTTATGTATATTTCTTCATTTCCTCCCTAAGAACCTTGGGAAGGCCAATAGATTATTTCTGATCTCAGAGTGGGAGCTCAAATGCCACCAGCAAGAACTGGAAGTGTTTTCTCCTGGAAGGACACATTACAGCAGGAATGCATGATGGCTTCTTAGTGGTCCTAAGTGAGTCCCCGATATCCTGGACCATACCTTGGGGTTTCCGCCACCTTCTTTGGCTGCATACAACATCTGCAAGGCAGACTCTGCGAGAGTCTTGGTCTGGTCCAGCACCGTCATCTGCTGCTGATGATCAAGAATCTTGGAGGCCACACCAACTGCGGCTAAGATCAAGGGCTCAAAATAGCTTGCCAGTTGTGTCACCTTTCAAAAAAAAAAAAAAAAGCCAGAGATGTATCATGTAAATACACGTGTCTCCTTCAGGGGCTCCACAGTCAGGCGCGGGAGGGGAACAGGACTGGGCTGACTCACAGGGAGAGGCAGATCTGCTGCAATTTACTGCTGAAAGTGCTTGCTAATTAATGGACTCTTTCTTGGTTTTTACTTTCTCCAGGGAGTTCTTCATCTCTCTAAATATGGCAGAGGTGCTAAGAAACCCATTCCAAGATCCAGAGTTAGATATGAGAATTGAATTCAATTTTACAAACTGTCAATTTCTATAAATTAACAACTTTTAAAAGAACTAAAGACATCTTACAAACTCAGGAGGAAGGAGGAGTGGAAAAGGGTAAGGTAGCAGGGGAGCAGAAAAAAGCAGGAGATGAAAGAAACCTTCAAAAGCTTTGTAGGAAGCCAATCCCAACTGCCTTTTGCCCAGAGCATTTTGACCAAGCCTTGATTTGGAAAAACAGCACAAATGATTTCACATCAGCCTAGATGCTCTGTTTATGATTCGCCCAACTTGGGAGAACAAAAAAAGCTTATCCCGACAGGAACCACTGCCTCCGCACAGGCCTCTTTCCAGGAGGGCACTGCCATGCATATCCATCCACGCTCACTAAAGCTCGCCTACCAGCTGGGCGCTGTGGGCCATGTGTTGCAAACATCTAGCGGGCGCACCCCCTATGCCAGGCTCTCTGCTGAAAGTTTAACTTCCATTTCCTCACTGAGCCTCCACAACTTTAAGAGGCAGATACACATGAAGATACCGAGGCTTTGAGGGGTTGAGACGCATGCTCCATCTCATGCAGCTAAGAGGTGGAGACAGCGGCATCCCACCCCACAGCCCTGGCTCTCAGCTGCCACAGTCTGTGGTCTCTTTCACTTTCATTGGGATGCCAGTCCTGCTGCTGTGGGAGCACCGCACTTTTAGAAGTTTATCATTTGGTGTTTGGATGACCCTCTACCTGGCATCAGAATATGAGATCTTAACATTTTGCTATATTCACTTCAGACACCAGAATCTATCCCCTCTCAGAATCTATCCTCACTCAGATAAAATACAATGGCATGAATCACACTTTTCTGTTCAATGCCTCATTCTGTGCGGTAATGACTAATGGCTAAATTACACCCTTTAAGAGAACTTAAGATCAAACCTTTAGCCAGCACCTCCCTTAACGCTTCTTCCCATCACATGTTAGAAGAATGAGTGTTGTGGGGATGTGGACAGGAAGACCACTCACATGAGCAGTCACTGGGCCAGCAGGAGAGGGTGGAGGATGATGGGGTGGGGGTGGCTAGGGCAAGGTGAGGGAACGTGTCCAAAAAATAAAACTTAATTAACGCTAATAGTGAGACATGATTATTGGCCAACAATAAAACTTATTTTTACATTGTTATTTCCTCTATGGTTATCTTACAGAGAGGTTTCAAACCTGGTGAATAGGGCTGTTCCCGGCCCTTAGGGAGCCTTTGAATGAATTTTAAAGGGGTCCTTTGGGCAGACATGAGCGACGCCAGGGCAGAGCATGGGCTGAATTTTCGTCCCTACTTCCCACTTCAGCCAAATGCCTTTGTGGAGGGCACAGCCTATACAACCACAGGCAGCAGCTCCACACACTTGCATTTGATTTCATCCTCATCCCCAGGAAGGGCACTGGTGTCACCACCAAAGGGAACGGAGCACTGAAGGGTCATCGGGACAGAGGGCTTAGGGTGGTCCTTTATGTCCTAAAGGAGGAGTCAAAATGTTTAATGCATTAGAATCTTATATGTTTTCTAGGTTAATTTTATTATTTTCAAAGTATGTTTCATCAATGCAACTGTCAAATGTCAGCGGTTGCTGTGTGCTGAGAATAATTAAATGCAAAACTAAATGGGAGCCCGGCTCCCCCATGGAGGTAGCATGGCTGGGCCATGAAGGACTTCAGCTCTGGCTTCAGAATCACTGGATTTGAATCTTCCCTGCCAATTCCTTACTGAGAAATATTTAGCTAATTGTTCCAATTGCTCCACTTCAGTTTCCTTATCTGTAAAATGGGGATTAATAATAGCACTGAGAGTTCATCAGGACTGGTAGGAGGATTAGTGTACATGAAAGCCCTTCACCATGCTAACCGCCAAATAGGAAGTACTCAGTAAAGGCTAGGTGCTCACATATTACAGGCAAAGCTTTTTGAAGGCATGTGCTTTTCTCTGTATTTAGGGAGCTTAGCAAGTACTTTAACACCATTAGTTCTTGAGACATGACAGAACAGGAAACATCCTTCCTTGGGTTAGCACATGCATTAAAATAACACAGAATTTTGAGTATTTGGTACATAACGTTCATTCCTAGGTCTAGGGACACGGTGGACTGAATGGTGGCCCCTCAAAAGATATGTCCATATTCAAACACCTGCAACCTGGGAATGTGATCTCATGTGGAAAAAGGGTGTTTGCAGGTGCATTTAAAGACCTTGAAATAAGAATGTCCTGAGTTACCGGGACGGGCTCTAAATCCAATAACAAGTGTCCATCTAAGAGACAGAAGAGACACCGAAGAGCAGGTGACAATGTGATTACGAAAGCAGGGATCAGCGCGACAGTCAAGGAGTGCCAGGAGCCATAGGAAGATATAAGCAGCAAAGAACAGATTCTCTAGGGAATCCACTCTACAGTCTCTGTAGACTGCACAGCCCTGCCACCACCTGATTTTAGACCTTGGATGAGAGAATAAATTTCTGTTGTTTTAAGCCACAGAACTTCATGAACACAGTTGGGGTCTGAGAACTGGCATTTCTTATCACTCCCAGGTGCTGCTGAAGCTGCTGATCTGGGGCCCCACACGAGCACTGCAATGAAGCCTTGGGGAAAATGTGGGTGTGAACTCCCAGTCCACGGCTCTTCTGGATAGAGGGCGCACCGACTGCCTCTGTCCAAAATTCTCTTTTAGAAGGTAAGAGATGGATTAGCCCAAGGGTCAAGAGTAAATTTGTAAGTCAAGTGACATAAATATATTATGTTTCTTTTGATGCTAACCACTAACATAGGAATTAATCTTGTATACTAATGAAGTATCCGCAGAGACATGGGTATTGTCCTCCAAAGACATCCAGAAATATTCTATTACAAAAGTTCTGGAATCAAAAGTAACTGCTGAAAAAATGTCCAGCTTCTCTCCTAAACTCAGTTTCCCTTATGGGCACATAGGCAGTGGCCCCAGTGTCCAGACCATTCTCCTACCCCTGCAAACCTCTTCAGACAGACGGACAAGCCCTTTTCTAATTGCCGTATAAAGAAACTCAGCTAAGAAATGAAATATGCCAGCCGGGCGCAGTGGCTCACGCCTGTAATCCCAGAACTTTGGGAGGCCGAGGCAGGTGGGTCACCTGAGGTTGGGAGTTTGAGACCAGCCTGACCAACACGGAGAAACCCCGTCTCTACTAATACAAAAATTAGCCGGGCATGGTGGTGCATGCCTATAATCCCAGCTACTCGGGAGGCTGAGGCAGGAGAATTGACTGAACCCGGGAGGCGGAGGTTGTGGTAAGCTGAGATCACACCACTGCACTCCAGCCTGGGCAACAAGAGCAAAGCTCTGTCTGAAAAAAAAAACAAAGAAAAGAAAAGAAAAGAAAAGAAAAAGAAATGAAATATGCCACACTTAAAAAGGCAGAAAGACACTGGCCTTTGAGATTTCAAATCTTAAAAATCCCTCCTTGGAACCACTGGGAAGGTGAGTAGGCCCTTAAGCTATTCTGTAATTTAAAAAAGCAAGAATATTGATTTTCTAAAATCGATACCTGCCAAGAAGATTTTGGCTACTGTATTTCTTCCTATGTACATCTATACTGATAGCTGCACTGATAAAATGCTAGGAAACCCAAGGTGGTTAAAAATCCAATTTCTGGCCTCTCCTTATTGAGGCACAGGCTGCATAACAAGCCAACCGTCCTTGAAGAATTTGCAAAATGAACCCCAACCAGGCAAGATATCATCTGGGTCTGAACACAATGTGGGTATGAATCCCCAGCTGAACGGCTCCCCTGGAGTGGACACCTAGGGAGGGTTTGGTCATCCAGAGAGGTCTGCTTTGCCTCATTATGTCTAAGAGTAGACACTATGTTAGAAACCACAAAAGAATAATGTACCCTTAAACATACCAGAATGGGGCTGGCCGGCCAGCCAGCCAAAGGTGGCAGACTCCAGGCTAGGAGTGTCTGCTTCAGTCTCTGGTTTCTTTCAGCAAAGGTCGATTGCAACGGATGACTGTAAATGCCAAATTACATCTCTGGCCACAACCAGAAAAACTGCACTGAAGTTTTCTTCTGAACTTAGGTAAAAATAGATCCTGAACTGATAATTTCTGGAGAGGATGCCAGAGAGAGGTTCAGTGTTATTTTCTGCAGCTTAAACGAGCATTGGACTCAGGCACAATACTTGCACCACAGGCTTTTGGGAATGATAACAGTAAAGTCAATAAAACCCTCTCTCCTGTGATAACACGCACACCCTCGCAGGATCCCCTCGGTGTGCATTACCTTATGTCCCAGCTGAGCTGCTTCTCCCCGAGCCGCTGTGGCGATGGGATCGATAAGGTGTCCGATTTCCTGGACCACCGAAGTCAGCTGCTCCTGCAGGGCCTGATAAGGAGAGAAGTGTCAAGTTCATCCCATAACAGCTCCCCACAGAGCTGCACTGATTCAAAAAGGCCCCTCTGAAAAATGACAGAGGCCACACAAAGCAGACATTAGAATGCCTGCGTGTGTGCCATCAAGCCACTGCACCCTGCCCTGACCTTCTCAGTGATGACTCCTCCCGAGAAAGAGAGAAGAAGCAGGCATGAGAGATGCTTTTGCAACTGGCTTCTTGCTCCTGTCAACCCTGACAACTGATGCTACTGGTATCTTTACTTTAGGTTCCTTGATGGAATTAGTAGACATGCGGAACAGTCATGGCTTTCCAAGAAGGAACGACAACTTCTTCCAAATGCAGGCAGATAATGGAGGGGTCTGAGGGAACATTCCAGGTCACTGTATTCTCAGAACTAATAACCCCTCAAGGAGGGAGAGTGACATAAAAATGAGATTAGCTCCTTGAAAGCAGGACTACTTCCCAAACAGTGCACTGTGAAAATGCTCAGCTTAGATCTCAGTCCACTGTGTTTGGTAGTGTGCATGCAAATATTAAACACGGTGCCCTCAAGACCTTTCTTCTCATGTTTGAGAGATGGTTTAATCTCTTCACCCCTAAAGAATTGAATCATGCTGTAAAGAGACAGAGAAAGATATCTAGATGATTCTGAGAGTGTGGGGGATGGGGGATTCAAAGGTGGAGATTCTTAGCCAGTGGCAGGAAAGATCAGATCCCTCTGTAGGACTATTCATACGAGCTTCACTGATAGATACAGGATTAATGCATCAGTGCACTGGGCGTTTTACGTCTGCACACACCAGCATGGAATTGAGTGAACTCTGCCAAAGTAGCGATGTCCTGCTCATCAGAAATGAGACTCTAGCCTTCACTACTTTCCCACAGAACAATGCTGCCTGTGGGCCGGGAGGGATGCGGGCAGAGTGTCCTCAAAAAGAGGAGCAGACTAACATGCAAACTTGAAAACAAAACCCTGGAAAAAGAAAAAAAAAAAGGAAAAAGGGAAACAGAGACAGATGGGAGCAGGCAGAGAGAAACTTCCAAGACGGCCAAGGGTTTTATTTAGCTAATTACTTATTATCTTCATATTCATAATGTGATTATAGTCAAGAACACAAGAATATTCCAACAGTGCTGTCTTATTACAGATGGTTTGTTAAATTAAATAGGGTGTATGATCAGGGAGCACATGCAATTAAAGGGGAAGGGTTCTCTTCCTAGTGAGGGAGTTAAAACAGAAGATGTACTGGGTGAGGGAGGATATGGTGAAAGGATGGGGGGATGAGGGGGGCTTCTGGGGTGCTGGTCATCTTTGCTACTTTTTTTTTTTTTTTTTTTTAAGATGGAGTCTCGCTCTGTTGTCCCAGGCTTAAGGGCGGCAGTGTGATCTCGGCTCACTCACTGCACTCTCCGCCTCCCACATTCAAGCAATTCTCCTGCCTCAGCCTCCTGGGTGGCTGGGATTACAGGCGCCCGCCACCATGCTCGGCTAATTTTTGTATTTTTGGTAGAGATGGGATTTCACCATGTTGGCCAGGCTGGTCTGGAACTCCTGATCTCAAGTGATCCATCCGCCTCAGCCTCCCAAAGTGCTAGGATTCTGTAATCCTAGCACTGGATTGAGCCACAGCGCCTGGCCTCAACTTTGTTTCTTGATCTGGCTGCCGGTTGAAAGGCCTGTTCAGTTGGTGATAATTTATCAAGTGGTACCCTTATCTGCATGCATATACATACGGACTTTAATAACAGATCCAAAAGAATAATTCTGGCATCCCACACAGTTTGAGAAAACTTAATCCTTCTTTTTTTGGAAATAGGAGGGTGAAGGTGGAGCGAAATAGACAGCTCTATTAATAAAAATGAGCAATACTAACTCTGGGCCAAAAGCTGATTGTTAATGAATTCAGTGGCAGGAAGATAAACATCAATAAACAGACCATCCATGTTTATTAAGCACCTTCTGCAAGTCAAGCATTGTGCTTTCGGTAGAGATAGAAGTAAAAATCAGGAACCTTTGGACAGGTAATAGAAAAAGACCCAAAGGGAAAAAGCAGGAAAATTCCATTTTAAACTTTGGAAAAACAAGCAAGAAAGGGCAAAGTGGCTTTAAATTAATAATAGGATGCCAAAGTCCTCAAATGCTGGATATTGAATAACTTAGGGCAGAATCCTTGATCTCTGAACAGACCAAATGCATTCGTTTAATGCTGAATTGGCCAACTAACTAAAAAGCACACTGATGAAATACGACAACAGAGAATTATTCAAAATTTACATACCTAGGTCCACTCTACTGATGTGTTAAAACAAACACGGTACCCACCGTACCCCTAAATTACCTTGATATTGATATTTTCCCTCCAAATTTCAGCTACTTTTGAACTTTCCACCCCAGTACCTGTATTCCTTCCCCCAAGCCACCCTTCTCTACTTGGCATCTGCCCTACCCTCTCCAAAAAGTTCCCAGATTGGCTCCACAGAGAATGGCTGTCTAATGGTGAAACTCCAGCAACAGAAACATTTTGGCCCTACAACCTCTACCCCTCCAAGTCTGATGCTAAGGTTTTTCAACATATCTAGAGGCGACTAAGCAGGCCCCCAGATTCCCAGCTTACCTCCACAGAGATGTCGTCCCTCGTGGCCAGGCTCTGGCTGACGGCGGCCAGCGAGGCCTGCTCGATGTCCCGGATGCACCGGTTGATGCCATCGATGGAGTAATCACACTCCCTCTGTCCAGGGGCCTTGTCCCTGGAAGGAATAGTGCAAGTTGGACACAGGCTCCATGGGGCTCAAGTCCCACAGCCTGCTCCAGCACTGGTGGGCCAGGATCCCTGTCCACTTCCTCCCTGACACAGTCACCTCCTTTCAGGAGGAATCCCTGACCCCTGGTTGGCAACGTCTCACTGCACAGCCCATGCATTCCTTAATTTAACACTTCAGATAACTCTACTTATTTCTGGTGGAAAGAATATGGTCCTGCCCTCCACCTTAGGCTGATACCAGGCAACTGCAAAGGAAGCAATTTGGACTTGGATTTTCTATTCACTGGCTTAAGCACAGGACTTTTACTCAAAAAAAAAAAAAAAAGAAAAAAAAAAAAGGTCAGCACTGCTTCCAGTGCAAACATATTATGCTTTCTACATTGCATACTAGTCACAAAGTCCTGGGCTACAGTAGGAATTAAAACATGTAGTGAATTTTTCTTTGCAAGGCATTAAGAAATAAAGTTAACTGTGGTTTTGAGCTTCAAAAGCAACTAGGAAGCAAAATATAATTAAGGAAAGATGAATTTCATGCTGCGAGGTATTTACTGGTTAACTTCAGAAATGTTATATCTACTTGGGGATGTCTTTTTAGGCTCCCACTATCGACAAGGTCAGAGATGCTCAGAGTTACTGCAGGCCCTAGAATATTCTTTGTCTTATTAGCAAACTAACTGCAACCACAAATCCTGCTAAATAAACAACGGTGCTCAATGACTAAACTCCTAGATACGGACAATGTAGTACAGTGATTAGACAGCCATTGGGCCTTAAGGTGACCTTGGGGATATTACCCAAATTTTTCTGCCTAAATTTTTTCATCAGTACAATGGAAATAATGACAGTGGTACCTTATAAGACTATTGTGATGTTCAAATAAAGTAACACAGATAAAGCACTTGTAGTAGTATTTGGTATATGGTAAGTACTTAAGTTAGCAATTACTATTGTGACCAGTGCTTCCGGCCCCAAAGAGAAAAGAAAAAGATGATAATGATCAACAATATCACTATTAAGTAAAAAGCCTGGTGGGCTTATCCTCCTCCTTCCCCGCTGAGATGCAGGCTGGCAGCAACCTCCGGATGGGAAACTGACCTGATAGAAGTGATGAGACTCTTGATGGAGTCGGACACTGTATGGGAATGTCCAGCCAGTACAGACCAGGTGGGTGGGTCTTTGGGGTTGATGGCCAGAGAGCGTGCAGTGCGAATGAGGTACGATGAACTCTCCAGCATGGTCTTGGCTGAGACCAGGATTGGTTCCTGTGCCTGGGAACCCTGAGACCAAACAGCAGAGAAATCAAAGTCAGGGTCGAAGACATGAGTGAATGACGTGGGCCCTGAAAGGTCCTGTTCTTTGCCAAATCACCACCTCTGCCCTTTGAAGGAGACAAAGAGGGCAGGGAACCATGAAGACTGGATTACCAGGGGTCTGCATGGCGGGGACTCAAGCCCATGTTTGCCCCTTAAATAGCATTTTTTGAGTGTGACACATCCCAAGAATCGCCCCAAACCTAGGCAGTAAGATTGTTCTCTACATATATGTTATCTCTCAACAGAGGTGTAGTCATTGTGTTTCACTAACTGTGCACATGCCATCATTGACAAGAGTAACAGTAGCCTACATGTTGACAGAGAGAGCTGTTGGAGTTTTAACTAGTAACTCATTTGGTGCCACACAAAGTTAGCCAAAGACCTTAGTATGATGTTCCTGTAAACACTCCCTACCTCGGAGCTGATCTGGGCAGGAATGCTGACAAACTCAGGGTTTGAGGCGAACGCTGTCAGGTTCTCCACAGCTTCAATCAAGGGTGCGGTGGCGATGCGACACTTATTGCGGTTGTCTTCAGAGAAATCCCCATCCAGGGCCTGATGGGAGAAAACAGGGAGATTCTGCCCAATTGAGAAGCACAAATTATTTCTGAACCACAGTAATCACCTCTTAGTGAAAGAAGGTGGTTCAACCGGAACACTGAAAATCTCTGGTGACTTCATAAACAATAAATAGGAACTGATGAAAGAGACCCCTGCCATCAAGCAGAGGGGCCCAGTTAGATGTTGTGGAGAATTAAATGTGTAGCTCACAGGACAACTGACTCCACAGTCAACTTTCCACTCCCAGGAAGCAGAGACACAGATTTAAACAGCACCCTGCTCTTCAACGCCCCGTGACCCCCTGCACCAGACTATGCAGCGGGACTACTTTCCTCCTCACTTTTGAGACTACAATCCTTGGGATCTTTGCCTTCATTTTACTCAGATTAAATCTATTCTCTTCCAAACAATAAACATACCGTATTGTATTTTAAAGCAGTACTTTTAACTTTTTCTAAGTTTTACCTGGATATTCCCTAATGACTGATGGAGGCAAGGCAGGCATAACTGTCATCATTCTGAAATGAACACAATGGAATCTAATGAGAAGGAATAGATGAGAACTACCCCCAGCCATACAAATAAATCTCACAAACATCATATTTAACAAAACGGGCCACCCACAAATGGGTGCCTCCTGTACAATTCCATTAGTACCAAGTGCAAACACAGGTGACCCTCCTAATCTAGGGTGTTAGAAGAGCAGATAAGACCGGAGAGAGCATAAGGAAAGCTTCTGGGTGTCAATAACATTCTGTTTCTTAATCTGGCTAGAGTTACCAAGGGGTGTTCCACTTGAGAAAATTCACTGAACTCTAAACATAACGTGTTTTCTCTGTGTGTATCTTATGCTTCATAATTAAAAAAAAACAAAAACAAAAAACTAACAGCAGGTAACACAATGGCATTGCATGATCAGGCCTATTGCTGATTTACGGTCTGGATGGATAAGGATCCAGGAATGTGGCCTGTGATCCATGCTAGACTGCTAACAGAGGGTCAACACTTCGATGAGGTTCCCAGCCCTGGACTCTACCTCCTCAGGATCAAGACTGTTAGAACCTACAGCCTGTGACCCAATGACAGAAACCCTCCCTCCCAGCAAAAGGCTACACTTGACAAGGCAGTTATGTTTGCAGAAGAATGCAAATTTCCTTGTTAAATGACCACTTAAACTTTTAACTTAACCCTTATGAGCAACATATAAAGCCAATTTAGACAATTGGGATAAAAAAAAAACAGGGGCACTGGCATTACCAAGCAAAGCAGATCTGAGATGGGAGCATTTCTGTTTTTCAGTAGAGCAAGAGGAGGCAGCCACCGTTGGTTTGAAGGCGATTTCTGAATAACAACTACATTCCAATCAAGCCTTGGCAGCTTGGGACAATAATTACATACCCACAATGCTAATATTTTCAGAGGAATTCCCGCAAGCCTGGCTAATTTACTGTTTTTTGCTAATATAGTACCTGGCTTGCCTTGGCTCATGCCCTTCCCCCACCAGACAGGCCCTGACCCTACCCTCACCTCTCCAGTTCTGCCATTTTTCCAGGCCCAATGGAAACCCTTGCACGCCGGCTACTTCTTGCTCACATATAAAGCCTCATTTCTCACTACCACTTACATAGCTGGTAAATGTTGATTTATGCTGCCGGCACTGGCCACGTAGAAGTGAACCACTTTGGTACTGTGATCTTGTTGCACTGTTAATATCGCTCTGAAGTTTGGTAGATCCCTGGAGGTCGGGGTTTACCAGACTTCAGAGCAATTTGAGAACACCAGTGCGAGGCAGGGTGGGTGCCACTCAGCAGGAGCCTGACACAGATGGGCCCAAACACAGGCAAAAGAGTGAAGCAGGCTGATTGCAAGAGTGGACTTTGGAGTGGAAGAAACTCAGGTCCCAGCCCCACCAGTGGCTACATGGCTTTCTCCAATCATACCCCTTCAGCTGGGATCACACGACTTCCAGCTTAACAGGAGATGCTCAGCCTTCCCTTGGTGCTGCTCGCCCTTCCTGCTTCTTACCTCTCCAAGCTTTTCTCTTCCCCTTTCTGCTCCCACAAACCTCTCAGTCTATTGGGAAGAAGGGCAGCCAATCAAGCCACTAAGCCTAAGCTGAACTTCTTCAGACTAAAAAGATGACAACTCAAGGGAAATCTCAAGGAATGGTTTTCTAATTGTGTAGGTGTCACAGACAGCACTATTAGAATAAAGACAGGGTTTGTTTGTTTGTTTGTTTGTTTGGGGCTTTTGTTTTGAGCACAGGCCCTAAAATCATATTAACATATAGCCCATTGCTATTTGCAGGTCAAAGCCTTGAATAACATGAACTAGAATAGCAAGCCATATCAATCATTTTCCATTCTCAAAAAGGACAAGTTATTTTATCCAGAAAAGGCATCCGGCGTCAGAAAGGATAGTTTGCACAGGTATTATTTCACTTCTGAACTCTGCTTCCATTGGGCACAGCAGAGCCACTCAAGTAAACTGAATACTCAAAGCTGCCCAGTGGTGACATTTCAAGCAAGCATGAGAGTTTCCATGTCACAGAACATCTGGCATACCAGCCATAATGATGAAAGGGTAAATTTACTCAGCCATATTTCCAGGCCCCACCAGAACAAGAACACTCCCAAGCCCGGAGCCTGCTCCAAGTGTTCCCCCTTAGCAAAATACCACGGACATCTGGGAGAAACAATTTCTGTGTATGCACAAAGTCAGATTCATGGACTTTGGGGGTTAGAGGGGACCCTAAAGACAATTTAAGCTTAAACTCCCAATTCTCCAGACAATAAAACCAGCACCTGGAAAGTGACATGACTTGACAAGGTCACCTTGCTACTCACTGGCATGCCTCAAACAATGAACCGAGCCTCCTGGCTCCCTTCTCTCCTGCTGACCTTAGACAAAGGCAACAGAACAAGGAGTAAAAAGCCCAACAGCCTTTTTCCTTTTCCTTCTAAAGAAACCACTTTCCCAATCCAAACATAGGGATGACCAAGAAAGCATACTCACAGCCAAGTCAAATTCGATTAAAGAGAGCTGGATCGGGTGTCTGTGGTACACACTGAAAGTGCTTAATTGCAAAAACCCCGAGCTTTAACTCTGCTGTGAGGGGCAAGGCCAAACTTCAACTTCTCAGAAAAACAAACGCTGCTGTTGCATAATTTCTACTTGGCACCCAAATGTGAGTGACTGCACATTTAAAATAACATTCCATTCCACACATCTGATTCAAGACTAGGTAATGAGCTGAATGAAAGGAAAAAGGCAGGCAACAGCGTATGTGGTGACTCGGAGAGACAGCCGCTGTGGTTAGGGGTGTGCATCCTTCTACCATGCCCAGCATTTACAGCCATCCCTGGCAGGAGGCAGAAACACAGAAATGGATTCTCGTGGAGCCCTGCTCTGGGATTTTAAAGAGTGCCATCAGTAGTGACTGATGCCGATGAGCCACTGTGTGAGGTAATCTGCTCCTGCTCCCTCGTGCTTCTCTTGGTGGCTCCCCTCCCTTCTTCATGACTATAAGGGTGTGGCAGCTGGGATTTAGGCTTGGGCACATCCTCATGGTTAAAAGAAAAAAACAGCACTAAGCAGCATAAAACTTAAGAGCAATATGCAGCTATCAGGGCACCTGTCTTAAGCACTGAGGGAATTAAATATTCATTTGTTTTTCTGTTTGACAGAACACATAACCATTCCTTCAAACAGGAAATCTATTCAGTATATAGTACCATGTGCTACAGTGAAATGACCTTTACCACTTTCCTGTTAGTAAATTAAAAGCAAAGCTCATGGCTCCCAGCAAACCCTGCCACATGATGGGAATTGAAAAACCAGGCCCATTTCCACACGCGGAGGGGCAGCACGTTCATTTCTGTTCCTCTTGCATTGCTCCTCGTTCCCAGGGTGCGCCAGGAGACGGAGGCCTTTATCTTTTCCACGTTACAACCCCCCGACATTCCTCCCCTGATGTTCTGCACAGGCCTATCTTTTAGGCCATCACGAGAGCTCATTTGCTGCAGGGAATCGCAAAGAGGGTTTGACACTGTGAGGAGAATCTGAAAAGAACATGAGATCTTAACAGAGATGCTTTATATAGAGATAGGTCAGGATTTAAAACTGAAGAGGAGGCAGACAAGAAAGGGCTCCAGAAATTTCGACAGAATAAAGAGTGTCTTTCCTGTTTTTACTCCGTTGGTCCATCTAAATATAATGTTTTTTAACGACCAGAAAATGATTGATTTTAACTGAGATAAGCTCATTACACAGCAACCAACGATGTCACTGCTGTCAACTCTATCGCTCTTTCCACCCTTACCTCCCCAAACTCACACACAAGCCCTGCAAACACAGCAAGGTCTTTCTTCCCAGGCTGGAGAGATGACTTCGTCTCTCCATCCCAAAGAGGTGAACAGCATGCCAGGGCTGAAAGCAGGGGCTCTGGGGCCTGGGTTTGAATTCTGCCCCACCACTTCCTGGCTGGGTCACCTTGGTAAAGTTACTTAACCTCTTTGTGCCTCAGATTCCCATCTGTAAAATGGGGATAAGCACAGGGTGGTTGTATGGAGTGAATGAGTAACATACCTAAAGCACAAAATAAACATTTTTAAATGTAAGCTTTATTACTTCCTAATTACTGTGAACTATGATGGTAATTCAGGTAACCTGCCACCAGGATCATGGGGAACCTGGACACTGGCTTTATTCAACTTCAACTGAGCTTACTCTTGCCTTCAAATAGGGAGGGGTTTTTGTTTGTTCATTTCTAAAAAAAAAGACTCTTTGTTTAAACAGCTAAGAAGCTGCTGACTGGGGTGCGAGCCCCATGTGCTGACTGCCAGCTTCCAACTAGCGCTGGGCTGGGTGTTCTCTCCTTTTGCCTCTGCTTGGTCATCCTGTTGACTGATTTCTGCATGCAATTGCACTGGCTTTTTGTAGTCAAAACAAAATGAGGTGTGCAGTGTCCTATCCTCTGGAGAGAACTGGGAAAACTTCTCTTACTCTAGGACTGTCCCAGCAGCAAAGCCAAACCTCCTATCTGAATGAATACAAAACCCTTAACTAAAAAGTGTTAACTCCTTCAATGCCTTTCCCTTCAGTGGTGTCCAGGGTTTAACACAGAACTGGTATCTTGCCTCCCATGACAATGCTCCTTTGAAGGCTGGGGCTGTGGAGGGAGCTGGCGCGATGGTGCTGGGCCTTCTGCCTGCGGTCTGTTGTCCAGGCTGTGGCTGTTTTCTCACAGGTCAGCTGCCTGCTGCCTGCTTGGTCCTAGCTGAGGGCAGACTGTGTTTGTGGCTTCATCGCCCACCTACAAGTACTAAGGCCTAGTGATTCCCACTTGCTTCTTGCAAGTGAACCTGCCCACCCGCCACATGCCCATATACCTTAATGCAAAGGTGAATTTTTAATGAACACCAGATGCTCTATTTTTAAAAGTTGACGCTCCACTTAAAACATTCAAACAGCTATAAACAGAATTAATATCACAGGAATGATGAAAATGTTTTAAGTGATTTTTCCACAATCTCCCATTCCCTTCTCCTTCCACCTACTCTCTTGGTCCAGATATATTCAGCAATGATGGGAGAGCCCTCTACTAGCCCACCCAAAAACGCTGCAAGTAAACATATCATTTAAGTAAAATCAGGGTATTTGCTACGCAAGCACAGTGCTAAGAGAGGCCCTATAACCAACCCTTTCCCACCAGAGTTCTGTCCCTAAGCTCCTCATGTACAGAATTTGGGGAGGCCTCCTTCCCCACCATCTAAAAGGTTAGTAGAGCCCAAGCCTGTTGGTTTTTCAAGAAGAGTATCTCCATTAGTAAGGGATGCCTATTCAGTGACACAAACCATAAGACTGAATTAGAAGTTAAGCTTCACTAGACAAGGAGAGGAGTGGAGCTTAAATCTTGTTCCCCTTCCCCCGCCAGAACAGGAGTTACAGAGTTCAATAAGGCCGGTAGTCCAGCGACCTACCTTGATGGTCTTCACCAGGTTGGCAGTGCTGTTGGCGACTTCCTTGGCTGACTGGACGAAGTGCCTCTTGGCTACTGGGTTGGCCGTCTTGGATGAGGCGATGCGGCAGGCATTGCACAAGGCTGACGTGTGCTTGGCAACAATTGTGGCGGCTGACAGGACCTACAAAGCATGGAGCTAGGTTGGGGGTACCCCATGCTACAGTGCAGAGGGGTCCACCCCGGTCCTCAGCCCTGGGTTCCTGTTCAACTCACATGTTCAGAGCCTGTGTAATTACAAGCATGTCTAGTTCTGCGACCCTCAAAGTCACTCCAAGAAAGAGGAGGGCAAGAAATCTTAAGCACAGATAATAAAGAAAGAATAAGAAAAAAGGAGGTGCTGACATAGTGGTGGGATAGGCTGAGCCCCAGGTAGTCTTAAAGGAGATGTAATCAGTTAGCCTTTGGAACCCCAGATAGGAGGTCCAGGGTATAGCATCTAGACCAAGGTCTACACATACCCAATTTTAAGTTTTCTGGCAGTCACTTTAAAATAAGTAGAGAAACAAGAGAAATTAATGAAATAATTTCTTCTATTTAACTTGGTATATCCAAAATATTTCATCATATAACCAATTTAAAAATATTGAGATTTTACAATCTTTTTATCATACCAAGTCTTTGAAATTCAGTGTGCACTGCATATTTACAACCCATCGCAGTTTGGACTAGTTCCATTTCAAGTGCTTAACAGCCACATGTAGCCAGTGGCCACCATACTGTAGAGCCCAGATCCAGATGACAAAAATACATATCAAGGTGCAACAGCTCCCTCCTCATCCATGGAGGGCTGCTGGCACCTACTGAGGTGTCTGGCTCAGGAAGTTCCACAGGCTCCACCCCGCCAGCCTCAACTCATTTGCTTTCCTGAATCCACCTGTTCTGCTTTGCTGAGGCTGGTAACACCCCTTTGGCCTTGCTGGATGGGTAAGGACTCCCAGATACACCAGCTCTTGGGGCTGCTTTAGGTCCACATGGTCCTTGTGTTTCCTTCTTTGTTCAGGCCCTTCTCCTGCCTCAAGAACGTGGGCCCCAGGTTGATGGTGGGCATGCCACTAACAAGACTGCCTCCTCCACCCCCATTCCAGCCACTTCTCCTTCCTTGCAGTACACACTGTTTTAATAAGTGACTGGGACCCCGTGCCACTCAGGTATGAGAGGTGTTATGGAATGTCACATGTACTGGCTCTTCCTCAAATGTCATTCTGGCTTCTTTCTGTGCTGCAGATTCTACCCAACTTTGAGGCCCGGTTCAGTGCCGTCACTTCTGTGAAGTGAGCCCTGACAGCCCCCTTGGAGAATTAATCACACCTTCCTTTGCACATCCCTGGCACTGTCATCGTGCCCTGGTCATTGCATTTTCCAAACTTTGCCTAACACACTAAGAGCCAAGGGGTAGAAAACGGAGCCCTGCGCACATTGAACCCTTACAGCTAAGCACAGAACAAGCCCTCAATTCACGTCCCCTGAAATGAATGAAGACTCCTTGTCAATCTCACTGTGATTACTTCACTCCTTTTGCCTTCTGGCACCCCATTTCAAGGCACTTACAAATTTCCAGATTCATCATATTTTGCAATATTTGCTCCCACCTGAGTCATTATCTACAATGCTGGCATTTAGCTACCTTTGCAAGCTCTGAAAGAACAAGATTCTTTACTAATTTCTCATAGTCTCCCACAACTTACCTAGAGGAGCTGCTTAAGGGCTTGAAATCTTACATCCTCCCCAACAGTTACCTGTGATGGGCTGCTGCCAGGGTCCACCAAGTTCTGGCATGCCATCTGGATGGCCTGGTTAGCCCTGGCAAACTGGATGGGGTCCACCAGGCCCTGGTGGCCTGCCTGGCTGTTTGGATCAGAGATGCCAACCAAGTATGCAGCCTAGAAAGGGAAGAGAAAAACCACAGCTCAGGCTCCGTGCTCCTAGGTGAGCCTGCTGGGGATGATGGTCCGCACTACACATGCAGCTGTCACACTCAGGCACTCCTCAGTTCAAACTGGTCAAGGTCATCTCATCCCGCTCACCAATAAGGGTGTAATAATGAACAGGTTTATGCCAGCTTGACATACCAGAAGTAGTTTATCACAGGCTCATGGAACAAAGTGTCCTTGTTCTTCTGAGAGAGCCTCAAGAAATTCTTCTTTGGGGGCATGGATAAGGATGGATGCAGCCCTGACTACTCTGGCAGCCATCTTGTGATCACGAGGCTGCCCAGCCTCAGCATGAAGCTGACTCTTTGGCTGGCAGACAGGAGAGGCACAAAACAGTGGGTGCATGCAGACTAATGGTGTGGAGCTGCTGGGTCAGCCAACCGTGGAGCCTGCCCTGTCCTAGGGTTCCTCATCTCGTAGCTTACCGAAGCATGTCCTTATTGCTTAGGTCAGTATTTTCAACAGCAGAAGGGATCTTAACTTTGTAATTGAGTAAGATGGCCCAGAAAAGAAACAACAAAAAAGGCAGCATTTGGTTCCCAAGAGGACAAGAGGGCACAAGGGAAGGGCTTCTCTTTGCAATTCCATTTAGATGTGTCAGCCAAATAAAAAAGAAAAAATGAATCTGTGCATAGGAATTTTGATCTTATTTCATTTCTCCTGAGATCTGAGGGGAAGGATAAAGGTAGATAATTTCATCCCCTAAACTAGTGATGTTTCTCTGTGGTTCAGTAAAATCTTCTAGGTTCAAGGTAACTGTCAAATGATGAACGCTTTAAAGTAGATGCTGACATCTTTGAAGCTTCTGTCATGGGAGGTCAATCATCATTGAAAATACAGAGGATAGTCAAAGAAGGGCAAGGAATGTGCCATATCATGTCTCTGCATGATGGCATCTTATTTTTTTCTCTCTCTGATTCTAAAAAGAGCATGACATAACAGTTTCGCATTTCTAAAGCCTTAGCAAATTTAAATTATTTAGTGCTTATTTTTCTACCCCAAACAACTCATCTATAATAAAAACTTTTAAAAGGATTGAAAAGTTGGCCTCTGAACCTATATGCTGGGTCTGTACTGAGTCTTGCCATGCTCCCCAGCCTGGCCCATGGCTGCTCTGCTCCTCGGGGGTAACTGGCTCATGTTTTGTGTAAATGCCCCAGCCAGCACAGAAGCCACTGCCTTTCCCATGGTTTCTGTGGTGGTACTTGGAGAAAGAGGTGCAGCTGGAGTTCCCCCACACCTCCCACAGGGATCTGGCACAGGGCACATGGCTGCATCGGGACTAGCCCCTTACCTGGGCTGCAGCCTCTGTCAGCCCACAGAGAGCCTTGGATGCAATCCCCACACATTCCCCAAAGGCAGGGAGGTCTCCGGTCTTGGCATTCTGTGAAATCCCTGCCATCGATTCACCCAGAACCTGCAAAACAAACGGCCAGCAACATTCTCTATCCAGCATTGCCTCAAACCAAGGGGTAAAGGAGGCTACACTCCAACTTTAATATTCAAGGCAACTTAATTTGGAACATTTGACATTTTCTCCTTTATTTGGATTAAAAAGAGATGGAAGAAAATTACATCATTTCCATTCCACAAAGAGATAAGTACAATGAAAGTATAACCCCAAAGTTATCTGTATTCCAAGCAGTTAGAGTTAATATACACAGACAATATAGTAGAGTCTATAAAAGGCAACTCATGGGTGAATGGTCTAAACTGATAACTAGTTCCCAGAATATAAAAATCATATGCATCGAGCTGTAGGTGAGGTCATAATCAGAAAGCATGATACTCACCCTTCCAGATATCATTTGTCTAGTTACTGACAGTAAAATTTAAATAGAGATCTTTGTTAAGTATGTTTCCTAAATACTGTAAGAATTTTGCCTTATTTTGAAAATCACTGGTGTGGTGTATTCTTTCTTCAGAGATCTTTACAATCACAGCTGAAAGAGATTTTAGTGTTCAGAATCCAACCCAGAGTGGTCATGCATCCTGTACAAGGTCACAGTGAAGGTCACATGGGCAGGTACAGGGTGCCCAATGTAAATTTGGTGTTCCCTCATTATGCCCCAGGAGGGCTGGTCATATTTTCCTTGGCAACAATGATGGAACTGAAGGATGTTTTACCCTGTGGAGAGACTGTGGTATTGCCAGGTCTAGAACCCAAGGCAGAGACTATTTGTCAATAAGCCATCTTGGAAGGGAACAAATTCCCTAAAATTGCTTAGATATACAAAATAATCCAGTTTACATAAGGATTTGCAAAAAAGGAACCATTTCTTTGGATCTGAGTGTGTATGCATCTTTCCCTTAGACAATCCATAATTCCATAAAAGGTACTGGATGAGGAAATTCTAGTTTTAGCCCAAATCAAACAGAGTCCTTTTGACATTACCAGCACAGATGTTTCCCCGCTAGAATAAAAGTGACCATGTTTCAGCTACAAAGCCAGATTGCAACAGCTCGACATCCATTCTTCTCCCTTGCATTTGATTTTCACCTTCTGATTTGAAGGCATTCTCAAAAGACATTGGTATGATTACTACAGAGGAGTGTTTCTCAACAGTTTTTTTTTTTATTATTGTTCCACTAAGGAGCCTTTTATGTTTTTTTTCCTAATCAAATGCCAAAGAATAAGATTTTGTTGAGTAAGGTTAAGATAGGAGCAGGGTAACAAGCCATTATATTATCTTAATTTTTTTTCAACATCTCTCCAATGTCCTACCAAAACAAAACAAAACAAAACAATTTCACCCTCCTTGAGAATGCATGCCATGAATAGACTGCAAAAGAACACATAAGAGGATCCCACGTAAGTCAAGTTACTGAAGGACTTTCCAAATCAGTTCCGGTGTAGAAAATACACGATTTGACTTACAATAAGACCCATTTGTGAAAAAAGAGAGGAAATGGTTCTCAAAGTATGGTTCCTGGACCACAGGGGCAGGACCTGGGAGATAGTCAGAAATGTAGAATCTCAGCTTCCTCTCAGACCTACTGAAACAGAAACTTGGGGGTAGGCAATCTGTATTTAACAAGCCCTCCAGGTGATTCTGATGCACCGTCAAGTTTGAGAAGCTCCTGAGCAAAGGGCTCCACAAATAGGCTTCATGCTACATGTGGCTAGCCCTGCAGACCAGCCACAGGCAGATGCACAGAAGGCACGTCTAAACTTCTCCCCACATTGACAAGCAATGCTAACTTCTGACTTACGGCATAGGCAGTCTTACCTTGGAGTTTTCCATCACACTCTCAATGCAGTCAAAGTAAGAGAGGTCACTAACAGGTTCATTAGGATTGTCCAACATCCCCTTCACAGTCTACAGAAGAAGAACACAACATAAAAAGCAAGCAAATGTCATAGAGCAAAAGAAATTCAACATCAACTGCCAACTATCAACTCTCCCTCCATACACAAGTTTCTGGTCATGATCACTTTTACTCAGATGTTTGAGAATTTACATCATGGTATCATGACTTCAGATTTCCTGTTAGCAACACAATGCTCATTATAGGGGAGGGGGTCTCTGGTTAGCTTGGCCAGAGATGAGAATCTCTTGTTTTCAGTTTTGAAGGAGAAGAAACAAGGTAAACACAGAAGGATGGCATTTAAAACATATTAGAACATTAATACAAGGCAATACATGCGTGGTCAATTAGCACAACTTCTCAGCAGGATAATTCTAAGGAGTTTAAATTTCAAAAGGCCATTCATTTCTTCATGACCAGTAAGAACCCTCAGTTTTTCCAATTTTGGAACATTTTAATAGGAAGGCATGAAAGAAGGTAATTCCCCCAAACTGTCCATTGTGATGGTTCATTTGTTTTTAATTTAAACAGTATAGAAAACGTTTCTTGTTGTTTAGGTCCTCATCAAAGAAATACATGGGTATAGGGCCTGGCTCTGTGTCTCTAAGCCACCAAAAACCATGGCTAGCTCTGTCATGGCATTGTAATGAACTTGATCACCACTTGTAAGGGACTTTTCCTGGGGATGCAGCCATTTAACCTCCTCCCCAGAGAGTGAGAATGTACATTAGGACCCAGCAATCTTTGGGACACAGCCAACAAAAAGACAGTCATTTGAGTTACAAAGGCTGGTGGGGGGCTGGGAGAGAAGGAAGGGGAACTGCTGAGCTGTTAAAGATGGGAGGGAAAGAGGGCAGTGTAAGGAATGAGCTCATTTCATTCAAGAACCTCCTCCCACTCCTTGGATATTCAAAATTGTTCTATTAACAGCAATCCTAAACTAGTCATATTTTTCAACCAAGGATATCAATAAGGGACGGAGTACTGGCACCTAGGCCAACAGAGCTCATTTAGATCAACAACCTACATATTTATATTTGCAAATGTGAACACAGCAGAATAGGGTAGTAATTCAGCCAATGTAAGAAACATTCTCAACTGTTTTCAGAATGCTTCGGTCCTGTGATAACAATCCCCTTCTCATTTCCAGCTGTGCACAATGGCCTAGTGCCAGTACCAGGGCCTCAATCAAATGCTTCAGAAGCTGCAGTGGGTATTCCCACCATGCCAGACCCATGCTGATCATCCAGAAAATGGAACGTTCCTTGGGACAACCAACCCACATCTACTGAGATACTCGTCTGGCATCTCAATATAACCGGCATTGGTTAGGACATACAAGTAGGTACACTGATTTTATGTTTACCCACACACATTCTATGGGGATACATAACTTTTCAAGTATAAATGAGTATGAATATAAAATGAAAAGCACCCACACTGTGTTCTGGGCCCTTAGGGGCCCCACAGCCATCCTGACTGTGTAAGTACTGTTAGTCCTAGGATTCCTCTTACATATTCCCTACATGGTACAGATGCAGTGTATGGGAAAATCATTTTTACTCAAAAGAACACCTATCTCAGCCTCTAGCTCTCTCCCCATTGTTCCAGAATAATCTCTCCAATATTTTTTAGGTAAAAATTGCTGATCTTCAGCCTACACCCAACATCACAGGCCTCTTCCTGTTTGAAATAAAGAATCCTTTAACAAAATACATCTCATCCTACTGGAAACAGGAGAAGCAGGAATGATAATCCCACTAAATCTAGTTTCTCTTCAGTTTCTTTCCACTTGGATTGGAACTTTGGCCTTAACAGCCTCCAAGGAAAGATAAAAGGCAAGGACAGAGAAGAGAAAACTAGCCCTATAGGGAAAGAACAGACACAGACATAGACAGACAGACACACAGACACACAGACACAGACACTCCCTCTCTCAAGTCCTCAGCAGCCTTCCCAGGGACCTACCTCGAGCTCCCGCAGGGCATTATCGCACTCTTTCTGGCCCGGAGCTTGTTGGGTACACAGAGTGATGAGTTGATTGATGCTCTCTGTCACAGCTCTGTGACAGAAACAGAATTTTTTTTTTTTTTTTGAAGATCAACAGTAATTTCCCCTACAATGCTTTGCAGGCTCACCAGAAATACAATTAATTCACTATTTCAGCTCGGGTCCCCAGGAGAACTCTTCTGCAGAGGCTCTACACAACCAAAAATAAACCACACCCAGGGAAGACAGAATGAGAAACCCTACCTCGCCTCTGATTATTCATTTGCTAGATCTGGAAGGGGTCCTAATACAGTTGACCTTTGAACAACATGGGTTTGCACTGTGCAAATCTGCTTATAGGTGGGTTTTTTTTTCAGTAAAAGTTACACCAGTGTGTCTACCTCTCCTTTCTCCCCTTCCACCTCTTCCACCTCTGCCACCTCTCAGACAGCAAGATGAACCCCTCCTCCTCCGCTGCCTACTCAATGTGACGAATATGAGGATGAAGACCTTTATGATGATCCACTTCCACTTAGTGAAAAGTACATTTTCTCTTATCATTTTGTTAGTAGCTCAACTTATCATGGGAATACAGTACATAATACATTAACATACAACATACAAACTATGTGTTAACTGTTCATGGTATCAGCAAGGCTTCCAGTCAGCAGTAGGCTGTTGGTAAAGTTTAGGGAAGCAAAAGCTATACATGAATTTTTGACTGTGCAGGGGTCGGTGCCCCTAACCTTTGCATTGGTCAAGGGTCCACTGTAGTTCTCCTAAGAAAGCTAATACATTCATAAGAAAGAATTCACAACAAGCAAATAGACCATATTAGCACTATTTAAGACCCTTCATCAGCAGTCCCCATGGAACAAGATAACCCCATGGAACAAGATAAAAAATGTACAAAATATTTTGTACATTTTTAAATACATGGATATAAAGTGAACTGTGCCTATGATTTTAAAATTTCTTCCTTCCATTAAATTCTATATGATTGACTGGTTCCCAAAAGCGACCACAAAATTATTCATTAAAATAGCTATTTTCTTTGTTAACATTAACAGAAATAACCTAGGGACTCTTATATGACTTTACCTGTTTCTAAGAGGTAGCCCATAAGTAGATACAGAATTGGGGTGGAGTGTGATAAGAAAATTAATCACTTTGTGCTTTTGATTACCTATTTAGCACAAGTCATTGACAAGGACTCTGTCCCTCCTGGACAGCCGCTGTTTAATTTGTCTGAAGTAATGACATGGATAATTTTGAAAGTCATGGCCATTCGTAGTTAACTTTTTGTATAGTATAAGATATAGCTCATAGTTGTTTAAAACATTTTTTTTGCATAGGTAAGCCCCATAGTTCCAGCCCCATTTGTTGAAAAGACAATCTTTTCACCATTGATATGTGTTGCACTGATCTACATGGTCAATGTTTTGTCGATACCACGCTGTCTTAACGACTAGCTTTACACTAAGTCTTAAAATTGAAAACCCACGCATTTTATAAATGAAAAATCTGAGATAACTCCCAAAGAGCATGCTACAAATAAGCAGCAGAAATAAGACTTAAACTCATGCCTATCTGACTCCAAAACCAAATACATAATTCTTTCCTGCAGTGTCATAACTGGTCCACGCTTCTGGCAGGGCCCAGAATTCGACTCAGTTTCTAACCACTGCAGCTTTGGCAAGTTAAACAAAAATAAAATAGGCACATATTGCTGTTAATCACCAACACTAATATAAAAGATGCCTCATTTTATTAGTTAAATTGGCTTTGCAGCTTCCCACAGAATATCAAATTAGACAGAAAATGATGTTGCCAATGTACAAAAGCAATCGGCTTAATTATTTGATGAGGAGATACTGCTTTCAATTTCAAATTGAGCTAGGGTGATAGGAAAATTCTAAAATAGTTTTTGTAAGATTGACTCTGGTGATTCATTTATTTGGTGACCACTATTTAATTAGGGTGTCACTGGGAAACACTGCGCTCTCTATGGTGCAAAGCAAAACAAGAACAAGGAGACAGCCGGACAATCCCTAGTTCCAAGGATTGCGGAGGGTGTAGTCCTCAATGCGCGCTTTTAAAGTACCTCCTGGGGAGTCCAGCACCCTGTTCTACATGGTGGTGGCCTTGAGACACGCTTCTGAGATAGGCTGGCATATATCAACATATGTGCTATTTCCACATATCACAGAAACTTTCTATTTAGCTTAATTCTCTCTGTGTTTCCTGTTTATCTGTGTTTTTTAAAAAACCTTGTTGCTATATAAAAGTTTCTTCCATTGAAAACTAAGTGTTTATAATTGGTGAATCCAGAGGATATACAGCTGTGGGAAAGCCGCCAGTTTTCCTCAACTCTTCAACTTTTCTGTAGATGTAAAATTTTTTTCAAATAAAAACTTGGGACAAAAACCAACAGACTAAGGGTTTGTGGTTGGGTAATCCACAAAAGTGCCAGCACAGCATCGTGTGTCTAAGTGAGATGCTTGGGTAATACTGATCCAGAACTAAGAAGCATTATTTAGCTATCACGAATTCCCATAACTAATTTTACAGTCGGGATTACATGCTAAATACGTGCTAAGTGGTCCAGAGGCAAACGGTTATGTAAATTTGACAATGAAAAACAATATTTATGTTTTAAACCCCAGCAGCTATTTATAAGAGCAAAGAATACGGAGCAACTCAAATACGCAAGAATAGAGGATTAAATAAATATACAGCCCTCAAGGGAATCCTGGGGACCCATTAAAAGTCAGTGTGTAGCATATTACTAATGTCAGAGATGAATATATGTGTTACGTGATTAAGGAAAATAAAACTTACAAAATAGAATAGAATGGGCCTACCCCTCTAAAAATAAACATATATATGCATAGAAAATGATAGAACGACATATATTAAAAGGTGAAGGGACTTTATAATGTTATTTTGAAAGAAAAAATTTCAATAAATCTACCCCCCATTAGAAATTAATCAATTTACATTATCACAAAAAATCTGGCCAAAATTAGAAGGGTCTCTGTTCTTTGTAAATCCAAATAGGTCTGAAGTACAGTTACTTTTATTTTTTTTTTACCATCTTTTTTTAGTGATCAAAGCCACATAAGTTCATTTTTAAAAATACAAAAAAGCTAAATAACCATAATGCTACCTTACAGAGATAGTGTTTTCATCTAGGCTTATCTATCTACTCTCAGTTTCTAAAAAACTTGGGATCTACAACTTCAATGGTTAAAAAGGGTTAAGGTAAAACATTATTTAGTGTTCAGAGATGCTGAATAGGTTCAGTTGAAGTGTGAGAGCTCTGGCTGGAAGTTTTAAGTAGATACAGAAGTGGGGTGGAGTGTGAGAAGAAAATCAACCACTTTGTGCTTCTGATTACCTATTTAGCACAAGTCACCCAGTCAGGAGCTTAGAAGGTAAAAAGCAGCAGCAGACATCTGTCTGCCTGCCTCCAGGGAAGAGGCGCCTGGGAAAGGAGGAAAGAGCAAATCGAAATTGACCTTTCTGTATTCCCAGGGTCCTGTTATGTCAAGGCACAGAGATTAAAAAATAATCTAGGCCAGGCGCGGTGACTCACGCCTAGAATCCCAGCACTTTGGGAGGCCGAGGTGGGTGGATCACTAGGTCAGGAGTTTTGAGACCAGCCTGGCCAACATGGTGAAACCCCGTCTCTACTAAAAATACAAAAATTAGCTGGGCATGGTGGCATGCGCCTGTAATCCCAGCTACTCGGGAGGCTGAGCCAGGAGAATCACTTGAACCCGGGAGGTGGAGGCTGCAGTGAGCCGAGATCGCGCCTCTGCACTCCAGCCTGGGCGACGGAGCGAAATTCCATCTCAAAATAAAAATAAATAAAAACATAATAATAATCATCTAGCTGGGCATGGTGGTTTGTGCCTATAATCCCAGCTACTCCAGAGGTTGTGGCCAGGAGTTCCAGACCAGGCTGAGCAACACAGCAAGACTGCCTCTCTTTAAAAAAAAAAAAAAAAAAAAAATTAAAAATAACAAAAATAATCTTTTATGGCTCTCTAGGATGGCAAGGTGTTTGCAATCTAATGGAAAAGGCAAGACAATGAGAAGACAAGGTACAAAGAAGTTGGATGAAAGAAAGCAGTACCAGGGCGGGACACCCGGCAGGGCATGATGGATCGCTGAGCAAGGGACCAGAGGTATGTAGGGACTCGCAGGGAGCCGGAAGAAAATGAAAGCCTCAGCTGCCGGGCACAGAGTCTGCCTGAAAGGGAGGGCTCGATGTAGACTGAAGCAATTGGAAAAGTCAGGGCTGAGTGACATCCTGATTTGGATGGAGGGAAGGAAACATTCTAGGTAAGACCCACAGAGAGCAAAGGTCTCTTGTACACCTTTCTGTTTACGGAGCAAATGCACTCTTCTCGTTTGTGCTGCTTGCTAGACCATCCATCTTCACAGTCTTTGGGGACAGGAGGAGCCCCGTCCAGCAAGAACCTCAGACCAAAGGGGAGCCAGGGGGGCAGGTGCTACCTTGAGTTCCTAGGGAGCATCCTCTGTGGACTGGAAAGCAGCTGAAACCTGGCCCGGGGGTGTGATGCTGGCCGCTGTGGGCTTAAAGCCTTCTCAGTTCTGGAGTCCTTCTGGCCAGGATGACTGTGGTGGTGAGCAGTGATTCAGGGAAGGTGTTCAGAGGTAGGATACCCCCTTCGTTTTGGCAACTGCAAGCTAGCTTTCTATTTCCTTGACTAAGTTTAGGGGGCACCTGACCAGCCCCTGGTTGGGGGAAAAAGGCTGATGAATGGGTGACAAAGGGTCTCCAGCTCCACCCAACTTGTCAGAAAAGAGCCAGAACCCAAACAGTTACACGGGAAGAAAATGAACAAACCAGGCACTAAATAGCAAATGACTTCCTCTCCCCTAGGCATCCAAAACCAAGGGGATAGGTAGGGTCCCAAAAACGTACCCAGGCTCGGAAGCAGAATTAAGAACAGAGGAAAAAGACATCCTCTACTTTTTTCTCCAGAAGCAAACCTTTTCTTCCCAGAGCAAGAAGGACCACAGAGACCACAAATAATAAGGGGTTTGAGACTGTTAACACAGGAGTGGGACAGGGCTGAGTTGGTCCAGGCCTGGGTCCCCGCAGTGGCATTTCTGGGGACTTTGAGGATACACACAGGAAGGACAGGCAGGACCTGACAGTCTCAAGAACAAGGAGGACAGAGGACTGAGGACTGAGACTATGATGATCAGATCCCTTCTGCCCAGCTTCCTGTGCACTTTTATGCAGGACTGTTCTAGGCCCAGATGAAATGAGCGGAGCATGTGGTGAGTCCTGCCTAACTCCACCAGGGCCACATAATGAGGGTTATAAATACACAAGATATAAAGACACACATAATAAGACAGGCCCTGTCTTATTCACAGTGTGCACTCAGCACTGGGCGTCACCCACATCAGGCCTGTGATGAAAATCTATGTAATGAAGACATGAATGAATAAGACAATGAATGAATGAACCCCAGCCTGGCAGAGCTTTGTGTCCCAAGAGGAGCCTGCCTGACCCTCTTGACCTGGCTGGAGTCTCTGCTGAGAAACAGCCCCAGGGAGCAGAAGCTTGCCAAAATGTGCCAAAAAACCAAGGAGAATGTGCCAGCGTTTTCTCGCAACAGTTCCATCCCAAGACAATCATTTTCATGTGATGATTTTTAAGTGCTTACCTGGCTATGAAATCACCAGGCTGGGAATTCTCCGTCAACTGCTAAAAGCCAGGACAGAAAGGCAACGAAAGCTTTTTTTTTTCCCCTTTTCCCCATGTCCTTTCTTCGAAGCCACCACCAGGGGGCCTGCACCTATTCACAGAGCCATACACCAGCAATATTCTTTCCGGCTCTGTTTCCTTCTATATCTGGCTTTCAAAAGGGCAATTTATACATTCCCCCTCCTTCCCACAATTTAGGAGAGTGAAGCCATTCCAAGCTGGAAACTGTAATTTTGAAATGATGCAAAAAATTGAAGATAATGAAAAACATCTGAGTTCTGATACCTGGAAATGTCAGTTGCCTTATCCAAAGGCTCCTTTGTAGGAAAAAAAGCAACGATCAAGAGGGGGTTTTCTATCAGAAACAGCTGCTCAACAGAACAGACATCACCCCCAACCCCACCTCCCATCTCTCCCACCATCAAGGGAGGTCACTTATTTACTAGAACAGTCACGAACAAAGCATGAGATGGGAAGATAATTTTCCAGTCCCCTAGTGGCTCTAGCTATTGTTTGCAGTTAAAATGTACCTTCCAGGAATAAATGAAGAAACTCAAGGGTTTGCAAGCAAACTGCTCTGACAGTGTCTAACCCTTCACACACACACACACACACACACACACACACACACACACACACACACACACCCCACTACAAGCCAAGAGGGAGGAAGGACATGTTTGGACCATGAGTACCATGAGATCTTATGTGCTGAGAGCTAAGGAGAGCTTTAAGGATGATGTAGTTCATACCCCCACTTTGCAGATGGGAAAGTTTAGACAGGCTGAGCAACCTGACCAATGCGACTGAGTTAGTCAAGTATTAAAGCTTGGAATATAATTCAGGTCTCTTGATGCCGACAATTTAAAAAACAGCCAATGATCTCCCAGGGGAGACATAAAGACACACACACACACACACACGCGCAAATTTTAAAAAACCAAGTTAAAAAAAGGAAAGCAGAATCAAAGCTATGCTTTTCAAAAATCACGAATCTGCACATTATAAAAAGGCCTCCAATTACTCTCTATCCCCTAATAGTCCTGCTTTTAATCTCTCTCCACTGTCAGCTTTCTTATACGTAATATGATGGTAAATAATGCTAAAAAAACATGCCTGCACCACCACAGAATCATGACCACCCTACTCTCTGGGTTCAGGAAAATGAAAGAGGGGCTGCTGATACGAGAACCCCCTGGGCTGTCACTGCAGTGCTCCACATACCACATTCAACCACTAGTTACTGAACTAACTTGTGGCCCTGGAGCAGAAACTATACTGTTTTATCCACTTCCCTGGGTGAAACCAACAGGAAAGAAGGACACCCAAATCATCCAAAATTCACACTCATGTTTTAATATATTTCCAAAAACAATTTATTCCCACTGCCTCCCTACTCATCTTAAAGTGGAGCCTTCCCCATGTGACAGATACAACATGTTACATTCAATCTAACACTGATGCCAGGCACAGGGTTAAGTGCTCAATAAAAGTCTGCTGAATGACTTGATGAGCACTGCTTTTCATCTTTACGCTTTTCAGTATTTTCTGATGTTTCAAGAAGCATATATACTATTTTATAATCAGAAAGATATAATGCTACTTAAAAAAAATCTGTTTAATTCATTGCATTTACAAGTCAAAATGGACCTTACGTCTAAACAAGTCTCTACTGAAAAGGCTGTATGAGAAGACAGAAGATATTTTTAGTGGGGAAAGAACATGGAAATGAGCCAGTTTTATAAAATATCAGAGTGTCCATCACTCTCAGCTCCACCTCCCATGACCTAAGGACAGCACCAATTCTTTTGCTCAGCAAAAGTGGGAGGATGTCAGGCACATCTTCAGACTGCAATGACACTGTCTAACCACACACGAAAGCACATTGTGTCCCACTCCTACCTTGCAGCTGCAGCCAGGAGATTTTTCGCATTGGGAGCTCCTGGATCTACAGAGAGAGACTTGGCAGCTAACAGCAGCTTGCTGGATGCCATCGAGATATTCTTGAGGTTCCCTATCACTTGGATCTGGTCTTCTTTTGTCTGGAAGGTCAAAAGGAGCCGGAGCTATTAGGGCCTGTCCATTTCTTGAAGGAGGCATTCAGAGAGCTAGGAGCAGCATCCTGACATGCAGGCAGGTTATCCGTATAGATCACATTAAACCCAGTTAGCCCGCAGATGCCTAACTCGTTGAGACACTGACCAGTGTCTACCCTTCTCCAAACAGATGCTCAGATCAAGATGCATGCCACAGGGAAAGAAATCCATCCCCAAGTGGGTCAGCCAAGAGCTGTGCTTTTCTCACAACTAGAGGCATTAAGCGGGGAGCAGGGTGGGAGGAGAGTGAGCGAGCTGTGAGCCAATGCACAGACCAGGCAGCGATTCCAGCATCTTGCTCAACAATGCTGGAGTTGTCAAGGAGCTGTACATCTCGGCCTGGCACAAACGACCAGCACTGTCTCGATATTCAGAGCTGACTGCATCCCTGAAGTTCCTGACTCGGGAAAGCACACATTTCTCACCCGGTTGCCATCTGAGAAACAATTCTTTGTAGATACTAGAAGAAGATACACCCTGGTTATCTCTTTTAGGGAGGTCAAAGGAGCGCAGAAAAAAAAAAAAAAACAAAAAACACAGCTCTGCAAGCTGACACCAGATCAGTCAAGCTCCCTTGTTCTAAACAAGGGGTTTATCTGTTCATCTGAAGGAGGTAATTTTTAATCACTTGACACTCTGTATTAGACACAGACCATCTGAATGGTCCATTAAACCTCAAATACATATATATTTTTATTGTATTATCCCACATTTGAAGAGCTGTTCTAATCTTTGTTAAACATTCTCCCTCCTCCTACCCTCCCTCCAAATAGTAAGACTATGAATTCTGCTGGAGGATCGTGGGAGAAGTTATTCTTTATTACTAACAGCACCTCATGCATAAGCTGATAGCATCTTTGGGAATGCCATTCCCATGAGGGCATGAGCTTCCTAAGCAGCAAAAAGAATGCAACCATGGCCTGCCTGTTTCCAGGTTCCTTTTCCTATTTGTTCAGTCAGTCTCAAGGATGGATTATCCATCCGAGAGGAGAGGCTAAGGTCAACTCCAGACAACCACCTCCACACCCACCTGAGCTTGGCCAGCCATCTCAATGCCAGCATCGAGGAATTCATCAAAATCATCACTGAACTTTCCAGAGGCTGCAGCCAACTCTCCACTCTGGCCCCGGGTGGCATGGACCACTTCCCCAGCAGACTGGTTCAGATCAGCTGCTGCCTGGTTCAGTTCACTCTGGGCTTCCTGGAAAGGCTTCGTGCTTGGAGGTAGCTGTGGGGAACAGACGGCACACCCCATGAGACATTCTGCTTTGCAGGGGAGGGATAAAAGGAAGGTATTGTGGAAGGGAGACAGACTCTTCAGAGATGCATTTGAGTCATCACGATTAAAAGGCTCTGAGTCATCTGAGCCCATTTTATTAATAGGTTTGACCACCAACATATACATCCATTCATTCATTTAAATGTATCAAACACCTGCTCAGTGCTAGACACTGTGGATCTAAAAATGTAAGCTATCTACAGGGGCTCAAGGTTTCCTAAGTGGCAGAGACAGGATCCACACCAAGGCAATCCGACTCCAGGGTCCATTCTCTAAAACTCTACCCTATTTTGTCTCTGTTAAGATGAAAGCTAAGTTTTAGCTTTGTAAACTAAAAGGCAGATGCTCTCAAACTTCAAATCACGTTCTTCCAAACTAATAGCCACCAATTATATTAGTGGCCTTTGCTAATAACTTTTAAATGTCATCTAGCAGACTGATAACCATTTGTGAAAAGTTCTAGGGAGTTAAGCTAGACTCTATTCATCACCCACAAACATTGCCTCTATACCTGTGCAGAGAAGAAACAAAGATGCACCAGCACAAACCCTCCTTCAGCAGACTCACAAAGCAGGGAAGGGAACAGGCCCCAAGGTGAAATTCCTCAGACTACTCGCTCTCTCACTGAGGCTTGGACACACGTACCCTTCCAACACCTGACTGTCACTATCTGAGATGTCCTGATGAGAAGACAGGTGATCACATACCCCTTTGCCTGTCTCACCGGGACGATCCGAGAGGAAATGGCAACATGGGCTCAAAGAAAAAGTAAACTTTAAAAGCTCCACCTGGGAACTTTGTTGATCAGACAGCAAAACATGGAAAACAAAGACTGGCGGGAAAAACAGGACTCCTAAAGGAAGGGTTAGCTGCTCAGAGATCTCATGGAGAGAAGAAGACTTCACTCACACCTAACGCGAGCCTAGTCCCCCAGTGTCCTTTCTCAATCTAAGAACCTCTCACCGAATCCACAAGCAGCTTCTTGCTGGACTCCCCGATGCTCTTCAAGGCCACGTCCACATCCTTCTGCCCAGGGAGGCAATTTACGCAGTTATTCAAGGAGTGTGAGACGGCTTTAGCCACCTGAATTCGTGGAGAGAGAGAAGCACCTTTAAGTACAAACATTTCTGCACATTTGTTGGGAATGGGCAGTGAAACATGCAGAGCTGAAGCAGATACGGAAATGACCCACCAGCATCCACCTGCCACTCTTACCTGTCTTACATCACCTCATCCAGGCCCCTTGTCCCAGAGATGTTTTCCACCCTCTTATTGGGGTTAATATTCTGTCTCAGCAAAGGGTCCGACACAGTGACACAGCACATCCCACCTGCTCCCCAAAGCCAGGGTAAGCCACAGTTTTGTGATTCAAACATAGAACTCTCCAGCATGAGGTCAGGTTCTAAAGCAAAGATTTCTTATACCAAGAGAAATGAAAATATCTCCCTTCTTGGGAGCCCTGCTGAGGTCGCCGAGGTGGAAGGAGACCTTGAGTTTTTTGGATCACAATTAGAAGGCCTGTGGTTAATTTCTGCTCAGTGACTCATGGGGCCATCCTCCCAAACCTCACTCTGCCCAAGGGCAAGTGGGGTGCTCTGAGCACAACCTGGAGCTGCCCTCACGTTGCCTAGAAATGTTTGGTGGCTCCCTGTTTGCATTCTTTGGTATCCTCAATTAAAAGGAAGGTCTTTGGAGGTGGGGAGTGTCATTCCCTCTCATCTAAGCCATCTCCTTCCCAGCCCCACGTCCAGGACTCTGCCTGGATGCTCCTTAGCCAACTGGTTCCATCAGGCAGTCGAAGAATCATTTAAAGAAGTAATAGAGCGCCAGGGTTGAAAACTTCTGAGTGGCCAGCCCTAGCGGATCTACCTCATTCCCTGGCAAGGAACAGCAATATAGCTCAGCACACATAGGCCCAAAACAAGCATGTTATGTCCTGGCTCTGAAACTCCCAAGGACAGAATTCAAAGGCCCCCATGCCCTCTGCTGACTGTGAATTAAGCAGATCACACATTACTGTGGAGAATACTAGGCAAGACTTACAAAAGTGAGTATCATGTATGGCCAGCATCGTTATGACCTTTGGAAGTTTCTGAAAACATCTGCTGTGTCAGTGTTCATATCAGGGAAAAGTGCCCAGGAGACAGCCCGACCACATGTCCACGTTAATGATGACCATGACAACCACAATTTCTCATTCCTAGCCTCACCTGAGCCAGTCTTTGTTGACGCTCTGCATCTCCAGGTGCAATCAGGGCCTGCTTGGCCTCTTGAATGAGCATGGCGGAGCCCTCCATCACGTCTCGAGCAGAATCTAACATGGCATGGGCGGCCGCGGGGTCGGTTGTCGATGCAGCCACTCCACGGGCGGCCTGGGCCAGTGTTTTCAGAGCTTGGGCCGTCTCTCTAGCAGCCACCCCTGGGGGAAAAAGTCCATCAGATTTCCAATTAGACTCCATCTAAATGGCACATTTTACTTAGGAATAAGCTTCTGGACCAGGGCCTGGCACAGAAGGGGAGCTGCAGATTAGTCTTCATAAAATTTGAATTGCTGTGTTTCTCAAAGAAGTAGCTGGCTTCAGAAACATATCCCCCTGGCTCTGGGCCAAACCAAGAGACACATTAATAACAAATGCAATACTAAAGACTTCTTCCCCCTGACTTCCCTTGCTCCCACTGCCCCACTGTCCCTAGACCTAGAACACCAAGTGCATGGCAGTGAGTACACAGATGGAATTACCTGCACATGTTTGCGGGAGGCCATTTAAAAGCACCTTTCTTCTCAATTGCCTTTCTGGGGCATAACTTACAGTACACTACAGTGAACAAGTCTACATGTGCAGCTCCGTGAATTGGTACATATGGATACAGCCACATATCCACCATCAGTTGTGCCAGTCAATGCTCCCTTCATACCAGAAGTAATCACCATTCTAACGTCTATTACCTTAGACTACTTTTACTGTTTTTTTTTTTTTTTTGAGACAGAGTCTCTGTCGCCCAGGCTGGAGTGCAGTGGCGCGATCTTGGCTCACTGCAAGCTCTGCCTCCCAGGTTCACGCCATTCTCCTGCCTCAGCCTCCCAAGTATCTGGGACTACAGATGCCCATCACCACGCCCGGCTAATTTTTTTGTATTTTCTTTTTTTAGTAGAGACGGGGTTTCACTGTGTTAGCCAGGATGGTCTCGATCTCCTGACCTCATGATCTGCCCACCTCGGCCTCCCAAAGTGCTGGGATTACAGGCGTCAGCCACTGCGCCCAGCCTTTTACCTGTTCTTAAACTTCATGTTAACAGAACCACATATATATATTCTTTTGTGTCTGCTTTCTTTCTCTGACCATAATGCTGTGAGATTCAGCTAAGTTGTGATGTCTGGCAGTTCATTCTTTTTTCTTGCTATATAGTATTCCACTATACAAATATGCCAATATTTGTTGACCCATTCTCCTGTTGATGGACTTTTGGGTTGTTTCCTGTTTGGGGCTGTTATAAATGAATCTAACAAGAAAGTTCTTATATATATATTCAAGTGGCCATATGGGATCACTTCTCTTAGATATAAACCTAGGAGGTGAACTGCTAGGTCATACAGTAAGTATATATTTAGCTTTAGAAGATACTACAAAAACAGTTTTCCAAAATGACTTTACCATTACACATTCCACTGGCAATCTGTAAGAACTGCAGTTGCTCTACATCCTAGCCAACACCAGGTAGCATCGGATTTTAATTTAATCATTCTGATGCATGTGTAGCTGCATCTCAATGAGGTTTTAACTTTTATGTCCTTAATGGGTAATGATGTTGAGCATCTTTGCATGTACTTAATGGCCATTTAGATATCCTCTTTTGTGAAGTGCCTCCTTCTCTTTAAATTTGCATCTAAACAGATGATGGGATTTGGTGATAAACGATGAATATAAACTAGTCCTTTAAAGCTGTAGCACCACCTCATGCGGAATAAACGTGAGTCTTACTACCTGGCACACAGTCCTTGGCACACCCAAGAAGAGGATGAAGACTGGAGATGCCAGGACACATATAACGCCTGAGAATCGCTGAACAGCTTACCCTAGAGCTCATCTCATGAAATTTCACAGATGAAGCCTGGTGCTGAGACATATCTTGCCCACAAACACTTCCAGAGGTGGCAAGAGAGCTAGATCTGAGCTTTCCTCACTTTGAGGTCAAATATTCTTTATAGTGCTCTTTGCAGTAGAGAACTATGAGCCCTTTCTGTTAGAACATATAAGATCTACGTGAAAAATACGCAAATCAGTGTCTCTCTCGCACTGAACTTTTGAAATGACTGTTTTCTACAGGACTGAGCTGGAAGGTCTCTCGGCACCAGTGAGTGTAGTCTTTACCAGCCACTGCTTCAGCTGAGTCAGCACCTCCACAGCAGGTGGTCTTTTCCTCACTGAGGGTGAGGCTCTGAGATACAATAGAGTGTGAAAGGCCTCAGATCCATAAAACCAGATGGGTTTGCAGTGCTGCAGACTTGCTAATATGTAAATATTTAGTAAATCACACAGCTGGGATATAAAACTACGATCTAATCAAGGTAAATGACAAAGCTGCCAATCTATCATTTATCCCATGGCACTTCTGAGTACAGCTGGCAGAATAAAAGAATTTTAAACTAAGTGCTTTTTATGGCAGAGGAGAAGCCCAGAAGAGAAAGCACAAAGGTGAACAAAGCTAAGGTGAAGGAGAGAAACAATCTGAGGAGAATGGTCATTCCATTTTACGCTTAAGCTTTTGGCACAGGGTTGAAGGATGCTGTTGCTCAGAAAAGCGCCAGATGTAGTTAAGACCTCATCTGGCTCTGGCTCTGCTGCTGATTAGTTGTGTGGTCTAGACTGCTGCCTTTTCCCTCTGGGCCTCCCTTTCTCACGGGTTTTAGGAGAGGCTGAGTTCCTAGCTCTGACCATTGCAGATTCTAGGCTGTGATTTCTAGACCTCTCCTCTTGTCTTCCCATTTGTCATATGGACTCTTGAATCCACTTCTATTTGAGTCATATGTAAGTTTGGAGGAGTAAATCATTTATCATATGTAATTAGAAAAGACATGTTTATGCAAAACCCATTTAGTGAAAAACCTTTCATAGACTCATACAATTTAAAAAAACGCAGAAATCCGAAGAGCTAAATTCCAAGAACAACCTGGTCCATCCCATGTGTTTTCTGCTAAGGACTCACTGTGAAATCTCAAAGCACATCAAGGATCTTCTTGAGAGAGATGAGGTTTCTGGAAACAGGAAGCCCATACCATCAAAAGGACGAAAGAAGGCCACGAGAGGTCAGAAAGCCCAGTGAACACCCATGGCGGTGCATGGCTGAACGCACAGCAACATTCTCAATGGTCATCACTACAGGATCAGATCCCCAAGCAAACAACACCCACCGAATGGAACTGTTCCTGTAGTCAAAGTGTGCACCACAATACCAGAACCACCAGTGTGAAATACTAAAGCAGATTTCTGTTTCAATAACCACAGTCCTTTGAAAACACAGATTACTTTCACAGTATTCTTGCCATCTGGATCTTAAATGATACTTAGTAACAGAGTCTTATACAGGCATATCAAGTGATATCAAATATAGTAGCATTCTACATAATGGTTGCTATTCTTCACCAGAATTCATGTGGATTGTGTATCCAGACAGTATTGGGCCACATAGCAACCTCAGAAGACAAAGACCAGGTATGACACAAATCTTTTATCTGTTCCAAAGTATTTACAAAGGGTTATGTGTAATTGTAATCAGCTATACAGAAATATATTTTGAAGACTGCATTGGCCAAACAGAAACACACTTGCATTAGAATACAGCCCAGTGGCAGCTCACATGCAACTTCTGAAAACCCCACACACCTCAATTATGGACAAGGAAACTGAGACCCATGGAGAAGTTTTCCACACACGCTCTCTCTTTCCTTGCTTCCCATCCATTCTCCAACCTTCCTGAAACTGCCTTCAACAAGGAGAATAGTGATCTCCTTATTCCTAAAGCTAATGGATGCTTAAGTCTCCCATTTGACATGACTTTCTGGGCAGCAACTGTGTCTATGGCTCTAGAGACATCCCTCTCTCCTGGTTTCCCTGCCCTCTCCACAGCTCCATGTTCTTCTTTCTTTCAAAGATTTCCATTGCCAGTTTCCTCCCTAACCAGCCAGGTTCTTCAGGATTACAACTGATAAGCTGTCTCTCACTCTACCACTCCCTGTTGGCAAAATTATCTACTTCCAATCATTATCATTTTACCAATAATTTTCAAATCTGTATCATCCAGCCCAGCCTTCTCTACTGAGTTTCAGAGCCAAAGATTTAGCTGCCTAATGATGCTCTCACTGCATATTCTCCAAGCACTTCAAATGGAATATATCTAGTGCCGAACCCAGCATTCCTGAGCTTCACCTCCCCTGCTCCTACCAATGGTCCTGTGTTCCCACCAGTGATTCATACAACTCTTCACTCAGCTATAAGGCCAAACACTTGGAACCGTTCATGTTACCATCTCCACCAACTTCTAACCAGTCACCAAGAACGATTGGGTTTTTGCTTCTTCAATCGACCACTTCGTCTCCACTGTAGGACACTACCATCTCTTACCTGGATTAATGCAACAGCCTGCTTGCCTACCACTTTGTTTCCGTCCAATCCATTCTACACACAGGAGGAAGGGCGACCTATACAAAAAGCAATCTGAACTGTGTCCACAGATGAAAAACATGTTCACATATTCTTCAATTAAAGTATAACTCATTTATTTTAGCTTATGAGGCCCTTTAGGATCTGACCCTGGCCTAACTTTTCAGCGTTATCCTCTTATTTCTCACTTACTCTTTGCCTATTACTTTCACCATCTTCAGTTCCTTCCATCATCCTTCTCTCATCTTTAAGGCATCATACATGCAGTGCTCACTTATGCAACTGCCTTCCAGTGCCTGCCAAAATTAAATGGGGCTACTTCTAGGCTGTTTTTCAGACACCAACTAGACAGCATGTCTTCCTGGGTGTTATTGGTATGAGATGACGCAACATGTAAAGTAGTCTTTTCTCTACTAAATATGCATTTCATCATCTACACAACAGCTGGCAAGATTTCGGGAAAGTGTAGACATTTTTGAAATTTAAATCTCTCATATTACCCTATGATTTTCTAAGAATTTTATCATACCTTTCCTCCTCCTAGAATGCTAAAGGAGTCCTAAACAATCCACAAAGCCCTCGCTAAGTGTCAATTCTGCTCTGAAAATTTCCCCTACCTTCCCATTGGGATCAAATTTTGCATTCTTATTATTGCAGGTACTTTATATACTGTACTATAACTTTGTGTTCCTATTGTGCTCATTAAAATTTTTATTTTCAAAGTAATAAATGTATACAGTTTTTACAAATCAAAGAGGATTTTGCTTGTAGTGATGGCAGAATAACTTACTGAAAATCAGCCTTCCCACACAGAAACTCTGGAAAACATATATAAAACATTTATTTGAAGACACTGGAGAAATACCAAGGCACCAAGGTAAAGAGGGCCAAGATCTTGAAATGAAGGAGTGAGTCCAATGTTTAGGATTGCTTTTTCTCTAAAGGCATTTCCTAATTTGTAACCTATTGCCAAGAAGCTGAGTAAAGTTTCTTGATATCTCATGGGGCTAGGAAGAGAAAAAGCATAGTTCTGAGCCCAAAAAAACAGAATAGCCCTGGTAAACAGCAACCCTTTCAGACGGGACACACAAGGGCTACACCCTCAAAGGTAAAATGGAAACAGACCACACAATTTCCAATCAGCTCAGTTCCTGCATTTTTATTGTGATCTGTCCTTATCTTATCCACCTGCCAGAAGCGAAGAGTAATCCTATGTAGGGAAAAAAAACATAATTCAGGGCCTCAAACTATCTCTACAATTTAAAACAGCAATGTTCAGTCTTAAAGAAAAAAAAAGAAAACACCAGGAGACAAAACCAATGGCTGAAAAACCAAGAGGTGGGAAAAAAAAAAAATCCCTGACAATAAAAACAGGCTACAGGCTATCCAGATATTAGGATACTGGATTTCAACTTTAAATAACTGTGATAAATATGTTGAAGAAATTAGATGACAATATACAGAATTCCAGCAGAGACACAAACTATAAGTAAATAATCAAATGGATATTCTAAAACTGAAAAATATGATACTTACAATTAAAATCTCAACTGAAGGGGTTGAAAGCAGAATAGACACCGCTAAAGAGAGGAAAAGTGAACTGGAAGATAGATCAAAAGCGGATACTGAGATTAAAGCATGAAAAGAAAAACTATGAAGAAGAAAAGGGTACAGAAGATGTAGGAAACACTGTGAAATGATTTAGCATAAGAGAAAGGAAATGGGACAGAAGCAATATTTGAAGAAACAAAGGTTGATTTTTTGAAAACTGGCCCAGGACAACAAATCCCATTTTCAACGAGCACTTGCAACCCAAAGGAGGATAAATATGCAGGGAAACTCCTCCAGGCACACTGCTGGAAAATCGAAGACTAAAAAAACTCAAAAAGCAAGGAAAGGGGAAAAATAAAACCGCATTACCTTCATAGCTTCACAACAGAAATAAAGGAAGCCAGCAACAATGGAATAACATCTCCAAAGTGCTGGAAGAAAACAACTGCCAACCTAAAATTGTGTAAGTGATATTATCCACCCAAAATAAAAGCTAAACAAAAGCATCTTTAGACAAACCAAAATGGAAAGAACTTGTCACCAGTAGATTAATACTAAGGAAAATAATGAAGGGAGTTCTTCAGGTAGAAGAGAAATGATCCCTAATGAAAGCTCCTGGAGACGCAGAAGGAACGAAGGGTGATGGAAAGGGCAACTATGGGAGGAAATCCAAATGAATAAGGACTATCTGGAACAACACTGAGACTGTATTGCGGAGATGAAAATATACCTAGAATTAAAACATAAGGCTGGGTGCGGTGGCTCACACCTGTAATCCCAGCACTTTGGGAGGCTGAGGAGGGCAGATTACGAGGTCAAAAGATCAAGACCATCCTGGCCAACACGGTGAAACCCCGTCTCTACTAAAAATACAAAAATTAGCTGGGTGTGGTGGCACACACCTATAGTCCCAGCCACTTAGGAGGCTGAGGCAGGAGGCTGAGGCAGGAGAATTGCTTGAACCCAGGAAGCAGAGGTTGCAGTGAGCCAAGATAGTGCCACTGCACTCCAGCCTGACAACAGCATGAGACTCCATTTCAAAAAAAAAAAAAAAAAAGACAACAATAAAATAATTGAAAGAAAGGTAAATGAAGTTAACATGTCTCAAGATTCTTGCATTATGCAGGAAGAGGTAAACAGAGTAACTTAGATTTAAAGAAATCATAAAAGAATAGTAAATGAATGTACAACTAACTAATCAAGAGGAAGGAAATAGAATTTGAAAATGCATATGAATCTGAAAGGAGGCAAGCAAAGGGGAAAAAAAGGAACTTACCATAGGCAGGCACAGAGAAAACAAATAGTAAGATGATAGACTCGAACCCCAACATATCAGTAATTACACTACCTATAAATACACAAAATACTCCAATTGAAAGAAAAAGATTGTTACACCACCAAATACTCTCTGCCCTCCCCAAAGAACAATGACAAACTCAGAGGATACCCAATCCATTAAATATAAGCATGAAGAAAAATTGAAAGTAAAAGAATGAAAAAAGGTATGTCATGCACACATTAACCAAAACAGAGACTTCTATGCAGAAAACCATAAAACTGTACTGAGAGAAAAGAAGACCTAAATAAATGGATATTCACATATTAGAAGACTCAATGATATAAAGAAGTCAATTCTCCCCAAATTGATTCAATGTTATTCCAATAGTGGTTTAAAAATACTGGCTTAAGAAAACAGTATTTTTTATTATTATTTTGTAGGAATTGACAAGCTGATTTAGAATTTATGTGGAAATGGAAAAGGCCAAGAATAATCAACACTAACTTGAGGAAAACCAACAAAGTTGAGGATGTGCATTACCAAACATTAAGACTTAGTATAAAACTGCAATATAGTAATTAGGGAAGCATAGTACTAATATAAGAACAGGCAATTAAATCGATGGAAAAGAACAAATACCACAAACTGGTCCAAACATACATGTTCACTTATGTTACAACAGAGTGACACTAAAGATCATTGGGAAAAAGTAGCCTTTTCAATCAGTGGTGCTGGGTCAAATGGATATCTATGTGGAAAAACAATTAAATGAATCCTACTGCACATAAATAAAACTCATTCCAGATAGATCAAAGTTCTAAACATGAAAATCTAACACTGAAGCTCTAGAATACGACAGAGGAGAACATCTGCATTAATCTTAGGCAAAAGTTTTAAAATAGGGCACAAAAAGTACTAACCATAAAGAAAAAAAGTATAAATTGGAATATATTAAAATAAAACCTTTTGTTCATCAAAAGGCACTTTAAGAGACTAAAAATGCAAATCACAATATACAAGAAATACATGTAAGTAACAAAGAACTCCTATAAATGAGGAAAAGACAATAACCCAATTTTCAAATAATGGGCAAAAGACACAAACACACTTCACAAAATGGCCAATAAACCTATGAAAAGATCCTCGATGGCACTGTTCATCAGGGAAATGCAAATTAAAATCATAATGTGATACTATTACACACAAACCAAAAGGGCTAAAGTTAAAAGACTGACGATACAAAGTGGTGACAAGGATAGAGAACAACTGGAGCTTCCATACACTGCTGAAAGAAATGTACTGAACACATGGGGAAGCTCTGACCTAGGAAATCCACTCCTAGGTACACAGCTAGAAAATGCTTACTATGTTCACTAAACAACGTGGACCGGACTTGTTCCTGGCAGTGTCTTTTGGCAACAACCCAAATGCCCAAGAACAGCATAAAGAATAGCTATATTCATGTAATATAATACCATAGAGATAATGGAAATGCAAGAAGCACTGTATGTACCACAGATGAGTCTCACTAACATAGTGCTGAGAAAAAGCAGCTAGGCACGAGGGGCACATATTGTATTATTCCATTTACTTACAGCTCAAAAACAGGCAAAATTAATCTATGCTGTTAAAAGCCATGAGCGTTTAACTCTGGGGAAGGAGAGTGGGGATACAGTGATTGGGAGGGGGCACAAGGGAGCATCCGGGAGGCTGAAGATGTTTTTGATTCCTCGATCCTGGTAGTGGCTTCTTGGGTGCTTTCAATTTGTGAGACCTTATGAAGGTATCCATTTAGGATTTATGCTGTCTTCTGTGCATATATTATACTTTGATAATAATGCATATTTCAAAAAGAAGTCAAGCGTGTTACTGTATAACAAAAGCAATGATCCATAACCCACTCCTCCCCTCTTCACCCTCACTCCTAGAGCCACTCAATTCCTTAAGCTTTCCTTCCATACATATTTTTAAGAAATGTGCTCATACTGAAACCTCTTGGTTTTAAAATTTGAGATATGTATAGACTTCCTACCACAATAACATTTCCTCATTGTATAACTTTTCTGCTTTTCTTAGAGTTGATGATTGTGCAATCTGTTCCTTATAGAGATGTTTAAGGAGTCTCCTACCTTCAGGGGTACCTGGCCTCACCCCACAGGGTTCTGCAGCACAAATCAGCTTGCTTCCTTGCTGGTTCCCCTACCCCTCAGCTTTCTGTTCACTCGCCTCTACCTATTAGCACGCATCTGTCTCCTTCCATTTTCACACATTCCATTGACATCTTATTTGTTGTCATCTCTTATTCTCTTTAACCTTTTTTTATGCCTTTACTTTAGCGGGATTCCAGGATTCACAGATAGACCTGGAAGTCTACAATTACTATTTCTTTATAGTCTAATGGGGGTAATCCATAAATGGTTTGGGGGAATCACAATTTATTAGTCTTTGTGTGCTTAGTATCAAGCCCGGTAACAAGCACATGGTGCTTGAAAAATATACGGTGAACTGCTGGGAGAAAAATGTCACGTGTATTGTCAAAGGAATGAACTCCTCCTCCTCCCCCACTACACCCAGTGGCCTGAAGCTGGCCACAGTGGCATGAAGGGCGTGGGTCTCACCTGTGTAGTGTTCGTTGCCTTGAGCAGCACAGGTCAGCAGCTGTGCCATGGAGGAGCCCACCGCCTTGGATGTGCTTCCCAGGTCCTGAGCACATTTTTCCAGCTACAAGAATATTCAAGGAGGGAAAGAACGTAGAAGAAAAGGAACATCTGCTGAGGTCTTAAAATAATTTAGAAAAATCATGCAGATCAAACTTTGAGCCCTAGCTCTTTCCCACCAATGGCACTAAGCCGCAGCAGGGTGGTACAGGAGAAGGAGCCCGAGCTTTAGAACAAACAAATCTGGGTGCAAATCCCTGCCCCATGCCCCCTCCCCTCCCAATTACTAGCATGAGACTGAGTAAATTACTGAACCTCTCCAAGCCTCAGTTTCCTGAGGAGATCATAATACCTAGGCTCAGAAGGTTTTCAGAGAATTAATGTAGGCTCTCAACAAATGGTAGCTATTAGTATTATGCCTTTAGAAGCTAATTTAGAAAGTCTGCAACAAATCCTTAGTGAGAATTAATTATGGCTGGGCAGGAAGTGGGCAGACATCCAGCTGCACCACCTTCCTGGCATGTGGGACCATTAACATTGTTCAATTTGATCATTATACTTTGAGGAGTTCCAACTGAAAGGAAATGCAATAGAAATAGAGGGTTGGAGTGGTAAATGAGATTATGAAAATGGGCACAGTGCTTGCTTCCCATGAACAGCATGTTATTTTGCTTTGTAAACTGAATAAAAAATTCAGGGAACGAAGTCAGTAAAGGCCTAGGGTATGGATAATTATTTGATTACTAGATGAGGTTTTGGAAGAGAATTTCCAGGTATACTGCGAGAGTACAAAAAGGCATCAGAAAACAAATGCATTTTAAACCTTGCAACATGTTTTCCAAGAGAGGCAATGCTTTCCAATAAAAATAGAGCCTGGTCCATTATAGCAAACAATATGTTACAACACAATACAGACTTTATTAGAGCAATTTCTTTAAAAATTCATGATGTTTTCCTGCATTCTAACTGACCAGTCTATGCTCTACGTAAAGATGGAATTACATGTCATGCCAGCCTCTCTTGCACTCCCTGGGGTATAGAACTTTGCAAAGAGACTTCCGGACCACTTTGCAAAGCTGTGGGCCCAGGAGGCAATCCCAACGCTGTCATTAACTGGGTGACCTCAGTTAAGTGACTTAACCTCTCTGAGCCTGAGTTTCTTCTTTTTTACTATTAGGGGAACTTGATTTAACACATATTTTCTGAGTGCTTTCTATGTACCAGGCATTGTTCTACGCCTGAAGTCCCCTTTACATTCTAAAAGTCTTCAGTTCGTTCAAAGAGCCAGAAGCTCTCAAAAGCACAGGTTTTAGAGTCCTGCAAATCTGAATTCAAACCGTGGTTTGGCTCCTAACTGGCAGATAACATTGGACAGAACGGTGACAAACTCTGTGCCTCTGTGTTTCTCATCTGTAAACGGGGTTAATAAAACTTGCTCATGAAAGTTACTATCACGATAAACTACACTGTGTGTGTACAGTGCTTCACAGGTGCTTAATACATGGTGGTATTTTACTAGCAATGTTCAGTCATGTAAGGAAGTACATACAAATGAGGAGGACTGGTAAAGTTTTAGCCAACAAAACTCTGACATAAGCATCAGGAGGTGTGGTAATACGACCACAGTAGACCTCTAGTGCCATTATTCCATTTGCAGTATGGCTTTCCTGTATGGACGCACTTTGCCGTTGTCCATCCTAGTGCTTTGCATTAAGTAAATGTTTTTTTAAAATGACTGCTGATAATCTTTTCTATGTGCATCATGATAGCCTCATTGCTACCCACTTCGTAAATAAAATACTTCAGACATAGAGGAGATATGGGACGCGTGCACAGCTAGTTGATGATACAGCTGAGTGTAGAATCCAGCGCTCATAACTCCAAACCTAGTTCCTCCAGCTGCCCTGGGCATTCTTTTCAGAAAAAGACCACAGGATTAGAAGCTTCTCAACATGCCGCAACTTTAGCAAACACCCTAACAACAAACAATTTAATAACGTCATAACAAAAGGTACACCCGCACCCCAGCTGGCTCTAACAGCTCACCGTTTCCCCTGGAAGTGGCTTCAGCTGGCTCTCCACGGCTGCCATCTTGGCATCCTGCAGTTCATTCTTAAGCGTCTGCACCGTATTCAGAGCTGAATCGATTTCCATCGGACCACAAGCTTCATGGGCCTGCCAACAGAGTTGGAAATATGTATACCCAGTCTGCTTGGGAAAAGTGTCCCCAACACTTTTGCAACTTATAAAATGCCCTTCTGGATATACCCAGTGATTCTCCAAATCCAGCAGGAGGAGCAAGGAAAGCAAGTATTTTTTCTGAGAGAACAAAATCATCCTCAGTTAGAACCTTACTCTTAACTTCCTTAAACCATCAATTAGGTATGTCTCATAACTGGATATAGTAAGAGTTCCGGAAGTGACCCTTATCTGAAATGCACTTGCCTCTTAGACTCAGTGGATCATTTATTCACTGTGGCTGAGTTCTAGAGGTAGGGCACCTAGCACAGCCATGTGTGTACACAGAGTCATGGGAAAGATGCAGTGAATGAACAAATGAACACACCCAGGACTCTGGGGGCAAGTCTATGTCAACTTTATTGCTTCTCTTTACAAATTTCTAGATTATAAATCATTACTTTTCTGTACTGAAGATTACAAAATATTTTTCCCTTAGTAATTTATGAAAACTACTTTATCTCTTGGTCACGTATAACACTGATCTCCAAATGCTTTGATAACATCCCTCAATATACACATGCACATATAATTATATAAACGTGTAATTATTGATCAGTATACTAAATACTGGTACATTTTCATTTCTTTCCATTTTTAGATGATAGTAATAACAGCAGAAATAAATACTAATTGATTTCTATGTGCCACTATTACTCAAGAAGGAAACTGAGGCACAGAGAGGTTAACTAACTTGTCTAGGTCACCAAATTAGTCAATGACAGTCTGATTCCAGAGCCTGCACTCTTTTTTCTATTTTTTTGGGAGACAGAGTCTCACTCTGTTGCCCAGGTTGGAGTGCAGTGGCATGCTCTTGGCACACTGCAACCTTTGTCTCCTGGGTTCAAGTGATTCTCATGCCTCAGCCTCCTGAGCAGCTGGAACTACAGGCATGCACCACCAACCTGGCTAATTTTTGTATTTTTATTAGAGATGGGGTTTCACCATGTTGGTCAGGCTGGTCTTGAACTCCTGGACTCAAGCAATCCACCCACCTTGGCCTCCCAAAGTGCTGGGATTAGAGCCTGAACTCTTAATCCTTATGCTGCATATTAAAAAATATTGCCGGGTGCAGTGGCTCACGCCTGTAATCCTAACACTTTGGGAGGCTCAAGTGGGAGGATTACTTGAGCTCAGGAGTTCAAGACCAGCCTGGGCAAGATGATGAAATCTCATCTCTAAAAAAAAACACAAACAAAAAAAATTAATTGGATGTGGTGGCACATGACAGTGGTCCAGCTACTCAAGTGGCTGAGGTGGGAGACTGCTTAAGTTCAGCAGATTGAGGTTACAGTGAGCCATGACTGCACCACTGTACTCCAGTCTGTGCAACAGGGCAAGACCCTGTTTCACAAAAAAAAAAAAAAAAAAAAAGTTTTCACAGTGTGTCTTCCTGTACCCAATGGACAGTCTTGCTTGAGTCCCACTTTAGGGGTCACTGCTTTCGAGCAGTGTGGTTCAATGTTGGTGTGTGTCTCAGACTCAGCAAAGAAGCTTGTGAAAATGCAGATGTTCAGGCTCTACAACCAGAAATTCTAATCTGGTTTCTCAGAGGCAAGGCCCAGGGATGTGCATTCTAATAAGCATCCCCAGGTGATTCCAGTGTAGACAGTACCACGAGCTCTCTTTGAGAAACACAGGTCAAAATAACTTTTTTATTGGCTATAGTCTAAAGCTCTGGATATTTTTATTTGGCAGTGTAGCATTCTCCTCATATTAAGAATTCAGTCAACTTCTACCTTCTTCTCTTACCAATTTATGAGGCTGCTTGTTTCTATAAAGGGATTGCTACAATGAAGAAAAGTGAATTCATGCTAGAACTTCATGCTAATACCACATCAAACAGAGTAGTAAATGAGGCCCTTTGGTAATTAATATGCTCCAGAGACAGAAATTTAGTCCTCAACTCTGTTCTCTTGAAGACCTTGTTAAGGTGAATGCTCCCACGCAATAAGTGAAAACTTTGCAGGGCAAAAAAGATAATAAAGATGACACTTCAAAATAGATTTTCTGCCTATATAATTTGTTATTAAGTTCACAAAATGATACCTGGAATATATGATCACTTATTCTGGACTACAATTTAGCTGGCACTGAGACACTGATGACTACCATTCTCCCCTAAGACTTGTGAAAAATGGACCACTGCTTGTTCCAGGATATGGAAAGAGGAGGAGGAGGAGGAAGTACACAACTCAAAATAGTTCAACGAAAGGCATTTGAAATCAAAAAGTGAATACTAAGTCTGGGAGATAGTGGCTTAATGCAACAAAAGCCAACCCACAGGGGCATCTTTAATAGTCATGCAAGTAGAATGGACAACTTTGCCAAGAAATAGGTTCAGCAGTGTTCAGGCCCTGGGTGGTACCCATGCCACCCCAGCTCCCTTCCTGACAAGTTAACCCCTATGACACGCTCCACTTGCCTTCTGCGAGGCGGTACGCAGCTCCGCCAAGCTGGTGGCCAGGTTCTTGGCACACTGGCTCAGCTGCATGGCTGCGGCCTGGTCACTCACGGTGGGCACTGCGGCTTTGGCAGAGGACACCATCTTGCTTCCAGGCTATAGAGAGATGAAAAGAAAGTAAGATGGCTCCTGGGCAGCAAGAGGTAGAGAGGAGAGACCTAAGCAGCGAGGTCTCCACAGCAGTAAGAACTGATTTTGTCCTAAAAAAAAGGAATATTAAACAACTCATCCCCTATTCCCAAACTGCCACCTCAAGCCAGATACTCTAGGGCAGTACCTTCTAGGAATGTTTAAAAAAAGAAAAAAAGGAGGTGTCATGGAGGGTAGAGGAGGCAAAATTAGAATAGTGGCTTGAAATTCTCATTTAAAACCGATTTCAAAGAGAGTTCCTTATTAAATAGGTTTCACTGTATTTCTCAGAATAGCTCTTTATTCTGAGTCTCACGTACACTCAAAAGACTGCTTAGAAAAATGAAGACAGATAAATAAAACAGCTAACATGACCTCGCACCTCACAAAGCAAAATAACTTCGCCAGTGAAGGGACATCTATGTGCATGTACATATTTTTCAAAAATAAGATCACACTGTTCACTCTATCTCACAATCTCCTTGTCTCACATATCCTACCTTTTAAAGAGCTATATAATATTCCAGTATATGCAACTATTGCCATTTCTCAATTCTCTATTGTTGGGCATGTTTCCATTTTTTCCAATTTAATAAACAATGCTATGATAAACAGCTCTACAGCTAACTCTGTACATATTTATAATTTTCTTTGTATAAATTTTTAAAAGTTGAATTTCTGGATCAAAGAGCATACATACTTTTAAGACTTTTAATATATATGTTATAAAACTACACTTAGAAAAGTTCCAACAAGTGCCAGATCATAAATATTAAGGACAAAAGTTAATATTTTTAATATTTAAAGAATTAATGAATATTTATAAAAGCTACCATGAGTATATAAAAAGCACAAACATAATTTTGCATAATAAAAAATAACTGAAACTTATGAAAAATGTTTAACATTGTGAATATCGGAGAAATGCAAAACCAAACAAAAATAGTTTTACAGAGCAAACTGGCAAAAACATACATGTTTTCTTAAAAGTTGAATCCCCAATCTCATAAAAGATATATTTAAAAGCATGCTCTATATACTGCTAAGTTGTAAATTTAGATTTGTTCAACCTCCTGGAAGAGCAATGTTATAACATGAAGTTTAAAATGTACAAACTTTTTGATCTGTCAATTCAATTTCTATTTATTTTCAACCTTCCCTTTTTCTCGTAAAGATCTGAGTATCTATACTAGCAAAGTTAAAAGAACAAAAGAAAAAGGGAAAACAAGGGCAGGGACAGAGTGGAACCAGGAACACATCTACACGGCTCTATCTTAATGCCCTACAATCTTGTCAGGGTGGAGACAGTACCCACAAATGGCTCCAGGCTCTCTCCCCTCCCAAATGAAGAGAGAAATGCCTTGTCCAAGTCATAATCTGCAAAGTCCTAAAGATAAAAATAAGCTGTTTACAATCCTCTCTCTAGGAATTCAAGAAAAGACTTGAGCACATAAAGATTTTTATCACGTTATTCATGATGGCAAAAAATTAAAAACCTGTACGTCCAATAATGAGAGAAAAGTTAAATGAAGAGTATAGTCATATAACAGAAGATTATTCAAAATCATAAACACTCATAATATGTTAGATGAAAAACACAAAGGGCCTATATACAATGAATACCAATTTAAAAGAATACACACACACACACACACACACACACACACACACCTGTGTTGTATATGTATGTAGTTAAAATATGAGGAGATATATCAAACCTTTCATGTTTTATTTCTGCATGTTAGAGTTATATAACTTGAAAAATGAACCAAATAGATGTATCACTGGGTCCTACAACTATCAGTTGAACTAGAAAGGGATGAGGAATTGACCCACCTCATAATATCAACTGCTTATGAGATACAAGTCGAGAAAAAGTGCTGATAAAGTAGAGAGATTTGAATATAAGAAGCACGTAAAGGGGAATTTTTCCACAACTTAATATTTTCGTTTATTTTCCTTAAAATGAATCTACCCTTCACCCCACAGAGACTGACAATACTAACTGTACAATTGCCACAAAGAACGATCATATCTTTGGAGAAGACGCACTTAACATTTCTTTTCCCGGTCCATGAACAATGGCATTAGGATCTCTGGAAACAAAAACCTAAAGCAATGCCTAGTCCTAGGCTGTTCATCACAACTTGCAACATTTTACGTGTTTTCTTCTCTTTGAAGAGAAATAAATACGATAATCCTGAGGAAAACGGAACATATGCCATCTCCACAGGGCAATTTCCCTGCATATCAGCATTTTGCTTTGCCAAGCTGAACCCACCTCTCCTGAAACTGGAAAGGTAAAGAAGAGGCCTTCAAGCCCTGCCTACCGCAAAGACTTAGCTGAGGCTGTGGAATTCATTAACTCCTCTCCTTAAAGGGCAGCCCCTGCCCAGAAGAGGGCTCTGAGTGAGCCCAAGGTGACCACAGCCCTGTTACCTGGAGGAAGTTCTGGCTGGAGATGATGAGAGCCAGCTGGGCACTCAGGTCTTCAGCTTGAGCTTGGCTCCCCCTCACTCCCTGGACCAGCTGAGGGATGTGATCAGCCACTGCCTGCAGAAGGCAAGGAAATAAAAACAGCATGGCTAGAATGGTGGGACCATCCAAAGAAGCTAGACCATGACCCAAGTGCGCTTTTTGGATGTGCCATCTACTCCCAGGGGACGCCAGCCCCAGACCTTGGATAGACACTGCACATTAAGCCAGCTGGGTCCTTACCAACACTGAATCCCATTTTCTGGGCATTTTCTCTACACATACTCTACCCTGTGGTCCTGGAAGTCTCGATACATTCCTTCGAAGATGATTGTCTATGATGAGGCCTAAAAGAATTTCCTTAGTTGCAACTCACACCATCTGGCTCATTGGCACTGCAAACCTAGAATCAAAGGATCTACACGATTCACAGGTGGTAAACTGAAGTGTACAGCCCCATGTTCAGAAGGTGAGGGAAATACTTGGATACCAGTGCATGTAAGTGCTTTGGCTTCTTACTTTGCAGGCACACATTCTGCGCCTTTGTGTTGCCATGGCCCCTCTTTGTCTAAGAAGGACTTCTCATTCTCAAACTGGAAAGCCCAAAGCCAGGGGAAAGGAGAGAGGCACGGCATTCTGTGAGGCAGTGCTGCTGTACAGTAATGGGCTCCTACAGTGTGCCTTGGGAGATGAGCCTTTTACTTTCTCTGTGTTCTGTCCCTGTTTCCTTTCTGTGCCCGCACCTCCTTCTCTGGTTAATGAGGCTCTCAGAGGCCACAGCACTGTGGCCATCGTTGTGGATAAAGGTGCCCAGTGCATACTGGCCTGATGACATATTTTTCTAGGACTGCTCCAGCACAAGTTAAAACAAATATTTCCATGGAATTTTTCCCAGGCCCCCTTTAGGACTGCCAGTTCTGCTAGTTCTAGTCATTTGCTCCACTCTCCCCTCTCCATCTCAATCCTTTCATTTCCTGGTAGTGACACTCAAGACCTAGTATCTTCAGTCTCTCTGCAGAAGAGGGGCGAGAGGTCTCACTCATCCTGTGGCATGTCCCTGCATGTGAGCAGCACATGCTTCCTGAGAAGAAAGTTTTCACCCCTGCTAGCAGCTGAGCTGAGGACCCAATAGGAAGCAAACTCCTCCACAGCAGAGGCCTCACTCTCAGCAAGACTCCTTCTCTATCCACACAGGACCGAAGGACACCAGCCCAGGACCCTACTATGTCACTAAGGCTTTTCTTCCTGGAGTGCATTCAGTCCACAACAGCAGTAGGGCTGGCCTCAGAGAATCCAGATTCAGGAATACAGGGCTCCATCAGAAGCAAAGGCCATTTCTGAAGTGGGAGCAGTGGCACCCCTCACAAATGTGAATCATTTGGCAGAGATTTGAAGAAGCAGAGAGGGTTGCAGTTGGCTCTCATAACCCCAGCAGAGACAGGTATGCCTCCCAGCCAGCCACCACAGCTAGCTGCAAATACTTCCAGGACATGCCAGCCAGATGTGCCACCCACATGTGGGCAGTGGCTTTGCAACTGGACTTTGTGTCTGCCACCATTAAGAGGAGCCCTGGGGGAGTCAACTCCCTGGGCTCTTAGAGAAACCAACAAGGGTGTTTACTGTACCTTTTGTAGTAAACTGGCCTCAACTTAGCATCAAGGCCCAGGTGTCAGAAGAATAGAGACAAAAGAGCAACAACAAAAAGCACCAAAGTACAAAGTCACAGAGGCTAGATGGGATGAAATAAATCCTTGAGGTGCAATTATTAGAAAGCAGGAAATGAACCCTGCTCCAGGGAGCGAGGCTGAATTTGAAGTCCTGCCTCTCAAAGAAAGGCACTCTGGAAACTCAACACTTCCTTCCCATTTCAGAGCCCTAAAATGGCCTCGTCATTGATCCTCTTTGGCTCAGTCTCTTGAAAAGAAAATTGTGGACAAAAGTAGACAACGCTGGAAGAAAATCACACTTTCCAAACACAGGCCATCCACTTAATGGACAAAAACCAGACGTGTAGACACCTGGAACATGGGAACTGGGGCAAATTGGATTAGGAGCTTGGATAATCTGTCTTTACTGAACTACCAGGGGACTTGGTGTTCTAATGTTATCAGGGTCATCTGCAGCTGACCTGGCTCTCTGTGCACTGGAACCTCACCTTGCAACTCTGGACCAGCTGCTGCTGGGCCGCAGGGTTCTTGTTGGAAACAGCTGCATTCTGGGAGGCGGCGATGGTCTGTGTGGCTGCCGCTGCGGCCTGCTTGGCTGCAACCTGCAGAGGAGTGATAGATGAGTCAGGATCTGCATATGCAATATACATGCATGTTCTACAGGTCACTTCCACCACAGAGTCAGGACAGGTTTGTGGCTCTAAAAGAACTCCAAAGAGCAGGCTTTGCCTTTTAAAACCAGTGATGACCCTAATCTTACAACACGCTATCTTCCTTGTGTTGACGTCCTCTGAGACAAGTGACAAAGACAGGCACGCTTGAAAGCTCAAGCTTTGAAGTTCATTTGTTTTTCTCAAAAACAAAAAGGATGATTCCAAGATCATAATGACACTGACAAGCTGCACCAAGTCTAAATGTGTGGAAAAAAAAATCTCCCACAAGCAGCGTAGATGGTTCTGTGTCAAGCACAAATGCTGGTGCCCATGACTCTCCTCTCTCAGCACTCAGAAGCCTTAGTTCCAAAATGCAGAGACTTTCCAACCAGGGCACTTAATTGTGTTTACCCTCTTGTCTTTGTCCAAGAACAACAATGTTACTTTTCTTCCAGAATATAGCAGACTGCATATGGAGGGACTTCTCAGTACACAGGCAAAGGTCTCATCTTCCAAACTCTCAAATTTCAGTGTAAGGGTCTCCTGTGTGCATTTGTCAGACAAACTTTTTAAAAAAAAAAAAAACATAGTTTTTGCCTATTACTATTTCAACTTTCTTTTTCAGAATAATTATTTCAAAAAATAACAAATATATTTCACTCCCTTCTATACCTATCCACCCAAGCCTAATCTCCACCTCCAGTCTTTGAAGTCCATATTTCCTATGGGAAGCCCTGACAAAGTCACTGACTCCAACAAAATATAAATATTTTCAGCAAAAGGTCCTTCTTGAATGTGTATATCCTTTAATGATAGAAAAAAAAATCTGGTTCCTCCTGAAAAGAGTCTAAATTCTATTCCTGAATGCTAGAAAGGATTCGAGCTTACGGAAGCAGTTTTTTCCAATTGAGTCAATGCTTTTATAGTACTCAAACCTTCAAACAATGATGTGAACCTTGACTTGGCTTTCTTTATATTGTCAACACCTTGTTAATTCAACTATCTTTTCAAATAACTCTTTGCAATTTAAGATGGGCATCCCAGAAAGGCAGCCTCTTTCCTTACCTCCAGTCGGTTGACAATTTTTTTCTTAATAGCATTCTGGGCAGCTGCGTTGGTTGCTACCCGGAGGCCTTCTGCAGCTTCTCTCAGCCTTTGCTGCTGGTCCTCATTCTCTGGGTTGGCTGCAGCCCCCTGCAAAGGCAAAAATAAAGATTTCAAGTGGTCCAGCAGGAGACATCACTGAATTCATGCCTTCAGTATTATTTTTTCTTAGTAATAGAAAGCATTTGCAAGGATAGTCAAATGCCACAAGCAATATCTTTATGATGAAGATGTTTCCTCATGCAACAAAAAATACCTACCAGGGGATGTTTCAAAATTGCATAGCTAAGCAGTTAGAAATCCAAAGTAATAATTAAACACTTGAGAACATTGCCTTGGTTGTCCATACAAATTAACCTGTGGACAGAAACCCATGGTTTAAAAGATGGGAAGATTAAATCTCCCCTCTCCCCATCTCTCCCAGGGAGAATCTTCTTTTCATTGGCATGACACAGTAATGACACATGTCTTCATGTCACTCCTGAAATACCCTGTGGCACAGGTAAATGTGAAGGGGTAAGAGTCCAGTATCAACTCAGGTGGGGACAGAGGGAAGAGGGGGAAGGATGGAGGGAGGGCTCAGGAATGCCGTTCAAAAACACTCCAAGGAAATTTTGTTAAAGAAAGACCATGCCCAGAAATTACATTCCTAGAGAGACAGAGTTGGAAGGTCTAGTATAAAGTCGAGATGGTATCCAAATGTACTGAATTAATGAGAGAAATGTAATGCCGTCCACCTGACAGAAAAAGAGGAAGGCAATATGCCAGTCACGCTTTCTTTGTCCAGCCCCACAGCCCCTTTTACTTTGTTGCTTTTAGTTGAACATGTCTTAGAAATCTAAGTGGATTTTATTTAGATGGGTGGGATTCTGAAGCAGGGGAAGGCTAATGGTAATGTAGAGAAAGGATATAATTTTAACTCTATAATAATTCAACATGCTCACAGCACATCCAGCCTTCCTCTCCCACAACTATAACAGTAGCAATCAAGATTTCCCTCACCAGGGCCTGAATGCTTTGTAACATGTGCTTGATGTCTATAGATCAATGAGTTTCTTCCTATGAACGCTTTCAGGCAATAATATTTGCTCTCAAGGCAGGAAGAACAGCACACCGATTTATCAAAAGTCAATTTTCTAAACGTCTAGATTTCCAAGTGGCCAATTTGCTAAACTTACCAATTTATAAGAACCTATTTCTTTGAGCTATTTATAAAAGTTATAGCAATGCATACAGGATGGAATAGTTTTAACAGCTGTGGTAGAATTCTTTTGGCAACCCTCTTGAATAGAATCTCCTATTCTTTCAAACTTTAACCACTCTCATAATCTAGCAATGAAACATTTTTATTTCTGCATTTCACATGTAAAAGGATTGGGCTACTTTTGGATTCTTTTGCAAGTTTATGAAAGTCATTTTGTTTTTTTCTGTTCATCAGGTATTTTCTAAGCTGCTCCTTTATATATGTCTCAAGTGCACATCAGCCTAATTTTATGTATTTTGAGCAGCTGGAAACCAGCACTTCTGCACTTCACACTGATGTGGATGCTTTGGGTCCTTGCTCAGCAATGTCTTTTTTTATGATGAATATGTATCAGATATGGGGTACTAATTTTGGCCTGAAATCTTAGTTACTAATCATGAAATATATTTTTTCTGCACATTAAATATAATCCTTGGAAGTCTAACCATTGCGTGTTCTTTAGCTTTCAACAAAATTCAGCAAATTAAAATATTGCTACAAAGACAAAATGAAAACTTTTAACTAAAAGTTAAAAGAATTTACAGAAACACTTAATGTTGTCTCATTTAATATAAATAACCAAAATCACATGAATACTTAGAAGAAACGAGTTTCTGGTAACTTGGTAAATGCAGTGAATTGGCCTGATAAACAGTCACATCAAGAAACAAAACGTGGCTGGGCGCGGTGGCTCACACCTGTAATCCCAGCACTTTGGGAGGCCGAGGCGGGTGGATCACAAGGTCAGGAGATCGAGACCATCCTGGCTAACACGGGGAAACCCTGTCTCTACTAAAAATACAAAAAATTAGCCGGGCGTGGTGGCAGGCACCTGTAGTCCCAGCTACTCAGGAGGCTGAGGCAGGAGAATGGCGTGAACCCAGGAGGCAGAGCTTGCAATGAGCCAAGACTGTGCCACTGCACTCCAGCCTGGGTGACAGAGTGAGACTCTGTCTCAAAAAAAAAAAGAAAAAAAAAAAAAAAAAAACGTGCACATTGGCCTGGCTCAATACTGCTTATGTGGCATTAGCATTCATCTTTTATGAGTTTTAATTTTTTTCATTTGTAAAATAAGGAACGGACTAGATTTACCCTACAGTTCTTTCCAACCTACCAAGTAATTTTTTATGAACATAAGATTGCCTCAAATATCTATGTATAGACTGAGAGAGGTGGGGTAAACTAGTAAAACCTTTTAAAAAATTCAACTACTACATAAAACCCAATACATACATACACACACACACATACACACACACAGCATATATATATATATATATGGCTTAAAGAAGGGGGTTAATAGCAGAGCTTATTGGCTGAAACAGGGATTAGGAGACAAGGGAAGGAAGCTCAGACACTGTCCCTCCCTGGGTCTCTCTTTCACCCCTACCCACGAGGTGTCTCTAAGAACTCTCAGTCCCTCAAGTAACATGATGGACAGTTGAGTGAGGAGAGGTCCTCTACATGGCTCACTATGTGTCACAATACATTTTTTTTTTGAGACAGAGTCTTGCAGTATCTCCCGGGATGGAATGCAATGGCACGATCTCAGCTCACTGCAACCTCTGGCTCCCAGGTTCAAGCAATTCTCCTGCCTCAGCCTCCCTAGTAGCTGGGATTACAGGCATGTGCCACCAAGCCTGGCTAATTTTTGTATTTTTAGTAGAGACAGGGTTTTGCCATGTCGGTCAGGCTGGTCTTGAACTCCTGACCTCAGGTAATCCGCCCACCTCGGCCTCTCAAAGTGCTGGGATTACAGGCGTGTGCCACCATGCCCAGCCCACAATACATTTTAAGTGAAGTAACACACATATTAGGTTGAGATACCAATTCCCAAAGCCAGGGAGATGAGGTAAGATGTGGAGACACTTAATGAATCTATTTTTTGTTTTTTTTTTTTTTTTTTGAGACGCAGGTTTGCTCTTGTCACCCAGGATGGAGTGCAGTGGCACGATCTTGGCTCACTGCAACCTCTGCCTCCTGGGTTCAAACAATTTTCTCCTGCCTCAGCCTCCCGAGTAGGTGGAATTACAGGCGAACACCACCATGCCCAGTTAATTTTTTGTGTTTTTATTAGAGACAGGGTTTCACCATGTTGGCCAGGTTGGTCTCGAACTCCTGACCTCAGGTGATCCACCTGTCTTGGCCTCCCAAAAGTGCTGGGATTACAGGTGTGAGCCACCGTGCCTGGCCTTAATGAATCTTATATGCATAGAAATACATTTAAAATATTATTTTGAGGGCAGGAATTTGAAGGTGATTTTTATTTTCTTTTTTCACATTTATCTGCATTTTCTATTAATTCTATAAGAAATGTGTGCTAGGTACACAATAAAAAACCCAGAAAAATATAGCCTTATTCATTTAAAACAGTTCTCACCTAGAGATGCACATCGGAATATCCTGAAGAACTTAAACACATGCACGCACGCATGCACACACACACACACACTGAGTCCTACCAGTGACCTTGTGAATCAGGATCTTTGGGGATGAAACTGAGGCATGTGCATTTTAATATGTTCCACAGGGGGCTGTGTATCAGACCGCTGGTTCAGAATCACTAGGTTTTGTAAGCATTATGCTATAGCACAGCTGTCAAAAAGCATAAAGGAACTCTTAACTCCTCATCATTTTATAATATTTAAAACTGCAACTGGGATTTAAAGAACCGTAAAGTAGGAAATAGTCTACTGTGCAAAATCTTGATAATAGTTGAGAAGTCAAATGGAGGGCAAAAGTAACATTAAGGCATTAAGGAAGAGAATAGGTTTAGGTGAATTTGCTATTGAAAAATCTCAGGTTTAAATTAGTCACCACATTGAATGAAGCCAACAGTGATGACCAAATGGAAAAAGAGGCCTCCCTAAAGAGGGCACTTTGCTACTATGGCTGAGTCAGTACCACTTCCCTGAAGCATTTCATTCAGATGTTCCATTACCGCCTTTGCCACAAGAACAGGGTTAGATGTTACAAGCCATATAGGTTTTAAGCAAACAAAAATGCACACTCGGATGACCATGCCCCATCTGGAAAGTACCTTCCAAATCCTAACACTTAATAGTGTTCACTTTTCATACAAACAAATCCAGTAGAATACCTTTGCAGCTTCCACCATGCGAGCAGTGGAGTCAGCTAAGAGTTTTGCTGCTGCCAGGAGCTTCTTTGAATTCTCCATGTCGATTTCGGCTTCTGCATCTGACCTCATGGCATTGACGAGGTCTGATGTGGCTTGGGCCAGAACCCGCGCCTGGCGCACCATTTCACCTAGAAGACAGAATAGAGGATGAGGTCTGTTTGTCTGCTTTTCAAAGGTCAGTAAAACCTCAGGAGCCACTACAGTCTTGTCTCTACTCCTCTGGTAAGCAGGAGCAAAAAAACTGAACCTCCATGCTCTAGTCCTAAGCCATGCATCCAAATTAGAGCCCAAAATGAAAATATTCCCTGCGGCTGCCAGGATGCGGCTCCCCAAACACAGCCAGGTTCAACCTTTCACTATGAGGCATAATCAGAACAGAAGCAGCCAAAGAGGAACACTATAAAGAGAGGGCAGGGAACAAAATTACGTGGATTTAGCATTAGTAAATACTTATTTAGAAAACATTGCTTTCTTCACTTTGAAAACCACTTACACAAAAGCGTCTATAATAAACTTTTTGAAGAATTGGCACAGAACAAAATTACTTTTAAATTCTGTATTAATGTGTAGGTTACCTAGCACCAGATGAGGGATATCACACAATCCATTCAATGTGTGCCATTTGGCCTTCGCTTATTAGCTTCATGCTCAAATGCTATGACTTGCCTTGGCCTGGAGTTTTCTCTGCCAATTTTCTCTCTGCTCATCCTTTTTTGCCCAGCACTGATTTTGATCTTGCATTATTCTTTGGTCTTATTGTCCCTGTGATTTTACTGAAATCTATTTTAATTTCCTTCTGGAAGTAGGAGGAGTATAACAACCAACATTAAAAAATAGAACGATTCAAATCTTCCTCTAGCAAGAAATCTTCCTCTAGCAAAGGTCATCTGAGAAGAATGCCGAAGCACTATAACAAAAAGGGGGAAGAAGAAAGCTTTTACTAAAATAAAAATGTGCTCAATTCACTGTGGTATCCTGGACTGGATCCCGAGACGGTAAAAGGACATCAGCAGGGCCAGGCGCGGTGGCTCACGCCTGTAATCCCAGCACTTTGGGAGGCCGAGGTGGGCGGATCACGAGGTCAGGAGATCGAGACCATCCTGGCTAACACGGTGAAACCCCATCTCTACTAAAAACACAAAAAAATTAGCCGGGCGTGGTGGTGGGCGCCTGTAGTGCCAGCTACTCAGGAGGCTAAGGCAGAAGAATGGCATGAACCTGGGAGGCGGAGCTTGCAGTGAGCTGAGATTGTGTCACTGCTCTCCAGCCTGGGCAACAGAGCAAGACTCCATCAAAAAAAAAAAAAAAAAAAAAAAAAGGACATCAGCAGAAAAACTGATGAAATCTGAAAAATGTCTGTAGTTTAGTTAGTGGTTCACTAAAATACCAATGCTAATTTCCTGGTTTTTGACAAATGTGCTATCCTTTAGGGAAGATGTCAAAAATGGAGAAACTGGGAAAGGTATATGGGAACTCTCCATATTTCCTCTGCAACTTTTTTGCAAATTTAAAAGTATTTCAAAATAAAAGGATTGTCAAAAACAAACAAACAACAACAAATTCAAATGTGTGAAGCATTCCTATCTTGTTAAATTATTTAAGGATACAGAAGAACACAAGACAATTTTCTAAAAACACCAAAACTCGTTATAAGGTATTGTTCTATGCTGGCAAGGAAGCACAAAAATAGATCTCTTACAGATTACTAGTTGGGTTGCAAATTGTGGGTCCTTTCTGGAGAAAAATTTCTTAAATACATTTAAAATAAAAATCTACCTACTGGCCCAGCAACTCCATTAATAAGAATTTACCCTACGTAGGAAAAGTAAACTATTTTTACAAGAATGCTTATTGTAGTATTTTTGTAAAAGCAAAATGAACTAACAAACAAAAAAACTAAATGTCCATTAAAAGATTATTGGTTAAATTATGATACCTTCAAAAAATAGAATACTATGCTGCCACTAAAAAGATTAACATACAGGTGGACATGAAAAAAGTCCAGGTTGGGCATGGTGGCTCACCCCTGTAATCCCAGCACTTTGGGAGGCTGAGGCGGGCAGATCACCTGAGGTCAGGAGTTCGAGACCAGCCTGGCCAACATGGTGAAGCCCCATCTCTACTAAAAATACAAAAATTAGCCGGGCATCATGGCAGGCGCCTGTAATCCCAGCTACTTGGGAGGCTGAGGCAAGAGTATCTCTCGAACCTGGGAGGTGGAGGTTGCAGTGAGCCAAGATTGTGCCACTGCACCCCAGCCTGGGCAACAGGGTGAGACTCCATCTCAAAAAGAAAAAGAAAAAAGAAAAAAGAAAAAAAAAGTCTTTAAGATATATAAAATGAAAAGGTTATGAATTTCGGGAATTTTGATGGCACAGTGGTAAGCTGGGTTTGGGGAGACTTACTTTTCAATAGATTATAAAAAGGTGTATTGCGTATGTTTTTAAACTGACTGTATATTAGGTATGATGCTTTGGAATCTGAAAACACCCTTTTGCTGGAGACAAACTGTCCTCTTAGGGCTGGCCAATTTAGAGACTGCACAGGCTCAGCAGGGAACGTGTCTTTGATATGCAAACTAACCAACCCAGAGCTATTCCTCCTCTATCTGGCCCAGACACCCAGGAGACACTGCTCCTCTGCGTGGATCACCCCAGGGCCAGGTACCAGGTAACTAGCCACCACCTCCATAATTTAGAGCCTGCCAAAATTATTTAAACTAGCCAATCCTAAATTGTTTATTCTGCCCTGCATTTCCCAAGGAAGCTCCAATAAAGGCCATGGTCTAGGCCCTCCCCTTGCCTCTGTCTTCTCCCTCCTGACCACCCCGGTGCTCTCCCATGACCCTGTGCGGCATGTGGTGAGCCCTCCAGGGGACATGCAAGTATAATAAACTTCTTAAATTCCAAGCCTTGATCTTGTTTCCTTCTGTGGCTGCTCCAACTTTGCCATACCGTACCCAACACGTGCATTCGCAGAACAAAGGGGATTCACTGTAAATCTAACAAAATAACAAAATCTAACCATTATAACAAAAACCCAGTGAACTCTGTAGAAATCTGTAAGCATGACTATGGAAGAGTCTTATATCTTTTTCTGAGCTTCAGTGGGGAAGTCTTTGAGACTGAAGAGAACTTGCCCTTGCCAGTCATCCAGGCAGCCTTCACCTTCCCTATGGGTTAGCACCACCATCAGGAACATCAAAAGCCACCCATCCACCCACCCACAGCACAGTGCCTTACCAGCGTCACCCATGGAGCTGAAGATGCTCTCGGTGACACACATGATGGTGTCAGTAGCCTGGTCGTAGCGGCCGATGGGCTCGCCTCGGCTGGCAAACTGCCGCACATGCTGCAGGAGATCATGGAGGGCCTGGCTGACCACGCTGGCCGCTGCGCTGACCTGCTTCAGGAGCTCACTATCGGTAGTGGCCGCCTGGCAGGCACGGACACAGTTCTCCACCGAGCGGTCCACCAGCTTCCCTGCTTCAATCAGCTGCTCCTGGCACACAGGGGAGCTAATAGTGGGGCTCACAACCTGAAGTGAGACAGGAACAGGTTTTGGGCACTGTGGTTGAATCCTGGTCCCTCTCCATGTGCCCCCGCAGTCCCATCAAAGCCCTTCCTGCTCTGGGCCTCGGTTTCTTACTTACAGGACCACTGCTCGGTTTCTTACTTACCTGACCATTTCATTCAATGAAACCATTGCTTCAGTCTCACACGCTCTGCTATTCTACTTCATCCTTGTGATTTGACATGTCCCACTAATTTATAACTTCATTAGTCACATGTGACAGTCCATACTACTGCCCTACTTCCATACAGAGAAATTTCTGAGATTTCCCAATTATACCTCCTTCATTTTAGGATCCTTTGAATTGAGTCTTTTGAGTTGGGATACAAAGACTACCTAAAAGAATTCTATTTCTATTCCCAGAAACACCTGAAACTCTGCCTCATAGTCCTTTAAAGAACAGGGGGGTTCTGTCAGTTCCTTGTAAATTCTAGCAGCGTGGACAATGAAAGCTTGAGGGAGACGATGCTGCAAATCTTACCACAGGCTATTGATGCCAAGCTGAGCCAGATCACAGATCTATACAACATGACAGGCCATCAATTCCAGAAACGGACATTTCCCATCTTCTGCTGCATCATCACCGAGAGGACACATGAAGTAGAGGGGAAAGCGTATTTGGAGGCAGATGGACTTGAGTTGTAACTCTAGTTCTGCCACTTACTACTTCTGTGGCCTTAACCTACTGACATCTAAGGGCCTCAGATTCCTCATCAGTAAACTAGAGATAATGGTGCTTAATTTGCAGGATTACCGGGGAGATGTAATGAGGTGATGTATGACACACTGAGTGTGTATACCCTGGCAACAATTAAAATCCCCACTCGGACCCTGTGCAGCCTAGAAAGGGTTCCCATAAACTCTGTGGATTATTTCTGAACCCATTTGTAATGCTGTACCACGCATTGCAAGAACTATTTTTGTGCAGGTGTAAAGATGCACTGAGAAGTCCAAAGGGGAGACACAGCAATTTGCATATAGAAATGAACTAGTGAAAAGTACCAACGGCCTGAGGACTTGGGCAAAGAACAAATGATAAAAGCAGAATTTGACCGCTTATGCTAAAATCCTATCATCACTTAAGACACTTTAAGGAAGCTCTAAATCTCGGACTATTTAAACAAATTCTGCCCCTGCTACACACCAAATGCCTGGAGGCAGGTAACAGCAGGTGATACTGGGTAGAAAGGGCTGGGGTGCCAGCTGGCTTACCTTGGCACATGCCACAAGCTGGGAGGTGGAGAGGGCACACTGGGTGGCAGCAGCAATTACCCTGTTCTGTAGGACAGTGTCTTCGGCCACTTGGGCAACATTCTTTGCCTTTAGTACCAACATGGCAGCTGCATTGGCAACAGCTTTGGCCAAACTCATTAAAACATCCTAAGAAAAGGGAATCAAAGACTATTCATTTATTTTTCTCTAATCACCTTTCACAGCCTGAAAATAAACGTTATTAAAATTCCATTTGATCTTTTTCCTTCAGTACTTTAGAAGTTTTTTTACTTTTTTTTGAAATGTCAACTTATCCTTAGAAGTAATTAAAAAAGGAGACTTGTATCCTAATAACTCAGTCTCTTACATCCATTAAGTAGCATAGGTTTAAATCTAAAATAGTTAATTTGAGGGAAGGGTCATTATTTTAACCACTGATTCCCATTCATGCACTTATCTAACACGAAGTCTTGACCACGTCTCTTGAATGAGTGGCTGATATGGTAGATCAGGAGAAGCTGAAAACATATCCAGATGCCACAACATCATGTGCCATAAGAAGGTTATAATTCATGGCCTCCAGTCATCATGCCCCACTGCAACTTGAAAATGTATCTTTTGGATTTCTACTTTGCACAAAGATCCAAGTCGTCATCAGAAATTTAGCCATATCTCTACCTCCAGAGGGCAACATTTGATGTGCACAGACACATAGCTGGCACCAATACCTATAGCTCAAGAGCCAAGAAATGCTCTGAACATGAGTTATTCTCAGTGTTCTGCAGCCTTCTGGGTAGGAATTAAATTATTACAGAAAGCAGAAAGAGAGCCTATATAAATACACTAGCTATAAGATGGTCTGACTGAAAATGCGAGGAGCTAGTTTATGCTTCAACTCAATGACTAGGCATTCTGCCTGCAGAAAGAAGAATCCTTTGATTGAGCCTACCAGATTTGTCACCCATCTGTCTGACCTGAAGAAGAACCATGGTTACAATTAATTTACTTCTTTGCTTTTAATACTGAAAGTAGTTTATTTGACTTGGAAATGCCTTCCCAAACATATGAGCCATTTTTATTTGGAACAAACACGTCAAGGCTTTTCCCTTCAAGGAAATACGGTCAGAAGTCTTTATTAATTCATCAGATGATAAAGAGCACATTTGATTCTAAATGTAAAGGGCACCCACAGCGTCTTTACAGTGAGATATTTTATGAGAAGATACATTGGAAATAATATTCAGCCTGCACAATTTTACATAGAACAAAGACTAGATACAATCCAGCTAAACCAGAAACCCATGAATCTATCAAGTAAGCTGATTTTAAAATGGACAAAAACTAAGTGGTCTTAAAGGAGCAGGTTATTCCAGTCTTTCTCAGGTCTGTGATGTTTCCTGGCTATCCAAGGTATAATTAAAGCCCATGGTGCTGAAAGCAGAAGATCCCTTTGGGATCTGACTGGCACTTGTCTACCACACAACTTTTAGGAATTGCTCCCACTATGGCAAAGTTACAATTCCTGGACATCTATCTCAATGCTCAGTGAAAACACAGCTTGAATGTCACAAATTATTAAAAAGATTTTTAAAAATAACTTTCCAAAGTAGGTCATAGTATTCCCTCACTTGATATGAATTCATCTTTTCAGATGGGGGGCCAGGATTTGGTCACATAGAATCATGATTGTTCTAAAGGACTTTGTTAGAATTGTTTAAAGAAATCCTGTTCCTCTTATTAATTTTGTCCAAAAAAATACAGTCAGAAAAAGAATGTGATACTACAGCTATAGCTGCTGACAAGGCCTTTGTCAAAATTTTCAACAAGACCACTATTATATAGCCAGTGTAAAATAAATCTTTGTTAACTATGGGAACATGCAGTACATTAAGAAATCAAGAAAAGCTCTGAGATATGATCTCAAGAATCAGAAGAATAGAGTAAGAAATCCAATGTCAGTTACCCATAACTGGAGGAGGTTGCAGGATCACCTTACTGCCCTGGTCTTTACCTAGAGAGCTAAACAATTGAAAACATTCAAGTCTGGCCTGTCCCTGCTAACAAAGGCTCTGTAGGACTGTCACCCTGAACCTGAACCTGCTTCCTTTGCACATCTGAATAGAAACAAACATTAGGAAGCAGGGTTGACATTCACACACAATGAAAATAATCTGCTAAAGCAGGGAGAGGCAGGAAAAGCTTTTAAAAAATACAAGGTTGCATGGGATGTTTAAAGGAAGAATTGTGACTTTCTCCTTAACCTTCCTTGGCACTTTGGAGAAAACAATAATATTAATACTTTTGGGGAACATAAATGACTACGTCAAGATAATTAAGCCCAGTAAAACAGCAGCTGAATCTCATATTTACCAAGTTCCTAAATAGGTACCTGCCTACAAATAATTACCTGCCCTAATATAAAAAGTAAAGGCCAATGCAAGGGCAGTTTGGGGATATGGAAAGGCAAATTAGAATGGGGACACAATTAACTTGGGTTTAGCAGAATATATTGATGTGCAGTTCATTTTGATTCTAGGGAACTTATGACCAGCCATCTCAGTGTAGAAATGGCTTCCAGGAATATTCCTACCACCCATCATATGAATTCAACCTCTATCATGACACGAATGTCTGTACATTGAATGTCTTATTGCACTGCAGGATATGAATGAGTCCCATAGCCCAGTGCCACAGGCATGTGGAGAGTGAAGGAGAAACAAACACATCTATGGATGAAGGTTGAAGTTTCATGTCTCACAACATACATGATCCCATCTTCGTTTAACTAACACATCTTATGCTTATAAAATTTGGAAGTTCTAGATAAAATGGCATGCAAAATTGCCACCCATGAAGCAAGAAACCTGAATGCCAGAGGATCTTTTTGTTCCGTCTATAAAATATTATAAAATCATTGCCAAATGAAGAGGTGGTCAAAACAGATGAAGTCAAAAATGCAGGAAAAAAGGTATTTAGAAGTGTCAGGTAGTTAATAAAAACATTACGTTATTTTTCTAGATTTGGTGATATTTGTGGTGTTAGTTCATATAAGTTCGTAATTTTTTGTGATTTCTTCTAAGTAAATATTTCATTATATATATAAATAAATAATTCAAAAAACATTTTAATAAGTGAAGGCCAATGAAATTCTGTAGAATTCCTAAACAGTGAACATGACACAGGATTTGGAAAAGGGCATCTTTCAGAGAACCTGGGCCAGAACTGTAACAATTTAATTAGGATATATTTATATATTACTTGCAAAATTAGAGACTTAGGAGAAGGAGTAAAGGGCACTGGCCCACCAGCACGTAAGCAGCTCATCCTGGCCTGAACCACCCCAGAAGCAGGCCTCTGCGCCCCACCCTTTGAGGGACAGGGATGGAGGCAGATGAGCAGAGATGTCTGATGCTTTCTGAGCTGCAGTGAGGTGATACTGCAGACAGTGGTGACAGTCGCTCCCCAGAGGGCAAGCACCACAGGTCCCTGGTATTGAAAAAGAAGGGTCACAAAAAAGACTTCCCTGCCACGCTTGTGGTTTTGGATAAGACACAAAAAATAAACCACCTCTGAGTACAAAGGAAATTCTCTCTCTCTTTCTCTGTGTGTGTGTGTGTGTGTGTGTGCGCGCGTGTGTGTGTGTGTGTGTGTCGAAGTAAACATAAACTTCATGTTTATGAGGACTCAAGAATGATGCCATTAAAACCTCCTCCTGAACAGATAAAGTAAGACTGGCCAGGAACTAATGATCACAGAGGTTAGGTGACAGATACCAGGAGTTCATGACACTATTAATATTTCCTCCCTTCTTGTGATTAAAGAATGTCCAGCACATTAACAAAAAAAATAATCACGGCCAGGCGCGGTGGCTCACGCCTGTAATCCCAGCACTTTGGGAGGCCGAGACGGGCAGATCACGAGGTCAAAGTTCGAGACCAGCCTGACCAACATAGTGAAACCCCGTCTCTACTAAAAATACAAAAATTAGCCGGGCATGGTGGCGTGCACCTGTAATCCCAGCTACTCAGGAGGTTAAGGCAGGAGAATTGCTTGAACCCGGGAGATGGAGGTTGCAATGAGCCAAGATCACGCCACTGCACTCCAGCCTGGGCAACAGAGTGAGACTCTAATTTAAAAAAAAAAAAAAAATCAGGAAAGCTAAATACGTGCTTTACAATGATGACGCATGGTGGCAGTGAAATGAGTTTTCCTATTAAAAAAAATCTTTTTGGTAACACAAAAAGACCTCACTCCCAAGATAATCCATCTCAATCGCATTCTTGACTATCTCAAAGATTTAGTTAGTTTTCAAATATTACATTCTGCCTGCTCGGGTCTAGACCATCACTTAGACTTCTTTCCATGACTATAAGCCTGCAAATATCTTACCTGGAATCGCTCATCAGTCTCATTCTCTCCAATCTGTCTCAGAAGATCCCCACTGGCTTGTCCGATGCTGCCAGCAGCAGTCAAAACTGTCTGTCGAGGCTGTGAACAAACAACACACCTTAATTGGAAAGAAAACGCATTTCCTCCAGTGCCATCAGACATGGAAGTACAGGAAGTAGAATCTCACAGAATTTGCTCCCTTTGTCTGACAGTGAGAATCTCAGGTGGTCTGCCAGATAGAAGACATCCCGGTGAAATCCGTGAAAGGAAACATCCAGTGTCTCACAAACCAGCAATATAGTTGTATGGATTTGAAATGGCCAATTAGTGAGCCTTGTTCATTTGGTAAGAAGGTGATGCATTCTGTGGAAATTAGGGTGCAAACTTCTATTCCCCTTAAATGCGTATTAGTCATGTGTGTTAAGTTCCTGTAGCTGCATCTACTCAAGTACCCTTGAGGGGGAGGCCTTTATACTAAGAGCTCAACCACTCCTGAATGTGGATGAGCTTCTGCACCCAGTTCCACAACTCCAGTTACTCCTGCAGAGAGAAACACACCCCATCAAGACGCAAGGAACAGCTCGGGAAGCAAGAGCCCCATGGTCCCCCAGTGGATGCAGCTGTCCCATCAGAACCTGAGTGATTGCTTGCCTCTGGAGCTTACCTCTCCAGAAGTAGGCTGCACAGCTTTCAGCAAGTCTGACACCGCCCCAGCGAGGGTCCTGGCAGCTCTGAGCAAGTCCTCCCCGCTGCCCACCTCATCATCCATGAGGGCGGCCAATAGCTTCACACCCTTGGACATCTCCGTCAGGTTGGAAGAAATAGTGGTGATCGCACATCCCACAGCTGTGTAGTCAGTGTCTGCAGGGTCACCTGGCACAGAAAAGAACCATCCCCATCAAAGGAGGGCACATGGTTCTGGTGAGAATTTTCAAAACCCCACACTGGCAGGAGTTCCTCACCTACCATCCTGCAGGAGTCAGACACCAAGCTTCACATGAGCACAGTGAGCTGGCCTGCTCCCTGTCTCCGAGGTGACTTCAAAAAGGCCCTTTCACCTGGAGGCCTCATGCACTGAAATACTGAGTACAACCACCTTTAAAAATCCAGAGGATGTCTCGGCATCTCACAGCCCTTTTCATTAGGCCCCTGTCAGCAGCTCAGGGGGTCAACTCTGCTCCTGAAAGGCTGCTGCAGGGTGAAACAAGCAAGTTCCCAGCTCTCCTCTGACAGTGAAAGGCTGGGAGCCACACTGTGCCAGAAGAGACCACTGCTGGACAACATGGGCAAAGGCACATATGACAGGTCTGTTCATTCAAAACCATTTTCCAACTGTAGGTGCCCAGAAGGCAGAAAGTAGCCTCAGTAGACTTTGCAGTATGTCCGGCACACTGACAAGCCGTGAGAAGATCTGAATAGATGCTTTTTAATGAGGATGCATGATACAGGCAAAAAGCAATGAGATGTTCCTTCCCACTCTCCTGGGTCACTGGGAGAAAATGCCTACAGCACTAAAAGTGCCTTAGACTATCCTCTCATAATATAAAGTCTATTGTTTCAATCAACAGATAACTTATTTTTTAAAATTAAAAAAAAAAACACAGCTTTTAAACAAAACCCCAATGCAGCACAAATCTCTCCGGGACTTACCAGCTGTGAGGTTAACAACTGAAGCCGTTCCGGCCGTGATAGCATCAACTTGAGAATGGATTTCGTGTTTGGATTCGTCGACTTTGTTCTGAACCCATACCCTAGATGCCTGCAAAGCCAGACAACGGCACAACACAATCACAGCACAGAATTACCCAGGAGACCGGAGAAGCCCCGCCATAAAATCACACCAGCATTTTGGCTACATTCTTCTTATGAGGCCAGCACCGACAGGGCCCTTAAGTTATCCTAAACAGTATCCTTAACAGGCCTCTTAAGGAGCAAGAGATACTCAATGGCGTGCAAATTCTCCCTTGTGTCTTATGTTAATTATGTTGTTTGTGTTTTTAACTTTTAAGATCTTAGGGAGAAAAATTCCACGTGGCCTTATTTAGAAAAATTCAAGTGAAAAAGAATGAGGAGAGAAAAATCAATGTTTCATCATAATACTGCACATTAGCACTAATAGTTGTTGCTAATTTTCACCTTGCTTTGCAGGGTGCAGGGTGAGAAAGAGGGTGTTTCAACTTAGACATGTTCTCTGTCAATGTAGGAAATGCCTCTTGCTTACAACGTGCATTGTCGTAAAGACAACTAAGGGCCATGCTCATGTAGACGGTAAGACCTTTCCTGGTAAGATGAGGGGATGGGTTGAGATCCCTGTTCTGGATCCAGATCTACCACTAGCAGGTGACAGGACCTCGGGCAAATCATAGGCAGGTCCTGTGCCTTATACTTCTTCTACCATGGAAATTCAATGGTTTTTAAAAACCTTTCCAGCTCTTATACTTTACGTTTATTTGAACCTATAAATAGCAAGTTCTCTATTTTCTGACATTTCAGAACTTACCTAATAAATGATCATTTATCTTGATAATGATGACCCTGCAGTAAGGTGCTCATCTGCTTCCCAAAACATCCCAAAAATACTCATCTATGTTCAGGATGTGACTAGCACTAGAAATAATTTATGGCATTCTAATTCTTTGAAAACTGGTGAAGCAGGAATGTTAAATCTTAAATATTTTAAAACTCTACCAATTATACTGGATATGGGAGTCTGCCATACATGTTTGTACTCTGGAGTTCCCCAAAGCAAATGTTTATTGTTTTTGGGTACCTGGGAGAAATGGCGCTGAGTTTACCAGCAACCTCCACGCACACAACTGTGCAAATGAAAAACTCAGCATTCTGGGAGAACTTGGAGGGCAGTTATCCTGGCAGGACAAGATGAGGCTACAGACTGTATCTTGGTTCTGGCCCCTGTGATGGCACCAGTCAGTCCTACAACAGTGGTTGTCAACCCTGACTGGCCATTAGAATCACCTGGGGAGAATAAAAACCACTGATTCTCAGGCTCCACCCACAGCAACAACGATTTATTTGGTCAGAACTGGTGCTTTGGGCTTTGTTTTTAAAGTTCCTAGGATGATTCTAACGTACAAAGCAGGGTTGAGAATGACAGCGCTAGCCGGTGCTTCTCAAACTTTAATGGTCACCCAAAGAAGCTGGGAACTTGGCTAAAATGCAGATTCTGTTTGAGTAGGCTGGGGAAGGCCCAAGATTCTGCACCTCTTACAAGACCCTAGGAATTGCCAATGCTGCTGGTCCTGGGACCACGATTTGAGCAGTGAGGAGTTGGAAGATTTCATGCAGCAGCAGCTACAGGAAGATCTCTGGGTTAATCACCCTACCTTGCTGAAAAGCTCAGTGGTAGTAAGCCAGTGCTTCTCAAAGCACAGTCCCCAGGCATGCAGTGTTGGCATCACCTGAGATCTTGTTGCAAATGCAAAATCTCAGGCCCTACCCAAGATCCAAAAAAAAAAAAATAGAGGAAGAGTCCAGCAACATTCATTTTAACAGGCCCTTCGGATGATGCTGATGGATGCTACAGCTTGAGAACCACGGGTAGCAATAAAACTAACAAACAGCTAATGCTTACTGAGCTCTTACTATGTGCGAGGGGCTGTGCTAAGAACTCTACAGGTGATTAGATCATTGCATCTTCATAACAACTCTATTTACAGATGACAAAGTGGAGGAATTGAGAAGGCAAGTAGCCCAGATTCACACAGCCAGTACTGGAGCTGGTGTTTGAACCCAGGTCACAGGATCCTAGGGTTCAAGTTCTCAGCCCACCCGTGGTACTGCCAACAGCCAGCAGTACCCTATGATTCTCTCCTCCTATGGGTGCAACTGAGAGGCAAAGACTCAATATCCTGAAAAAATCATGGGTTTCCATTTCACCTAGAGATAGAAATTTACCTAGATGAATCCCGACAGAGTATATAACCCTGCTTTCTGCCAGGGCAGAGACTTGGCATGAAAACCACTGAACAGTATTTACCATATCCTGGCCGAGAGGTGGCAGCGAGTCGAGCTCACTGAGATCATCCTGGGCCTGCTGGACGGCGTGCATGCTTGTGTTGATGGTCCCCATCAGGGCCTGCTGGGCTGAGGTCTGCAAAGGCAAATGAAACAAAGCTGTCATCCCACACGCCTGGGACCGACATGGCCCTTTATGCAAAACAAAGCAAAACAGAACTCTGCACTCAAGACAAAGCAGCCCAGGCTACATCTCAACAAGCGCCTCAACCATCTCCCATTTCAACCTGGAGGCCAGAAATAGATACTGCATTATATTAATAGAACACAAAATGAAGGTGATTGCCACGGAGGGATTATAATCAGAAGTGTGTGAAGAGCTTAATTAGCTGACAAGAAGGCTCAGAAGAGTCCTTGCTGGGGAACTGGGGTGATCCAATCTTTGAGTACTGAGGACCTCCTCACGCACAGGAAACACGTGGGTGTTAAATGAGAATGCTTCCTGATAGACACTTAAGGACTCCATCTAAATCTACGGTCAATGTACTTTTTCAGAGACAAGTGTTGTTCCTGAGCTTTCGAAAAGTTCTCACACAATAGCAAGGGAGTCCCAAGGCCGGCCTGAGAGGCACTGAGCCGGACAGACCAGCACAGTGGAAAGGAATCAATGACTCCCAGCGTGAAACCTCAAAATCACTAAAAACCTGGTCGACTTCTCAGACTTTCCTAGGGGTATCTGGCCCAATCAGCTTGATGCTGCCAGGACACGGGAGCAGAGTTCTGTCCCTGTACACAAGTCATGTTAAGAGCTCCCTAATTTTCCAGTCACAGAGGACACCTCCGATACTAAACAGGCAGTGATCCGAGTCATCCAATTTAAAAAATGCACAGCTGAACGAGGCATGGTTCAGCCGGGAAATAGAGAGCGTTCCAACACTCAGCCCATCACCGCCGCTGGTGTCCACCCTGCATGCGGGAGGCAGCAGACTAACGAGTGGGGGACGAGCACAGGAAGCCTCACCAGTGGCGGCATGTGGCCTCGGTGCATCTGCCCAACCATGACCTGCTGCTGTGGCGAGGGCATGCTGCCAACGTTGAAGGTCTCAGGCCCGCTGGAGCCCGAGCGCATCACGGCCGGCAGCGCCACTGAGCCGTGCTCTGCCTTCCCGGTCCGGTTGAACTGCTGCTGCAAGATGGTGGACCTGCCGGGAAAAGTGGTTTGGTCACTGAGAGAACACCAGCCATGTGGAGTGCAATGAGGAGACCCCACAGATGTCACGTATGTTCCCTGCTTTATGCTGTGAAGGCCAACTAAAAGAGGCACATACAGACTGAGAAGCAGGAATGAAGAAGTGGCATTACAACACTTAGCAGAGCTCTGAGATGAATCCTTTTATGATAAGTAATGTAAATAATTACTCCCAATTTATCTACTTAATAGATTTATGGTATTATGCAATTAGTTGTTATTTAAAAAACAAGGCCGGGTGCAGTATCTCACCCCTGTAATCCCAGCCCTTTTGGAGGCCAAATGGGAAGGATTCCTTGAAGTTAGGAGTTCAAGACCAGCCTGGGCAACATAATGAGACCTCGTCTCTACAAAAAATTCAACAACTCAGTCCCGAGTGGTGGTACATGCCTATAGTCCTAGCTATTCAAGAGGATGAGGTGAGAGGATCACCTGAGCCCAGGAGCCTGAGGCTGCAGTGAGCTATGATCGCGCCACTGTACTCCAGCCTGGGCAAAAGAGTGAGACTCTGTCTCAAGAAGAGAAAATGACAACAACACAGAGATTCCCATAATAATGATGTTCCAGGTTTTAAGTGAATGTATTGATATGTTGATATATTATTTTTGGTAAATAATATCTGAAAGAACATTCATTAAACAAGTATCAACCTTGTGCCAGGTTCCATTCTAGGCATCAGAGATACAGATCATTTATCTTTAGCTTGAAAGGGGAAATGTGGAAATGAAGCTAGGGGAAAATCTCCCACATCTTAGCTCCCCTCCCTCGGGTCCTCAGGTCCACCACCATTGACCACAGAGGATGTTTCATCGCCTCTAGAGCCTCAACCATGTGAGGCTTTGGAACCTTCCCCAAATGCTTTCAACTAAATATTGGGAAGATTCTTAAGGTATCTAATGGAAAAAATTGCATTTTTTAAAATTTATTTTTTTAAGACAGAGTTTCACTCTTGTCATCCAGACTGGAGTGCAGTGGCGTGATCTCGGCTCACTGCAACCTCTGCCTCCTGGGTTCAAGCGATTCTCCTGCCTCAGCCTCCCAAGTAGCTGGGATTACCAGCACCTGCCACCACACCTGGCTAATTTTCTGTATTTTTAGTAGAGACAGGGTTTCACCATATTAGCCAGGCTGGTCTTGAACTCCTGACCTCAGGTGAACCACCCGCCTCAGCCTCCCAAAGTGCTGGGAATACAGGCGTGAGCCACAGTGCCCAGCCAAAAAATTGCATTTTTTACTTCATATTGTCTTAGAATGAAGAATAAGTGCAAAGGACGCTGATCATCTGAAGGTAAAAAGTCTGAGGGTGGCATATGTTCCTCAGAAGCCCAGTGGACAAACCTACAAACAGGGTCTGTGTGTGTTGTGAGGCGGAAGGAAGGTGGAGGTGCAGCTGCATGAAGAGACAGGGACCTCTGTCCCAGGGCCCTCGCACCCTGTTGCCCAGAGCAAGGCTCGATAGCCACGCGGGGATCCCAAGCAACAGGCATCCATGGAGAAACACTGCAGTCTAGGGGTGGGGTGGTGAGACACCAGGGAAGGTTGGTCTGGAGGCTCCAGTAAGAAGTCAGTTGCATTCTGAGATCTCAGCCAAGGACCAATGGAGGAAGAAGTGGAAGGTCTAGCGATGGGAACGATCCTGACCATTCTTCCTGCTTGCCTTGATCAGACCCCACAGTGATGCTGTGGGCAGTGGAGGAGGCTACAGTGATCCCAGGCAGGGGAAGGTCCCAGCCCTCTGGGCTCAGACACTTACTGGGCCGCTCCTATGGGAAGCAAAGCACAGCAGAGTCCTCTGAAGTGACGCAGATCACCCTGTCAGGGAGCACTAGCTCACTAATTTACATCCAATGGTCATGAATAATTCCAAAGACTTAAGGTGCTCTGCCCAAGGGTGGCAAGTACTAGAAACTTATCATATCAAGTTTGGTTCCAACTTGCGTACTAGTGGGGACAAATGGAAAAACACCTTTTGGGTGATTAGGAAGCAAATTGTGAGAAACTGGCAGCAAGGGTGAAAATATTAGAGAAACTACTACAGCTAAGCAAGTTTAATGGATTGGAAGATGCTAGAACTTTCTAGCAGCGTACTATGGGAAACATCGCAAGATCTGAATCTGAGTCCTGGCTCTACCACATATGTGTATCTCAACTAACTTTCATGAGCTTCAGTTTCCTTATCCGTGGACTGGGAAAGATAGATCCTGCCTGGGACCACTGTAGCCTCCTCCACTGCCCAGAGCATCACTGTGGGGTCTTATCAAGGCAAGCAGGAAGAATGGTCAGGATTGTCCCCATCGCTAGACCTTCCACTTCTTCCTGCGTTGCTCCTTGGCTGAGACCCCTGGCCTCCCTTTTGCATAGGGAGTTGTTATTGGAATTCCAGATGAGACAAAATGTCACACTAAAGCATACAAGAACAGTCATTACATTGCTCTATTAACATAAAAGGGATGTCTGGATAGGTTTCCCAAAAAGAGCCATTTATTAGATGTTACTTAATTTTAATAAACCTATCTCCTCATCTATAAATGGGGCTAAATTAAGAATACCATGAATTTAAAACAATGATCATGAGGATGATAGTTATAATAGCAAGTGCTATGTGCCAGGCATTGTTTTATGTGCTTTATTAGTAACTACCATGGAAATAAAACCTACTTAGGTGGTAATATCATTATCCCCATTTTATAGATAAGCTCATGCCAGAAGAGAATTTAGTAACTTTCCCAGGGCCACACAGTGAAACAGAGACCCCAGATTTGAGTCCATATTCTTAACCACTCGCCTGCACTATGCTACCTCACAGCACTCGAGACAAGCGTGGCATGCAGCAGTGCTTCACCGTAACTCCGCCACTGGCTGCACTCCCTCCTCCCACAAAAGGGGCCAGAATCAAACAGAGGCTCATCCTCTGACCTCCTGACGGTACGGCTCAATGATCATGATTCGATCATGAGATTTAAATCAGAAATGCAGAACAGGACTCATGAACACTTACTGCCTCAAAAGACGCAGTTAAAATGCCACACCTTGGTCAATGTTTCCCTAAAATCCTCAGCCTCCCTCACGAGACGTCTGCCACTTCAATGCTGCTGGTCTGGGGACCACGCTTGAAGAAGATTCAACTATATCATCTGCTGTCATCTTCTCCAGGTGACAGGCTTCAGAGCAGCAGGCTCCAAGCTGGCAAGAGGAAACCTACCTATCTAGGGAGAAGGTGGTCCTCTAGTACTCTTCATAATACTTACTTTTTTGGGGAAACGGACTCTTCTAACATGGTTGACTCCTCATCACCTTCTAGTCCAAATCGATCTTTACTTTGTTTCTGGAAATGCAATAAAACAAGATGCAAAAATGAAAACCAGGCCACGCGCGGTGGCTCACGCCTCTAATCCCAGCACTTTGGGAGGCTGAGACGGGCGGATCACTTGAGGTCAGGAGTTCGAGACAAACCTGGTCAACACAGTGAGACCCCGTCTCTAATAAAAAATATATATATACATAAATCAGCCTGGCATGGTGACAGGAGCCTGTAATCCCAGCTACACCGGAAGCTGAGGCAGGAGAATTGCTTGAACTGGGAGGCGGAGCCTGCAGTGAGCCGAGACAGCGCCACTGCACTCCAGCCTGGGCGACTGAGGGAGACTCTGTCTCAAAAAAAAAAAAAAAAAAAAAAAAAAAAAAAGAAAGAAAATCAGCAGGTCTTCATACAAGGACCTTTAAAAAAACATTTTGAAGGGACACAAGTCAAAGTGTTGAAGTTTACTCAAAATTCTTTATACTGGATATTTAGTAAGCGATGGATGAACAAAAGCATAATAATAAAAAAGAGAAATATATGATTTAATATATAGTTAGATGTCACGTATTTATTGCACAGACTTTAATTTTACATAGTAAAAAATCAAGATGCACATATTAACATTCTATTAAATCTTGGTTTTTTGAATGGGCTGTATCTTGAAGCCTTAAGAAATCTGTTTTTCTATATACCACTATGGCATATAACCCCATTACATTTGTTTAAAAAAAAAACATGAAAACTACAAAGATCATTTTTGGCCCCTCAATCCAAGTTCCCACAGAGGCTGAAAAGCACAGTACAGCTACGTGGAGAGGAAGATGCTGAGGGGTGCTAGGCTCATTCATTAGCTAAGTGACATGCTATTGTTCACTGCCTGGTAGTAAATGACACAAATATGTGCTGCAGAAAAAGCAGGAATTCTCAAAGGATCTTGAGGTCAAAGATCTCACACTTAATTAGTGATTAAAGATTAAATTAGTAAATCAAGTTTTGTTGTTTTTTTTTGAGATGGAATCTCGCTCTGTCACCCAGGCTGCAGTACAGTGGCGTGATCTCAGCTCACTGCAACCTCTGCCTCCCAGGTTCAAGCGATTCTCCTGCCTCCACCTCCCGAGTAACTGGGACTACAGGCGCCTGCCACCACGCCCGGCTAACTTTTTTGTATTTTTAGTAGAGACGGGGTTTTGCCATGTTGGCCAGACTGGTCTCTAATACCTGACCTCAGGTGATCTGCCTATCTCAGCCTCCCGAAGTGTTGGGATTACAGGCGTGAGCCACCATGCCTGGCCTCAAGTATTATTTAAGAGGATTTTTTTTTCAAGGTAGCCACGTCATCGAAACCAAGCCTTTTAATAAAGCCGTCTTGCTTTTCCAATTTGCATCAATACAAAATACCTTTTTCAGGATGATGTCAATGTAGCCTGCAATCAGCTGGGATATCTGCTCTCCCTCGGTGGTTTGTACTGAATAGTAGCTTTCCTGATACTCCCCAAAATCCTGAAAAGACAGCAATGGAGGAAATATAGCCAAATCAGATATATCAGCATTTTAAAGGCTAGCAGGTCCAGCTCTAGAACAATATGACATAGACTTCATTTTCCCTGCTCCTCCTCTCTAAATACAAATGAATATCCTAAAATTTATTCAACAATATTCAACAACGGTAAAAGAGCTCTGAAAACTGAGAAGACAGACTGGCTGGGGGGCTCAGAACTTGCAAAACCACAATGTGGTTGAGTTCTTGGGCTTCTTTCCTATCCCATATACCCCCAAGACTAAGAGTTGTAGAGGCCTGAACATTGGAACCTCCAGTAAGCAGTTCCTGAAAAGCATGCTTTTAGTCAAAGAACTAGGAGAAGGGGAGCCCAAGAGAGACTAATTTGGGGAACTAGTCAGGAGCTCCAACTCCAGCTCAACAACCTGGGCTGATATTCACAGGAAGCTGCAGAGCAGGGAAACCTCAGACCCTCCCAGGCCCTGTTCCACAACCCAGGCAGGTGGATGGTCTGACCCTTTTGCTGCAGCAGCCACAGTAAAGCCCTGTGTCTCCCTGCCCTCTAGCCAGTGGCTTAAAGAGACTCAGCTCCAGTGCCCTCTGCTTCCTGCAACGAAGGTCACCCAGCAATAGCAGGTAGCCCAGGGAAGTGCCTTCTGCCTTCATCGACAGAACCAACAGGGTTTGAGCAGGAACCTTAGTGTCAAAAGAAAAAATCAGTCCAGAATAGCAATGAAAGGGCTCAGAGAATAAAACTGTCATTGCAACTTAAGCCCTGAAAAGTAGGCCAGAATACTACACGCTAAACTTGAACAAAGTGGCCACCTGCTATAACAGAATATTTCAGTAAGATCAGAAGTCTCCCAATGGGCTGGGCACAGTGCTCATACCTGTGATCCCACCACTTTGGGAGGTTGAGGCGAGAGGATCACTTGTGCCCAGGAGTTCAAGACCAGCCTGGGCAACATGGTGAGACTTCACCTCTATAAATTTTTTTTTTTTTAATTAGCCAGGCATAGTGGCATGAGCCTGCAGTTCCAGCTCCTCAAGAGGCTGAGGGAGGAGGATCGCTTGAGCCCAGGAGGTGAGCTATGATCACACCACTACACTCCAGCTTGGGCAACAGAGTGAGAGACTGTCTCCAAAAAAAACAGGTCTCCTAATAACCAAGATGTCTAGGATGTCTTAAAAAAATAAATATTCATATCGAGAGCCAGGACACCCACAATATGAATGACAGATCATCAACTCATGCCAACACTGAAATAAATCAGATATTGGAATTATAAGGATTTTAAAGCAACCATCATAAAAATGCTTCACCAATAAATTGCAAATTCTCTTGCAGCAAATTTTAAAGAATAAAAAGTTCAAACAAAGAAACAGAAGTCATAAAAAAGAACCAAATGGAAATTACAGAACTGAAAAAGGCAATAACCAAAATTTTAAAACTCACAGGATAGACTAAATAGTAGTGTGGAGATAATAAAAAATAAAATCAGTAAACCTGAAAATAGATCAACAGAATTTAGTCAATCTGAACAATATAGAGAAAAGAAACTAAAAAACAGAGCTTCACGGACTTATAGGACAGTAACAAAAGATCTAACATTAATATCATCAGAGTAACAGGAGAGGACAGTGTTGGATAAAAATAGAGTAGCTGAAGAAATAATGACTGAAAACTTCCCCAAATTAGTGAAGACTTAAACCCACAAATTCAAGAAGCTGAGTGAACTCCAAATAGAAGAAATCTTAAGAAGCCCATACCCCTCCCCCTCCCCTCCCCCTCCCCCTCTCCCTCTCCCTCTCCCACGGTCTCCCTCCCCCTCTCTTTCCACGGTCTCCCTCTGATGCCGAGCCGAAGCTGGACTGTACTGCTGCCATCTCGGCTCACTGCAACCTCCCTGCCTGATTCTCCTGCCTCAGCCTGCCGAGTGCCTGCGATTGCAGGCGCGCACCGCCACGCCTGACTGGTTTTCGTATTTTTTTTGGTGGAGACGGGGTTTCGCTGTGTTGGCCGGGCTGGTCTCCAGCTCCTAACCGCGAGTGATCCGCCAGCCTCGGCCTCCCGAGGTGCCGGGATTGCAGACGGAGTCTGGTTCACTCAGTGCTCAATGGTGCCGAGGCTGGAGTGCAGTGGCGTGATCTCGGCTCGCTACAACATCCACCTCCCAGCTGCCCGCCTTGGCCTCCCAAAGTGCCGAGATTGCAGCCTCTGCCCGGCCGCCACCCCGTCTGGGAAGTAAGGAGCGTCTCTGCCTGGCCGCCCATCGTCTGGGATATGAGGAGCCCCTCTGCCTGGCTGCCCAGTCTGGAAAGTGAGGAGCATCTCTGCCCGGCCGCCATCCCATCTAGAAGTGAGGAGCGCCTCTTCCCGGCCGGCCGCCATCACATCTAGGAAGTGAGAAGCGTCTCTGCCCGGCCGCCCATCGTCTGAGATGTGGGGAGCGCCTCTGTCCCGCCGCCCCGTCTGGGAGGTGAGGAGCGCCTCTGCCCGGCCGCGACCCCGTCTGGGAGGTGAAGAGCGTCTCTGCCCGGCCGCCCCGTCTGAGAAGTGAGGAGCCCCTCCGCCCGGCAGCCGCCCTGTCTGAGAAGTGAGGAGCCTCTCCGCCCGGCAGCCACCCCGTCTGGGAAGTGAGGAGCGTCTCCGCCTGGCAGCCACCCCGTCCGGGAGGGAGGTGGGGGGGTCAGCCCCCTGCCTGGCCAGCCGCCCCGTCCGGGAGGGAGGTGGGGGGGGGTCAGCCCCCCGCCCGGCCGGCCGCCCCGTCCGGGAGGTGAGGGGCGCCTCTGCCCGGCCGCCCCTACTGGGAAGTGAGGAGCCCCTCTGCCCGGCCAGCCGCCCCGTCCGGGAGGGAGGTGGGGGGGTCGGCCAGCCGCCCCATCCGGGAGGGAGGTGGGGGGGGTCAGCCCCCCGCCTGGCCAGCTGCCCCGTCCGGGAGGGAGGAAGGGGGGTCAGCCAATAAAAAAAAAAAAAAAAAAAAAAAAAAAAAAAGAAGCCCATACCAAGAATTTTGAAAACTAGAGATAAAAATATCTTAAAAACAGCCACAGAAAAATGACATATTACCTACAAATTGACACCAACTTGAATGACAGCAAATTTATCATTAGAAACCATGGAGGTAAGAAAGAAGTGGCATGACACTTTTCAGATACTAAAAGAAAGGAACTGTCAATCCCAAATGCTGTACCTGGCAAAATTATCCTTCATGAATGAAGGGGAAATAATAACATTCTCAGAGGAAAAAAACACAAAGTCAATTTGTTGCTAGCAGATGTACCCTTAACAAATAGCTAAAGGAAGCTCTCCAAACACAAAATGATAACAGAAGAAGGCTGGGAACTTTAGAAAGGCAAGAAGAACAATGGGGTAGATAAAAATAAAGGGAAGTGTAATAGACGGTTCTTCACCTCATGAGTTTCTTTCATCACATTTTGTGTTCAAAGCAGAAGCTGTAACACCATCTTATGTGGTTATAGACAAAATAACCATCTTATGTGTATACTGAAAAAATATTTAAATAATTATACTCAAAAAGTGTGGGGAGTGGGTAGGTAAAAAGACCTAAATGGAAGTAAGGTTTCTACACTTAAGGGGGAAAAGCCATTACCAGTAGACTGTGTTTAATTTCATATGGACATGGTAATATCCAAAATAACCACTAAGAACACTACACAAAGTGATATGCTCAAAACGTAACACACAAAGCAAACAAACTCTAAAAAGGTGTCCAAGTAACCCACAGAAAAGGCAAAAAAAAAAAAAAAAAGAGAGAGAGAAATAAAGTGGACAAACAGAAAAACTACAAAATGATAGACTTGGGCCCTAACATATCAATAATTAGCTTAAATATAGTGTAAATATACCAATTAAAACTGAGATAGAATGGATTAAAAAAATATAACCCAACTAATTATGCTCTCTACAAGAATTCATTTCAAATATAACAGTATATGCAAGTTGAAAATAAAAGGATGGAAAAAGATGTATCATGCCCACATTAGTTTTATAAAAAGCATTGGTGGCTATGTCAACATTAGATACAGTAGACTTCAGAGAAAAACAAAAATTACTAACAGAAAATAACATTACATAAGGAAAAAACAACTTCTCTGTTAAGATAGAGGAATCTTAAATGTACAGGCATCAAACAACAAAGCTTCAAATTACATGAAACAAAAACTGAGAGCTGAAAGAAAAAGTAGAAAAATCCATAATTACTGTTAAGAACCTCACTCTCGGCAACTGAGAAAACTGCCAGGCAGAAAATTAACAAAGATATTCATTCAAAAGACTGGAACACCACCATCAACTAATAGGGATCTAACTGGTATTTATAGAGCCCACTTTACATGATAATAGCAGAATATATGTTCTTTTTGAATACTCGTAGAACACTCACCAAAAAGGATATCCTGGGATATAAAAACAAACCTTAAAATTTCAAAAGGACTGAAATCATACAGAGTATGTTCTCTGACCATAATGGAATCAAACTAAAAAATCAATAGTAGAAAGACAGCAGAAAAACCTCTAAACACTTGGAAATTAAATAAAGGCTAGGAGTAGGAAGGAAAAAATCACTACGTATAATGGGCTTTAATGTGACGTTATGCTTTAATCAAAATACTGTTATTCTCTCTTTTGCCTGAGGTAGTTAATGAGGTTATCATAACTATTCATTTTTTAAATAAATTTTTGTTTTCAATAAATACTTGGACCTAGTTTAAAAAGACCAATAGTATTACAAGATGTAAAACAAAACACAGTTGTTCCCTGTCCTACCCATTCCCAACTTCACTTTCTACCACATACCTCTCCAAAGGTAACCACTTTCAACTCTTTTAGCAGTTGCTTCTAGTATTTCTAAATAATATGTTTATATTGATTTCTTGATTTTTCTAATTTAGAAATCATCCATGACTTCCTGCAATGGAAGATGAGGACACAGCTAAGTATGAACATTCATCTTTTGAGGGCCACACAGGCACAAATGTTACAGCTACAAGAGGAAAGAAGGTATGTTTTCTGATGATTCCTTATAATTGGCAGGAACCTATCAATCTATAGTCAAATTAGATAACTAATGACTCTTTCCATGGCCCCTTCTTTACACAGTTTTTTTTCTGATGTCCTATTATGATATCTTGCATAGATAAGAGGTGATATTTCAAGCATTCACTAGAGACTTCAAGAGTCTTAAGAACTGACAAATTCTAGCACTTTTTGATTTTTCTTATTGCACATCTTGCCCTACCAACCACCCGCTCTATTGTGTTTCACATGTAAATGTGGCTATAGTTAAGGCATAGAGTTATACTCTGCTAACAACAAATGTTGAAATCAGGAGGAAGAATTCAGAGGTCTGAAGACCTGAAACAAACATATTCTCACTACTTTCCATAAATTTTATACTAAGCATCTTATCTTCATCTTATTCAATCCTAGCAGCTCTGTAGGTAGGACTATCACCATTTTATAGCTGAAGAAATTAAGGCTCAGAGAGGAAAGGTAACTTGAACAAGGTCACACAGCTGGGAAATGACAAACTGGATTTCTATAATAATACTATCCTAAAGTCCACGTTATTTCCACTGTGTACTATGCTCTCTTTCTAGGCAGGCTGGGAAAACATTCCTCAGCAAGATAATCACAATGCTTAGGACCATCTAAAACAGAGAGGGGGCCTTTGTGTCTCAGAGCACTAGAAAGTTTCCTTTCAGTATATGCTAGGGATGTCATCAGGAACACAGAACTGAGAATCATCTGGGTGAGTGGCTTTTTCTAGATAATGAACTAGAGGCTGACTTATGTAGAGTGCAGAGAAGCAGTAGTGCCTGAAGAAACCCAGGCTTGCTGACCTCTCTTTTACTTCTGGACCCATCCCCTTCCCTGCCCATGGGCTTGCACCATCTTCCTCACTCCACGCTGGCTCTCCCAGGCCAGAGAAACCCAATGGGCAAGAATCTGGTCTTTCTCCTGTCCCCACAATATCACTCAAGGCCACGCTAGTGCTCTCCTTGCCCTCTGCCAGTCCCTACCAGTGTGAAGCTCTTGGGTGAGGCTGCCCAGCGCTTGACGGTGGTGAGGGGCCACTCCTGCAGCACTTCCTTGGTCTTCTCATCCACGCGCATCACCGAGTCTTTGGTGATCCCCAGCAGGCGAGGCACCAGCTTGTTCTTGCCTTTCATCTTCTCCTGAAACAGGAGATACCAAGAGTCAGTGCTCTTCTTCTGAATACATCTGACTTTGCCAGGGAATCAGTGATTTTTTGACCTTTCACCTGCATACACTGTCTTTCAAAACAGGTAGGGCTATAGGGAAACCAAGATTTTGAGGCTAGGTGAATAACTCATTAAACTAAAGGCATGGGAACTCAAACAAAGACATGAGAAGACTGGAAAGAGCCACAAAATCATGCCCCCTGTTCAGGAGAGCAGCTTGCTCCAAAAACAGACGATGCCAGAAAGATGGGATAGAACTGAAAAGACATCCAGAGAAAAACAAGCAAAGGTGAATTCCAGGTACTATCACTCCCAGTGGCCAACTCAGTGAGTAACAAACAAGGGTTAATCTGAGATTTAAAATTAACTTAACTAAAACTCTGTCAAAGTAGAATCTTCTCATTATGAGGAGACACAGCTTCCTGCCCTTTTTTTTAAATCTCTGAAATATATTTCTGTTTGGATTCTTTGTTTTGGAATTTTGTATATCTACTGATTCTTAAAACTTATTTTATAACTAGTTTTAATAATGTTTTAAGATATAGTAATGTCTATTAAAATAATGGAACCCTAGCTCACACTCATACCAAAACAAATTAAAGACAGAGACAGATTAATAATTTAGGAAGAACATCCAAGTGGATATTTTTGTGATCCTTGGGTGACAAATGATTTCCTAAGAAAAACACCAACATAAGAAGCCATAAAGGAAACGATTAATATGCTTAACTCAAAATATACATACTTTTGATAGACCAGGGGGAGGAGAGCAGAAGCTAAAGAAACCTCATAAAAAATGAAAAAGACTGGGCAATAAATATTTACAATGAATGTAATGGCAATAGACTTCATATACTGTCTATGTGATGTGTTCATAAATCAACAAAATAACTGCTGAAGAATATGAACAGAAAATGTTTTTAAAATAAATAAGCAAATAAGTTTTCACTTAAAATAGCTAAGGTTTCTTATTAAAATTAATACTCAGATTTGAGGAAGATGTGAAGCGGGTCACTAGTGATGAAAGCTTAAGATAGCAAAGCCTTCATGGGGGAAAATGTGTCACTATCTATCCAAACCCTTAAAAAGTCCTTACTTTTGACACAGCTAGCTTTGAGAAATTTAGTTTAAAAAAAAGTTATAAATGTGTGTAAAGATTATGCCACATGAAGCTCAACCACAGTACATCATAGTGAAAAGCTAGAAACCACCCAATTTTCAGACAACATTAGGCCCATTCAGGGTGGTATGGCTGTAGATGAAACAATCCAAGTTTTCAATAACACAGGACTTGATACATAAATTATGATATATCCAGATAACAGATTACCCTACATTATTAAAAATCATATTGTAGAAAAACAATTGGTTTTATGGAAGTAAATTATTCATAATATATTATTAAAAAACAGAATATAGGGCCTAATCTTAGAGGAAATAAAAATTTAAAAATAGGCCTATGTCCATTACATGAAAAAGGCACTGAACATCTCATGTGTTTTGTATTATTTTTTCATGCTTTTCCTTATTTCCAAAATTTCACTATTAAGTGTGTATTTTTAGGGCTGTCAGGAAAACCTTTTCAACTCATATTTGCTGAAACCTAGCAACAACACCTAAACTGCTATTCTCAGAGGCCTAGATATATACATTCACACAAAGTATCTATGCATTTGTGGATGTGTCTACACACACCCAACACAGGGTAATGGCACATAAAACAGAGCTGGAACATACTAGATACTTAATAAGCACCATCTGTTAATCTTCAGAGCATCTCCAAAACACTGGTATCATCATTTTTCACTTTGCAAGTGAAGAGACCAAAGCCAACAGTGGTGAGTGGTAAAGCCATAATTTGAACATAGATTTGAGTAGCTCAAAAATATCTCTGACTTCAAAAGCTGACTGTCTACTGCAGTTTACTGTCTTCTGGTGGAAGCAAAAAGAGAAAAGGCCAAATCCTACCCACCCCCAACCGCCCTCACCATGGGCATCTGGTAACCCTCAGATGGTGACAGTCACCGCACACCCCCAGCTTCCTCACGGAGGACACCATGGTATGAGGAATCTACCTGGGTGTCTGAGGAGGGGAATATTCCTCCCTGAACCTCAAGTCTTAAAAAACACTGACAAGCGTCAGATTTTTTTCAAAGAGAGGGCAGTTCCACAAGGGGTGAGATCAGTGCAGGGCAGACAATGTCAGTTAATCTACTTTGGCTTCAGGAGCCACACAGAGTTTTAGCTTGATAGGCTCTAGGCAGCTAATTTAGTCACACAGGGTTGGCACAATCCCAGCTTCTGGGACCCAGGAAGGGGACTGGAGATAAAATATGGTTTGCAGCTGCTTCCTTCATTCTTTCCCATCTGCACTGTTCCCCAGTGAGGGCTTCTGGGGTGCGGGAACACAGAATCGTGACGGATTGCCCTAATTCTTGTCAAGATCATTCCAGATTGGGAGAGGAAGCCACAGTGAACAAACAACTTACAGTGGACGCTCTATCAACAGGTCACAACTGAGGAAAAGGGGCTGAGGGAACTCAAAAAATACTGCAACTGGCAACAGAGACCACCATCAAGGGATAAAATTACTTCAGCACCTACACACAAAACGCAGAGCAGCTGGAGAAAGGTAAAGTAGCAAATGGCTGAGATCTGTGATCGTGATGCAAGGTCTTCCCCGGTGCAGAGACCTGCCTTAGAGCCTCAGTGACAGGGATGTGACGGGAGGGCCACAGGGTAATAAAGCTCCCTCTTTCCTTCCTATGCCTCAAGTCTCAGTACCCCCGAACCACTCCTTTCCGACCTTCAACTACACAGACCAGCTTCCTTTTATCTCCAGTAGACAAAGCAGGCTAAAGCAGGCACCAGTGAAGACCCATCTATCTCATATACCAACACACACAAAGAGCTGTAGCTGTGATTTTTGACGGCCATCTAGAAGCTTCTCTCTCAAGATGGTCCTGATTAGATTGTTTTTGTTTTGAAAATGTCTACAGCTTGTGTAACTCAGAGGCAGGAGAATGCAGGCATTCTACCAATGAGAGGCGGGAGAATGCAGGCATTCTACCAATGAGAGGCGGGAGAATGCAGGCATTCTACCAATGAGAGGCGGGAGAATGCAGGCATTCTACCAATGAGAGGCGGGAGAATGCAGGCATTCTACCAATGAGAGGCGGGAGAATGCAGGCATTCTACCAATGAGAGGCAGGATTCGCTAATAAACCCAAGCCCTCCTCTTTCAAACGTATTTCAGCTAAAACTACGGGTTCAGCCCTGGCAGCCAGCTGTGATCAAGACTGCTGTCTGCAGGCTCTTTTCACTGGTGTAGAGATTGCCTGATTCTGCATCACCTCTGCCTCACATCTGAGATCCAGAACTGGATGGAGGAATGCAACTGGACTGAGCTTCTGGCTCCTGGACCCTCACTTCAATATGGCCCAAGCCCAAAGGGTCCTCCCCATGATCCAGCTGAGCTCACTAGAGTTCTAGGTTGGCTTGGCCAAAGGGCTGGTTTGCATGTTTTACTCTGTCTTCAGTATATTTCTTTCTTTTAGGGGCATGGGAAAAAAAGGCTGCTCAAGAGCAAACCTGAAGACCCTGTTTATTAGCCATTTCTCTCCCTGCAAGTGACTGGCAATCCATTTTGACTGAACTTGGGATTCTGAGATGCTCCGAATGCCCTCTCTGGTGTTTTTACAGTTGAGGGGAGAAGAGGGTCTGTTCTCCAGGTAATCTAACACCTCAAGGCTCTGGGTAAGTCTGCAAAAAGTTTTCAAAGGCAAATTTGGAAGTGAGAAGGGTTACACGTGATTTTCTGGAATAAAACAAGATTTTATGCTGGTCATGGGAAATGCCTTACTGTTGCTTGTGGGGTTTTGGTGTAGCAGATCATGATGAAATGCAAAAGAAGGCAATGAAAGAAGGAAGAATGTAGACATTTACAGCTCCCATTTATGGAGATTTATATGAGGCAGTCCCTTTTTCTGTATTAACTTATTTAAACCTCATAAAAAGTCACAATTTTATAGGTGAACAAACTGAAGCTTAGAGATGAAAGGTAAGGTAACTTATCCAAGATCAAACTACTAAGTGGCAAAGCCGGGATCCAAACTGAAGTCTTTCTTTTCCAAAGCACATTTCCTAGCCACTGAGAATACTGCTGCCTAATGCTATTCCATATGAATTCATTATATGACTCGCAGACATGCTCTGTATGGAGGTGGGTAAACTATGGCCAATGCTAAATCCGGCTTATTTTTTATGGACCAAGAGCTAAGAATGAATTTTCCAATTTTAAATTAAAAACAAAAACCAAGAGGAATATTTTGTGCGAGAAAAATTACATAAAATTCAAATTTCAGAGCCCAAAAATAAAGCTTTGTAGAAACATAACCATGCCATTCATTTACATTTTGCCTATGGCTGCTTTCATACTACAGGGGCAAAGTTGAGTAGCATGATTGGCAAAGCCTGAAATGTTTACTATCTGCCCCTAGGGCCAGGGAGTTGGGAAGTGTGGGAAGAGTTCAGTGACTGGGATCATCTAAAATTTATCAGGCCAGATACAGTGGCTCATGCCTGCAATCCCAACACTTTGGGAAACTGAGGTGGGAGGATCACTTGAAGCCAGGAGCTCAAGACCAGACTGAGCAACATAAGGAGACCCGTCTCTAAGAAAAAATAAAAATAAATTAGCTGGGCGTGGTGGCACGTGCCTGTAGTCTCAGTTACTCAGGAGGCTGCAGTGAGCCATGATCACGCCACTACATTCCAGACTGGGTGACAGAGTGAGATCGTGTCTCGAAAAAATTAATAAATAAAATTAAATTAATCAAATATCCTTACTTTCCAGTCACCACATTTGTTTACATACATTAGCTCGCTTACTCGTCATTAGAGCTCTTTAAGGAATTATTCCTATTTTTCAGATGAAGAAACTGAGATTTAGAGAGTTTAGGTACTTTCCCTAAGGTCATATAAGTTTCTACTATTCCTCACACAGGTGTAAATTACCATCCTGGATTCTAGGCCAATCTTCCCAACTCCAACATGCAAGCACGCTCTATTACAATGACATAAAATTTAATACCGATTATTAGGACAAAATGTTCATAGACATAAAAGAAAATATGATGTAAGCAGCTCTAAGCACATGAAACCAGTCCTTTCAAAATATCTATGACTGATCTCAAGGCTGTGGGGTTTGAGTAGGTGTGTTCAATATCATTATTAATTATAATTTCATTTACTTATTTAGAGTTTCTAATAGAATCCTATAAAAGTAGTGAATGGGAAGGTGGAATTACTAACTTTTAATTTACTTCCTAAATTATGCTTTCATTAGCATAATTCCTTCACAATTTAATGCAATGTTCAGTTTAGGGCTTGAGAAATCTGTTACTGATGTCTTTAAAAAATTTATTGTCCCAATTAGTACAACCTCTATGGAAAACAGTATAGAGATTCCTTAAAAGCTAAAAGCAGATCTACCATTTGATCCAGCAATCCCACTACTGGGTATCTACCCAAAGGAAAAGAAGACATTACATGAAAAACACACTTGCACACGTACCTTTATAGCAGCACAATTGACAACTGCCAAAGATGTGGACCCAACCTAAGTGACCATCAACTAATGAGTGGATAGAGAAAATGTGGCATATATACACCATGGAATACTACTCAGCCATGAAAAAGAACAAAATAATGTCCTTTGCAACAACTTGGATGGAGCTGGACGCCATTATTTTACGTGAATAACACAGGAGCAGAAAACCAAAAACCATATGCTCTCACCTATAAATGGGAGTTAAGCTATGAGGATACAAACGCAAACAGGGGTATAATGAACTTTAGAGACTCAGAAGGGAAAGGGTGGGAGTGGGGCTACAGATAAAAAACTATACAGTAAGTATAATGTACACTGCTTGGGTGACAGGAGCACTAAAATCTTATAATTCACTGCTATATAATTCACCCATGTAACAAAAAAAACGCTTATACCCCAAAAGCTATTGAAAAAAAAAAAAGTATCCCTTAGGTATACAATTTTTTTTTTGATGCTGTTCTGCATGTGATCTCTTTTTATCATATACTCTAAATGGTTTTGCTAATTTTTACATACATACTCTAAGGGCTTATTTCACATGGTTGACATATGTCTTATCAATTTCCTTGCTCAATTTAATCAATTTAACAATAAACCTGAAAATTAAAATGATTGTGTACATATTGTTAAAACATGTACAGGATCCATAAGCTGAAAATTACAAAATGTTGAAAGCAATCAAGGAGGCTCTCTATATCATGTTTATGGGTTAAAAGACTTAACAGAATAAAAATGTCAATTATCTCCAAATTGATCTATAAATTTCATGCAATTACTATCAAAATCACAGCAAGCCTTTTGGTAGACATAGATAAGTTTGTTTGAAAGTATATATGAAAAGGAAAAAACCTAAAATGGCTAAAATGATTTTGAAAAAGAAGAAAAACGTTAAGGGAATTTATCTGATGTTAGGGCTTACTTTATAGCTAAAGTTGATCACGACAGTGTGATTAGCAGAGGGACACATATTTGAACAAGAACAAAATAAAGAACCCAGAAATAGACCCATATAGATGTGCTGAACTAGATTTTGAAAATGATGCAAAAGTAACTCGATGGAGGAAGAATAGCACTTTCAACAAATGGTGCTGGAGTAACTTGATTATGGTGGGGGTTACATAAATCTATAAATATGATAAAATTGCATGGAACTAAACACACACAAGTACATGTAATGCTGGTGAACTCTGAATAAGGTCTGTGGATTGTATCAATGTCATTCTACAGGCTGTGTTACTGTACCATTGTTAGCATTGGAGGAAACCTGATGAAGAGCACATACGACCTTTCTGTATTACTGTTATTTTTAAAACCACAGTCAGTTCTAGAATATTTTTAACACATCAAAAAGAACCCTGAACCCTTTAGCCATCATTCCCCTATCTCCCACACCAAACTCTTAAGCAACCACTAACCTTCTTTCTGTCTCTATAGACTTGCCTCTTCTGGGCACTTCACATAAAGGGAATCATATAGTATGTGGTCTTTTGTGACTGGCTTCTTTCACTTAGCGTAACATTTACAAAGTTTATCCGTGTTGTAGCATATATCGGTACTTCATTCCTTTTTATGGCTGAATGATATTGCATTGTAAGGATACACCACAAATTGTCTACCCATTCATCAGGTGATGCGTTGTGTTGTTTCTTACTTTTGGCTAACACTGCTGTGAACACATATGTGTGAGTTTTTATGTGGATATACACTTTCAATTTTCTTTGGTATATATTCATAGAAGTGGGATTGCTGGATCATACGGTATTTCTATGTTTAATCAACTGAGGAAATGACAGACTGTTTTCCAAAGTGACAGTACCATTTTACATTCCCACCAGCAGGTTATGGGGGTTCCAATTTTTCCATATCCTCACCAACACTTGTTATTATCAGACTTTTTGATTCCGAGTTAGTTTTACAGCTTCTTGTGAATCTGTAATAATTTCCAAGTAAAAAGTAAAAAAAAAAAAAAAAAGACTTGGTATATCTTGTTATAGGATAAATAATCATAGCTACAAGTCATAGTAATTTTGTTCCTTCATTTGCTAAAGCAATGATTTTCCCCTCATTTTACTGTATTTCCCAGAACTTCCAAAATAATGTTAGAGGGTAATGAGATGGTGGGCACATTTATTCTGATTTCAATTCTTACAGATTTATTTATTTATTTATTTTGAGGCAGAGTCTTGCTCTATCGCCCAGGTGGGAGTGCAGTAGTGCAATTTTGGCTAACTGCAACCTCTGCCTCCCAGGTTCAAACGATTCTCCTGCCTCAGCCACCCAAGTAGCTGAGATTACAGATGTGCACCACCACATCTAGCTAACTTTCGTATTTTTAGTAAAGATGGGGTTTCACTATGTTGGCCAGGCTGGTCTCGAACTCCTGACCTCAAGTGATCTGCCTGCCCTGGCCTCCCAAAGTGCTGGGATTACAGGCGTGAGCCACCATGCCCAGCCTGTTATAGATTTCTCTCTAGCATTTCTATTAAGTATGATACTAATGAGAGGTTTGATACTCATGAACCTCTATCATGGTGAGCAAGCACACTTATATTCCAGCATTTTAAAGAATTTTTAATAAAAGGATGTTGAGTTTTATCAAACACCTTAGTGGCTTTATATAAAATAGTTATATGATATCATCTTATTTAAAGTCTTGATGTGATTCAGGTTCATTAATTCTTAATATTGACTCATTCCTGAATTTTTTAGCTATACCACTTTTAAAATAAGGCAAACTATGGTCACATAAATTATATTAAAAACAATTATAAAATAAAATGTCATACTAATGGGCCCACTGAGCAAAACACTGGAGTGAGCAATGTGCTATTAACATTGTAGAAAGCAACAAAAATAAAATTAATAACAATTTGAATATTTAATATGTATATAGAAGTTGCAAGTGCTTGGCCAGGGGTGGTGGCTCACGCCTGTAATCCCAGCACTTTGGGAGGCCAAGGCAGGAGGATGACCTGAGGTAGGGAGTTCGAGACCAGCCTGACCAACATGGAGAAACCCCATCTTTATCAAAAATACAGAATTAGCTGGGCATGGTGGTGCATGCCTGTAACCCTAGCTACTCGGGAAGCTAAGGCAGGAGAATCGCTTGAACACAGGAGGCGGAGGTTGTGGTGAGCCGAGATCGTGCCATTGCTCTCTAGCCTGGGTGAATCTCCGTCTCAAAAAAAAAAAAAAAGTTGCAAGTGCTGCCTACTTTCTTAATCCTTTCTTCTCTTCAAAGAGATGTAATTTTTAAAAAAAAATAAAGAGAAAGAAGGGAAAGAAAGAGAGGAAAGGGAGAGAGAAGGAAGGAGGAAGGAAGAAAGGAAAAAAAAGTCTACCATGTTCTTGTTTTGCCTTAAATAATTGTGTAAAAGGAGATTTGGTTTGATCAAACCTGCAAGACCCTGCTATAATGAGAAGATCTTTGCTCTCTCTCAAATTATCCTGGTGACCATGGACCGATTTTTCTTAGGTTCCAAATTGTCACTGAAGAACAAATTTATTTTTTCTACAATTTGGTGTTCAACTTCTCTTCCTAATTACAGATTTCTGTATGTTCTTTATCATCCTAAATTTACTGACCTACATGCAAGAGGCACAACAGTTTTTTAGCACGTCACTGAAACTGACTGTGTGAAGCCTGATGGTATTAATGGAAGATGATCTGAATGCAAGAGATGAATTTAATACTCAAAGGACTACAGGGAAACTCAAGAAAATAAATGGAAATTGATGCCATTATCAGTGGACATGATGAAAATTTGTTTAATCTTTGTCCCTGCAAGGCATTGGAGCTCATCTACTACTGGTTGCCCTTCACAATAATGAATGAAAAGCACGCCTTCTAAAATGAGCAGATCTCCCCATGTGTTCAGGGCACAGATGGGAAGCTAGAACGGTGGAAGCAGGTGACTACCTCTCAAATGGGGTCACTCCGGCTAAGGCAGTACAGCTAGAGGTTGGGAACACCATCTGTGAATCAGGGAAACGTGAATTCAAGTCCTGGCTTCTTCAGTTACTAGCCTTATGGCCCCCACTGAATCAATGGATCTAGCTGGGGCTCTGTGTTCTCACTTATACAAGAAGATAGGGTGCGGTGGCTCACGCCTGTAATACTAGCACTTTGGGAGGCCAAGGTGGGCGGACTGCCTGAGCTCAGGAGTTCAAGACTAGCCTGGGCAACACGGTGAAACCCTGTCTCTACTAAAATACAAAAAATCAGCCGGGTGTGGCAGCATGCGCCTGTAGTCCCAGCTACTTGGGAGGGTGAGGCAGGAGAATGGCTTGAACCCAGGAGGCAGAGGTTTCAATGAGCCACGATCGCGCCACTGCACTCCGGCCTGGGCGACAGAGTGAGACTCCGTCTCCAAAAAACAAAAGAAGATAGTAGTAGTAGTTTTACCCTTGGGTTGTTGATAGCTTTGAATGAGATAAGCTTGATGGATGGCTGTTTACTAAACATTATTGCTGTTATTATTAATATTGGTAAGTGGAGTCACTGTTACCTAGATGGCACCAGTGCCATTTAAATACTCACTGATCTTTTAAAACTGCCACTAAATGTAAAAGATTCGACCTCTCAATTATTTTTCTTAAAAACAAGGTGACTGATGTATACGTTCTTCATTGCAAAGGCCCCAGCGATTTTGGATGTAAAACTGAGAGCTAGTTTGGTTAATGTATTAATAACTAATCAGCATGCAGTATATGGCTTTCTGATGCATAACATCTTGGTATCTCCTCTCTCCAAATGAGGCAGCTTGCTCCGATGAGGAGTGGGGTCAAGAAAAACATCTTAGAGGACAACGTAACTTCTTCTTTTGCAGTTCTCTTTGGCTGTGGGGAAAGACACCTTCTTAGTCTGGTCAGTTTTGTCCTTCCTACTTCAGTCCCTGGATGCAGCCGCAACACGGCTGGTTTGCTTCCATTTGCAGAAAGCAACACAAGAAGACTGACTATAAGTTAGAGCTTTCTCCACGGCCCCAGGCGAGAGGCCAAAGGGGTCAAAGCAAAACAAGCAGAAATCTGTGAAACCTAATAGTTAAACAACTAAACAGCGTATCACTTTCCTGAGGTTAGGAAAAGCAAAGGGGTAACAAAGATAACCAGAGGATTTGTCAGTCAAGTGAAGATGACACCCATCAAGGGCCAACCTGGACTTGCTCACAGGTACAATTTCAAAAACACGCCTCTTTTCCTCTAGTAGGAAAACAGACAATTCCCATGAAAACAGATCTGAAGGCCGTAAAATCCCAAGCCCTGTCTTAAAGTATACAAATTAAGCATCGCATTTATCACATGAATTCGATTTGGTCTGCAGTGGTGAAGAGCCTTCATTTAGTCCACAGGACTCTTGACAGTCATAAATGAAACATTGTCAGGAGAAGGAATAACAAGTAAAAGTGAACTCACTCCTTCAGGGACTTTATAGCTTTGACAGTGATCTGAGCCAAAGCCCAGCTGCCCAGGGGCTCCTGGACAGCAGCGCTCACTCACCAGCCTGCAGGTCATACCCCTCATGCCTGTGCGGCAGCTAAACGCAGGTCAGCACTAGCCAGATGTTCCACCCGCAAATGCTAGGGGGGTGAGCAGGACAAACCAGGCTTAACAGCAAACGCTTGAACAAAAGAAAAAAGAAGGGGCCAAGGTGAACACTCTCCCCATTCTGCCCAACTCACCTTCACCAGGAAGAAGGACACGCCATATGTGCGGAGGGACCGTGCGAGTTTGACGTACTTGACCTTGGCTTCTATCTCACTCATCTCTCCGCAGTTCTTATGCTCCTGCAAAAGTGACAGTGGTCGGGACCAGTTATTGCATCTCTGCCAGCAGGTGGACTTGGAGAGAGGTAGTTACTGTATGTGGTGGAGATAAATGGCTAGGAATGATCATTAAGTGATGGTTGTGTCTGAGACCCCTCCATGACACAGGCAACTGCTGACCAAGGATCAGAGCATGCAGGAAGTTCTAACACAGGGATTTCAAACCAGAGTTTGAGCCCAAACAGCCTACATTACTTCACAACTAAATGTGACAATCCATGCACACATGCAGTGTGGTGGGAACAGGGTCCATAACTGTAATCACATTGTCAAAGGACTCCACGTCCCAAATGGTTGAGAGCCAAGACTTTAAATGATACCAAGAAAAAGTTCTTATCAGGAGAGGTGTCATTCTAACATCCATCCTCAATGTATTGGCTGGGTGTGGTGGCTTATGCCTATAATGCCAACAGTTTGGGAGGCCAAGGTGGCTAGATCATTTGAGATTAGGAGTTTGAGACCAGCCTGGCCAACATGGTGAAACCCCCTCTCTACTGAAAAAACAAAAATTAGCCATGTGTGGTGGCACATGCCTGTCATCCCAGCTACTTGGTAGGCTGAGGCACAAGAATCACTTGAACAGGGCGGGGGGAGGTACGGAGGTTGCAGTGAGCTGAGATCGCCCCATTGCACTCCGTCTTGGCTCTGTCTCAAAAAAAAAAAAAATATCGTTTTCCATAGAATAGGGTAAATACACGCCTGTGCACGATAGTACTCAGAAACAATACTGGAGAAAAGAATGTTTTATACGCATGAAATTTGTATTTTAATTTATATTTACATTTCAGGATCAAAGTAGACTTTGGTATCTTGGATTCCTTAGAGTGTTTCATGGCAAAGTTTGTGTTAAGGCTTTTCTTACTGGTTGCGTAGACTGGACAAGTCTCTGACTTTTAGGATAATTCTGGATTTTTAAAAGGCACTAATTTCCAAATTCCACTTTCAAAAAACAAATCTCAGGACAAAGAGGCTACTTGTAGATCCTTCCTCAATGCATGTTAACAGTCTATCACCTTGTTTCAATGTTACCAAGATAATGCCTTTGAAATTAAATGTATGCACATTTTTCTCAGAAGGGCTAGGTAACCTTTAGCAAGAAAATATGGATTAAGATAATAAATCTGCCCAAAGTAGGACTGTCAGCTTCTATACTCTTGAGTCACTAATCATTTATTATATCAGAGTACAGGCACGAGGTATAAAACTACCATGCGCAGAGGCCCCCTCACACTAATAAATGAGGATGGGGAGTGAGGAGAATAATAAAGTTCTGTACATTTCCAATACCTGAAAGATCCTCTTTTCAGCTCCTCTCTGCTTGATATATTCTTTGGGCAGGAATTCCTTCAGACTAAGAGAGAGACATTTAAAAAGGAAAGGCATTTATCATGTTCCATGATGAGAAGCAAAGCAAAGACATTTAATAAAACTCATAGTTAACTCACTAAGTCTCCCAATATTTTATAGAGTAATTAATAACAGACTGCTATATCCTACGATGCACTTGAATAAGGGCACGGACATAAAACTAGTATGATAGAAAAGGTCAAACTAACATATTTAAAGAAAAAAGAAATTCCAGGATCTATTGTAAAGTGAAAAAAAAAAAAAAGAGCACAAGAGTATATAGTATGCTATCTTTTGTAAGAAACAAAGGAAATATTTATTTTAAAAACACTATTTTCTATTGTCTACGTATTTTTAAAAAATAATACAAAGATAAACCTAGTACTAATAAAAATGGTTCTCCATGGAAGAGGCGAAAAACAAGGAGAAGGGAACAAGTATGGAAACTAAACTTGCCTATTTCTTTTATTGTAGTTTTCACTTTAGAACCACATGAAATTGCAAAAAAAAAAAAAAAAAAGCAACATCTAAAAATCTAAAGCAAACTAAAACCGTCTATCAAGCTGACAGCATAACTACAGGAAGAATAATTATGTCAAGTAACTGCAAAACAGTCTTTTGACTGTGTATCCCTTGTAAGATATTATGGGCAAAATAAGCCATAGTAGACTTGTTAGTAAAAATATTAGTATTTAAAATTAACATCCACTTTCCCTCCTGTCTATACACAGACACACACACACACACACACACACACAATTAAATTAGGATATTACATTATATATAAGTAGGATGTTACATATAATTAGGATAAAGTAAATGAGTAATTATGGTTGCTGTTAGGAACCAAGCTTTTCAGCATAAAATAGATAAAAATAAACAAAATGCAAAAAGACTTGGCTAAACATTCTGCATCTTTTATTTGAACTAGAAATACTGGCCTGAGTACCTGATTCATTTTTCTTTTCCTGAAAAACAATTTCTAGCTATGTCCAGTTTAAAGGCCAGGAACAAGCACAACCTGGTGGCAACCCCCCGACACCACCCCCCAACCCCGGTGCCTAGGCCAGGTGGTGTTCTAAATACCATTTCCACTAAAAGGAACCAGTGAGTCTCAGATAAATCACTGACTCTTGGTCTGAGGCAGGAAATGTATAAAATGTTCCTGGGACTTCTTGTGGCTTGAACCAAGGAAGCTACCAAGATAATACTGGAGCCAGTATCAGTGAATTCCCATTAGCCAAAAATTGGATGATTTAAAACTTTATATTGAAAAAGAGAGAACAAAATAATAAACCCATCCATCCAGCCTCGAGAGTTATCAACTCATGGCCAATCATGACTCATCTATTTCCCCATCCCACTGACCTCCCCTGGATTATTCCGAAGCAAATCCCAGACATCATATAATTAATACCATGTGATGGGGCAATTTGAGCATCAGAAAAAGGATGACCACAGTAAGTTAAAGCACAGATATTTCATACCTACAAAGATTTTTTTAAAAAATCATTGGTCACCTTAAGAGACTGCTAAGGTCCCAACTCATACTGAAAACTGTAAATGAGGAGAAAGAAACAAGTATTTATTCTGATGTTTCTAAATGTTGATGAGGGCAAGAATCACAGCTAATAAATGTAGAAAAAATAAAAGAAGTCCAAAATCATCATTATACAACTCTTACTGAAATAAATGATAGATCAAAGCACATTTCAACGGCTATAAGACAAAAAAATAACAACTTGATCGGGAACTTTTTAATAGATTGATGGATTTGATAACATCTAAACCCAATGATCAATTTTAATATTAATCAAAGCAGAATAACCAGATAATATATGCCTCCCAACTGATACAAAATGAAGTATACAGCACCACCTAGGAAGTATTCTTGGCAATAAAGAATAAGTAAATACATAATTGAAACTGAATTTAATTGAGCCCCTAGATCTAAATAACAGTTTACAAAAAGAAGAATAGGGGAGCATGTTCAATGATACCATCAGGATACAATTAGCCAAACCCAAACACAAGAAATTCTATAAAAATAACTTAGTTTCTTCAAAAATAAATAGTTTGGTAGTAGTGGTGAAAAGGAGGACATAATAATAAATTAAAAGAGATACAAGAAATATATTTACTACAAAGCCATAGTAACAAAGACAGTGCAGTAATGATGTAAGAACAGATACACAGGTCAATAGAATAGAATTGAGAGTCCAGAAATTAACCCTCACCTTTACAGTCAACTGATTTTCAACAAGGGTTCCAAGACAATTCAGTGGGGAAAGAATACTTTTTTAAATAACTGGTGCTAGGACAACAGGATGTTCACATGCAAAAGACAGAAATTGGACCCCCTACTTCACACCATACACTAGAATTAACTCAAAATCTATGACAGACCTAAATGTAATAGCTAAATCTATAAAACTCTCAGAAGAAAATACAGGAGTAAATCTTTACAAACTTGATTTAGGCAAAGAGTTTTTAGATACAATACCAAAAGCACATGTAGTAAAAGAAAAAAAATAAAATGGACTATTTCAAAATTATAAACTTTTAAATTGCAGATACCACCATCAAGAAAGCGAAAATACAATCCATAGAATGGGGGAAAATATTGGCAAATTATGTATGAGGAAATTACAATATATACAGAATATATAAAAAACCTTTAACTGATAATGAAAAGACAAACACCCAATTAAAAATGGGCAGAGGACATGAACAGTCATTTCTCCAAAGAAGAGATACAAATGGCCAATAGGCACATGAAAGCATGTTCAACATTATTAGCCACCAGGGAAATGCAAAGAAAAACCACAATGTGATACCAATACATACCCGCGAGGATGGCTACAATAAAAAAGATGGACAACAGCAAGTGTTGACAAAGGCATAGAGAAACTGGAACCCTCATACACTGCTGGCGGGAATGTACAATGGTACAGCTGCTGTAAAAAAGTTTGGTAGTTCCTTAAAATATTATACAGCAATTCTGCTCCTTGACATATGCCCAGAAAAAAATGAGAACACTCCCACACAAAAACTTGTACACAAACGTTCACAGCAGCATTATTAATGATAGCCAAAAGATGATAATAACTCAAAAGTCCATCAACTAATGGATAAAATGTGGTTTCTCCATACAATGGAACATCATTTGGATCTAAAGGAAGTACTGAAATATGTTACAACATGGAAACACTGTGCTAAGGGAAAGAAGGCAGTCACAAAGGAACAGTTGTATGATTTCACTAATAAGAAAAAAAGAGAGATTCCAAGTTCATCAGAAGGAGGGATCTAAGAAATATCTAATCTGCAGCAGTTTAGATATTAAAATTATCATTAAGCAACTCCATGGGCAAAAATGAATGATTCAGAGAGAATTGGACGGCACCAACATCACAAAAGAGGAAGCTGAGTTTCAGAGAGGTAAAGACTTAGCTGAAGGCACAGGACTTGTGAGTAAGTAGCAGAGAGCCTCTGACCTCCCAGAACAAAAGTGGGTCCACCTGAACACACAGCTGCTTCAGGCTTTCTCCAGGGGCCCATTTAAAATAAGGAAGTGGCATCATGAGAGAACCGTTGCTGCCAGCCTCTAGGCATTGGCTCCTCCATCAGCAACAGAGACGTGGTTAAGGTTAACAAAAGCACCCAAAAAGGGCTCCATGTCAAGCCCTCTCAGAGCAATGGCTGTCACTAGAAGAATACCAGATGGTGGTGTCCAGGGGACCAGCAGGGGTAGAATATGCTGACCACCACTGGCAAGAAAGTCCTGTACTGCAGCAAGCGCCCTTCTTTCAAACTCCGCCAAACCAGCCCATCCGAATCTGCCTCCTATGCAGTCTTCAGGAGTTACTAAAACCAACATCAGAAGGTGCACTAGAGGTGTTACCCCTGAGGTCTCAAGAATCGGTTTGTGGGGAGTTTAAAAACCATTTTAAGATATGAATAGTGTGTGCATGTGTGTGGCATGTATTTTCCCCAGTAAATCAGCCGTGTGTGGGTGCCATGTCAGCACGGAGCAGGCAGGGTGTCATCAAGGCCTGCCAGCCAGCAGCGCAGTAGTTCCAGCTCAGTTGTTGTTTTGATTACCAAACCTGAGTCTGGAAGGTTCCTAACATCTGGGACATGTATACAAGTGCAATCTGTCAGCCTTGTCAGAGAAAAAATGGGTCAGACTATCAAAGTTGATTGGAAATTTTCCTAATTAAGCAAGTTCTGGTCAAGCAAAATCCCTCCCACTGTCTCCTTAAATTGTTCTCACCTTAAAAGGGCAGCCATCTACAAACTGTGCATTGAGAACTCACTTCTCCGCCAAACCCTACTGCCAGCCTTTTAAGCATGGCCCTTTCTGAATGCAGTCATAATAGCAGATCCTCTATTCCAGTAAAGTTAGTACACTAATCTCTAATAGACTCAGTAAGATCCATGAGAGGTTGAAAGTTCGCAGCCAACAGACTCCTCTCTCACAAACCCTGACTTCTGCTCTGGTCAAGTCCACTGTATTTGTTCTCCAATTTGTTGCAGCTGGCTGGAGAGCACATGATTATATGATACACTGACATAGCCCATGAGCTGCTGAAATAGTATAAAAATTGAGCTACTGCATTCTTCCTAAGGGTAATAGTTGTAAAATGTATCAAATGACATATAGATAGCTGTCAAATACTGAAAAGGAAAAAAATCATGGAAATCTAAAGATATTCTGTCCTCAGATTGCTTCATGGTTGTCTTTAAATTCCTTCACAGATGATGCATTATGCATGGTTCATGCAAGACACTGCAGAAATCCAATCAGGAGATGCACACAAGAAAAAACCTTGGCCCTACATCAAAACAGTAGCAACAAATGTGTAAGTTCAAAGTTAGAATAATGGGTTTCAAGTGGTACATGTCACCTGTTATGATTCTACATTTTAAATGACTTTTTGGATTATCCAACTAATAGTCCAAACCAGGTTGAGAGAGAGTTTCTACAATTAAAACAGCTGCCATTTTCTGAAGGCCAAACCCTGTTTCAGGTGCTTTACAAGCACCAGCAGATTAACTGAGTACTGACAAAAGCCGTGGGAAGCCGGCATCTTGTAACAAGCCCTTTAGATAATTCTACACACTGACTCTGAGGCTCAGCGATGCTAAGTTGCCCAGGGTCACAGCACACACGCCGTCTCATCCGTGGGCACTGGGGACCATGCTCTGGGCCACTACGCACCCTGACCCCTCCAAGTTACCCTGTAGGCAAACAACATCCCACGTGATCAGTATTTCAGACCCTGTGGAATAAAATAATAATCAGAATATGACAATGAAGACCAGGTGGTGGCCACTGAGTTTTATAGAAATGCCCAGAAGCCAGTGGAATCAGGGAAGGGGAATTTAACACATTTAGGGGAGCAGGATCTGAATTCAAACACAGATGTCACCAAAACTTCATTTTCTACTATTTGAAGGATGAGTTGCAATTTTGTTATTTTATTGTATATATTCAAAGAATACAACGTGATGTTTTCATATAATATATAGTGAAGGAATTTCTACAGTCAAGCAAATTAATGTAACCATCATCTCAGTTTCTATGTGTGTGGTAAAATTTACTCTTTGTAAATTTCCTTTGTAAAATTACCTAAAATTTACTCTTTGCAAATTTCTAGTATACAATAGTATCAACTATAGCCCTCACACTGTACATAAGGAACATTAGGCCTCTAGACTTATTTATGCTATGTAACTGAGCCTGTGTACCCTTTGACCACTATCTCCCCATTTCCCCACCCTCAGTAACCACTTTCCTACCGTTTCTATGTATTTGAGTTCTTTGTTATGTTTTAAGGTTCCACATAAGTGAGATCACACAGTATTTTCATTTCTCTGTGTGGCTTATTTCACTCAGAGGACATAATAATGTCCTCTAGGTCCATCCATGTTGTCACAAATGGCAGTATCTTCACTGTTAAGGCTAAATATTATTTCACTGTGTGTACATAATCGAACCTCATTTTCTTATGTAAAATTTAAGCTGCCTCTACAAGTAATTCCAAAAGAGAAGTTCCAAAGATGTTTCCTAGTCTGACCGTAAGTTACAAGCACACAGGGAAGCAGCAATGATTTGGAGAAATGTGAACTGCCTCTTATCTGTCCCAGGGCTGCCATCAAGTCACTGCATGACCACAGGGAAGTCACCGTTTCTCTAAGTTGGTTTTTATCACTTGAAAAGGAGAGGCTTACAACCTATGAGTGTTATCGCTCATACGAATTGAAAACAAGGGATGTCGCCTCATTTGTGAGAGCGGAGGGGATCCACATGAACATACAAACAAAGCAGCAGAGTATCCACTCAGCACAGGGTAGAGGAACAGAGGGGAGGGATGGTGGAGGTACAATAGGGACAGCATCACCCAAAGGATGCTGGAACACCCAGGATCCTGACTCCAACTGTGTTGTTGAATCACCAAATGATTAACAACAACATGTCAAATCTGGTATCACATAAGCTTCTCAGAGTGTGGCCCCAGGACCAGCAGCATCCACCTGGGAATGTGACAGAAATGCCAGTGTTCGCCAGGCACGGTGGCTCACGCCTGTAATCCCAGCACTTTGGGAGGCCAAGGCGGGCGGATCACTAGGTCAGGAGATCGAGACCATCCTGGCTAACATGGTGAAACCCCGTCTCTACTAAAAAATACAAAAAATTAGCCGGGCGTGGTGGTGGGCGCCTGTAGTCCCAGCTACTCGGGAGGCTGAGGCAGGAGAACGGCCTGAATCCGGGAGGCGGAGCTTGCAGTGAGCCGAGATCATGCCACTGCACTCCAGCCTGGGCGACAGAGCGAGACTCCATCTCAAAAAAGAAAAAGAAAAAGAAATGCCAGTGTTCAGGCTTCATCCCACACCTGCTGGATAAGAGGCTCTGGGGGTGAGGCCCGGCATCTTGTAACAAGCCCTTTAGATAATTCTGATCAGATGAAGTTGGAGAACCACTGACACAGTGGGCTGAAAGCTCAAATTACAGATTCAAACACACTTGGATTTGAATCCAGACTCAAAGGTCAAAATGTCTGCAACTGAGTGTAGCAGTTAAGTTCTGAAGTTCTGGTTAAGTGAGGTGATAACACAGGTGGAGGGAAGCACTGAGTGAGCTGGGAAACGCCTAGAGTGGCAAGAAAAAGTGGAAACAGAAAACAGCTTGTTAGTCAGTTTGTGTTGCTGCAAAAGAATACCACAGACTGGGTAATGACCGGTCTTTTAATTATATTCAATTATACTTAATTCTATAATTTATAATTCAATTATAAAGAACAGAAAATTTATTTCTGCACAGTTCTGGAGGCTGGGAAGTCCAAGGTCAAGGCACTGGCAGGTTCAGCTGTCTGGTATGGGTGGCATGCTCTGGAGAGGAGAGAAAGGCTGTGTCCTCACAAGGCAAAGGAGCAGAAGACCAAGCAAGGTGAATGCTGCGTGAAGCCTCTTTTCTAAGGGCCTTAATCCCAGTCATGAGGGAAAAGCCCTCATGACCTAATCATGTCTTGAGGCCCCACCTCTTAGCGCTATCACACTGACAACACCCAAATTTTGGAGAGAACACATTCAAACCACAGCAGCATGGGAGAAACTAAGAACTGGATTTGAAGACCTATCTTGGTCACACAGCAGTTCTGTCATCCTGAACCAATCCAAATGTCCTTTAATATAAGGACACGCCACTGCCCAGGAACTCAGAGACAGCTCAGGGCTGGATACCCTCAGCGGTTCCTGGTTTGAAAGTAGTTAGGGAGACAGGCATCAACCTCAGAAGACAGCTAGGATGAAACAATACAGACACTATTGAATGGTCACTACCTCCCAATACTGAGAGGATAGGAGAGCTCCGGGCTGTCAGAAACACAAGACAAAAGTTCACTGGGAGGAAGTACGCAAGTGGCTTTTTATTGCACTTTACTTTTAATTTAGTGGGAGGATGGTGGTGAAGAAGAGAATCAAGGGCCAAATTATTCTGACAAAAGCACACACAGATGACCAACTCCAAAGGAGGAATATGTGTTTGAACAGAGGCCAAGTGAAAAACTGGCTTAAGACCTCCTACTGGGTCAAAAGCTTTGCTTGTTGACAGTAGAATTATCTTGAGTTTGTGGGGGAAAATTTCCAAGTCCACTGTGAATTCTTTCTCAACAAAGATTCATACCCTGGGTTGCTTTGTTTTCTCAGTAAAATACTTCCGAGGAATTCCCAAACAGGAAGCGGGGCTGTGAGAGTCAAGGATGAGGGAGGTTTCCTAAGCCTGTGACCTGCCTGCCCACACTCAGCCCTTGGACAATTTCTTCACGTAACACGCAGACTCATGGAACCTTTCTGTCTGGCCTCCAGTGCCTATTACTTTTGCCTTTGCCATGTGTTAAATATCCAACTTTGGTGAATATAAGTTTTATCACTTCAAGCCCAGACTACTGCAACCACCTTTTTTTAAAAAAATGTTAAGTGAGCTGGGTGTGCTGTCTCAAGTCTGTAATCCCAGCACTTTGGGAGGCTGAAGAGGGTGGATCGCTTGAACCCAGGAGTTCGAGACCAGCTTGGGCATCAAACTAGGACCCCATACAAAAGTTAGCTGGGCATGATGGTGCATGCCTGAAGTCCCAGCTACTTGAGAGGCTGAGGTGAGGGGACTGCTTGCACCAGAGAGGTGGAGGCTAAGATGGCGCCACTGCACTCCAGCCTGGGTGACAGAGTGACACCTTGTCTCAACAACAACAACAACAACAAAAATAGTTGAGTGTGAAACATTTCAAATTATAGAAAAGTATATGCCTTATAAAGTATATACCTACCACCAAGGAGAAATACATATTGACATGTTGTCATATCTGCTTTATGACTGCTACTTCTCTTCTGTTATTAAAGTAGAGATTACAGAATTAGTGGAAATCCCATATCCTTTCTTTATTAGGTAGCCACTTTTTTTTTTTTTTTTTTTTTGAGACAGTTTCCCTCTTGTTGCCCAGGCTGGAGTACAATGATGCATATCTCAGCTCACTGCAACCTCCGCCTCCCAGGTTCAAGTGATTCTCGTGCCTCAGCCTCCCGAGTAGCTGGGATTACAGGCATGCACCATCACGCCCAGCTAATTTTGTATCTGTAGTAGAGACAGGGTTTCTCCATGTTTGTCAGGCTGGTTTCGAACTCCCAACCTCAGGTGATCCACCCACTTCGGCCTCCCAAAGTGCTGGGATTACAGGCGTGGGCCAACGCGCCCAGCTGCCACTTTTTTGAAGTTAGTTTCCACAGATATTTTAATATCTTCCTGTATCTCCTTGTGTCTATAAAGAATAATACATCCGGTTTCTCTTTGTGTATATATTTTTAAATATAAAGATTCATATTCTGAAATACCTTGTTTCCTCTATAAAGAACCTTGGTTGTCTTCACACATTTAAATGTATGCCCATCTGAGAGACATGAAATGCTCTGTCCCTTTTGATTTTGTATTTTCTGAATCACTTATTAGGTTAAACATCTTTTCATGTCTTTATAAGTCAACTACATTTCCTTCTCTTTGAAGTATATACTGCTATCCTGGGTGATCTTTTTCTTAGATTTTTTTTTTCTTTTTTAATATCTTCTGGATATTAATCTGATCTTGGAGTATGCATTGCAAATATGCAAATTTCTTTTTCCAGTTTGGAGCTTTATTCTTGATGAGGTCTTTTCCTAATAAGATACTCTAATTTTAATAAAGGTAAATTTATCAATCTTTTGAATTACTATATCACCTTATGATACTAATGTAGTGTTTTAATTACTTTACCTTTCTAAAAAATTGTGGTAGTTGTATGAGTCCTTCATATATCTTCAATTAGTCTTTACCATTCTTGAGCCTTGACTAGTTCATATTAATTTTTAACAGCTTTATTGAGATGTCCATTTTAAGAATAAGTTTTCTCATTATTATGTAAGTGACTGGAATTGAACTGAATCTGTAAGTTTGGGTAGAAGTACTTTACCTGATACAAGTCTTCCTACCCATTAACATAGCAATAACATAGCATTTACTCAGACTTCCTTTTATGCTCCTCAATAAACTTTTATCATTTTATTGGTGAGATCTTGGAGATCATTGGACAGCTGTCTTCCTAGGTAAATTATACTTTTTGTAACTACTATAAAAGGTAACTCCCTTTTTTCAATTATATTTCCTCTTTTTTGATTTGTATGGGAATACTATTTGCTATTATATGTTGATTTTTTTTTTTCTAAAGACCACACTTAAAAGTCTTGTTAATTCTAGTAAGGTTCTCTATAGACTGACTGATTATCTATGTAGATAATCCTATCACCTGCAACTAATGACAGTTTGTTCAATCCTGATATGGTTTAGCTCTTTTTCTTTCCTTATTGCACTCATTAGGATATTTAGTATCATGTTGATAAGAAGCACTGAGAGCAAGCATCCTTCTGGACATTAAAGGGAATTAATATTAAACTATTAATTATCATACTTGTTTAGACTAAGAAGGTTTTCATGAATTTCTGGCATGCCATGAAGTTTTTCTTTTTGTCATCAAGATTATTTTATTTTATGAAATTCTTTCTCTCCAGTAATTAAGACAATCATATAGTCTTTTTAAAAAAAATCGCACATGGTAAACTATATAAACAAATTTTCTACTGTGAAAACGTGTCTCTTGGTAATCCATTCTAAAATGTCAAATTCTCTCTCAAGGCCCGGCGCTGTGGCTCAAGCCTGTAATCCCAGCACTTTGGGAGGCCGAGGCAGGAGGATCAGGAGATCGAGACCATCCTGGCTAACACAGTGAAACCTCGTCCCTACTAAAAATACAAAAAATTAGCCGGGCGTGGTGGCAGGCACCTGTAGTCCCAGTTACTCGGGAGACTGAGGCAGGAGAATGGAGTGAACCCGGGAGGCAGAGCTTGCAGTGAGCCGAGATCACGCCACTGCACTCCAGCCTGGGCGACAGAGCAAGACTCTGTCTCCAAAAAAAAAAAAAAAAAACTCTCTCAATCCCTAAAATACACCAACTCCCTATTCCCCCTTTCTGCCTTTTTATCTTGGCATTCATCATCATGAATATATTATGTATTTTACTTACTTAATAGTTATCATCTTTCTTTCCGCACTAGAATTTAAGTTCCATGAGGGCAGAAATGTTTGACTGTGTCTTTCACTGCTGTATCTCCAGTGTCTAGTGTCTACCCCGTAGAAGGCACTCAACAAATTATTTGTTAAATAAATGAATTTTGCCTCCTTTAAAGAAACACTATTTAGTTATAATTTGCACTTACACACGCACATATGTCATGTTGGACTTAGTTAATATTTGATCAACTTTTGTGAGGAAGACATCTATATTCAATTTAAAAGCTTTCTATTGTCTGTATTCATTTTGGTATTACAGTTCTGCTAGTTTCAAATTAAGGAGAGGAGCTTTACTTTTTTATTTTCTGAAATAACCTGGGCCTAGTGTTTGTTGTTTTTTGACTGGTATATTTTAAACTGATAAGTCAATTTCTTTCAAGATTGTAAATTTATTTCAATTTTCTAATTATCCATTTTTTCTAAATTTTCCTAGTTTATCACATTCTCAACTGCTTTTTAACATCCCTTAACCTTATTTTGCCTTTTTCTGCTTTTGTTTTTCTTGATCAAATTTACCCAAGGTTTATTAAGTTTTTTAAAGAGCCAGCTTTTGGGTTTATTGATTCTCTGTGGTTTCTATTTCATTACTTTCTTTTAAATATCTTATTTCTTCTATTTTGATCTTGTTCTACTAATCATTCACTGAGGGAAGTATGTTAAATTACTTTACTAAAACTGCATATCTGAAATTTTTGCAATACAGTCTATTTTTCCTTTATATACATTTAAGGCAGTGTTAGGCACATATACAGGTTCACAATTATTTAGTATCCTGATAAATTAGTCCTTCTGTCTTTATAATCTTCTTTATCTCTACTTACGCTTTGTTTGCCTTACAGTCTATTTTGTGTAACACCAAATGTAGCTGCTCCAGCAGCTACATTTTTGATTTAAGTAGAAATTTCCTGGTTTATCAGTTTCAATGCATTTAAACTTTTCTCTGTCATTCTCTCTGCTCTTTGTCTAAAATTGTGTCTTTTAGAGATAGTATAGACCTGGACTTACAAAAAACTTCCATTCAATGAGAATCTCTGTTTATTAATTGCTGCATTTCATTTACTTACATTCAGTATGATGCCTAATATATTTAAAAGTGTTTACCATATCTTATTCCATACGTTCTTTTCACTTTGTTTCCATAAGCCGCCCTGCACTTCTCCTATTTTAATGGTCAACATACCTGCATTTCTTCCCTCCTACCCCTACTGGCTTGAAAGCTATACAGGTTATTTCTTGTTTGTTTTGACCAGTATTAAAACTTTATTAAAGAACTTGTGAAGTCTGGTTTCTTTCATTATTTCCATATGCAGTCTATCTATATTCTCTTAGGCTATGTTCAATTTTTTTCCCAACAATTTTCTTATGAAAAATTCCAAACACGGCACAATGTTGAAAAAATAGTGTACTAACATTCTATATCTGTCACCTAGAGTCACCTTCAATTTTATCATGTATACTTGATTTAAGAGCTGAAGTCTACCAGTAACTCTCATCTTCTCCAATAAAATATAGAAGGCTTTTACTCTGACCACTTCTTAAAGTTATCCACAGTGTTTTTAAAGGTCTAGAAATTAGTCATTATTATGTTTTGTTGTGGCTGTTTTAAGAGTTAATTCTTCTTTACATTGACCTTCTACTTTGTCAATTTCTTTAATCAACATTGCGTCTTGCATGATACTCTTCCCACCTTTTTAGAAACAATCCATAGTAGTCTCCATAGTCTACTTCCTGAATAGACCATCCTGCACTTAAAATACAGTTTAAAAGTTGGACTTTGTTGAGATGATCAGAGCCAAGTTTTGGTTCTGCATAATAACCATTTCATATACTTATCTGCCACATAGACTGTAGATTCAAAAACAGCAAGGAATTAGTATATAATATCTCCCTTGTATCTTCCCTGTACCTGACACAATAAAACACATCTGCAAGTTCTCAATGAGTTAAAGAAAAACACCAGGCTCACATATAGGTAACAAAATTTCACATGAACCCCACACATTTGTACAAAATTCCACATCACATGGCATATTTTCTGCAAGCATTTTCTCAACACAGAAAAGCATAAAGCAAATACCTGATTACTAGATTATGTGTTGTTTTTACTTCATGCACCAATAAAATGTCCCTTCTTAGGACCCTTTGAAGGTGACCTGAGGAAAACTGTCATGTAGATAAAGCACATCAGACTCAATTAAGGAGAACTGGCTTTTTCCTGGCTCCCCACACTTGACTGTTCTGGGCCTTGTCTCTGTCTCTCTCTAGCACTTATTCTCCCCATCAATAAAGTAGATGGATATATTAAATCATCCTTAAATCCCTGAAAACTCTGAAAATCTTTCAAGCTCTGATGATTTTCATTATTCTAAATGAGTACCTTCACTAAAGTAACAAATCCAGAAATCACTGGAGAGTCTGAAGAAAGTTCGAAGCGAATCTCATAAAAATGTCCATATTGCAACTTCGAGCAAAAATGCTGAGCAAATTTTCAAAAAATTAAAAGATATGCCCTTGTTCACATTCCTATGTACCTGCCTCAGAAACTACGTAACTGAAATTTCTGGGGGTTGCATCTTCAGCATGACTGTCACAAGTCCAACCTTCTCATTATTATTTTAAAACCCTAAATTGTTTAAGCAGATCACACATATGAAAGCTAGATTGGGAAAGATATAAAGGCTGCAAAAGAGAGCCCAGCCAGTCACCAGGGACAGCCCAGGTAAAAACAGGACCTGACTATCCAACTCGCAAATCAGCAAAATGTGGCCTCGCTGTTTTGTTTTAATTAAGAAGGGACTTATATCCTCAAGAAGTTTTACCTGCATGGTATAAGCAATAATGTACCCAATTAAATATCTACATTAAGTAAAAATGCCTCATTACCTAATTTGGCCTAATTAAAAAGTAAATCAAATTCATAAGGAAAAACAATTGCCACCAGGCAAAACCACCTTATTTTAATTTGGAATCTGAATAAGGGTACAGGTACCACTACAGGCATAAACTTGATATTATAATCTTACAAAAAAAGAAACAAACTCAATGCAATTGCTTAACTCTTGTGGTCTCAGATTATTAAGGGAAGAATACTGTTGCTGGAGTGTGAGTGTGGAGCATTCAATAGGACCACAAACTGCAGGACCTAATTTTAAGACCAATACCAATGCTTTGATGTTAGTTTGTAATCTCGACACAGGCAGTCAGCTGTACAGTAACATTCATGATGATTTGGTTGGTACGACCCATCATACTAGGAAGTAGACCAAAGCACCTTGTAATCCCAGTTTTAAGTACCTTTGCTGCATAGTGGGAGACCAGTGAAAGGGGCAACTTTGCCTTTCACTGAAAGCAGGAATGCCTTTGAAAATGAGAACCCGGTGTTAGAAGTCAGAAGCTATTTGCGGAGAACCTCTTTAAGTAAGTGTGAACAAGCCACTTCTCTCTCTGCTGCTTCTTCCATATCTATCAAATAAAATACTATGTTCTCAATTCACAGGGAGTCCTGAGAACTAGTTGCCCCTGGGCTATGGAGAAAGGGAGCTAATAAAATGACCATGGTGGCATCATCATCAATATAGGAACCCGGTGAATGACTACATTCGGATCGCCTTCCTACCAGGGAGACATAGATTCACAGCTACAAATGCCTAAAAATAGGTAAACGTTTTATTTCCATTTTTTAAAATTCATCAATCTTCCCTCCATTTTCTATTTGTCACCAGTCACTCTAGCAACAGAAACAAAATGTTGTTTCCTCCAAGGCCCCTCTAGCTCTTGGTGTTTATTCCTCAATATCCGTGGCCATAATCCTCAGGCTGATGACATCAGTTGTATCTGAGGGGCCAGCCGTGAGGCTAGAAGGTGGGAACGTGGAAACTGCTAAAGGAACTTGTGCACATGGCCTTCGATAGGTGGCGGAAGAGAAGGGGAAGCTTCCCGAGGTTCCTGAGGAAGGAAGCCAGACTGGTGGGGTAAAAGCAGGCCCTGAGGAACACCCGGCAGTATGACTCATTTGGAGAATACAGAACTAAGTAGGTGGTAGAAACTGCTCAGAGCCGTCCTCAGCCTCAGGCTCACAATGTGTGGCACACTGCAGGACACGGCGTCACCTTGTAAAGGTTCCCTGGGATTCGCTAACCCAAGGGCAGAGGTTTGCTTTTTGGGGGGTTAACAACTCAGTATAGACCAAACAGCATATTGGCCAGGCATTCTCTGCCACCAGAAGAAAAGTTAAGTTTTCTTCTTACTCAAAGGCATACTCTGGTCCCAACTACTTTCCACCAAAGTGAAACTGGGGTCAAGGGCCAAAGAAGCCTCTCCGTTATCCTCTCCCTGCAATACACTTGAAACAATACAATGAATGCACAATACCAAGAATGGCCTGCTGGACACATCTCATGCTGACTGGCACATCCTACAGGAAAGCTCATGTCCTCCCCACAACCCCCACACTGGCGTTCACACCTTGGCCCTACTGGAGCGGTTTTTTTTTTGGTTTTTTTTTTTACTTTCCTCTTCACTAAGACGAAGTAGAAGGAAAAAAAGGGGGTGGAGGGGGACACAGATCACTGAATTTCTATTCAGCAAAAGAAACTTCTGAATTTCTCTTGCTTTCCCCAAAATCTGCAAATTTGGTCATCTACTCGATGGAAGAAAAGCTAGCATTCTCACAAATGATTGAAATTAGGGTATGATCTTAGACACCTAGCTCAAAAATAAAAAGCTGAAAGAGAAAGAAGACAGGAGAAAAGAGAAAAAAGAGAAACAAAATGTCATTTACTCTAAAAATCCAGGTTTGTGTTTATGTTCCACATGAGGTCCAAATTGTATCTGGGCTTGAAATCCACCAAACTCACAAGCTTTCTCGAAGGAGACAGGGTGAGAGCCATTCAGGATGTCATCCCGTGCCTGAAACACAAGAGGAAGGAAAAGCATCAGAGGCTTCGGGGAGTGACACGTTCTCTCCACTGACGCATTCCCATGGCCCAGTACACCCTCTGTGGAGCAGGGGACAGTGCCAGCCAACCCACGGTGACATGTGCAGGACACAGTGGATGATCACCGCATGGGAGAAAACTAAGGCAAAAGAAAAACAAACTTTTGTCCAAAATGGCCTGTAGATGGAAAACATTAGAGGTGTCCAGTACAGCAAAAGCAAAGTCTGATGACAGTCCAGAAAGGCAGAAGTGATTATAAAAAGAGGCAAAGGAAACTCATATGAAATGATCAGCTTCAAAGAGGCCAAAAGACAAATACAGTGTACTTTTTACAATCCTAAATCACAAAGCTAGCTAATCAAATATCTAGAGGTAAAATCAACCCAACCCCCATCCCCAGATAAAAACCAATGTAATAGAGGAAGAGAAAGAAAGGCGATAGGCACACACACACACAGACAAGAACTCAATACTCAAGACAGCAGGGGAAATGACAAGCGAATGCATCCTAAAATGGGGAGCTTGTTGTGTCTGAACTCCTCCTCCTCCCAGTTTCTCCATCCATCACTGCTGTTGCTTCCCCCCCCCACCTTTTCAGCCTTTCCTTTCTCTAAATGACCCCCAGATCACCCTAAGATGGACACTCCAAGCTATCACTCTAAGCCTTAAGCCAACAAGCATCTTTTCACTGCCCTGCTATCTCTCTCCTTTTGGCCTCCCCACTTCTTTCCTCTCAGCCCTCTTTCCATGCCATCCTTCCGTCCACTAACTCAGGGGTCAGGAAACTTCTCTAAAGGCCAAATAGTAAACATTTCAAACCTCCTGGGCCACACAGTCTCTGTCACTGAGTTCTGTCACCAGAATGCGAGAACAGCCACAGAAGATATGTGTAACAATTACATAACCCTCAAGGGGATTTATCAATATGTAATACTTGAATACATAAGCTGTGTTCCAATACAACTTTATTGACAAGTACAGGCAAAAGGCATGACTGTAGTTTGCCAACCCCTACATTATTTCTATGGGCAGATAGATGGATAAATAACGAGAGGAAAGGGAGGGAGGGAAGGAAAGGAAGAAAGGAAGCTGGTAGGAGAGGACAAAGATGGATGATGTTTTCCTTGAGCCACAAGAAACCTTGGGGACAATCTAGTGCAATCCACATCTTACATACTGGGAAACCGCAACTCAGATATGTTAAATGACTTGTCAGTTTTAACAATTAGTTAAGGGTAAAGACATGAAAGGTTATTGAGAGGATATCTTCCAGTTAATGAGAGTCCTGATTTCTGACCAACATTCTCTTGCATTCTAAGATGCCAGCTAAGAAACCTTTAGTGCACTTGAAATGGTGAGCCAGTTAAGTGAAATACAACTGTCCCTCAAAGCCCGGCAGAGAGGGACACAGTGTTGGCTACCAGGACACAATCTGGGAAGCCATAGGGAGGCCCTACTCCGGATGGTCAGCTGCTCATCCAGAATATCAACCTGCACCACAACCAAACACATGCGGGGACCCACGAGCAGCGCCTGCTGGAAACGACGCCATAAATGTGGCAGAAGCCAGCGCCGCCCTCCTGCTCGCCACAAGATACAGCCAGGAGCTTCCTGCAATCTCACCAACCTCAGTGTCTGAGCAGTAAATACTGTACCTGAACATAAAGCAAGTTCAGCTGCACGGGGTCTCTCGAATCTACATTCTGATCAGAGTAAAAGAACTTCCGTCTAAGCAGCAACGTTTCGTTTTCATCTACTCCTTGTTCTCTGAATGTTCGGCTGTGATCCAGCCAATTTACTGCAACACAACAAGACATATAAGAGAACTGTGTTTATTTTTCCTGTTAATTAAAGGGAATTTACCAAAAGAGCAGTGTGATGCAGATTTCTGTATCTCTGATACTTAGTTATAGTAGTTATAGTTATTTCTTATTTTAGAACTATGGTTTTTAAGCTTTGCAAAATAATTTCACATCTACCAAAGGACCAGCCAAAATGGAAATGAGGGAGAAAATTCCCATGCCTGAAACACAAGAGGAAGGAAAAGCATCAGAGGCTTCGGGGAGTGACACGTTCTCTCCACTGACGCATTCCCATGGCCCAGTACACCCTCTGTGGAGCAGGGGACAGTGCCAGCCAACCCACGGTGACATGTGCTACAATGAATGTATAATATGCTGCCTCTCCGGTGGCAGGGTGGAGGGCAGATACTCCAGTCTCACCTAATAAAGTGATCTTGAGGCTATGAGCATAGTAAGTTACCTCTGATCTCAAGTAGAAAAGAGGAAGAAAATGAAAGTATGGAGGGAGTAGCGGAGACAACACTAAAGGGGGGCTGGCAGAACCGTGCCATGGGCCAGCTTAAATCTCAGCCATTCTGAGAACCCTGTCCTCACATCTATGTGCACAGGATTCGACCACTCCCCTCTACACTTTCACAGCTCTCACTCCAACACTCCTCTCTGGGCTTCAAACACATTGTGGGTTAAGTCCTTATCACCAGCGTCTCTAGATTATAAGCAACCTGAGTACACAAAACGTGTCTCCCACATCTCCCACAGTACCTGGGAGAGTATTTTGCACATAATAATAAATCCTTGGGATTTTTCTACTAAAGTCTCTTGAAAAGAAGTATATAACTGCAAATCAAATTAGGGAGTAAGAAAAAAAAAACACAGAAAGGGTGAGAGGAAATGAGAGCCTCACAGAAGATCAATAAACACAATGGCAATAATGATGTCATCCCGATACAGCCACAAGAACAAATACAATGAAAGGAGGAAAGAGGCCAGGAAGTCTAGGTGGACTGGGTAATAAATTAAGACCCTTTCAGTGGAGGGTCAGGCAGCAAGGTGCAAACAGCATGGGCTTTAGGGACACATGGGGTTACGTGCTGGCTTTTCCATATATTAACTGTGTGGCTGTAGAAAATGACTTTCCAGTAACAGAATTCTGTTACTTTTTTTTTTTTTTTTTTTTTTTTTTTTGAGGCAGAGTCACGCTCTGTCACCCAGGCTGGAGTGCAGTGGCACAATCTCAGTTCACTGCAACCTCCACCTCCCGGGTTCAAGCGATTCTCCTGCCTCAGTCTCCCGCATAGTTGGGATTACAGGCATGCGCCACCACACCCAGCTAATTTTTGTATTTTTAAGCAGAGATAGGGTTTCACCGTGTTGGTCAGGCTGGTCTCAAACTCCTGACCTCAAGTGATCCACCCGCCTCAGCCTCCCAAAGTGCTAGAATTACAGGCACGAGCCACCACGTGCAACCAACTATTACTATTTTTAACTCCTAAGGAAATAATGGGTCTAAGGCAATGGTCATTGATGGATGTTAAACATCCCCCCAAAAAAGAAAACCAGAAACACTTCCTGATGGAAGTGCACATCACCACTGAAGAAAGCATCTTTATTATAATAAACACAAACATTTAAATCTATTCAAGCCTCCAGATCTAAAGAATTAAAAGGGACAGAGGAACATGTTAAATGACACCATAGGTATGCAATGAAGAAAATCCAGACTGTATGAAATGCTGTACAGCTAACAATCTGGTTTCTTCACATACACAAAAACTGCAAAAAGACATGCACTATCACACTGAGTGGTGACCACAATTAATAATAACGTATTATATATTTCAAAAATGCTAATAATAGATTTTTAACAATCTTACCAGAAAAAAAGATACATTGGTGAGGTGATGGATATGTTAATTAGCTTGACTGAATCCTTCTTCAGTGTCTACACAGATATATCACAATGCATCCCATAAATATACATCATTAGTATTAGTCAAAAAAAGAGATGGAAAGACACTTAGTAAAACAAATTAATTAACTAATTAACTTGTTCAACCTTATTTGGATCCCAGTTCACACTATTAAAAAAATTTTTAGACAATAATGAAGAAAATGTGAACATGATTTGTATATCTGATATTAAGATATTTCTTTAGATGTGAAATGGTATTACAATTACTTTTTTTTTTTTAATTTTTATTTATTTATTTTTTGAGACCGAGTCTCACTCTGTCACCCAGGCTGGAGTGCAATGGTGCGACCTCAGCTCACTGCAACCTCCACCTCCCAGGTTCAAGTGATTCTCCTGCCTGAGCCTCCTGAGTAGCTGGGACTACAGGCATTCACCAGCAAGCCCAGCTAATTTTTTGTGTGTTTTTAGTAGAGATGAGGTTTCACCATATTGGCCAGGCTGGTCTCAAACCTGACCTCAGGTAATACACCTGCCTTGGCCTCCCAAAATACTGGGATTATAGAAGTGAGCCACTGAGCCCAGCCTACTTTTTTAAAATAGAGTTTTAAAAACAAAAATCAAAAGTCCTGTCCTGGGTCATATGGATGGTGGGAGGGAAGTGAGGCTTAGCAAAGCCTGTGTGTCTGTATCATGCTTCCTCTGCAAACACTTACGGTCATCATCTGTGTGCAGCTTGGCCTTCAACTTCTCCATTTTCCTCTCATCTCGTAACAGTGTCCTGTCTTTTTTGAGTGTGCCCGTTCCTTCCTCTTTCTTTTCTTCAATAGTTTCTTGGATTAAGGAGTATTCTTCATAATTTGTTATTCCTAAACATTGGAAATTAGGTTATAATTATAAATAATTAAACTGCTGTCAACCTCTTCCAGCCTAAGGCCTGTGATATTCCAAGGAGCTCCTGGTGGCAAAGAACCAGAAACGGCCTTACAAATATGAGGGTCAGGGAGGTGGCCACATCAAATTAAATGAAGAAGCTTCAGCTAGTTAAGTCATATTCACACTGTGGGGGAAAACAGGTAACAAACTTGAACACTTTTTTTTCAAAAACGAATTTTTAAAAATCAGACTCTGATTTCCTCTTTCTTCCAAAATGTCTTTGAAACCTTCCTACATTTTCACAGGGTTATTGTCACTACAATACAGAATCTCCAGTGCTAAGTAATTCCTTTCATAAAGGTTTCCTAAAAATGTAGTAGTGAAATCGTACCCAAAGAAGTCACGCGTATAGTAGAACTTATGTCACATTCAATTCTCTCATCTATAATAATTTTTGGGAAACACCGCCACAGAGGAGGTCATGCAGAAGAAGGCAAGACAGTGTCAAACAAGAAGTGTCTGAAGGAACTAGGCTTCCTTTGCATGAAGAGAAAACTAAGATAGGTAAGTCTATTTTCTTCAAATATTTGAAGGGCTTCATTAGAAAGGAGGCAGACTTGTTCTCTGGGGAGACTAACAGAAGCCACAAGAAGAAAGACTATCTAATAATCATGTGGGCTGTCATCGTAAGTACTCAAGGAGATAGTGAACATCTAGAGTGCTCATATAGAATAGAAGGCAGCAATGGGCAGAAGGCTGAATTACACATGACTTTCCATTTGAAAATCTTCTTGTTTTGGAGAGGGAAATGAAAGCCCTCCGTTGTGACTTAGTGAGAAGTCCAAATGTTTCATGGATTGGCAAGTTGGGAGAATGGACACACCCTCTGGGGATTAGGCAGAACTCGGCGTGTTAAGACACATTCAAAGTTGCCTAGAGATCAAATGCAGGTGGAAAAAAGAAGAGGCCTGTAATTAAAAACTAAGCAAAAAGACATAATGAAGGTGTATGAATGCTCACCTATTCTGCTACAAATAGTGACCAGGAGCTCCCCCACAGTCTTGGAATCATCCACCATCACTGTCTTCACAGATCCATCCAGCATCCGGATTTTCTGAGGTCTCTGTTTCTTTTTATATTCCAAAATATCCTAGAGCACAAACCACATACAAATTTCACACTGTGTGGGGAAAATAAATAACAAACTTGAACACTTTTCTTTAAAAAATGAATTTTAAAAAAATCAGAGTAGACTCTGATTTTCCCTTTCTTCTAAAACA